>NC_000012.12:95585128-96210128 GCF_000001405.40 Homo sapiens | reverse complement strand
TACTTTTGATTCTTATGTTTCAGAGGCCTTTGCTTGAATGGAAAATCTTTTCCCCAAATTTTTGTACTATTAATATCAATACAATTCAATCCTGTGTACAACAGAAAAAAAGTTGGGGGAGGTCAAGATAAACAAATCCTCATTGCAGCCAAAACCTTAAAAAGTTGTGTGATCTTCTGTGCCTTGGTCAAATGTAGGAAAAAAAAAAAAAAGGAGAAAAAGTCGTGTGAGCTACAGCAGGGATGTTAACTTCTGTATTTCAACCTTCTCCTCTGTAGAAGGGGTAAAGTCAGTCTTATCCTTTACATACTATCAAACTAAAAGACTTCTTGAAAGTATTTGAAAGTAAAAATATGTAATCCTTTTGATCAGTACACTGTATAAATGATCTTTATAATAAGGATGGAACAATGTCTTCAGCTTTAAAGACAGCCTTGACAGAAGTATTTTCTTAAATCTATGGTTGTCAATGTAAGAAAATGTTTATTTACTTACTTTAAGATGGTGTTACAAAAATCAAAATAAAGGAAATCTTACAGACCACTTCCACTAGAATGAAACCCTAATCTTTCTGATAAACTTGAAAGATTTTCTGTGCTAAAGAAGAAGCTGATGAAAGTCGAAAGTATTTACCCAGTGCAATGAGAACCTTTTTGCATGGATACAAAATGATGGCGGTTTTTCCACATCCAGAAACTGAAACATTTCCTGCCAGAGCATCCTCCAACTCTTCTATTGTGTTGAAACTGTAAAATCTTTCTAAATCAGGACTTCCTCCTATTATGCTTTAGAGGCGTCTTTCTGGGAAGGGTAGATCCAAGGCAAAAGGTAGGAATTCCTGCAGCACCACCCAGTGGAAACATTACAAAAAAAAAAGCAAGATAAAATATGTTTAATAAAAGAAAATCTCATGTGTTAGCTCCTCTCTCAAACTCTTTTTGCATCGATGGCATCCTGCAATCTGTTGTGCTTACAAATGGCCTTTAACATCACGTCTGCCCTGTCTCTGTTTTGCACGTGTGCACACACGCTGCACCACGGCAGGGTCAGGAAGGATGGTGCAACCCTGGGGAGGAAGGGGTCCCAGGTGGGGTCAGGTGTGGGCTGTGACATCACCCCTTCCTCTCAGAAGGATCCCCAAGGGATCCTGGGGACCGGGAAGTCTGCACAGCTGTGCTGGGCACCCCAGTCCTGATGCAGCAATGAGTGTTTCCTGGCAGAGAGGTGCCCAACCATCTGTGCACCTTCCCCTTTCCCTGGCCCAGCTGCACCTGGCCCGGGACCTCCAACATCTGCACAGCCATTCTACCTCCCTGGTTCTATCTTGGAGAGAGTTATAGAGCCTCTTCCTCCCCTTGCAGCTCCTTTCTCCAGTCCCTGCAAAACTCCCTCTGGTGTGAGCATGACTTCTGCTCCCCTGTCCTACCAAGGCCACAGTGCATCTCATAGGCTCCTTGGAGGTCATTTAAATCTGGTTGCACTTCATTTACTGCCTCCACCAAAACTCGTCTCTCCTCACCAGTGCCTGCTTCTCACAATGCATGACACATCAGGCTATAATTTTCTTGGGAACTGGATGAAGCAACAAGAACTCTTGACCCTCTCCCTTCCAGCTCCTTCACAGAAAGCCCTGGCAGTGGCCTGGAGAAGGAGAGACGCCATTGCATGCTCTTCTCAGGAAAACTGGGAACTTTCTTATCTTCTCTATAGAATTTAAAATAACAAAGTAAACTTAATCATTTCTGGATGGTTAAGTCACTAAAAAAACCTGCCCTCTGGCTGGGTGCAGTGGCTAACGCCTGTAATCCCAGCAATTTGGGAGGCCGGGGTGGGTGGATCACCTGAGGTCAGGAGTTCCAGACCAGCCTGGCCAACATGGCGAAACCCCGTCTCTACTGAAAATACAAAACTTAGGTGGGAGTGGTGGCGGGCGCCTATAATCCCAACTACTCAGGAGGCTGAGGCAGGAGAATCGCTAGGAGCTGGGAGGCGGAGGTTACAGTGAGCCAAGATCATGCCACTGCACTCCAACATGGCAACAGAGCGAGACTCTGTCTCAAAAAAAAACAAAAAACAAAAAACTGCCCTCTAACATCAGCCTACCTGGAAAAGTTACCTTTCTCCCTTCGTAGAGTAAATCCACTGAAACTATTTTTAATCCCTCTTTTAAATGGTACACAGATATGGCAAAGGATAACAGTTGGCTGAGCTAGACACTATTTAGAGGATACAATCAGTGTTAACACTTTACAGCATATTTGAATTGCTGATAATTTATTATACAAAGGGTTAATTGCATTATTCATCTTTTCTTTCTTTTTCTGAAGTTTAACATTTGCCAAAACATGTCAAGGTTTAGTTGGATAATACTGACATTACCCAGTCTTTGGGTCCCACTCTATACAGTATTCTTGCAAAAATGGTTATGAGTTACTGGTATTCATGACCGAGGGATCACCATCAACATCTTTAGAGGTTTTTGAGAAGCACAAAGAGCTGCCTTACAGAGGTGGTTCCTGAAGCAAGGAACTGGTTAGTTTCACTGTTTTTCCTTCGTGCTCTTCTCAACAAAACTCTTTCATGGTTTAGGAAATGCAAATTCCAGGCATAAACATTTATACATAAATCTGGTATGGTAATACATTCGCTTTGGAAGAGAACTATAAAAAACAGTGACTCTGCAGTCTTCAACATATCATCACCTGCTCATGTGGTGGACATGTGTGTGGGATTTTAACTGCATCTGAAGTCACAAAGGTAGTCACTAGCCCTTGAATAGCTTTACCCTCCCCACATGCCTATGTCTCGCTCACATTTTTGTACAATGGACATCAAGTCTAGCTGCATATGATGGTTATGGTGCCAAATGCAGAGGGATTCTAAGTATACAGCACCTCTAATAAAGTTAATTTTAACAGGAAGTAAAAACACAGTGGTGTTAAGGTAAAAGTACAAGCACAGCCCTCTCACCTCTCATTCAATGTCTGTTTAAACCAAACCCGACTTGTAGACAAACAACTGTAAGTGGAACACATTTTAAAACAGCTTGGTGTTCCTGGTGGGTACTGTTATTTCCAAAACTTGCAAAAATAAGACAGTGAGTGATTTCAAAACTTAACAGTCTTCTCATAATGCCTCATATTTCAAATAGATTTTTAAATTAACCATCAAGATGCACTGAATAAATGAGCAAAATAACATTAAAACTGTCATCGAGGGGCAGACCAACCGTTCATTCATTCATGTCCAGAGAATGGTGTTATGCAAAGACCACCAAAAGCATCTGATGGAAGAGACTGGCTGTTGGTGGCATTAACATCAAACATCAATCTGTACCCCAAAGCATCCTCGCTGCCCTTAATTCCCACATGGGCATCTGCCATCCACTGGCTTGGGCAGTCCCTTTTTGAAATGTCATATACAACTTATTACTCTACCTGCTCTTCCAATAATTGTTCAGCGTGAATATATTAACTGTACAAAATAACAGCCAGATCCTGCTTTAGAGGATCTTTTTTTTCCCTTGTGAAAGAAAATCGTGGCTCACACCTGTCATCCCTGCACTTTGGGAGGCCAAGGCAGGCAGATCACGAGGTGAGGTGTTCAAGACCAGCCTGGCCAACATCTCTACTAAAAATACAAAAATTAGCTGGGCATGGTGGCGCACACCTATAGTTCCAGCTGCTTGGGAGGCTGAGGCAGGAGAATCGCTTTAACCTGGGAGGCGGAAGTTGTGGTGAGCCGAGATCGCGCCACTGCGCTCCAGCCTGGACAACAGAGTGAGACTCTGTCTCAAAAAAAAAAATAAATAAATAAAAGGGAAAGAGAAAGAAGAGAAAGAAAAAGAAAATTGCCCCTTTCATTAGGTAAAATATTTGAATCATCTGGTGCACGTCTGATCTACATCAAGGTTTTAAAGTTTCTCCTTTCTGAAAGACAAACTACTAGGCTTTAATATTTAGGTTTAAAAAAAACACACAAAGGATGTGGCAGAGGCTGAAGGAAGATGCTGTTCTTGTGGTTCAGCTCTGATTGAAATCAAAGCAGGGCAACGAGCTTATTTGAGAGCCGTGACCCCCAATCCTTTGAGAATTCACAGTACACTTGGGTCATCTGATTCAAGATGCCTTCAAGCAGCATATAGTTTTGTCATTAAAGTAATACACTTAAAGAAAATTTTAACACTCTTCAGATTACTTCATTTGTCACCAATCCAGCATCGAGAATTAATGGTACAGCAACTAAAGGGGTGAATTAAGTGAGGACAGAAACGCCAAGTGGCTGACTGGCTCTTCTGTTTTTGCCTCAACTATCTAAGATGAAGTCAGTCCATCTATGGGCATTTTTGCACTGGGCTATGCATGCAGCAAAGATATGATAACATCTCTCTGCCCGGAGTTTAATCAGTTCTAACCCTCACTCGGGTGTCACTTGGAGCATTTCAAGGCATTTGTTCTAAACTGCTTTTTCAAAAAAGAAAAGAAGAGCTGGGTGTAGTGGCTCAAGCCTGTAATCCCAGTGGATTACAGAGGGAGGCTGAGGTGGGAAGATCATGTGAGCCCAGGAGCTCGAGGCTGCAGTGAGCTATGATTGTGCCACTGCACTCCGGCCTGGGTGACAGAGCAAGATGCTGTCTCTAAAAGAAAAAAAGAAAAGAAACCATCCAATGCCCTCTGGTCTAAATGATCAGTAGCTGGGGCTTGAAAAAATCTACAGGAATGTTAGCAGAAATAAATTGCCTCCCAGTGCTCACGAATTCTAGTTGCCAGAGGGTTTCAAGATCATACAAGGAAACTGAGGTACTGCACCTCACACACAGTCCCAAAGATAATACTAAATGGTTTGGTCCCCTCTCTGTATGTTCATAATGGGATGTGCTGAGGTGATCAGGAATCTATGCTTTCTTCTTTCCTGCAAATTCTGTAATAAATCTAGGTTCTCTCCTGACTTCTCGTTGTGAAACAATGATTCTTCAAGGGTGGAGACGGTTAGTAAACATTCACTTATGCTCCTACCCTCTCACAGAACCAGGGCTTCAATCCTACATGGGTAGTGACTCTGCAAAGAGGAGCAGCACCAACTGAAGTCACCTATTGTCCCATTCTCTCAGACACAGACCTCCCTCTTGCAGCCCACATCCGTAAAGGCGCATACACACTCCTCACCTTCCAGGGCATAGCCCTTTCATCTGTGAATCAACTCCAACAAGGATTTGCATCTGAGCCTCTAAAGGCGAGCCTTCCAAACTCCAATAAGGGGATGAAGAGGGGAAGTGACATTTCCAGTTCAATGAGCGTTAACCAGAGAAATATTGTTAACTTTTAGTGTTAGGGAATCATTCTAACATTTACACCTCCTTTTCTGGCTTAATAGAATAGTATGATCTTCCTGAGCCTCAGGATCATTAACTCTGAGGATGATGACAACCTACAGGTGCAAGCAGAGGAGAACTCCTACTGTTGATTCCCACAGAGAATTCCTGCAGCTACCCTAGAATAATTTCGGGCTTATTTTGATGTTGCTGCTGCTGCTGCTGTTGTTGATGTAATCTCTCTATTCTGACAATTACGTGCAAGGAGAAAAATCTCCTTAATCATACATTCCGCTTAGTCAAGGTTTGACCTATCAACAAATTGCTCCTTGGCAAAACCCAGCTGAAATTTATTAGGAGACCTAGTCCTCCCCCGTTTGGGTGTTTAGTCAATCAAGTCTTCATAATCACGTAAGCAGAATCTTTTGTTATTTCCAAACTCAATCAGAAACATCATTAATTTCAAAAAGGTATAGATGGAAGCTACACACACAGGTTTTCTATAAGTAAAGAAGGACCCTGAACTGTGGATCTTACAGGATTAAAAACTGGTTATCCAAGGGAACTACGAAAACCTGATCAACTGAAGTCTTTAATAAAGGACTAATGATGGTTGCTCTACAATGATTAATTCTATAAAAAAAAAAACTTTACATTGAGATTCTTTCAACATATCCTATCCCACGAATAACTTTACTGTTAACCGACCACTCTCAGTATAGTAACACTGATACCAACAATAGAGCCAAACCCTGTCCTCCAGGATACTAGCAAACTAACCTCATTTCTATATATCCACTTTTCTTGCAAGTCTAAACAAGAAGTATGGGAAGTGGCATAGAGGAGCTTTTTGGCTGTCTTTATGGGTTTTCATTTTGAGACACAGTCTCGCTCTGTTGCCCAGGCTGGAGTGTAATGGCACAATCTCGGCTCACTGAAAGCTTCACCGCCCGGGTTCAAGCGATTCTCCTGCCTCAGCCTCCCAAGTAGCTAGGATTACAGGCATGCGCCACCACACTCGGCTAATTTTTGTATTTTTAGTAGAGATTGGGTTTCACCATGTTGGCCAGGCTGGTATCGAACTTCTAACCTCAAGTGATCTGCCCGCCTCGGCCTCTCAAAGTGCTGGGATTACAGATGTGAGCCACCGCGCCCAGCCTGTCTTTATGGTTTAACCAAGAGATCTGCCTATTCATCCAAGTAACTCATTGTCTAGAAAAGAGATGGACATATGCATAGCAACAAACGGCTTTATCAAGTCCAAGGGCAAAACAAGGTGGGGCTATATTGACAAGCTCCCCCCAACCCCCGCTTCAGATTATTTTTAATTCATTGAGTGCCAGGTATTGTACAAAGTGCTGAGATAATACAAAGGATGAGAAAAACGGACGCAGGCCCAGAGGGAGCTCACAGACTGATGGCACCGCAGACATGCAGCACATGACACAGACACGTGCAGGCATCCCCCAATATCCAAATCGAATGGGACCGCAGTTACGGACAGTAACTTCAGATCATGAGGGATGCCATGCTATCACATCTATTTGGTTCCCGGGTTTTGGAGAAAATAGCATTAATGAATAATGAGGGGCACCAGCCCTATTTCAGAAAGATGTCTCTAAAACTGTCTAGTTCCTGGCCAGGTATGGTGGCTCATGCCTGTAATCCCAGCACTTTGGGAAGCTGAGGCGGGTGGATCACGAGGTCAGGAGTTCGAGACCAGCCTGGCCAGCATGGTGAAACCCCGTCTCTACTAAAAATACAAAAATTAGCCAGGTGGGGTGGCGCATGCCTGTAGTCCCAGCTACTTGGGAGGCTGAGGCAGAAGAATCACTTGAACCCAGGAGGCAGAGGTTGCAGTGAGCTGAGATCACTGCACTCCAGACTGGGCGACGGAGCGAGACTCCATCTCATGTTCCTGTGTTTGGGTAACAAGAATTTGGAGAGAGAGAATTCAGGTAATGAGGCAACCTGTAAATAAAGCCTGTGGTGGCCAGGCATGGTGGCTCACACTTGTAATCCCAGCACTTTGGGAGGCCGAGGCAGGCGGATCAGTTGAGGCCAGGAGTTTGAGATCAGCCTGGCCAACATGGCGAAACCCTGTCTCTAATAAAAACACAAAAATTAGCAAGGTGTGGTGGCACAAGCCTGTAATTCCAGCTACTTGGGAGGTTGAGGCAGTAGAATCTCTTGAACCCACATGGTGGAGGTTGCAGTGACCCAAGATGGTGCCACTGCACTCCAGCCTGGGCAACAGGCTAAGACTCCATCTCTCAAAAAAAAAAAAAAAAAAAGCTTGTGGTAAGGGCTCTGAAGGCCAGGAGCAGATGACTGAGGGAGATCTACTCTAGGTGACAGGAAAGGCTTCCCCAATAAAACATGGTGGAGCTGAGTGTGAACTAAAAGACGCCTACAAATTGGTTAGGCATGGAGTCTGAAAAATAGAGGGGTCGGGGGGAAAATTCTGTCAGTATTGACAAAGACCCAGTGGACAGAGGGCAGAGGACACCTTAAGCATTTGAGGAACTGAGGAAAAGTCAGTTTGCTGGCCCAAATCACATCTTGCAGCTTGAGTTAGGGGTTTTGGTCTTTATCCTAAGCTGAAGTCACTAGAAGATTTTTCAGTAGAAGAATGACCTGGTCAGATCTGTGTTTTGAAAGGATTGTTCTAGCTCCTGGGGAGAGAAGGGATCAGAGCGGGTGCAGAGGAATGTAAGAACCCTCAAGATACAGCAGTGGGGGCAGACAGCACTTTCAAAGACTATCAGAAGGAAGGAGGAGGAATTTCACCAGGTGACCAAACTCTTATCTGGTGCTACAGAGCACCAACTCAGACAGTCACTGATGTCCCCAAGAATGAGGTGGCTGTGGGTCATTAGAAATCAGTGCTGCCTGTCACAAACCTCAAAAGACTAGGAGGAAAGGAAGCATGGCAGCTAATACTGGCCTTCCACTGGAGTGTTCCTTATTCAATAAGGGGCCAAAATGGAATTCAAGGGGAAACTTATGGAGATCCCCCTTTTCCACCACAAAATAGCTGTTTGTTTAAATTCCTGCATATGTCTATAAGTCAGATGTCTGGAGATGACAGCAAGAAGTTCATATCACACTTTCACAACTCTTAGGAGTCAAGACCTTTCCTCCAAATATAGCAGTACACAAATAGGGCTTCCGACTTGAAAGGGAGTATATCTCAGCTTCTCCACTTCAATCCCTTTTTTTTTTTTTTTTTTTTTTGAGACAGGGTTTCACTCTGTTACCCAGGCTGGAGTGTAGTGGCGCAATCATGGTTCACTGCAGCCTTGACCTCCCGGGTAGCTGGGACTACTGGCACGCACCACCACGTCTAGCTAATTTTTGGCAGAGATGGGGTCTCACTATGTTGCCCAGGTTGATCTCAGACTCCTGGGCTCAAGTGATCTGCCTGCTTCAGCCTCCCAAAATGCTGGGATGACACATGTGAGCCACTGCACCCAGCCTCCACTTCAACTACTTTACCATCAGGCTAAAGAAACTGAGGTCTGGGAAGATTTACTAATATCCTCTCATCCCAATTAGTCTTCAGGTAATACATTTTTCCTAAAGCACACATATTACTTTTGGTTAAATATTTTGCGGATATCAGGTAATACAGAAAGGATTTTTCTTTTTCCTCTTACTGTATGATGAGGAAATCTACACATTCTGATTTATTTTTAACTAAGCAGATTAAATAAAATACCACAATATTTTATCAAGGTATTCTGAAGTTTAAGAATCTATATGGTAGAATCATGAAATTGCCGTAACAGAATTTTGTAAATGGCCAGGGATAATGAGACCCCATTTCTACAAAAAATAAAAAAATTAGCCAGAGGCCAGGCATGGTGGCTCACTCCTGTTAATCCCAGCCCTTTGGAGGTGGAGACAGGCAGATCTCTTGAGGCCAGGAGTTTGAGACCAGCCTGGCCAATATGGCAAAAGCCCGTCTCTATTAAAAATACAAAAATTAGCCAGGCATGGTGGCATATGCCTATGATACCAGCTACTTGGGAGGCTGAGGCATGAGAATTGCTTAGACACAGGAGGCGGAGGTTGCAGTGCGCCAAGCTTGCACCACTGCACTCCAGCCTGGGCAACAGAGCCAGACACTGTCTCAAAAAGAAAAAAAAAATTAGCCAGGTGTGGTGGTGCACACCTGCAGTCCTATCTGCTTGGGAGACTGAGGCAGGAGGATCACCTGAGCCCTGGAGTTTGAGGCTGCACTGAGCTATGACAGTGCCAGTGCACTCCAGCCTGGGTGACAGAACCAGGCTCTGTCTCTAAATACATAAGCCAAAAAACACTTGGGGACATGGAAATATTGTCTCTTTGGGTAGGGTTACATGTATGTATACAATAACACTTAAGATCTGCGCATTTTAATATATGTAAATCATACCTCAACTTAAAAAAAAGAGAGAGGGGAAGATACCAAGAGCCTCGTTTTCTTTACTCTATTGCTTGGAGTACAGGAGCCCTAGCTTCATCAGTCTTAAGAGAAGGTCTCCAACAGGAGGAGTAAGTTCTCGTGTTCTATAGCACTGCAGGATGCCTATAATACTATATAGTTTCAATTAACTAGAAGGAAGATAATGGATGTTCCCAACACAAATAAATCATAAACATTTGAGATGATGGATCTAATTACCTCGATCTAATTACTATACATGATATATATGTAAAAAATCACTATGTACCCCATAAATATGTACATTTATATCAATTTAAAAAATAAAAAGAGAAGGTATCTAGATAAGTGTTTTATACCTATCCCATCACTCCCATATTACACATGGATATTCAGAAATTGTTCTTAGCTATAGAAACTTTAAGCATATTTATGACACTATGTGTCATAAATAGATCCTTGTTTTAGAGTGTGTGAGTAAATTCATTTCAGTCTAATTCAAATTAGAATACACTAATATAACATTGTCTAAATTTCTTTAAAAATATACAAGTAAAGCCATGTTATAATCTTATTTAATTCTTAGAAAAAAGTAGTACTTTCCAGGAAATGTAAATTAATACATAGCAATAAAGTAGTCAATGACTTTATTCCTAGTGGGAATTCAAACCAAATCACAATTTATTGAAATGACTAGTTCAAAGTTTACTTTAAAACTGCTGACATATATGTAAATCTCCAGTAATGGATGAAAGGCAATTTTTATTTTGGTTTCAGGCAGGAACCATGGGGAGTTGAATTTCTGCACAGAATAGTTATTTAAAAGACTGAGTAATCTACCATTTTTGAAGACATTTAGAATTTCACAGAAGGTCACACACACACACACACACACACACACACACACAGCTAATTTTATTTACTGGGGCTGCTCTATAAGTGGCAAAACTAGAGTTTTCATGGTCTCACTGCCATGGTTTCAATCAAAAGGCTGAATGACCTCAATTCAAAGTGGCTATGAACAACAGCAATCTTGAGCTAAAAATCAATTTAAAACACCAACTTCAAAGTTTGGAAACTCCACTGATAGAAAATGAAACAGTAATAGGAGTTGTTAAAATGTACAAAACACACCTTCCTCTCCCTTCATAGTTGGATAATTTCAAGGTATATTTTCAGTTTAACCTGGTTTCTCTTCATCATTTAACATTCTATTTTCATGTGTAGTGCCCTGTACTTCCTGTTACTACATCTTGATATTCTACTGCAAATCATGACTCATCCTTAAATCACAGAGAAACTCATCAAAATCCAAAATTTCACAGCACATAGGAACTCAGTCTTTCAAGAGGGCAGCATTCTTAGAACATTACTTGAACCACAGAGGACAAAAAACACTGAACAAGTCTATGAAGAAATTATGTCAATCCATGGTTGAGCCAACACATTTATTAGATCAATAAATAGAAGCTCTATGTGATAATTTCGGTCTCGGTACTAATTATTAAAATGTGTTACATGTTAAGTGAAAAAAGTTATAAAACAGTAAGTACAGTGTGCTTTCAATTAAAAATGGTATGTGCATGTGTGGATATACATAGACACACATATGCATTTTTTTAAAAAACTGAACAATTACACATCAAAAGGTAAACAGTGGAATTATGGGAGATGTCTATTTTTTTATAGCAGTTTTCTGTATCTTTGTAAGGCAATTCACATTAATATTTTTTACAATAGGAAAAAAAACAACCAACCTTTAGAAGATACTATTCTGCTAGCATGGTCTCAAAGTGTGTTATAAGTCGATCTATACAGGCAAAGAGGAATTAAAGATAACCAGGACATAAAAAACTTTTGCCTGAAACATACAAGAAAATCTAACAAAAATGGAGTCCCCTTCCCCTCTCATCTGCGTATTTATGTACAGAACCTTAGGAAAGGGTCAGAAGACAGTCATCTGGGCTCTACAGCCAGAACAAAGCCAGAATGGACAGACAGCCCATTTCTTTTAAACTTTAATGAGACAGCTGGTACAGAGGTTCACACCTGTAACCCCAGCTACTGCGGAGGCTGAGGTGGGAGCATCACTTGAGCCCAGGAGTGCAAGGCCAGCCCTGGCAACATAAACAATTAAAAAAATAAAGTTTCATGAGGAAGTCCAGGTCTGGGAAACATGGAGATGACTGAGTCATTCCTTAGAATTGGAAGGCAACAAAACTAACGATTAGTAAGCAGCAACTCACCCTCAGTGAAAAAAGACTCTACTCCAGGAAGTCACATTCTTGGATAGTTTTCTATGAAGTGTTTTGGGTTGTCATCAGGTCATGTTTTGCAACATTTCACAGCACCATACTGGTCTTCTGAATCAGATAGATATATAAATATAATTGGGTCCCACAGAACACACAAAATCCAATATCTGACAGCTAAGAAGGGAATATTTTAATTTACATACACTGCCTGGAAGTCCTTTAAAACCAATTTCAGGAAAAGATTCAAGTTCCAAAAAGTTATTACAAATATAAATTTTAATATATGACCTCAGAGTTACATGTACTGTATATTAGCACTTTTGACTTATTTAATTTTTTATATAAGAAAAAGAGGAGGTCTTTAATAAATGTTTAGGTTAACTTCAAAACTCAAATGGAGCTGGCAAATCACTGCTCTCCCCTATCTGGACTACTGCCATTCTGGTCTCAACAGCATTGGTACCAAGTGCATGAAGATGCTATACTTGCAGAGTTTCAGAGATGGATGGCCTAATTCAGGACATAAAGGGTACACCATCACAAGGTCACCATCCGTATGTCACTCTATTATTGCATGTTACTGACCAAAAAGAGAAAGAGAAAATTCATGAATGCTATGTTACGTATGTGGCCAAAATTACAGATGATGACTTTTAAATGTCCTATTTGTTGACTGAATGCGTGTTAAAGAGCTTTCATCATCTTCATCATCATTAAAGTAAATAAGATTTTTCTCAATCCACTATAGACATTTTGGGCAAAAAAAATTCTTTCTTGTGCATTGTTGACTGGTTAGCAGCACCCCTGGCGTCTACCCTCCAGAAGCCAATGCACCCCCTTAGTTATAACAACCAAAAACATCTCCAGACATTGCCAAATGTCTCCTGGGAGGTAAAATTACTCCTAGTTGTGAACCACTAACGTAAATGAACCTATGTGTCCCAAATAATTACTTAGAAGGAGGAATTCTAAATACTCCCTTTTTTATTTAAAGGAAATGTACTCTGGAGAGAGTTTACAACCTCCATTCTTAAGGAACACTCATGCAAAATGTATGAGATCTCGTAAGTCTTTTTTCTTACCTATTATAAGTTTTGTTAGCCTACTCACAGCTTTCAATGCTACAATTTATTGAGCACCTACTCTGTGAAGGCATAGCATTAGGGACATCCTGTACTCATGTCCACTGACTCATACCCCGGTCGGGCTGTTTGGGCTGTTTTTAGGACAACTTTGCCACCGTAAAAGAACTGCCAACACCTTAAAAGCAACATGTCTTTGTCAATAAAGGGGCCCCATCATTCCAATCAGGTTCCTTTTGACCCTTTTTAGTAACGCCACACATTTCTACGCAACATTTAAATTAAAAAAAAAAAAAAAAAAAAACACTTTTAGAGGGCAGAAGGCCTTTGCTATATTTGGCATAGAAAGGCCATCACTTTTCAAACTCAGGGGGGTTTCTAGGCAGGATCATTACTGGAAACTCTAAGAACACTTATGGACAGTCTCCTTAACTGCCTGACCCATGTGCCCTCCTAACACAATTTGTAATTTTATCATCCTCATAAATTGAAACTCCTAACTGACCTTTTCCAAATAAATGGGTGCCATGGCGAGAGAGAAAGAAAAAGAGATCAGAGGGTATTTTGTAAGGCTCACAAATCGATTTCGGCTCATGAATAGATGCCTGGAACATGCTCCACACCCCCCCCACCCCCAAAGACAAGCACAGATGGAGAAGATGGGTGTGTGTGAGCTGCTTATCTCCCCCCACCTCTCAACACACATACACACGCGGGAAAGAAAAACCTGCAAATCTGAAATCCAAAATGGCCAAAGTGACTTCAAAGTTTTCAAGACATGTCCTGAAAAGGCTCGTTGGGCGGCTGCACCCCTAAGTAAATAAAGCCATAACTTGTCTCCTTCCCCAGCGCCGGGCTCCCAGGCTGACAGTGGCTGCACAAAACCCCTCCTGTGCCGAGCAGCGGAAACTCCTAATGAGATTAGTTGGTGTGTGTGCAGACATTACTTAGCAATGACTAAGGGGGCTCTCTCTTCCTGCAGCAGCCAGTGGAAAATTCAAGGAACTTTTTCCCCCTGCAGCAGCAGAATCCCTTTAACCCTCTCCGCAGCCAACTCCAAAAACAACTCAGCCTCCCCTTTCCCCGCCACCCCCAGGCTGGAGGACTGGGGTGGGGGTAGTTAAAGACCGGCCAGGGGCTTTCAAATGAGGGAGGGTGGGAGGGGGCTGGCGGGGAAGGGGCGGGGGACCCCTCGAACACTACAAAGGAAACTGTAAAAGGCACAAATACATAAACCTAAGAAGGAGCAAACCACAGTTTCTTTGTGAGCTCCTCTAGTGAGTCATTTTCAAGATGCTGTCTGCTGCCAGTTTCAAAGCGGAAGCGCATGGCAATTAGTCTTGCCGTTTCCAGACAAGCCAGAAACTCTCCCGACACTCGTTTTTTTTTCTTTCTAAAAAGCCCCTTTTGCAGTTTCTGAAATAACATTTCTTGCTTCCACCTCCACCCGCCGCCTAACTGCAGCTTGTCCCTAGGATGATTCGGTTCAGAAAAGATAACAAAACCAAGACCTTTTATTTTTGCTTTTTAACTACTCCAAAATCTTAATCCCGCCTCCCCAAAAGTTACAGTAGCGTCACAGGCCAACGTTGAGTTCGAAGGTAAACAGGGATGGGGAGTGGAAGGGGCCCCAAGATCATTTCTTGCCTGGTCCTTCTCCAAAACCATGCCCAATAGAGACCACCGGCTTTTAAATGTCCGATGGGGCGTGCGCCTGGGGCGGTGACCTGGGCGGGGGTCACCTGCCAAGCGAGAGTGGACGCAGCCCCCAGCCCCACACCTTCGCGACCCATGTCCTCCACCGCCCTCTCCATCCCTGTCTTCCTCCCTGGATCCGAGCACCAGTGCACTTTGCCCACTCGAGGGGAGCCTGACTGCGGTCCCAGCTGGAAGGTCGGCGGTGGTCCAGCCTCCAGGCACTCAGCCTGCTCCTGCCACGGTTCTTCCCAGGGACCCGAAGTCTCGCCGTCCCCCGCTCCCCGCGCTGCCTGCAGCGGGGCCCTGGGCGAGCTCCCAGGGTTGCACGCCCGGCGCCCCTTCCTCTGGGGTCGCAGCGCAGCCCCAGGGAGGGGAGCCGCGGGCGCAGGGTCCCCGCAGCCCCGGGCCCGGCGCGAGCTCGGGCGACGGCGGTGGCAGCGACGCGGGCGCAGGAGCATCCGCGGCGCCCCCTCCCCGCGGCCGGCCCTCCCGCGCGGACGCACCGCCACCCCCACCCCGGCCCGCAGCCCACCCCGCGGCGCCCCCCGCCCCACCCCCACCGCGCCCAAGAAAAGAAAGAAAAAAAGAAAACACCCCCAAACAAACTTTTTAAGTGTCCGAGCAACAGGCAGAAGCCCTGTTACCTACCCAGATGTGGGGGAGTCTTCTTCGGGGGGAATTTCTAGGAGGACCCGGGCGAAAGCCCCCGACTTTCCATGCTGACAGGCGTCTGCAGACGGTCTGTGGCTCTTGTAATGAGATCCTGATTTTTCCCCCTTTTTTTCTTTCTCTCGCTCCTCTTTTTTTTTCCCCTCTGGTGTGTGTGAGAGCAGGAAGTTGGAGCAGTCAGGCCGAGCCGGCTCACTTCCTTTACTGCATTATTCCCCAGGCGGTGTGCAGTCTGTGTAAACAGGCTTTTCCGCCCCGCGCCGCGCGCCCCGGCCGCGGCTGTGCGCCGGGGCTGGCCGCCCAGGCCCGCGCCTCCCCCGCCGCCCCGGCCCCGTGCGCGCCCCGCACCGCCCCCACCCGCCCCGCTTCCTGCGCGGCCACCCCGGGGAGGAGCCTCCGACCCGCGGCGACTCCGCGCGGCCGCAGCCCCTCCCCACGGGGAGGGGGGTCCGCCCGCAACCCGCAGAAGCCGCCGCGCTTCCCGGGACACCGGGGATCCCTCCTCACCTCAACCCCTGGGGGTCGAGCGCGCGGGGCACCACGACGGGGTCGTGCCCTGCGCAGTTGGCCCGGGAGGGGGGTCCCGAGGTGGGGAGGCGGCTGGACTCGCTGTTTCCCATCCGCTGGGATGGAAGAGTTGGGGGGCAGAGGGGAATCGAGAGTGGGGTTCAGGGTTTGGTTGCTCTGGGCAAAGGACTGCTTTTCTTGTGGGTGCGGGCACAGTTTCCGTCTGGGGTTGGAGATGGACACCGTTCCTGTCTGGGTTTTCGGTGTTTTAAAAGCCAGCCCTCGGCCGGGCGTGCTGGCTCACGCCTGTAATCTGAGCACTTTGGGAGGCCAAGGCGGATGGATCACCTAAGGTCAGGAGTTCGAGACCAGCCTGGCCAACACGGCGAATCCCCGTCTGTACTAAAAATACCAAAACAACAACAACAAAAACAGCCAGGTGTGGTGGTGGGTCCCTATAATCCCAGCTACTTGGCAGGCTGAGGCGAGAGAATCGCTTGAACCTGGGAGGCAGAGGTTGCAGTGAGCTGAGATCGCCCCATTGCACTCCAACCTGGGCAACCAGCGAAACTCCGTCTCAAAAAAATAAAAAAGCCAGCCCTCAGTTGGGGGGCGAGCCTGTGGGGAAAGGATAAGGAGCCACAACACTGGAAGTCATGGAAATAATGCCCGCAGGGTCAGAGACTGAGGCTTGAAGGGAGCCTCTGTGGTCTCAGAACTGGTCTTCACACCTCCACATCCCTCAAGGAGGTCCTGCCTCTGAGGGCTCAGGCCAGGCTCTGATGGGAGAGCCTGCCCATTGCCCTAGGCTGAGACAAGGTTGGGGGGGATGGCTGTTGAAGAGCCTCTCCCTTCCCAGGCCTGCGCCCCAACCTCACTGCTCACCTTCCAGAACCTTCCATTCCCATGCCGCCACTTAGCAGCCCAGACCCCTGGTTTTCAAACTTGACCCAAGGGGCTTGTTAAACCACTAGTGGCTGGGCCTCTCCTGGAGTCCCAGATTCAGTAGGTCGGGGGTGGTTCCGGGCCCCGGCTAATGTCAGAATCACCTGGGGAGTGTTTTGACACTCTCCAACAATATACTCAACCCAGGCCAATTAAGTCAGATTCTCTGGGGGCCGGGTGTGAGTCCTTTCAAAAGGACCACATTCTAAGAGTTCCTCCACTACGTTTGTTTCTAGTTTTGCAGTCTCTCCTGAAAGATTATTTTGTTTACAAATTTCTCACTGCCATCAACTGTGAGCTGCTAAAGGGCACGGGGTATGTTTTACTGATTAGTACCACATCCCAGCTCCAAGTGCCTATCAGAGCACACAGGTGATAGGAATTTCCTTCGGGCATTTGCTTCAGGGCTCCTGTGGGTAGTCCACTGGAAAGGGTGGGAGAATGCCCTCCAGACCTCTGAGAAGGAGTGGGAAACCCGTGGGGTGTAGGGTGGGGGCACGGTAGGAGAGTGGGGCAGAAGGAGAAGATATGGAAAAGAGGGCTGCTTATCAACCCCTGATTTCCCACAGCTAATTTTCCAATTAGGGTATTATTGTTTTAATCCCCAGTCATCTTCTTCTGTCACTCAGTAGAACACCTATGGTGTCCCTATATGATCCAGCTGTTGGACTGAGAGAATGTAAACTTATTATCCTCAGGGAAAAAAAAAAAATCCACACAGTTAAGAACTCATGTTGCTTTGCTTTAGGAGATATATGCCTGAAAGAAACCGGTCTGAAAAGGCTATGTTCTGTATGATTCCAAACTATATGACATTTTGTAAAAGGCACTATGGAGATAGTACAAAAGATCAGTGGTTGTCAGGGGTTAGCAGGGAGGGAGGGGTGGACAGGAGGAGCACAGAGGGCAAGGAAACTACTACTCGGTATGATACTATAATGGTGGACACATTTGTTAAGACCCACAGAATATACAACACCAAGAATGAACTCTAATGTAAACCATGGACTTTGGGTGATAGTGATGTGTCAATGTAGATTCAATTACAACAAAGGTACCACTCTGGTGGGGGATGTTGATGATTGGGGAAGCTGTACACGTGTCAGGGCAGGAGGTATATGGGAAACCGCTGTGCCTCCTTCTCAGTTTTGCTGTGAGTCTAAAATCACTTTAGGGTTGGGCATAGTGGCTCACGCCTGTAATCCCAACACTTTGGGAGGCCGAGGTGGATGGATCACCTGAGGTCAGAAGTTCGAGACCAGCCTGGTCAACATGGTGAACCCCCATCTCTACTAATAATACAAAACTTAGCCAGGTATGGTGGCAGATGCCTGTAATTCCAGCTACTCAGGAGGCTGAGGCACGAGAATTGCTTGAACCTGGGATGTGGAGTTTGCAGTGAGCCAAGATCAAGCCACTGCACTCCAGCCTGGGTGACAGAGTGAAATTGTGTCTCAAAAAAATTTAAAAAAATAAATCACTTAAAAAAAATAGTGAAAAATAGTCTAGGGGCCAGGTGTGGTGATACTACTCTCACCTATAATACCAGCTACTCAGGAGGCCAAGGCAGGAGGATCGCTTGAGCCCAAGAGTTCACACTCCAGCCTGGGCAACAAAGTGAGACCCTGTTTCTTTTTCTCTTTTTTTTTTTTTTTTTTTTTTGAGACAGAATCTCACTCTGTCACCCAGGCTGGAGCACAATGGTGCGATCTCTGCTCACTGCAACCTCCACCTCCCGGGTTCAAGCAATTCTCCTGCCTCAGCCTCCTGAGTAGCTCGGATTACAGACACGCACCACCATGCCTGGCTAATTTTTGTATTTTTAGTAGAGACGGGGTTTCACCATGTTGGTCAGGCTGGTCTCGAACCCCTGACCTCGTGATCTGCCCACCTCGGCCTCCCAAAGTGCTGGGATTACATGTGTGAGCCAGCGCACCTGTTCAACCCTGTTTCTTAAAAAAATAAAAAATACATACACAAACATATGAAGTATATGAAGTCTGTTTTTTAAAAAAAGTATATTCAAAGCCAAACATTTTAATTCAGTGATTTTTATGCTTTTATTTTTGCACAATAAATCTTTGTAGAATCCTAACATGTAAGGGAGCATGTTTTTGTCAACCAGTTTTATTGTTTTGAAGAAATACCTCATCTAAAACACTTCTGACACACTTTTGGGCAGCTTTAGGGTTTCCCAGCCCATATGAAATCCTGATAAGTTTCTCTGGTATTTTGGATTGTCCACACGACTACTCTCAGCTCCTCACATGCATGGGTGATTCAGAGCTGACTCTGGTCTTCCTCAAAGCACAGGGCATAGCTTTTATTTTCAGGTGTCGGCAGCTTCTGTTCTTTGCATTCTAAGAGAAAGCTGCTATTTGTTTTCCATGCTTTCCTTCCCACTATCAAAAAGCAGCCAAGGCCAGGGGAGGTGGCTCATGCCTATAATCCCAGCATTTTGGGAGGCCGCAGCAGGCGAATCACTTGAACCCAGGAGTTCAAGACCCGCCTGGGCAACATGGCGAAACTCCATCTCTCTACAAAAAAATACAAAAATCAGCCAGGCATGGTGGTGCATGTCTGTGACCCCAACTACCCCAGCTACTCAGGAAGCTGAGGTGGGAGGATCACCAGAGCTCAGGAGGTCTAGGCTGCAGTGAGCCGTGGTCACACCACTGCATTCCAGCCTGGGCAACAGAGCGAGACCCTGTCTCAAGAAAAAAAAAAAAAAAAAAAAAAAGCAGCCAAAAGATGTGGTATCTGCTATTGCATGATCCACACTCCGCTTTCTATGCTTTTGTTTTAAAACAGCGAGGAGTTAGGACTGAGAAGATTTCAAGTAAGAGTTCTTTAGGAGCCCTTTATAGCAAGTGACAGAGCCCAGGGTCATATATTTTGGCTGGCCAAGAAACAAGTGAGACTCTCTCAGCTTTAAAAAGAACAGCTGAGATTCCACCAGAGATGATACGCAAAATCTGTGTGTTTGAGGAATGAGAGATAGTGATGTTCTGGAAGGTACACAGGCAGGGTCAGGGAGAGGCAGTATGAAGAATGGAAGAGGGCTAAGTCTCAAAAAATAATAATATTCATCAAAGCCTGGTTCCAAAAGAAGGGGTGTTTTAGTCAGCTTCTGCTGGGATAATATCACGTAACAAACAACTCCAAAACTTAGTAGCTTATGGCAACAAGTGAGTCTAGGTTGGCTGGGCTTGGCTGGGCTTGGCTCCAGTCTGCAGGCTGAATGCATGTCGGCTTCTCATTTCTAGGACCAGGCTAAAGGAACAGACACCACTTCAGACGTGGTTCTCAAGGAGAGTTGGAGCTCAAGTGGGGGTGAGTGGAAACGTGATGCTTCTTAAAACCTCTGCTTAGGACTGACACACTCCCACTTCTACACTTCAACATCCTACAACGTATAACAGAATGGGATGCTATCAAAAGTAAAGAAAAAAATTACAGATGGATGAGAAAACAGAGCGGGAGAAGAAAATTAGTTTTACAATAAACCAAACTAAAATTTACAGTAAACCAAGCGGAATAAATAATGTTCGAAGCTTATGAATTGCTGAATTTCTGATAGAAGCTCAAAAGGGTTTGCCATCACTACCTTCGAAGACTGCTTCAATACTGGGGGGCTAGGAGGTAGGGCTGGGAATGAACAGCCAAAGCCTGATGGTAAGACAGCCCACTCTGGTGGAATGTGTACATTTGGAATCAGGAATTTGGGAATCCAGTCCCATACCTGACTTGTTCTAACTATGGGACCTTGACTAAATCACTCACCTTCTCTGGGCTGGAACAAGTGTCAGTTTTTACTGATGTTTCCACTGAATGCCAATTTTACATTAAAATAACGTGTTATGGACTAAGATTCTTAAATGTTCATTTAAAAGCGTATTTAAAAGAGTTGTATAGACTTGTAGGCAGCCCCCTGTTGGAGTCTGCGGTCTCCCTTTTGTGTTGTTAGAGGTATTTCAGAGGGACATTTGAGAAATATTGACTTGGACCGTCTTTTTTGCCCTCACACAGGCCACTCATGGGGCAGAGCTTGGCAAACTGCAGTCAGTCCACAGAACCCACTGCCTGTTTCTGTATGACTTTTGAGTGAAGAAGTATTTGCCTTTTCTTTTTTATTTTTAATTGTGGTTAAAAAAAATCAAATTTACCGTCCTATTTTTAAGTGTATAATTAATTCTGTAGCGTTAAGTAGATTCATGTGGTTGTGAAGCTCACCTCCAGAATTTTTTCATCTTATGAAACTGAAACTCTATCCCCATTAAACACGAGCCCCCATCTTTCCCTTCCCCAGCCCTTGGCAACCATCATTCTACTTTTTGTTTCTATGAGTTTGACTAGATACTTTGCATAAATGGAATTGTACAATATTTATCTTTTTGTGACTGGCTTATTTCACTTAGCATAATGTCCTCAGTGATCATCCGTATTGATCATGCGACAGGATTTCCTTTCTTTTTATTTTATTATGATTATTATTATTATTATTGAGACAGGGTCTTGCTCTGTCACCCAGGCAGTACTGCAGTGGCATGATCACAGCTCACTGCAGCCTCGACCTCCCAGGCTCAAGTGATCGTCCCTCCTCCACCTCCCAAGTAAATGGGACTACAGGTGCCCACCACCACACCTGGCTAATTTTTTATTTTTTGTAGAGATGGCATCTTGCTATGTTGCCCAGGCTGGTCTTGAACTCTTAGACACAAGCAATCCTCCCACCTCATCCTCCCTAAGTGCTGGGATTACAGGCATGAGCCACTGCACCTGGCCTTCCTTCCTTTTTAGAACTAGATACTATCCCATTGTTTGTGCATACCACATTTTATTTATCCATTCATTTGTTTTGGACATTTGGGTTGCTTCTACCTCTTGGCCATTGTGAGTAATAAGAATCTACATTTTTAAATGTTTGAAAACAAGCCAAAAGAAGGATAATATTTTGTAACATGTGAAAATTATGTGAAATCCAAATTTAGTGTCCCTAAGTAAAGTTTTATTGGAACACAGCCACATTCATTTATTTACATATTGTCTAACACTGTTTTTGCACTATAACAGCATGCTTGAGTAGTTGTGACAGAGACCATATGGCCCATAAAGCTGAAGATATTTACTTTCTGGCTCTTTATAGAAAAAGTTTGTCAACTGCTGGTGTAGGCAAAAGAGATTCTGTGCTGTTTTTTGGTTTGGATTTTTAACTGCATTTTCTTTCTCATTCCAGACAAGGCCCTTGCTTGCCACATCACGTAAAAATCTTACGTGTCTTTAATGCACTTCACGTCCAGGAACCTCAGCTTCAAAGAAAACCAAACGCTCATGCTTCATTTAATTCCCCTTATTCGGTCTTCCAAAGAGGTGGAGAATAGCTGGTGCTCACTGTCCCAGACACTGAGATGGCATTTCAAGATTTTCTCTGCAATCTGGTCTCTGAACAGACTTGAGCCTTTGTCTGCTGGTTCCCAACCCTGGTTACACATCAGAACCATGTGCTCCAGGACCTCACCTCTTGGAGTCTGAGGTTGAGCCCAGGAAACTCTATGTCTCCATATTTCCATCCAGACACCCTCTCTCTTCATGAAACCCTTGTAAATGTCTTACTCATTCTTTAGACATGGCTTAAACCTCAGCTCCTCCAAGAAGTCTTCCAAGATTCACCAGATGAAATGTATGGCCCATTTCTCCTACATCCCCCACAGAACCGTGTTTGAACTTTACAGCTTAGACTTATTTCTATGACTCGCTCCACTATGCATTCCCGTCTCTATATCCCTAACACCTGCCAAGAAAGTGCTAAAAATTTTTGTTGAATCAATCAGTCCATAATAGAAGAAATGATGTAAAATACAGTTTTGTAAATGATGTTATACCATACTAATTGAGATATGTGAACAATCATGAAGAAGAAGAATTAATGACATTCGGGGGGAATTAAAACTGATTCCAAGCTTCAGAGTTTTAAATTTAAAAAATGATCGAAATTCAGTAACACCCTGTACCCTCACACCCACCCTGAATCCACATCGTACCTTTAGAAAGGAAGGGAGGGTAAATATGTAGTGGTAAAGTGTCACAACTCCTGAAACGGTGAGACATTGCCATAGTTTTCAGGATGAATACAAATGAGAATGTGTACCAACCAGCTGCCGGTCAAAATCACTTCGTACATGCTATAAATCTGACATGCTCAGAAAGGTACAAATGGTCTTTGGCCCTTTCCCTTTCAATGATGCCCAGAGTTCCTGTGCAAACAACTGTTTTGGATTTTAAACGTGTAGATCAAGAAAATCAAGTATTTTATCTTTTGTTTTGATCCTAGAAGGTGTTGGACAAGGCTTTGTAGGAAACTGCAGTCTTTTTTTTTTTTAAATCGGGCAGCATCAGACAGTTACAGGAAGCTCAGGAAATACTGTGAAGGGCAGGATGTCACGCTGTGCATTGATGGCAAAGATGGGGAAGAGGTGGTCGGGCCTTTCAAGACCAACTCCTTAAGGGTGGAAAAAGCTAAGTCATTGGAGATTCATGATCACATTTTTTAAAAATCCCTAAAAATAATTTGAGAGCAGCAAAGGGAAGACCAGGACCATGACACTAAGTGCAAGGATGATTGTAGAGTAGGGTCTTCAGAACAAGTAGAAGCTCCAAGGCACAAGCGTAAAATTCCTTCTCCTCAAGAATCTATTTGCATGGGTTGATAGGCTTTGTCTGGGAAGGCTGGAGCCAAAGGGGAGTTGCGGTAAAAAATCAAGAAAAAGAAGCTGTTTCCTGTGAAACTTCAGGAAATTCTGAACACAGGCATGTCTTCCCTTTGGGGGCCAGCACAGAGATGAAGAGGGCATTTTCTCCACATTGGCATGGAACCTGATGGTCCCTGCAGGCATGAGGGGGGGCCCCAAATGAGGAAGCCAGAAAGCACAGAATATGAACAAACATGTTCTGGAAATGTAGGATTCCCCAGCCCCCTGACCCCTTATTCCCTCCTGTCTCTGTCTGGAGGCATTTCCAGTAGGAACGGCAGAGGTAGGTTCTCTAACTGGCAAGTTTAGGAGAAGAAACTGGCATGCTTGGCTCAGCTTCCTCCTCTCTCCTCTTTCGGAGCCAGCTTGTCTCAGGAACACATGGTCTCAGTTCTCCCTGCTAGGGGGATGCCTGCAGTCTTTTGGCTTAGCCTAGGTAGGCAAACTCGGTCTTGGGGGCAAAATGACAAACGAACCCATTGTGCCTGCAGTTGGAAGGGTATCATCCAATTTAGCTTTTGTCTCATAAGACTATCATTTTGATCTCCATCAGTCTGGCTCCTGGGTATACCTCTCAATTGATTCTGAAATTGGACAGGGAAGAGGGAAACCATTTATTGGGCTCCTAAAACCCCAGCCAGGTCGTGTGAGACCCCACCTTGGCACTCTTGAGAAACAACTGGAGAAGAGTGTTGATGGTAAGGAGTGGGTATTGAATTTCCATATGAGCAGGGAGAGATTGAACAATGTCCTAACTGGGGCATCTGTGGTCTTAGGGCCTCATGTGTACCCACAGGCCGATTTAGCTACCAATGTAACCCAAGATGGGAGAGAAGAGAAACGCTGTTCTGCAGGCTGTTTTTGGGAGCCATACATGGTGGTTTGGAGGTAAAATCTGTCATGCTATTGAATTCGCTTTAAATTGAGTGACTTCTGTAGGCCACTGTGAGGGTACTGAGGTTAGAAGCAGGTACTGGGGTGAAAGGAAAAGAAGCATCCTCTCCCTGGAAGCATCTCTTCCTGGAAGCATCATGACACTGGATACTCTTAGGAGGGTGAGACTTGGTAATCCACTCATACCCCTTTCTCTCCACAGCAATACACATTTCTTGAATAAATGCCATGGATACTTAAGGAGAAAAAATAATTATTAGAAAATACATATAATGCCACAGTCTAAAAAAGTGCCATTAAATAGATTAAGCCATTGATCCCTGATATTATTAATCCCGTTTTATGTTTGATACAAGTGACGAACAGAGATGTTAAGAGATTTATGGGCTCAAGGTCACACGGTTAACAAGTGATGGAGTTGGAACTAAAATCCAGGTTTTCTGATCTAAATCCAAATCCTTTCCGCTATTCTTTGCTGTATGACAATAGAGGACCACAAGAAAATAAAGAGAAGCACTCAGAAAGCAGAGTCAGGGAAACTGGATCGGACTCCTGGTTCTACCATGAACTTGAATCACCTGAGATTCAGCCTCTTTGCCTATAAAACTGTGTGCTGAGGGCTTGGACTAGAGTGTGTCTAAGACTCTGACATGCTGAGAAGGTCCTGGGTGGTTCTCTGCTTTAGGTCGCTGTCTTAGTCTGTTGGGGCTGCTATCACAAAATACCATAAACTGGGTGGCTTAATTCAACACCAGACATTTGTTTCTTATGGTTCTGGAGTCTAGGAAGTCCAAGATCAAGGTGCTGACAGACTTGGTGTCTGGTGGAGGCCCAATTTCTGGTTCATAGATGGCACCTTCCTGCTGTGTCCTCACACGGCAGAAGGAGTGAGGGGTCTAGGCCCCTTTCCTAAGGTACTAACCCCATTCATGAGGGCTTTATTCTCATAACCTAATCACCCCTGAAAACCTCTCTCCCAATACCATCACCTTGGGGGTTAGAATTTCAACATATGAATTTTTGGGGAACACAAACATTCAGATGCCAGTGTGTTCAGAGTTGGTTCCTACCAGTGGGTTCGTGGTCTCGCTGACTTCAAGAATGAAGCTGCGGACCTTCGCAGTGAGTGTTATAGCTCTTAAAGGTGGCATGGACCCAAAGAGTGAGCAGCAGGAAGATTTATTGTAAAGAGTGACAGAACAAAGCTTCCACAGTGTGGGAGGGGACCCTAGTGGGTTGCCGCTGCTGGCTGAGGTGGCTAGCTTTTATTCCCTTATTTGTCCCCTCCCACATTCAGTTTTTGTCCTATCAGAGTGCCAGAGTGCCCTTTTTTCAATCCTGCCTGCAACTGACTACCTTTAAGATCCTGCTGATTGGTGTGTTTTACAGAGCGCTGATTGGTGCATTTTACAGAGTGCTGACTGGTGCATTTTACAATCCTCTTGCTAGCTACGGAGTGCTGATTGGTGCATTTTTACAGAGCACAGATTGGTGCATTTTACAATCCTGCTGTAAGACAGAAAAGTTCTCCAAGTCTCCACTGGACCCAGGAAGTCCAGCTGGCTTCACCTCTCAATAGTAGTCACCTCCTGTCACAGTTATTCATAGCAGTTCTGCTTAGGAAGCACGTGGTCACAGAATAGGCTTTGCAGAAGGCTGGGGCATTTTAATCAGCCATCTACAGCAGTGGATTGAAAAGGTTATCTGCAACTCACAGTAGGAAATGAAGTTTACATCTAAACCCAATGCACACATATGTGGAACTGGAACAAGTTACACAAAATAATAGTTTGGTTTTTTTGTTTTGTTTTGTTTTGTTTTTTACTCTTTTGTGTTGTTTTTTTGAGAGAGGGTCTCACTCTGTCACAGTGCAGAGTGAGTTTAGTGGCTCGATCTCGGCTCACTACAGCCTCGAACTCCTAGGCTCAAGCAATGCTCCTGCTTCAGCCTCCCAAGTAGCTGGGACTACAGGCATGTGCCATCATGCTCAGCTAATATATTTTTTAAAAATAGAGACGAGGTATCGCTATGTTGCCCAGGCTGGCCGTGAACTCCTGGGCTCAGACAATCCTTGCGCCTTGGCCTCCCAGAGTGCTGGGATTACAGGTGCACTAAGCCACTGCAATCAGCCATTTCCTTTTTTTTTTTTTTTTGAAACATATACTATGTGTTTTATTAGTTAAAACAAACAAACAAAAAACAACTAATATTAAGAAAACAAGTCCGGGCGCAGTGGCTGACGCCTGTAATTCCAGCACTTTGGGAGGCTGCGGTGGGTGGATCACTTGAGGTCAGGAGTTTGAGATCAGCCTAGCCAACATGGTGAAAACCCCGTCTCTACAAAAATTAGCTGGGCATGCTGGCGCGCATCTGTAATCCCAGCTACTCTGGAGGCTGAGGCACAAGAATCACTTGAACCGTGGTTGCAGGGAGCCAAGATCGCACCACTGCACTCCAGCCTGGGCGACAGAGTGAGACTCCATCTCAAATAAACAAAACAAAACAGTTTTAAAACTTTGTTTTTAACAGAAAACATTTACAATTTGAGTACTTTCTATTCTATTTCATTTGTTTAGAAAATGTTGGTTGCAACACACCAATTTGATTTCGTAACCCACAAATGGTTTAAGAGCCACAATTTGACAAGCTAGAAATTGAAGAGTAGTGGTGGGAGAAGTCCTGGGAAGACGGGGGATCCCAGAAGCCAGATGAGGCTGAATGGGAGAAAAGGAAGAGGAGGTGACTGCTGTGTGTGATTCAGTGTCCTTCCTAATATGCCCAACACTTTCACATCATCTACCATCTCACCGGGAAGGTTCTCACTTCTGTCTTCTGTAGCTAAGAATGTTCAAAAGATACTTTATCACTGTCTTGACTTATCAGCCACTCAGGCAATAAGTTCCTTGAGCAGCGCTCCCTGTGTCCATAGCTGGCTGCTACACATAACAGGGTGGGCTGTGATCTTTTTATTTTTTCTGTGTAATTAACAGCCAGATTCAAGAGGGTGTGATCTTTCGAAGGGGTCATGCAACAAGGTCGGGGTGTCACCGAGGGAAGCCTGATTTGACTGATGGCCCGTGGATAGCATCACCTTGGTGACAGTCTGAGCCCTAGCTTACTGGTTCAGAAAGTTGAATGGACCAGTACCTCTGAGCATGGTCACTTGGCCTTGGGCCTTACCACACAAGGCCTCTTATTTATCTCTGAAGCCGTCTCCAAATGGTCTCGTTCATGCAGTTACAGAGATTGCCTGGCAAGATTGAAAGTAGAAGGCAAGCTGGGTTTGGTGGTTCATGCCTGTAATCCCAGCATTTTGGGATGCTGAGGCTTGCTTAAGCCTAGATGAGGACCAGCCTGGGCAGCATAGCAAGATTCATCTCTACAAAAAACAAAAAACTAACCAGGCATGGTGGTGCATGCCTGTAGTCTCAGCTACTCGGGAGCCTGAGGGAGTATCTATCTGGGAGGATCGCTTCAGCTTGGGGTGTGAAGGCTGCAGTGAGCTGTGATCATGCCACAGAAAAAAATAATAAAATAAATAAATTTAAATAAGACTATTACTAGAAGGCTTTCATCACACATCTTTAAACTTACATACCATCCTCCAATCACACTGCTTGAAATTCACTAATATTTTTGTAGGTCCTGCAATTATATTGTCACTAGCACAATAATATCACATTGCATTTTGCATGTTAAATGCATCCATTGGTTCAAGATAAACACTGAAAATACATCACAAATTTTAAAACCATCTTTTAGCACTTGTTCAATTTTTGATATACACCAAACACGGCAGAGACCTGAGCCTTTCTCAACTTTGAGAAGGCCCACCCAAGGAAGACCAGATTCTTGGTGACACAGTTTTCTTTCTTTTTTATTTTTTTGAGACAGAGTCTCACTCTGTCACCAGGCTGGATTGCAGTGGCTCAATCTCAGCTCCCTGCAACTTCCAACTCCCTGGTTCAAGCGATTCTCCTGCCTCAGCCTCCTGAATAGCTGGGATTACAGGCACGCTTCACCACACCCAGCTAATTTTTGTATTTTTAGTAGAGACGGGGTTTCACCATGTTGGCCAGGATGGTCTTGATCTCCTGATCTCGTGATCCACCAGCCTTGGCCTCCCAAAGTGCTGAGATTACAGGTGTGAGCCACCGCGCCCAGCCAGTGACACAATTTTCTTAGAACATCTGCAAGTGAATTCACTCCGGAGTAAAAGGAAAACGTTTCTTTCTCAAAGTGACTGAAATGCCTGCAGCTCCTGTCCTGTTCAGAGGATCCTCCAAGGTAACCAGGAACCCAGCCTAACCTTGGAGAATTTGTTCCTTCATGATTGACATGGTTTGTCTGTGTCCCCACCCAAATCTCATCTTGAATTGTAGTTCTCATAATTCCCACATGTTATGGGAGGAACCAGGTGGGAGATAATTGAATCATGGAAGCGATTTTCCCCATGCTGTTCTCGTGGTAATGTATAAGTCTCATGAGATCTGACGGTCTTATAAGGGGAAACCCCTTTCACTTGGCTCTCATTTTCTCTTGCCTGCTGCCATGTAAGATGTGCCTTTCACCTTCTGCCATGATTCTGAGGCCTCTTCAGCCACGTGGAACTGTGAGTCCATTAAATCTCTTTTTCTTTATCATTTACCCAGTCTCAGGTATGTCTTTATCAGCAGCATGAAAATGGACTAATACAATGATCAACAATGAAAGCACCTTGAGGTGAGCATCTTAAGGGCTGTTTCTTTCAGACTATAATGAGGCTTAATGAACCAACCGGTCCTGCCCCATCTGAGAGGGTCCTCTCTGAAAAGCAGAAAGCTCCCACCCCCCATTTTTCATTCTGTCGGACAATTAAGCCGAAGATGGCCTTTCTCTTTGTCCTTCTTTCCTGACCATGCCTATTCTATCCAAATGTTCTTTCTTCAGAAATTAAACTCCAGTGAAGTAGCTATTCCAGGAGACCTAAAAGGCATCTGTTTTTTCCCATCACATACAGACTCAATTTGTTTAATTTCATTTTCAGAGAGAAAACTTGCTTCCAAGCCCCCAGGTTGAACCTCCCTGTAGGCTCCACATACAACCAACATGACGTGGTACAAAATAGACACCATGCCTGACTTTGAGTTTACCAAACTAACATGGAAACAAGAAATCTGCCTTAAACATATAATTTGGAGCAGAGTGGTATGATGAAGAGAAGCACAGATTCACTATCTTAGGCTCTTGTTCAAACCCTGCCGTGTGATTTTGGGAAAAACACTTCACCTACTCTCTTGAAAATAGTAGGCCCGAGGCAAGGGGTGGTTCAGAAAATCTCTCATGACTGAAACCCATTCACTTATTCATTCATGCATTCATCACATATTGCCTTAGCACCTACTATGTGTAAGGGACCGTGCCACAGGCAAGATTAGTAGACATGAATCTTGCCTTCAAGGAACTGCTAATCTATAGCTTTCAGATATAAAATGTCATGATTCAAAATATGATGATAGGCTGGGCACGGTGGCTCACACCTGTAATGCCAGCACTTTGGGAGGCTGAGGCATGTGGATTACTCGAGGCCAGGAGCTCAAGACCAGCCTGGTCAACATAGTAAAACCCTATCTCTACTAAAAGTACAAAAATTAGTCAGGTGTGGTGGCACATGCTTGTAATCCCAGCTACTTGGGAGGCTGAGGCAGGAGAATCGCTTGAACCTGGGAGGCAGAGGTTGCAGTGACCCAAGATTGTGCCGCTGCACTCCAGCCTGGGTAACAGAGCAAGATTCCATCTAAAAAAAAATGATGATAAACAGAAAATGTATTAGCACAGGGGTGGGATGATCATCTTAGGGAGGCTGTGAGCTACATGGGGAAGGGTCAGATGGTCTTAGGTTCAGACTCGGCTCTTTGGTCTTGGGCGAGTTCCTTGATCCCTTCTAGTTTCCACTTCCTTGTTCATAAAACAACGGGCATAAAAGATCCACTTTGGAGTGTTGAGAGGAGTAGAGCTGAATCATACAAAATACCCCACATGTAGTTGGTATTCAATAAACCACCTTCTCAATTTCACTCTCAACCCTCAACATCCATTTTCTATCCAAGCAGCTGATTGATATTTTCAAGAATGTAAAGCTGTCATATCACTTAGAACCCTCCATGCGCCCATTCAAATACATAGTAGGGAGAGCACATGCCTCCCCTGTTGAAGATAAGTTTGTTCTTGTCCAGGGCCTTTGAGCTCTTCCTTTCTTTTTTTTTCCTTTTCTTTTTTTTTTTTTTTTGAGACGGAGTCTCGCTCTGTCACCCAGGCTGTAGTGCAATGGCACCATCTCGGCTCACTGCAACCTCCGCCTCCTGGGTTCATGCCATTCTCCTGCCTCAGCCTTCCAAGTAGCTGGGATTACAGGTGCCCGCCACCGCACCCAACTAATTTTTGTATTTTTAATAGAGACGTGGTTTCACTAGGTTGGCCAGGCTGGTCTCAAACTCCTGACCTCAGGTAATCCACCCGCCTCAGCCTCACAAAGTGCTGAGATTACAGGCGTGAGCTGCCGCGGCCGGCCAGCTCTTCCTTTCTTGAAAAGTGATTGGTTCCTCGCCAGTAGGGGCTCGGCTCAAATGTCATTTCTCCAGAGGCCTTTCCTCATCATACATTCCTCAGCCCAGTCATCTCTATCCCATCCTCCTGTTTACTTATTATAACAGCAACCTCTGGTTATCTTGTTTCCTTGTGTGTTGTCTGCCCCACCTTCCTCAAGAAGATATATTCTCCACAGGTTCATTCCTTGTCTCTCCTCTTCTGCCAAAAGCTAAGGTAGAGCCTGGCAAATAATAGGGGCTTGATAATTTTTTTTTCTTTTTTTTTTTTTTTTTTTGAGACGGAGTCTCGCTTTGTCACCCAGGCTGGAGTGCAGTGGCACAATCTCATCTCACTGCAGCCTCTGCCTCCTGGGTTCCAGTGATTCCCCTGTCTCAGCCTCCCGAGTAGCTGGGATTACAGGCACACGCCACTATGCCCCACTAACTTTTCATATTTTTAGTAGAGATGGGGTTTCACCATGTTGGCCAGGCTGGTCTCGAACTCTTGACCTCAGGTGATCCACCCGCCTAGGCCTCAAAGTGCTAGGATTACAGGCATGAGCCATCATGTCCGGCCGATAAATATTTTTTGAATGTATATTGTTGTTATTATTCCTACTATCATTTGGTGGTTGGAATTTATCTAAGGAAAGATTCCTCAGGTTATATCTGTACTTTGAACCAGAAGAGGAAACTAGTTGCATGCCTGAAATACAAAGCTGGGAAGGACTAGTAGGAGGAAGGACGGTGTGGGCCCTGGAGGGAGTTTTGTTTTTGTTTTTGTTTTTGTTTTTCCTTTTGAGACAGGGTCTCACTCAGTTGCCCAGGCTGGAGTGCAGTGGCACAAACATGGCTCACTGCAGCCATGACCTCCCAGGCTCAAGCGAGCCTCTCACCTCAGCCTCCCAAGCAGCTGTGCCACCATTTCTGGCTAATTTTTTTTATTTTTTTTTTTATAGAGAGGAGGTTTTACTATGTTGCCCAGGTTGGTCTCAAACTTTGGACTCAAGCGATCCTCCTGCCTCAGACTCCCAAAGTGCTGAGATAACAGGTGTAAGCCCCATGACTGGCCTGATGGAGTCTTTTAATGCAATAGAAAGAACTCCAGGCCAGGTGCAGTGGCTCACGCCTGTAATTCCAACACTTTGGTAGGCCAAGGTGGGCAGATCACCTGAGGCCAGGAGTTCAAGACCAGCCTGGCCAACATGCTGAGACCCTGTCTCTACTAAAAATGCGAAAATTAGCTGGGAGTGGCAGCATGTGCCTGTAGTCCCAGCTACTTGGGAGGCTGAGGCAGTGGAATCACTTGAACCTGGGAGGTGGAGGTTGCAGTGAGCTGAGATCATGCCACTGCACTCCAGCCTAGGTGTGCAGTGCGAGACTCCATCTAAAAAAAAAAGAAAAGAAAAAAAAAAGAGCTCCAAATTTGGAGCTAATAGGTCTGAATTCTGGGCCTAATTTTACCACAAGCTACCTCTGTTCTTTAACTTCTCAGAACTTAGTTTTTTCATACATATTTTTAAAAAAATGATTGGACTAACTTGGCCTTAAAAGTTCCCTCAGCTCTGAAATTCTGTGCCTTAAGAATGAGCCGCCTCTGAGGAAGCCCAGAAGTGTGTGTGTGAGATGCTACAGGAAAGCTTAGAAGGGAGCAGTGGGTTTGCCCCTCTCTGAGCAAAACTACTACTCAGATCCTTGACACCCATTCACTCCAAGCCAGACCTTCCCCTCACCACACCCTTCCTCATGCTCACCACAGCTGCTCAGAGATACTGACTAAATGAACAAATGAACATCCCCTGGAACCAGCAGAGAGTGGAAACTGAAAACTCAATGACTCAGTAGGAAGGACCACTGAGTCACGCAAGCCACTTCTTGTTTTCTCAGTGTACTCCAAGCCAAGTCCTGACAGGGTGGGAAGGCAGCAGAGCTCTAGCTCTAGTAAGTCCACACATAACAGCACTGCAAGGAGAAGGCCTTCAAAGTCAAAGCTGGAGGTAGGAGGGGAGGAAATGAAACAGTCACTTAACCTTTGTTCCAGTTATCTGCAGCAAACCCTACTATCCAACTAAAAGATCATATAGCCTGATACCTTAAAAGTAATAAAATCAGTTTCTAGAGTACCAGATATAAAAGGGGCTGTATCAGTTACCTATTCCTATGTAACAAATCACCACTTAATGGGTTAAAGCAGAAACCATATTATTTGCTCACAACTCTATGGGTCTGTGATTTGGTTGAGTTCAGCTAAGCGGTTCTTCTGCTGGTCTTACAGGAATCACACATGTGACTATGGTCATCTGGCAACTCAACTGGGGTTGGATGATCTGAGATGGCCTCACTCACATGTCTGGTGGTTGGTGCTGGCTGTTGGCTGAGCCTCTCTTTCCACATTATCTTTCATCCTTAAGGAAGCTAGTTTAGGCTTGTTCACATGGGTACAGCATCATTGCAGGAATGACAGTGGAAGCTGCAAGATCTCTTAATGCTCAGACTCAAACATAATGTTACTTCTACTACAATCTGTAGGTCAAAGCAAGTTACAGGGCTAGCCCAGATTCAAGGAGACAGGAAATAGATTCTACTTCTTAATAGGAGAAAAAGCAAAAGTATGCCGCAAAGGGAGCAAACATGCAGCGATGGGAGAAGTTGTGGCCCTCTTTATAGTCAACCTACTGCCAAGACCTTGATGCTCATGCAGTCCTCTCATTCTTTTTTTTTGAGACAAGGTCTTACTCTGTCTCCTAGGCCAGTGTGCAGTGGCATGAACACAGCTCACTGCAGCCTTGACCTTCTAGGCTCAAGCAATCCCCCCATCTCATGTGCCCACAAGTATCCGGGACTACAGGTGCACACCACCATGCCTGGCTAATTTTTGTATTTTTTGTGGAGACAGGGTTTTGCCATGCTGGCCAGGCTGTTCTTGAACTCCCAGGCTCAAATAATTCATCTGCCTTGGCCTCCTAAAGTGCTAGGATTACAGGTGTGAGCCACCACGCCTGTCCAGGCCTATCATTCTTGAAATGAGGAGTCTGATACACAAATAAGTTAAGTGCCTTGGTCAAGTTCATAGAGTTAGTGGCACATCCAGAATGGGAACCTATGCCTCCTGCTTGTCAGTCCAATGTTTTCACACCTTCAAGGACATTTTCTACCTGCAGCCTCTTTCTTCTTTACCCAAACCTAGTGACAGAGCCAGTCTTTTGAGCCACTCCACTTGTCAGAGCCATTCTTTAGACTGATATGGCTTTAGGAACAGAATACCAAAGCCCTATTTCCAAGGCTGGCCACAGCTGCCTTAGTTCTATGAATCTCCCTAACAGGAAAGGAGATTCCATTTCATCTTCTGGTCCCTTGGGAGTCTATTAGGCTCCCAGGCCATAGCTAGATTGGACAGACAAATCTCCTTTTGCTGGATTTTTAAAAGGTATTTCATAAAATAGTGCTTTGTATAAGAAGAAATGTTCAATGTCACTAATCATCAGAGAAATACAAATCAAAACGACGAGATACCATGTCACCCCAGTTAAAATGGCTTTTTTTGGCCAGTCTGGTGGCTCATGCCTGTGATCTCCAGCACTTTGAAAGGTCACGGCAGGAGGATCCCTTGAGTTCAGGAGTTGGAGACCAGCCTGGGCAACATGGTGAGACTCTGTCTCTAAAAAAAAAAAAAGTAAAAAATTAGCCAGGCATGGTGGCACATGCCTGTAGTCCCAGCTACTCGGGAGGCTGAGGTGGGAGGATCACTTGAGCCCAGGAGTTCAAGATCAGCTTGAGCAACATGGTAAGACCACATCTCTACAAAAAATTTAAAAAAAAAATTTAAAAATGGCTTTTATCAAAGAACCAGGAAATAACAGATGTTGGTGGGGATGTGGAGAAAGAGGACCTCTCATACACTGCTGGTGGGAATGTAAATTAATACAGTTACTATCGAGAACAGTATGGAGATTACTCAAAAAACTAAAAATAGAACTATCATATGATCCAGCATTTCTACTACTGGGTATATATCTAAAAGAAAGGAAATCAATATATTGAAGAGATATATGCACTCCTGTATGTATTGCAGCACTATTCACAATTGCCAAAATAGGGAATCAACCTAAGTGCTCACCAGCAGATGAATGCATAAAGAAAATGTAATACATATACACGATGGAATATTATTCTGCCATAAAAAGGATGAAACCCTGTCGCTTGCAGCAATTCAGATGGAACCGGAGGTCACTGTGTTAAGTGAAATAAACCAAGCACAGAAACACAAATGTCACATGCCCATACTTTTTAGTGTGGGAGCTAAAAAAGCAAATCTTATGAAGATAGAGAGTAGATTGGTGGTTACTGGAGGCCAGGAAGGGTTGGGTGAGGGGAGATGAAGAGAAGTTGATTAATGGGTACAAATATATGGTTTGACAGAATACATAAGACCTAGTATTAGATATTAATAGATCAGTAGGGTGACTATAGTTTCCAGTAATCTATTGTGTATTTCAAAATAGCTAGAAAAGGGCTGGGTGCAGTGGTTCACACCTGTAATCCCAGCACTTTGGGAGGCCGAGGCGGATGGATCACCAGAAGCCAGGAGTTCGAGATCAAAATAGCTAGAACAGAATTTGAATGGTCGTAACATAAAAAATAGACAAATATTTAAGGTGATGGGTAGCTCAAGTATGCTGATTTGGTTTCTACAAATTATATGAATGTATTCAATTATCACATGTACCCCAAAACTATGTACATCTATTATATATCAATTAAAGCAGTGCTTTGTAGTTGTCATTTTTAAGGCAATACATCTCTAGTATATCTTGGAAGGGTAGTGACAAAATCTGTTAGATACAATACCACTGTAAAGAATTAGTTCACCAGGCTGGGTGCAGTGGCTCATGCTTGTAATCCCAGCACTTTGGGAGGCCGAGGTGGGTGGATTACTTGAGCTCAGAAATTCGAGATCAGCCTGGGCAACATGACGAAATTCCATCTCTACAAAAAAATACAAAAAATTAGCCAGGTGTGGTGGTACACGCCTCTAGTCCCAGCTACTCAGGAAGCTGAAGCAGGAGAATCGCTTGAGCCTAGAAGGCAGAGGTTGCAATGAGCCAAGATCACGCCATTTCACTCCAGCCTGGGAGACTGAGTGAGACCCTGTCTCAAAAACAAAACAAAACAAACAAACAAAAAACCAAATCAAATTAGTTCACCAGAACAGCTTCTGAAAGTGAAGGCTAGAGGGAGTAATATTAATTATCTAACATCTATTGAGTTCAAACTACATCCAGACACTAGGCTAGGCATTTATATATATTAGCTCATTTAATTCAAATAACCTTGTGACATAAGTTTTATGGCTTTCACCATTCCTAAAATTGGTCTGTCAAACATCATGTTTATGTCAAATTGCCAAATCCAAGGTTTCACAACTTTTAGTTTTTTTCAACTCTCCTTATAATTTGAGAATACATATTCATTCAATTGTCCATATGTCTATTCTACTAAGTGACAAGACCTGGTTTAGGTATAGGAGATACAGCAATAAACAAGTCAGAAACATTTCTTATGCTCGTGGACCTTATTTCTTGTCTAGTGAAATGGACATTGAATAAGTGGCAGCCAATAGGATGGGGGTTATGAATAGGGAGGTGGAGAAGCCCTCAGAGAAGGCGTCTCTTGGATTCTGGGAGTTGAAACTCTCCAAATTCTGGTTCCTATTTCTCTGACCACTCCTTTGACGATTCCTTTTCCTCCATGTGCCCTTTAAATCCTGGCATTCACCAAGGGCTTGTCCTCATAGCTCTGTCTTCTTTCCTTTCCATCTGTTGGTGATCTCAGCCAGTTCTCCTGCTTCAGGCATGCTTGGTTTAATATGCTTTTCCTGGGAGCTCTCCCAAGCTCCATGGCTTCAACACCTGCTGAGGATTTCCAAACTTGTTTCCTAGTCCGTATTTCCAGTTCCCTATAGGATGCTGTCATCAACCTGTGCAGAACCACGCACTGGACATTCAAACCTCCTTGCTGGTATTTTTAGTTCTGCCATCATTTACCCTAGCCCTTTCAGCCTGCTAAAATCCTGTTCACCTTTTGAAGTCTGCCCACCCTCTTCAGGTGGAGCCCATCCCTTCCTCCTCTGAACCCCTCTGTGTATTTCCCCCTGGCTACTTCCATACTTAATCACCTTAAAGACAAATTAGTTTTTTCTGTGGCTGGCTCTTCGTGTGCTCCCTGCGACTGTCTGCTCCCTGAGGGCAGGGATCAAGTCTTGTTCATCTTGAAATGCTCCATGTTTTGCACAACAGTAAATGCCCAAGTTTACTGTTCATTGCATTGTTGAACTACATTTGGATCTGTGAACTATTTTCAACTCCGCAGTCAAAAGTAGCACATTTTGTTCCGACCATAACACTTCTTCTAGAGTTTCTATTAGGGTTAGTCAACTGCTCTTGTCTCGGTCATGAGATTGTGGGCGAATTTTATGGGCAACCCAACTTCCCATCTCCGCCCCCACATTTTATTTGTCTTTTTTCCACCAACACCCCCAGTGCCAATCACATAATGGAAGTGTTTGTAGTCCAGACTCATTCCATTACCTTGGCTTCTCCTTGGTAAGAGGACATTCATTCATTCGTTCATGTACTTATCTAACAAGTACTAATTGAATTCCTCCTTTGTGCCAGGAATTGCTCAAGGCAAAGTCCCTGCCCTGAAGGAATTCAAATTCTAGTAATGGACATGGACAATAAATAAGCAAATAAATAAGCAAGAAAATACTAGATTGATACAAGCTATGAAAGGCATCAACAGGGTGGTAAGACAGAATGAGAATGGGAAGGTGCCACTTTAGATAACATTGTTCAGGATCAGCCTCCCTGAAGGAGTTTGGACTGAGACTTGAGTGGCAGAAGGAACCTGGCTCTAGGCCAGGTGTGGTGGCTCATGCCTATAATCCTAGCACTCTGAAAGGCCGACGTGGTAGGATCGCTTGAGCCCAGGAGGTTGAGGCTGCAGTGAGCTGTGATTGTACCACCACACTCCAGTCTGGGTGACAAAGTGAGACCCTGTCTCAAAAAAAAAAGAAGGAACTGGGCTCTAGAAGGTCCAGAGGAGATTCCAGGAAAAAAACAGGAACATTGGAGACACCAAAGGAGCATCATGTGCACGGCATGGAACGAGCAAGTGGGACAAGCTGACACAGGGGAGGTAAGCAGAACCAATCGTGGGGGCTTGGAGGCATGTAAGCACTTTTAATTTTTATTAAAAGCAAAATGGGGAGCCATTAAAGGGTTTTGTGCAGAGGAGAGACATGATCTGATTTATTTTGTAAAAATAGCTCTTTAAAAAGAATGTAGAGTGGACTGAGTGGGAGCAGAAAGACCAGTTAAAAGAGTGTTATAGTAGCCTAGGCCAGTGTACCGGTGGCTTAGAGCAGGTTGGCTGTTCTATATCCACATGAGGCTTGATTCTGTCTGCTCTTACTACCATTCCGACCCATTAGTCTGGCCAGGAAAATTCTCAGTGATGCCACCGCATCCCTGGTGCCCGTGAGAAATCCAGATGCCGAGAAAGAGGGACACCAGGTTTAGCCAGGAGCCCTTGGTCCTCTTGTCTCTATCTCCATGGTCTCTTGTGTTCTGGTTCAGCCCCATAGGAGGGACAGCCCTGCTTCTTTTTTTTTTTTTTTTGAGATGGAGTCTGACTCTGTTGCCCAGACTGGAGCACAGTGGCACAATCTTGGCTCACTGCAACCTCTGCCTCCCGGGTTCAAGTGATTCTCCTGCCTCAGCCTCCCAAGTAGCTGGGATTACAAGTGCCCACCTCCGCGCCCAGCTAATTTTTGTATTTTTAGTAGAGACGGGGTTTCAACAGGTTGGCTAGGCTGGTCTCAAACTCCTGACCTAAAGTGATCCACCTGTCTTGGCCTCCCAAAATGCTAGGATTACAGGCGTGAGCCCCCACACCCAGACTGGGACAGCCCTGCTTCTGAGCCAGCCCTCCAGAGGGTTGGAGAGATTGGCAGGGCATGGGATTGTCTGAAGGCCAAGAGGGCTGTAGAATCTGGCAAGTGTGGGCAGCAGCAGCAGCGGTCTAAGCTCTCAGCAGCTGCCTGAGCTGCACGGCCCACTCCCTGGCTCGAAGCTTGTTGCCTCTGTCTTTACTTATTCTCGGAAGATCTCTGAATGCTAAAGCACACTGTTTGTTATAGTTGTTGTTGTTTTCCCCTGGAAAAATAGAGGAGCATTTTAAATAGATTATACTGAGTTGAGTGAACTAGAAACTTAAGAAGAGCTAAAAGGGCACTTGGCATTCGCCCCTCGTCTCCTGCAACTCTTCGCAGGCCCTTCCTGGCCCTCTAGCTCAGCAAACCTTCTCCCTTCTCCCCCCGGACCAGCCTCTTTCCTCCTGCAGCCCTTGTCGTGTTCTCCTGCCTATCTAACCCTCCAGCCAGTCTCTGCTCTAATATCACTTCCTTCTAGTGACTGTCCCCGAGGGCCGCCTGCCAGTCTATGTTATGTGCCCTGATTAAATGCATTCAAAGCACTAGAGACTTTCTCTTCACAGGACTCATGGTTAATTATAATCACATACTTACCAGCAGGGTGTGGACATATACACACTACGGCTCAGGTTTTTTTGTTTGAAAAATGTCGTTTACATTTATTTTTATAACTGGTCTCATCTGTTCCCACTCCTGCTGATAGTGGAGGGGAAAAGAAATTTACACTTACCAATGAAAAGTAACTGCCTCTTCCGGCTTAAAACAATCTGTTTCGCCCAAATAATCAGTTAATTCTAAGTTGAAACTTCCTATCAGGATTGCTTCCTTTTCTCTAAAGCATGCTTTCCCTGCCCATCCTCCTCAATACAGGGTCCGGCTGCAGGGAGGGGTGGGTCAGAGGCCCTCAGGGTGTTGGGCAGGGCCCAGGGGGGCTATCATGGGATAAGACCCCCTCATGGGAGCCACCATTGCATCTACACCTGGGCTGTGTGGGGGCAGCTCTGCCCTCCAGCCCTTGGCCACATCTGGGCTTGCCGTGGCATCATCCCCTGCCCGCCAGCTCACGAGCCTGCATTCTCAGCTGTCTTGGGAGTATGTCTTGGGGAACTTCGATGTTCCCTACAGGCTACACACAGGTCAAGAGGAAACGGGGAGCAATCACAGGCTCCTTTCCCTGAAAACACGCCCAACACCACCATTTCGCCCCTGCTGTGGCTGCCCTCACAGTTCATGGATGCCATGCTAGACAATTTCCTCTGAGTTCCAAGCAGAAAGCAAAGCTCTGCCTTCTCTGAGCCAGCTTCCTCTCCACCACCTGGGCCATTCAACATCCCTGCTCTAACGTTTGCTCATGGCAAAGGGGCCTGAATGCAAAGACACTCTTCTTACTCCCACTTCGTCCTCCTCCCTTTTCTCCCACCCTTCCTGGCTGGTGGGAATGACTCTGTGGCATGGTCTCCGTTGACTCACACTATAGTGTAGGCAGTGTGAAGCTGTGCGGTAGGTTTGCCTCTTGCAGGTAAAGGCAAACCACTGCCCTCCCTGCCACCTACCACTTTTTCTTCATCCACTCCCCGACCAAACCTGCCTTTTAAGATTATTGTCTCATGGATATATCAATTATAGAGATGGGGGGGGGGGGTCTCGCTTTTTTGCCCAGGTTGGTCTCGAACCCCTGGCCTCAAGCTATCCTCCTGCCTTGGCCTCCCAAAACTCTGGGATTACTGCAGGTGTGAGCCACCATACCCAGCCTGTCTTATGGATTTAAAAATTGAGTGTGACCCTCAAAGCTGAGCAATGACCTCTTTCTTCTGCCTGGCATCCACCCATTCTATATCGACTCATCTACTAGGCAGGGGCTACATGGTTGTCAGGAAACAAAGACCATCTTTGCTTAATGTTTAAAAAAAAACTTCCCATGAAGTAATTTGTCTGATTCTTTGCACAAATTCTAGCTGTACATCTCTTTTGCTCAACACCATATACTTTGTGACTAACCCAGGTAGTACTGAGCATCTGGGGCTGCAGGCACATGCCATGACACCAGGCTAATTATTTTATTTTTTGTAGAGACAGGGTCTCTCTTTGTTGCCCAGGCTGGTCTCAAACTCCTGGCCTCAAGCAATTCTCCCAAAGTGCTAGGATCACAGGCGTAATCCACTGCACCCAGCCTCTTTCAATTTCAGTATGAATAAATGTTCATTATTTGATAGACTTCATTTTGGAACAGAAATAATATCTAGATAATGGTGAAAAAAGTAGATGTTACTATTTTGGATCAAAAATAAGATACATGGCCAGGCGTGGTGGCCCACGCCTGTAATTCCAACACTTGAAAGGCCAAGGTGGGCAGATCACCCGAGATCAGGAGTTCAAGACTAGCCTGGTCAACATAGGGAAACCCCGTCTCTACTAAAATACAAAAATCAGCCAGGTGTGGTGTCACATGCCTGTAATCCCAGCTACTGGGGAGGCTGAGGCAGGAGAATCACTTGAACCTGGAGGTGTAGGTTGCAGTGAGGCGAGATGGTGTCATTGCACTCCAGCCTGGGCGACAGAACGAGACTCCATCTCAAAAAACAAAGAAACAAACAAAATATATGAATATAAAACAATATAAGAGTCTTTTTCTAAGTGACTTATAAATTGGCTTTGAGGATTAGCCCACACAAGGATTTGGGACAAGGAGTTCTAAAATGTTTTCTGTAGGGGTGTCATGGGAAAAGGAGCAGGTCTTCCAAGGGGACCAGTTAGATGGTGATGGCCGGTATCTGAATGCAAAGTTTCCAGTAAATGAGTTTTAAAGACAATAATGTTGGTTTATAGTAATATTTTATACAATATTGGACTTTTACAGGAAACTATTTGTAATCATAGTGAATTTCATTTAATAACCTAATAACTTGATTGTTTGGTACTCATGTAGAAATTGTAGGTCTTACATGATTTGGGGCTGTTGGAATCCAAGATTTTCTTCCCAATTGTTATAAGCTTTCTCCAATAGTTACTTTAAATTTGCCCATTATTGCTTTCTCTTCTCACTGTTTTCCTTTAACCTGATACTTGCTGACAATTCACCAGAGAGGTGAGCCCCTTGCATACTTCTAGACTTCCTGTACATGTTTTATCAGAGCAATAATGATGACTGTTCACCCTCATTACGGGTAAAATAAGTTAAGACAGGCTCAGGCCTAGGTTAATATGCTTCTAACTTTGACTCTAAATGAAACCTGTGTTTAGGAAGAGGGTAGCTGAGGAATCACATGTCCATAGGGGCCAGGCAGGTAACCTAAATGTATGAAGAGAGCTGGCTGTAAGAAAAGCAACAGGTGAGAAGCCCTACCATCAAAGTGGAAGCTTGGAACTGAGTCATCTGCTGGGCTATTTTAGAGACCCCCTGCTCAGAGGCCTGCTGGTCTTGGAGTGTGGCAGGCCTGATTCCACAGGTGGAGGCCACAGCCCTACTGGGTCCTGTGAGAAACAGAGCTTGGAGAGCCAGGGGAGTCCCTCTCCTGGTTCATCATCCTTAGCAGGACTCCCTGGCTCGCTCAAGCTCCATCTGATGCTCAGCCTTGGATTAGAAGGGCCCTTGCTGCCTCCTTTTCATGGGAGTTGAGAACCTCCTGAAGCCCATGCAGGACTTTGGGCTCAGGTCAGCTTGGGACTCAGGCTTATTTTTCTGGAAATGTAGCAGACTCTAAAATGCTGGCTTCCAGAGATCAAGGACTTGTATATTACTGTATTCAGGACTGAGCCAGCTGGCAAGCTGTAGTGGTTACTAAAATATCAAAATGCACCAAGTGACTCAAGGGTTAACACCTGACACAGGAGCAAAGGGCCTCCAGCACAGGCCCAGCAATATCTCCAAAGTCCTCCTGAAACCCTGAAAAACAAAACTGGTGAGTTAGGGTGAAAGCCTTCCTGTTACATGTGTTGAAAATCACCCCTGATTGTTCTTCAAATGTAACTCAGTGCCTGGCACCTTCTATAAATGAATGAACACATGAATGAATGAATGCATTAATGAATGAATGAATGAATGAATGTAGGGCTGGAGGGCAACAGCTGTTCAATACGTGTGTGTTGCATGAATGAGTCTTCATCTGCTGTTTTCTGAAAATGCAGGCATTCCTTACACACAGCAGAGCTCTCTGAATCCATCTTAAATAGCATTTTACACTGGTTTGAGAACTCAAGGTCACCCTCTTACTTGTACCTGGGCTTTTATATAATACGCTTTAATCACCTGCCTGGCAGCTGTCAGGAAAGCTTTCTGTTGTAACATATCCAGGGAAAAAGTCATATTTTGCTTTACATACTTAAGTGAAAAATTGGTCCCTGGCTGAACATAATGGAAGTCATTCGTTCTGGAAAAAGCAATTCAGAAAAAGATATCCCCTAAAAATCTAGCACAGTCCACTCAGAACTCCATCCTCTGATGGGCTGGGGAAGATCCTTAGACTTATGAGCTATTTTGAGGGGGGTAGGGGGTACTTTAATTTCCCATAAGGGCAAGTGTCTAGGAAATCTGTCTACTAACTGTAACTGTTTGCTCCTGAAATGTGTGATTGGCCCCATCTGAGAGGTGACGGATGCTCCTTTTAGTGCCTGGCAGTCCCCATTACAGCGAGTGTGGAAGTGACTTCTGTGATCCCTAGCCAATGTGAAGCCTTTCAGTCAGGAAGAAGAGTGGAGAGAAACTTCTTACATTTCAAAGTTTGCCCTTGAGAAGGCCTTTTCCCTCACGCCCCTCTTCCCAAAACCAGGGAATCTGATAACATTTTTCTATAATTTTTTTTTTGTCACCTATCTATGTAACCAGAGGCAGAAAGGAACGACTTGGTTTAAAACACAAGGCCGAGGCATAAGGTGGCGTGAGTCCCCAAAGCTGCTCCCTGGTTTCATCTAGGCCCTCTTCTTTCAGATTTAGTGATGGAATTCTCCCTGTTAGAGCCGTGGTTTTCATAACCCTAAAACCAGAGCTGTGCGGCCTCAGGGTGGGCAGCCGAGATTCCTGTGGCAGCTTCTTCTGAGCCCTGGGGGGTGGGAGGACAGACGGCAAGCGGGGTGGAAAGGGACAACTCCAGCCCTCACTAGTTACTTGGGGGTGGAGTGAGGATACATTTCTTGTGTCCCTTATGGTTGAGTTTCTCAAAGCTCATCTCTGGCTGAAACCAGGGAGCCGAACCAAACCCCTGCCTCGTGGGAAGCAATGATGTAGCCACTTTCAGCTTTTGTTCAAATGCTCCTGAAAGGGAGCCGCCCTATCACACACGGAACTTCAGGAAAGCTCATGCCCTCCCCAGAAATGACAAATGGAAAAGACAGAACAGTCTCCGGCCAGGCCAGGATACAGTCTCTGGAAAGAGATTGTTTTTGTCTCCATTGCCATAGAAAACACATCCTTTTAACTTAATAAGTAGGGAAACAGCATAATCACACGCGCTGGAGGTTACCAAGGTGAACAGAATCCAAGATTAAAATCTGCCAGTCCAGGGGTGCATGGAAGCATGGGAGGCCCAAAGAGGAAATCTAGTTTGCTGTTGGTAAATTTTTTTGGATGCTGTTTATGTTTGAACTTTTCTCTGTTTTCCTGTAGAAACTTCCGTACCCTCTTCCTGTGTCCCTACAAAAGCCTGGACAATGCAGTCCCAGCCCTGCTGCAGAACATGGGCAGGCCCCACCTTCCTCCTTCCTGCAGGGATATCCTTTCCTATAGAAGAGGTAAGAATGTAAGGTTCATGTGAAAATGTGATTATATTCCTTATCTCAGTCATTTCATGATTTGCTGTTTGGCGACAATAAGTCAGCCTGGCCACATTCACAATAGAGGTGGCCCCGGTTCCTAGTTTTGGCTCGTGCTGTTTTCTCAGCTGAAGAGGGCAACCGGCTGTTAAAAACGCTGCCTGTTTTCCAGGATCTTATCAGGAGTTCATGTCTAAGGCCAGAAAGAGAAGGGAGGGCTCCATTTTTTTTCCTCTCTCCTCATTGTTTCCAACTGAATTGGCAGGAAATAGGAGTCCTCCACCTGTCCCTCTCGGGAGCAAAATTGATTCGATTCCATTTTTCAGATGTATCCGCTACCACCAGAAATTGGGGACATTTCCGCTCACCCCAAAATGAATGCGTTCCTGGATTGACACAAATGACATCTTTCAGAATTGCAAATTAATCACATTTAAATGGGGATGTTTGGGACGGGGGATTGGTGTCAATTGCCCCACAGAATCTCAGGTTTGCTTTCTCTTCTCATTCACCCTTTTGTGAAGTGCCTTTTAGGGCTGTGGGGCTTGACTGACTCCAACAAGTTTGTGTGAATGTGGTGTGTGTGTGTGTGTGTAGTGTGTGTGAATGTGGTGTGTGTGTGTGTGAATGTGGTGTGTGTGTGTTTAGTGTGTGTGAATGCGGTGCATGTGTGTAGTGTGTGTGGATGTGCTGTGTGTGTGTAGTGTGTGTGAATGTGGTGTGTGTGTGTAGTGTGTGTGAATGTGGTGTGTGTGTGTAGTGTGTGTGAATGCGGTGTGTGTAGTGTGTGTGAATGTGGTGTGTGTGTAGTGTGTGTGAATGTGGTGTGTGTGTGTGTAGTGTGTGTGAATGTGGTGTGTGTGTGAATGTGGTGTGTGTGTGTGGTGTGTGTGAATGCGGTGTGTGTGTGTAGTGTGTGTGAATGTGGTGTGTGTGTGTGTGTGTGTAGTGTGTGTGAATGTGGTGTGTGTTTGTGTGTAGTGTGTGTAGTTTGCATGTACCATCAATGGCGTGGACACTCAGAGAACTGAAATCCTTCGCTCAGGGTCTCACATAAATCAAAACAGTTCCCTTTCACAGCTGCCTTAGAGCATATGTTTCAGGCAGGGTAATACAGGATCCAGACAGAAGCTAAGTCCATTTCTCAAGACTCATAGTGGGCTTGTGGTTGACCTAGTATTTTCCACTTAACCCAGTTCAGCCAATTCAGCCAATTTGAACAAAAATCAGGGTCTGTCTAGATGCTTTATTTCATCTAAAAACAACCCCAGATGATTCTATTTTGAGGGGATCAATCATTTTACTACCTAGAGAAAAAGCTTAAACATAGGAATTACATAAACCACAGTATTCCATAAACAGAAGGACCTTCCTACTCAATGTCAACACTTCGTGTTGGAGCTTAGACTCAGAAACTGGGCAGTTGCTAGATGGAGCCCTGAAACAATCCATTTCCAACTACCCTCAAGAGCACAAGAAGCAGAAACAGCATTTTGATTCCACCCTAGTGGGGTCCTGGTTTTCCCAGGTCACATTATCCTCAATCCAGGGTCCTGACTAAGACCAAAGAGGTCATGCTCCTGCCCCATCTTGTTTAGGAACTCCAGCTCCTCACACCCACTGCAACCATGGTGGCTGCCTGTGGTTCTTGTGTTGTGTGAGGATATTTGCAGGCAGGACAAAATGTTCCAGACTCCTTCCTCCCTGTGGGTCCTAGGGGACCCATGAGGTATCTGTGCTCCCAGAGCTCCCTGCTTCTTGACCCCCTGGGCTGTATTTGATGGGAGCCACCCGCCTCTGCCCCACTCATGCTCATCCTTGGGTACCCAACTGATGTTCTAAATATGGATGTCAATAGACGGGCCAAAAGCCACGTAGATAGAAAGAGTGTTTCCACGCAAGTGAGACAACCAACTTAAAATCAGCCTCTCAGAAATGAGATCTGTGGGAGAAAAATATTTTAACCTCCTTGTATTGTATGAACCAATGCTTTCCTTCAACCCCAATGTTTCCTTTCTCTCCTTGGTGCTTGCCCAGGTCCCTGTGCCCTTTGAAGCAGTTGGGCTCTTCTGCACTGACTGCCTCAGAGAAAGGATGTTACAGTGGAAAACAGAACCGGGAAAAGACTTCCTGACTTTGGAGTTTCAAAAGCTTAGTTCATTAGAGAAATGGAAAAGACTCAGAAAGGATTAAACACTGGGCAGAAGTATTGTGAGTGAGAACCAAATTCCTTACTAGTCCTACCACCTGAGCTTCAAGGATTGTGGATATCCAGTGGGGAGGAGAACTGATGGGGACTGGGGCGAGAAGGTCAGATCTGAAGAAACTCCAGGGGCATGAGCAGACCCAGCATCCATGGACAACGCAGTATCCACTCACATGAGCCTGTGCACCACCGGTGCATCGGGGCTGCACTGGTTGTCTTGTCCTTTGGCATCCAGTGAGGACTTCCTAGGAGGGCTGTTGGCATTTTCCTCACTGACCATTTAGCAGGAATAACAACTGTCTTTGCCTCCAAACCTGGCTATGTTGCAGTTAAGAAGACTGATTCCATGCGGTCAACCTAATATGCAATATCTCATGGTGCTTGTAAGCCCCCAAGAAGGAGGATGGGGCCTTTGTGTACGTGGCAAGGTAGTGCCATAGAAGGAAAAGTTTCTGAGTCTACAATTGAAGGCAAATGGAACCAGCTCAAGATTTTCCTCAAAGAATAACAATGGTCAAGCTCTGCTCCCACACCAAACTCTCCTTATTATATGATCCTCTGGCCTTCTACAGAGTGCTACATTGCTCTTCCATGTTGAAAAACTTTGAACTATTTCCCACAGAGCTAGTCCAGTGGTCTATTTGGGTGATTCTACTCTGTGTTGCATTTCTAGTCTCTGACCTAACCTTGACCTTGACCCTGATCTTGGGTACTTGCTTGGTTTTCCTGGTTCTCACACCCCTCATCATAAACCATGCCCTCCCCAGCTCCCAGGCCAGGTGTGTAGCAGGCTTTATCTCCCCTTCTTTACTGGGGTGTCTCAATGTCTCAGCCACCCTACATACCTGGAGGTTCCTAACCTCCATGAAACCCTCAAACCACAACCTCCCTCATTTTGCCTAACATGAAGTGGATCACAGGTAACATGGCATCCTCAGGATCACACCATAAGCACCAGATGGAGAAGGGTTTTGCCTGGGATGAGTCAAGGTATTACATTAATGGGACCAGCTTGGGCCAGCCACTGGCTGGGATCCCCTCTCGTCACATGGAATCCCTTCCTTATTCTCTTTCCTCCCATGACTGGTATGGTTAGACCATCCTGGGGACAAACTCACCCTTCTCTTCACTAGAGGAAGGGTGGTGGGAGAGGAAATAACTTCTTCTGCAGCCTAGAGGTGAGACCCAGAGGACCACAGGAATGGGCCTGGAGGGCAAGTGGCCATAGCTGAGACTTTAAACCAGAGAAGAAAGAGGGCAAGGAAACCAGATCAGTCACCAATGCTAATGTCCTCTGGGCATGTCAACACTAAGAAGATGAAAATGGAAAACATGAAAAGGAAGTATCACTTCTGGCTTATGTTATGTACTTGGCACAGTGTTAATTTCCATCCTTGCACCTTCCCCGTGCCCTTCTCTGCTTCACAGGGGCCTAATTAACATTACACAGTGTCCTATAGGCCTCAGATGAAAGCTATTATAAAAGTGCAGAAACGGTCACCGTCATCACAGACCCTAATTTGATAAGAAATTCCTTTCAGCCTGAAGTGAGTATTAACTATATTCGAAGGTCTAGGAATGTTGTCAGTGTGTGTTTCAAAGGTTACCACTATCTGGGGGGAATGCACCATGAAAGGAGATTTTTCATGGTGAAATTATAAAAGTATTTAGAGTTGAAAAAAAGAAAAGACACAAACATTGAGAGATTATGAGTGACAATGAAATCAGACTAGTTAGCAGAAACAAAGCAGGGCCTCAACCAGGTGACAGCAGGACTGATTTTTACGTCAGGTCTTCAGGTCAAGTCTATTAAAGGAACAGCTGGGCCCATGAGCTTTCATTGCAGTGCTATTTCTCTGCATTGAATACTGGCTAAAATTAATGGGGCATAGGATAGGGCTGGAAAATTTTTATTAAAATGAGAGGCTTTTGTGGTAAATTATGGTAGCTAGGGGTTTAAGGTTGAGGGGAGGGGAAGGTCCTGGAACATTTCTTCTACCAATTGCCCTAGCAATTATATCCATCTTTGGAATCTTAATGCCTGGCTTCTAATCCCAGGTAAACTTGGAACAAGTGATTTAACCTTTTTGTGCCTTAATGTCCTCATTTGTCAAATGAAAATAGTGAAAATGCCAACCGGGCACAGTGGCTCACACCTGTAATCACAGCACTTTGGGAGGCCGAGGCGGGCAGATAACCCGAGGTTGGGAGTTCGAGACCAGCCTGACCAACATGGAGAAACCCCGTCTCTACTAAAAATACAAAATTAGCCAGGCATGGTGGTGCATGCCTGTAATCCCAGCTACTCGGGAGGCTGAGACAGGAGAATTGCTTGAACCCAGGAGGCGGAGGTTGCCGTGAGCCAAGATCTCTCCATTGCACTCCAGCCTGGGCAACAAGAGTGAAACTCTGTCTCAAAAAAAAAAAAAAGAAAGAAAAGAAAGAAAAAGAAGAAAGAAAGAAAGAAGGAAAGAAAGAAAAAGAAAAAGAAGAAAGAAAGAGAAAGAAAGAAAGAAAGAAAGAAAGAAAGAAAGAAAGAAAGAAAGAAAGAAAGAAAGAAAGAAAGAAAAAGAAAAGAAAGAAAGAAAGTAGTGAAAATGCCTACCTTATAGGGTTGGTGTGAGGATAGGTGAGTTCATATACAGAAAACACTGTCACATAGAAGGTACTGCCAGAGAGTTTGCCATCATTATTATTATGGTCACCATTGTTATTGTTTTCTGCCCTGGGAAACCTCTTGAATAGGGAATCTGTTAGAGCCTGAATGCACTTTACATGAGCCCCAAAGAAGGTCTAAGGACCCAGGGAAAATAAAATTGAGAAGAAGTAGAAGGAGAGTAAAGCTCCTATGCAGATTTTCTTGGACAGATTTTCACTGTTTTTGAAAGCTTTTCACACTATTCCACCACATTCTACCTTACCTGTAACCCTTATCAAAATGCCCTGACCCATTGAACCAGGCTGCTTCCAAGCACATTCAAACCCTGCCTTTAGCCCAATATTTTGAAGCAACATTGGCTACAACAACATTTGGCCCTTCTCTCTCTTAGTTATTGTGGGTTTTTCTCAGAATATTTTAGATGATTTTAGATTTAGATTTAGATTTTAGATGTGCCCTTCCTTTTGGCATATGACAGGGTTACACCTCTCGCCCACCTTGGGGGGTTGGTTGGGGTTAAGTGACTAGTTCTGGCCAATGAGTTGTGAAAGCCAGTGAAGTGTATCACTTGCAGGCTGAAGCATTTAATGGCCGGTGCAGTTGGAGAGGGCAACAGTTCCATCAGCCTGCATCCCTCAGTGGCTTTCATAATTGAATGGTATATGTGGTATGACTCTGTTTATGTTACTAAATATATATTATATTCATAAAACTTCTGGAAGGATATTCACTAAGCCCATAGTAGTGGCTCTGTCTATGGGGGTAAGATTGCCGGGGTGCAGGGAGGAACTCTTCCACTTTCTAGTGTCTTGCTGGACTTCTTATAAGAAGCATTCATTATCTGTGTGATAGTAGTAGTAATGGCTATTGTTCATTGAGCACTTACGAAGTGCCAAGGATGCCGCTAAGTTCATGTGACAATCTTCACAATGTAACACCAGGAAGAAGGGTTTTTTTTGTTTGCTTGTTTGTTTTTGTTTTTTGTTTTTTATCATCCCTATTTAATGAAGAGAAAATGGAAGAACAGAGAGGTTAAGTAATTTGTCCCAAGTCACAGAGCTACGAAGTGTCAGACTCGGGATTTGAACCCAGTTAGTTTAGCTACATGATGCGTGCTCTTAGTCACTGCACTACAATCTAAATAATACTGATTCTTTTTTTTTTTTTTTTTCTAGACGGAGTTTTGCTCTTGTTGCCCAGGCTGGAGTGCAATGGCACGATCTCGGCTCACTGCAATCTCCGCTTCCTGGGTTCAAGCAATTCTCATGCCTCAGCCTCCCGAGTAGCTGGGATTATGGGCATGCGCCACCACACCCAGCTAATTTTGTATTTTTACTAGAGACTGGATTTCTCCATGTTGGTCAGGCTGGTCTCAAATTCCCGACCTCAGGTGATCTGCCTGCCTTGGCCTCCCAAAGTGCTGGGATTACAGGCGTGAGCCACTGTGCCCGGCCAATAATAATGATGATTTTTTTTTTATTTAATTTAATTTTATTATTATTATTATTTTATTTTTTTTTTTATTGGTCATTCTTGGGTGTTTCTCGAAGAGGGGGATTTGGCAGGGTCACAGGACAATAGTGGAGGGAAGGTCAGCAGATAAACAAGTGAACAAAGGTCTCTGGTTTTCCTAGGCAGAGGACCCTGCGGCCTTCCGCAGTGTTTATGTCCCTGGGTACTTGAGATTAGGGAGTGGTGATGACTCTTAAGGAGCATGCTGCCTTCAAGCATCTGTTTAACAAAGCACATCTTGCACCGCCCTTAATCCATTCAACCCTGAGTGGATACAGCACATGTTTCAGAGAGCACAGGGTTGGGGGTAAGGTCACCGATCAACAGGATCCCAAGGGAGAAGAATTTTTCTTAGTACAGAACAAAATGAAAAGTCTCCCATGTCTACCTCTTTCTACACAGACACGGCAACCATCCGATTTCTCAATCTTTTCCCCACCTTTCCCCCCTTTCTATTCTACAAAACCGCCATTGTCATCATGGCCCGTTCTCAATGAGCTGTTGGGTACACCTCCCAGACGGGGTGGTGGCCGGGCAGAGGGGCTCCTCACTTCCCAGTAGGGGCGGCCGGGCAGAGGCGCCCCTCACTTCCCGGATGGGGCGGCTGGCCGGGCGGGGGGCTGACCCCCCCACCTCCCTCCCGGACGAGGTGGCTGCCGGGCGGAGACGCTCCTCACTCGGCAAGTTGAGGCAGGAGAACCAGGCAGGGAGGCTGCAGTGAGCCGAGATGGCAGCAGTACCGTCCAGCCTCGGCTCGGCATCAGAGGGAGACCGTGGGGAGAGGGAGGGGGAGGGGGAGGGGAGGGGGAGGGGGAGAGGGAGAGCATGATGATTTTTTAAAGCCTGTTCTTCCTTCAAGGCACAGTTCAACTCTCACTTTTGTGATGCCATTTCTGACCACACCATGCATTCAACAAACATTTACTAAATACCTGTTATGGGTAAAAGGCCTGTTTGCAAAAAGTATGCAAGTCAAATAAATTACAATCTTTGCCATCCAAGAGCTTACAGTCCATCAGGGGAGGATAAAACCACCTCACAAACTAGAATGAGAAGTGCTGTACACAGCAACAAAGCCCTATGTGGGTTCAAAGATAAGAGAAGGCACTTCCAACTTTGGGAAGCAGAGTTGAGCCTTGAAGGCAAAAAAAAGTGTCAAGAAAAGCAGATCATTCTGTTTGCCTGCAGTGAAGGGGAGGAACAGACAGAGCTGCTAAGATGGAGTCGGGGAGAGCTTGACAACTTGCTAGGGCTTTTCCTACTTTGGTAGGGAATGAGACTTCATGAAAAAATGTTGCGTAGACCAGTCGTAGGACCAGAAGAGCAACTTAATGATAATAGCCAATGTTTATAAAGGGCCAGACAGGGTGCTAAGTATACTTTTATATTTAGCTTAATTAGCTAGGTATAAAATATAGCTTGTGTTTATATATAAAATATATAAGCTATACATATAAAATATAGTTAATACAGACCAATTCTTTTAATCCTCCATGCAACCCTCAGGGGAAGGAACTGGCACTTTCCTAATTTTACAAAGAAATAACTGTCTAGTTGGGCAGCATAGTTGGGTCTTGTACCCAATCATCTGGCTCCAAAGTCTGCCTCTTTAACCACTTAGCTACATTACCTTTTGTTGGAGGCTTGGTCTCTGGTGCCACTACATGGGGTGGCTTGGGAAAGAGAGAGCCCAGCGAGGCAGGAAAGCTGGTTAGGAGATTATTGCAATACATCAGGCCACCATCCCCTCCTACAGCATTTTATTCAAAAGACTCTTGGTCCTTCATTCTGTTGTTAGCTTTTCACGTTGTATGGCAATTCTTACCTCAAGTAAATGGGCAGCAACCCAAAGCAGGAGCCTTATAATACGAGTAATAACACACACACACACACACACACACACACACACATCACATCACATCACATCACACAAAGGGGTTTGGATTAATCATTTTTAATAATTAATAGTTTCTGTTTTGATTCCAGGAGCAGATCTGGTTTTTGTTTTTTGTTTGTTTGTTTTGTTTGTTGGTTTGTTTTTGTTTTTTGAGACAGGGTCTTGCTCTGTCACCCAGGCTGGAGTGCAGTAGTGCAATCTCTGCTCACTGCAACCTCTGCCTCCCGGGTTCAAGCGATTATCCTCCCTCAGCCTCCCAAGTAGCTGGGATTACAGGTGCACGCCACCACGCCCAGCTAATTTTTGTATTTTTAGTAGAGAGGGGGTTTCACCATGATGGCCAGGCTGGTCTTGAACTCCTAACCTCAGGTGATCTGCCTGCCTCAGCCTCCCAAAGTTCTAGGATTATAGGCAGGAGTCACCACGCCCAGCCAAGGAGCAGATCTTGATAATAATTACAGTAACCAACTACAATATACGGTGCCTTATAGTTCTACACTTTCCTGCAGAGAATCATCCTAATTCTGACTTTTAGGACAACCTTCTGAGGGGAAAGAGGAAGCATTACTTTTTACAGAGGAGAAGAGAGATTAGGTGAGGTTAAGGGACCTGCCCAAAGTCACACAGTGCCTGAGCACTAGAATCTGGGCTGAAACCTAGGTCTCCGATTCCAAGTCCAGTGCTCTTTTCAAAGCCAAAGAACATTTCAGATTCCCTTTGACAATGCACTCCTAAAAGCACACCTTAACCTTCATGCTAAACTTTGCTTCTGAGAAGCTCAGGGTTTCAGAAATTTCATTCGTCATTTCAGGCTTTAAAGTGGGTGGGCAGATAGGCCTGACCCTGGTTTTAAGGTGGCTAAACCTTAGCACAATTGACTGGCAAGTGCTGGAATGCAGACCTCGACAGGGGCCTGTCACCACCCACCACGTCCCTTCACGTAGCAGCTTCCTACACCTCCCATTTTAAGGTTGCATTAATTCCACTGCCCTTGCATTCATCCATAAACACTTTGATGTGGACTTGGGTATGAAGTCACACACTGATTCACTTTTACTTCAAAGAAACTAATTATGAATGAATTCACCCCACGGATGTCAAAACCCTGGAAATCATCGACAGTTCTCTACAGAAAACCTTTCTGGACATGATGGTGTAAAAATACTGCCTGTGAACATGTCTAGCCAGTGCCAGGCGCGTCTAGTCACTCAAGAACCACTCATTTCTAAACACCACCTGAGCCAGGTTCTGTTGTAGGTGCTGGGAATAGAGTAGTGAACGACACAAGTGAGGTTCCTGTTCTCAAGGAGCCTAGTTGGGGGAGATGGAGACTGAATGAGTAAATAGACAAGAAGGTGTATTGGGTCCTGAAAAGTGCTATGGAGAAAATAAAACTGGTGGCATGATGGAAAGTGGCTGTGGAGTGACTTTAGATACAACAGTCAAGGAAGGCCTCAATGAGGAGGTGTCTTTTAAGGGCCAGTCATCCAAAGGGCTGCAGGAATATCATTTGGACAATGGTGCATAAGGTCTTAGCTTGTAAAGGACTGAAAGAAGGTGTATGTGAGTGGAATTTGAGCAAGAGACAGAGAGACTAAGACAGAATTCTGAAAATGAGACTGACGGCCAGATCACGGAAGGTCTTTGTAGGCTGAAGAAAGGAGGGTGGGTTATATTCAAGGGAAATCAATGGGGAAGTTAAGGCAGAATGGCTTGATCTCACTTGCATTTGTAAAAGCTGACTCTGGCTCCTGAGAGGAGAGCAAAGTGTAAGGGAGTATGTCTCGGTCAGCCCTGGTGGGGATCACAAAATACCATCCACTGGGGGTCTTAAACCACAGACATTTATTTCTCACAGTTCTGGAGCCTGGGGAGTCCAGGACCACAGCACTGGCAGATTGAGTTCTTGGTGAGGGTTTTCTTCCTGGCCTGCAGTCAAGTGTCATCATGCTGTGTGCTCAACAGGACCTCCTTGAATAAACACATGGAGAGGGAGCTCTGGTCTCTCTTTCTTCTTCTTCTTTTGAGACAGAGTTTTGCTCCTGTCACCCAGGCGGAATGCAGTGGCACGATCTTGGCTCACTGCAACCTCCGACTCCCAGGTTCAAGCGATTCTCCTGCCTCAGCCTCCCGAGTAGCTGGGACTGCAGGCGCCCACCACGACGCCCTGCTAATTTTATATTTTTAGTGGAGATGGGGTTTCATTCACTATGTTAGCCAGGCTGGTCTCAAACTCCTGACCTCAAGTGATCCGCCCTCCTTAGCCTCCCAAAGTGCTGGGATTACAGGTGTGAGCCACCACGGCCGGCCTCTCTCTTTCTTCTTATAAGGACACCAATTCATGACCTCATCTAAGCTTACTCCCCTTCCAAAGGCCCCTCCTCCTGATGCCATCACATTAGGGGTTAGGGCTTCAACATAGGAATTTCAAGGGGACACAGGCCAGGTGCAGTGGCTCACGCCTGTTATCCCAGCACTTTGGGAGGCTGAGGCGGGCGGATCACAAGGTCAGGAGATCAAGACCATCCTGGCTAACACGGTGAAACCCCATCTCTACTAAAAGTACAAAAAATTAGCCGGGTGTGGTGGCGGGCGCCTGTAGTCCCAGCTACTCGGGAGGCTGAGGCAGGAGAATGGCGTGAACCCGGGAGGCAGAGCTTGCAGTAAGCCGAGATCACACCACTGCACTCCAGCCTGGGCAACAGTGCAAGAATCCGTCTCAAAAAAAAAAGAAAATGGAATTTCAGGGGGACACAAACATTCAGTCCATGACAGGGAGGATGGAAACTGAGAGGAGGCTGCTGCAGGTCCAGGTGAGAGATGGGAGAGACTGGTCCAAGCTGAGTGGAACTGAGGAGAGAGACGACGGCAGATTCAGGTTGTCTTTTCGAGTTGGAGCCCACAGGACAGGCCCTCAATAAATGTTTCCATGTGTGTTTCCTTTTCTTCCTTTCCTCCCTTGCTACCTCCTTGCTGCATTTCATTTATAGAGCTTTGGCACAAGGTATTTCTTAGGTAATCTACACCTTTGTCTCTCTCTCTTTTTTTTTTTAGACAGGGTGTCACTCTGTCACCCAGGCTGGAATGCTGTGTCATGAACACTGCTCACTGTAGCCTTGACCCCCTGGGCTCAAGCGATCCTCCCACCTCACCCTCTTGAGTAGCTGTGACTATAGGCACACTCCACCACACCCAACTAATTTATTTTTTATAGAGACAAGGCCTTAAGTCATCCTCCTGCCTTGGCCTCCCAAAGTGCTGGTATTACAGACATAAGCCATGGCGCTTGGCCTTACATCTTTTTCTTTAAATGCACCAATCATAATTACATCCAATGCCAGGAAGATTCAGGTCAGTTCGACAAAACTTTGTTGAGAAGAGAATGTGTAGTGTGGGAAATGCCCGGCGCCACATCAGATGCTCTTTCTACGCGTTTCAATTCAACAATGGGCTTTGATTGGTGGTTATGAGCCCCGCACTGTGATTGGTTCTGGCAGTTCAGATGAAAAAACACAGCCCTAGTCCTCAACCATCTCACAGTGCCCTAACGGAGAAAGACAGGCAAGGAGACAAAATGCAATACAGGGAGACGAGTGAAACACAGAAATCTGTAAGAGGGAGGGCGCTGAAACAGCACGGGAGACAGGGAAGAGGAGAAAGCTACCCGAAGCAGGTGCCTGCTGGCCTGGGTGTTAGGGGAGGGACAGTTCTCTGGTGGACGGAGAGAGAAGGGCATCTCGAGCAGGCGGGAACAGCGCAGGCAGATACATGGAGGAATGAAACAGCATGTTTCGAGGGGCCACTGGCCACTCGGTGTTGCTGCCGCAAATGTTACAAGGGAGGAGGGTGAGACTGACAATGTAGGCGGAACCTAGATCATAATGGGCCTCGTTAATTATGAAGACAAGCTTGTGCTGTATCTCATAAGTGATGGGGACTCAGAGAAGGGCTTCAAACAGGGAGAGACCAGCAGATTTCATCAAACCCCACACACTCACCAAGCCTGCCTTTAAAATCCACAGACACGGCCGGGCGCGGTGGCTCACGCCTGTAATCCCAGCACTTTGGGAGGCCGAGGCGGGCGGATCACGAGGTCAGGAGATCGAGACCATCCTGGCTAACACGGTGAAACCCCGTCTCTACTAAAAATACAAAAAATTAGCCGGGCGTGGTAGCGGGCGCCTGTAGTCCCAGCTACTCGGGAGGCTGAGGCAGGAGAATGGCGTGAACCCGGGAGGCGGAGCTTGCAGTGAGCCGAGATCGCGCCACTGCACTCCAGCCTGGGCGACAGAGCGAGACTCCGTCTCAAAAAAAAAAAAAAAAAAAAAAAAAAAAAAAAAAAAAAAAAAAAAAAAAAAAAAAATCCACAGACACATGTTACTGGGTAATATCTGTGAAGGTGTGTGAATGAGAGACGTTAAAAACATGTGGCTCCAAGGAAATAATATAATTTGGAAAGGGCAGAGAATGAGGAGAGGAAAAATTACACCGGCCCGAGAAGGGTTTCTCTGCTGGCTTCCAGCCCCTAGGGAAAGTTCGACATGGGAAAGGCGGCCCACGTGTTATGTCTGCAGGCGTCTCAGGCAGGCAAGCCCCACTCCTGCACAGAACGGGGCGATTCATGCCGACTGTAAAGATGAGAGGTGCCCATTTTCCAGGGGCTGCAATGCCAATTCCAGTTGCAGTGAGAAGGTGGCTGGGCCAAGGTACACATTTCCTGTGGGCACACCATTAAGGCATCTAGTAAAAAATCCTAATTGTGCTCAAAGGACTTTCACAGAGTTTGGCAGCTTGAATAGAGGCGTGGAACCTGCAGTTCCCAGGCCTGGTTGAGTGGAGCCTCGCTGCGGCTGGGAGGGTATCGGGGGATGGTGGTATGAAAGTCTGCACCAACGCAGAAAAACAATGTTGATTTTAATTCCACTTTGATATAGATGACACATAAAACTTGGTAAAGGGAGTGCTGCGAACTAAAGTCACAAGAAGGTGGCATTACTCTGTGATGTTTCTTCCGTCCAGAATGAATGGGGATTATCAAGATTTTGACTTGGGAAAATTCACGCAAGATTTCCAAAAGTTGTTGGCTTTTGGCTTGCTTGTAGAAATTGTAAGGGGGCAGCCTTGGTCTTCGTCGTGGATATAGGAACAAGTCTGGGCCCAGGGCATGGCTAGGAAATGAGGTGGGAATTGTATTATTTGGAGTTAGAATGTTCACTTATTCCCTATTGTCAGCTGCTACAAAAATCTTATAACTCTATGCTGCCCAATAATCATATCAATAGCTCTGCTATTATTTAAACTTTTTTTATATCAATAGCTCTGCTGTTGTTTAAACTTTTTTTCATATCAATAGCTCTGCTGTTATTTAAACTTTTTTTTTTTAAGAGACAGAGTCTTACTCTGTCCCCCAGACTGAAGTGCAATGGTGTGATCATAGTTCACTGTAACCTCAAAATCCTGGGCTCAAGTGATCCTCCTGTCTCAGTCTCCCGAGTAGCTGGGACCACAGGCATATGCCCCCATGCCTGGCTAATTTAAGAAAAAACTTTCTGCAGAGACGAGGTCTTGCTTTGCTGCCCAGACTGGTCTCGAACTCCTGGCCGCAAGCAATCTTCCTGCTGCTGCCTCCCAAATGGCTGGAATTACAGGTGTGAGCCACCGTGCCTGGCCTCAGTTTAAATGAACTAAAATTAAATAAAATTTAAAATTTAGTTCCTTGATTGCATTAGCCACATTTAAAGTGCTCAATAGCCACATGTGGCTAACGGCTACCTTGTGGGAGAGTACAGGTAGAGAACTTCCCCTTCCCATCAGGAAGTTCTGTTGGACAGGGCTATTGGACACACCAGCTTCTTGGTGCCTTTTCCTCAGACCGTAGACTCTGAGCACTGCTTCCTATGTAATTACAATGAGAGTAATAATTATGTTAATTGTCATGGGCCATGTTATTGAGCTCTCACGCTGCCTGGCACTGTGCTAAAGCCTTTCTGTGTCTGGCAGGTTGAACCACTGAGAAGCTAATTTTCTCATTGCATTTTTCCTCTCCCAATCTCAAAATCCAAGATGTCTGAGGCCATCGGTCCCTGTGTAAGGAGAGGTTGGTGTTGCAGAGCCAAAAGCCAAAGTCGACTGAAAACAACTTATCTGCCTTGTCTTTTCTAAGAAAGCTAAACTCATGGATTGTGCTGGGCCTCGTGGTGGGGATGGGGGAAAGCATGAGAGAGGGAGAATGGGGCAAACTCCCCTGGCTTAAAAGGGGGCAAGGGTCAGAACGTCCTTTTGGTAGTGGAGAGAATATCTGCCCCACTCCTTTGCAGCTGAGCTCCCAGTGAGATTCCCAGAAGGGAATGTTTGTTGCTGCCCCCGGGGAGTCTGGGCTCAGGCCCTGCGTTTCCAGCCCGTGTAGAGGATTATTTGTCCTGAGCATGACACAGAAGCCCTGGAGTGGCTGAGTTTAAGGGGCCACCAGCTGGGCCACACTAGCCCATATGGTGTCTTTGTGCTAATTAGAAATAGGTACCCTCTTCCTTATTTAAATAATTTATTGTTAGGTTAGTATATTTCTGATATGGGCTGAATTACATTTTCCCAAAATTCATATGTTGAAGCCCTAGCCCCCAGTACCTTAGACTGTGACTGTGTTTGGAGATGGGGCCTTTGAAGAGGTAATTAAGTTAAAATAAGGCCAGTCATGGTGGCTCATGCCTGTAATCCCAGCACTTTGGAGGCCGAGACGGGTGGATCCCTTGAGGCCAGGAGTTCGAGACCAGTTGGGCAACATGGCGAAACTCCATCTCTACTAAAAATACTAAAAATGTGCCAGGTGTAGTGGCGCATGCCTGTAATCCCAGCTACCTGGGAGGCTAAGGCAAGAGAATCGCTTGACCCCAGGAGGTGGAGGTTGCAGTGAGCCAAGATCATGCCACTGCACTCCAGCCTGGGTGACAGAGCAAGACTCCACCTCAAAAAAAAAAAAAAAAAAAAAAAAAGTTAAAATAAGGCCATTAATATGGGCCCTAATCCAGTCTCACTGGTGTGCTTGTAAGAGGAGGAAATTTGGAATCACAGGGAGACATCAGGGACACGCATGCATGGAAGAATGACCTTGTGAAGAAGCAGCAAAGAGGCTGCCATCTGCAAGACCAGGGGAGAAGCCCCAGAGGAAAGCAACTCTGTTAGTGCTTGATCTTGGACTTCCAAACTCCAGAACTGTGAGAAAATAAATTTCTGTTGTTTAAGCCACCCAGTCTGTGGTGCTTTGTTGCAGGAGCCCAAGGAAACTAATATAATTACCATACAATTGGAACAGGTCCCACGGCGGGGTGGTGGGGGTCGGGGGGGGGTCTCTCCAGAACCTTTGCAGGGATGCAGCCCTGATCCCATGCTTTTGAGCTGAGATGCTCTCCTATTCACACGCAAAGTGTATACCTGGACATGTGATACTGGTAGGTAAAGAGGCCCTTTCAGGTTTAGAGGGAGGGACACATGGGAATGAGGTCTCTAAAAGCTGTGAATGGGGAAAAAGGACATGACCGCTGAAGCGAGGTGGGGCAGGGCATAGTCCCGTATCCTGCAAGTGTGTGTGCGCATGTACTTTACTGAGTGTATGCATAGCTGTGTGTACCTCGCTGCTCTAGGACATGGGGTGAGAGGCCTGGGACCTCCGTGCCCACCAGTACCCTCCCATCAACCCCAGTCTAGTTCTCTGCTGTGAATGGTGTCCCTGTAGAGGAGATGCTGTTGTGTGGCATGCAGCTTGACCTGCATATGGGCTTGGACCATGAGGAAATTGGCAGCAGCAGCGAGTTGCTCTAGGTAAAATAGTACCATTCCCTATTCTAGCAATACCCTAGACAAGAGAATGGGGTCAGTATTTCCCACCAACCCAATGGAATGGGAAACTGGAGGTAAATTTAATTTTATTCAACAAAAACAGATGACGTGACCCTTCTTGCACCTTGAAGTTTGTGAAATAAAATTCCTGTTTTATGTGTGATTCAGAAGCAGAGTCCCAGCAGGAAATTGATGGCATGCTCAAATGGAGTGACTGGAGAGGGATTCATGGGACCATTTGCAAAGATGTGGGCAGGGTTAAGGTGAACCAGCAAGAGATGAGGGGGAAGCCTAAGCGAGCAGCAGCTGAAGTGATTCCCTCCCTGCACCTGAGGGATGGATAAAGAACCAGAAGGACAAACAGGAAAATCCAGCACACCTTCTAAACATGCCTCATTCCATCTATTTTTCCAGCGGTCCTCCAGTGAGGTCCAATTATCCCCATTTTATAGCTACAGAGGCTTAGGCTTGGGGAGGAGTTTAAATGATTTATCTCAGTAGATTTTAGAATGCAACCTCTGTGAGGGCAGTAACCTTGCCTGTCTTGTATCCAGTTGTATTCCCAGTGCCTAGAAAAGCGCCTGGAACATAGTAGGTGCCCACTACATGTTTGTTGAATGACTAAGTGAATCCCTCCAAGATCACACAGAGTCCACACGATAGCACTGGATTTGAACCCAGATTGATGGCAAAGCTCACAGGCCTAATGGTCACAACCATGTTCCTAAACCAAGGCCTGTAGATCCCTGTAGGTCTAAGAGTTGGCCAAGGTAATTTTTAAATTTTGTGATTTTTTGTATTCATTTCAATGATAGCCTTAAAAAGTTAATATTTGCACATGCTGGCTCACCTATGATCACATATCCCATAAGCAGGTACAGTGTGAGATTTTCAGGTCGAAGTCTCTGTTTCAATTCACTGTCCTATTGGCACAAAGTGGTGCCACTGTAGTTATCTCGAGCTAATGAGAAAGGTACATGGGTGGACTTAATTCCTAAGTGATTCACACATGATGCCTGTGAATGCCAAATGACATCATGGAGCGCTGTACAAACAAGAAAAGTTAGGGGCACCAGGGAGGTCACAGCATACTCTCCTTGTGGTCACCATTAATGCAAACGCCATTTCTCACGTCAATGCTGTTGTTCTGATTTGTGCTTGTTATGCATAGGTTTTTGTTTTGTTTTATTAAATTCAGTTTTTTTTTTTTTTTTTTTTTTTTTTTGAGACGGAGGTTTGCTCGTTGCCCAGGCTGGAGTGCAATGGTGTGATCTCGGTTGACCACAACCTCCGCCTCCCGGGTTCAAGCGATTCTCCTGCCTCAGCCTCCTGAGTAGCTGGGATTAGAGGCACCTGCCACCATGCCCAGCTAATTTTTGTATTTTTAGTAGGGACGGGGTTTCTCTCTGTTGGTCAGGCTGGTCTCAAACTCCTGACCTCAGGTGATCCGCCCACCTCGGCCTCCCAAGATGTTGGGATTATAGGCGTGAGCCACCGCGCCCTGCCCAGTTTGGTTTTATAGTTGCATAGGAGTTTAGGTCTAATTTTATGTTTACGTACGTTTGGGCAACATGTAATTTAAACCAACCCTTAAATGCCTTTTCTTTTCCTTTAAAATATGCCCAGGCATTACTCAAGTGTATGAAATGCGAGTGTCATGCTATGAAACAGAGTATGAACTGCTTGTAGCAGGAACCTAACAGAAGCAGTCTAGATATAATTAGGGGTATCTGGGAAAAAAAGGAAAATCTTGATCTTTTTCCCCTAAAGCTGGAAATAGTCATTATTTATTGAGTGCTTACCAGTCACAGCACTGAGTTCTTTTTTTCTTCTTCTATTTTTTGAGACCGAGTCTCGCTCTGTCAGCCAGGCTGGAGTGCAGTGGTGCGATCTCAGCTCACTGCCATCTCCGCCTCCCAGGTTCAAGCAATTCTCCTGCCTCAGCCTCCCAAGTAGCTGGGATTACAGGCGTCCGCCACCACACCTAGCTAATTTTTGTATTTTTAGTAGAGATGGGGTATCACCATGTTGGCCAGGCTGGTCTCCAACTCCTGACCTCAAGTGATTCAACCACCTTGGCCTCCCAAAGTGCCGGGATTATAGGCGTGAGCCACTGCACCTGGCCAGCACTGGGTTCTTTATCTGTGTCATTTCAAATCCTCCTAACTTTGCAATGTAAATATTATTTCCCCATTTCACAGAGGAGGAAGCTGAGGCTCATGGAGGTGTGTAACTTGTCTGACACACACAACTAGAAAATGGAGAACAAGGAATCAAGACCAGTCTGTCTGACCTTAACAATGACATTACTCAGTCTTTCCTGGCATCAAAATAATTTTTAAGACTGTAGAAGGATGGCAAAACACTCTTGATATAATTCCATTTTGAAATATGACTAGTTTCATAAAAATAAAGGTTTGTAGACTTTTTAAAAAAGTCCTCTACCTTCCAAGTCCATATTAATAGGTGACAAGGGGTATTCTATCATCTACAGTGACTGTCAGGCTGTTAATAGTGATAAAAACATTTCCAAGTCCTATGTGGATACTGTCTAAAACTTCACTCAATTTTGTACTGATCTATGGACCATTTCTTATTAACATGAGTGTTAACTAGGGTGAAGCTGATAGTTCGGCTCTAATTATATTAAATGTTGAGCATCTTGGAACCTAGCATCTCTTCCCACTGAAAAGCAATCCTGTGTGAGCAGAGTATGGTATTTGCTGAAAGTCTCCTAGAGTCACATGGCTGAAGCTTGGATGAAGGAGGACTGGAGGCTCTCAGCATGGCGATCACAGAGAGCTGGGGCTACTCAGGGTACTCTAGCTCCTTGTGGAGCTTTACCAACTCAGCGGTGGTTCATCCAGGCCAATAAACAGCATTATGGGTCACCCTCAAACACAGAAGCAATTAAAGGCACAGCAAGACCTTTAGGTATATGGAAAATTCACATACATCAACTCAAGTATACTTCACTTAGGGGTATGATCCGCAACTTAGAGATGAGAAAGCTAAATCTCAAAAAGGCTAAATGATTTGTAGACTTTTTTTTTTTTTTAAGACAGAGTCACTCTGTCACCCAGGCTGGAGTGCAGAGGTGTGATCTTGGATCACCATAATCTCGCCTCCTGGCTTCAAGCAATTCCCATTCCTCAGCCTCCCGAGTAGCAGGGATTACAGGTGTGCACCACCACACCCAGCTAATTTTTGTATTTTTAGTAGAGACGGGATTTCACCATATTGGCTAGGCTGGTCTCAAACTCCTGACCTCAAGTGATCTGCCCACCTTGGCCTCCTGAAGTGCTGGGATTATAGATGGGAGCCACCGTGCCTGGCCGATATGTAGAGGTTTTGAGTTCAAGTCTTTGGACCAACTCTAAGTGTAGTGCTTATTTTTACAATTCTATTGGTTTCTTCAATCTGGGGGCTGTAGACTCCTCCGAGGCCATGGTGTGCTTGCAAAGGAATCTGTACCAGCATATGCTTGAATTATGAGAAATGTAAATTACACGAGGGTGGGGGTTTCCAGTTTTTTAAGAGCTGGAGCTCTGGACCTAGGTGGCTAGATTCAAATCTGAGCTCCATCATTAACTAGCTGTGTGACTTGGGGAAAGTACCTTAACCTCTCTGTGCCCTAATTTCCTCATTTAGAAAATGTTTATATTGATATATGATATGTAATTTATATAAATATTAATGGCATCTACATTATAGAGTTTTAGGAATAAATTAATGAGTACTGTACATATAAAACCCTTAACATAATGTTTAATACAATGAGTACATGAAATGCTCTCAATATCTATGACTATAATTATTAGTGCTTACCACTGAATTATTCAGCATACAGATTAGTGCCTGATACATAGTGTACCCTTCAAATATTTGTTGACTGAATTAAATATATTAAAAACAATTTTTTTTACCATAATCCAGAAGACATTACATAAATAAATATTTTATCAGAGGATTCTAAAAAAAATATTGTGGAGAGGGATCCTTAAAACATTTTTACTTTAAGAAGTATTTATCATATTCAAAAGAAATCTCATCCTGGGACAATGACATCTAATTTTGAACTTATAATATTTCTAGAGGACTTCAAATATCGGGAAGAAAATTCATTTCAAATCACTTTCACTTTAAAAAAAAATAAAAACACCAGTGGCTAGCACAAGTGGATGGCACACAATAGGCAATAAATATTTGTTGTTGATAATGAATATTGTATTTTGTGGCTGTTGTGGGCAGGAACGAAGAAGAGAGCATCACTCTTCCTAAAAAATAATTTCTGCAGAGCTGGCAAAACAATCACAAAGGCTGGTCCCAACATGACTGCTACTTTGAATGTTTCTTACTGAGTGTCAATCTTTATATTAGGAGAGGTAAACTCTACCCTGAGAACAGAATTTCAGGGGATTTTTCCCCCCTTCCTAGACTCAGGAACTCTGTTTTTGTGTAGTAATTTAGGAATCAAGAGGGTGGAAATACAAGTGGTTTTGCAACCAGGCAAGAAGCACAAGGCTGGGCATGCAGTATACCTGCATACCCTGTGCAGCAATTTACACAGAAAGCTCTTCGGTGTCAATTTTCACCATTCAGAAGAGATCAATGATCCTGGGTGAAATTGCCAGTATGAGAGCAATTTTTCTAGTACCAAGAAATTTTAAGCCGGGTGTGGTGGCTCACATCTATAGCCACAGCTACTAGGCAGGGTGAGGTGGGAGAATCACTTGAGTATAGGAGTTCAAGGCTGCAGTGAGCTATGATTGCACCATTGCACTCAAGCTAGTCTCTGGAAAAAATTAAAAAAAGAAAGAAATTTTGCTGCTTAGGAATTTGTGGCTTTGCAGTATGCAATTTCTCCCTTTGCAACCAACTTTGCTTCCCCTTTCTTATTAGACATTTCAACTTTAATGAATTTACTTAGAAAATTACATTTTCAGAGCAACTGGAATTCCTCCTTCCAGGATGGAGTTCACCCTCCTTCCCTCCCACACTGGGAATTTTTCCTGAGACAGGTTTCCGCAAAAGTACTCTTGAGTCTTTTCGACGTGGCGACTGTTCACAAGGCACAATTGTTTGTCTTCAACTCGGAATTCATCTCCATTGAGTCAGGAACAAAATCAAGGCAACAGAGGCTTTAAAATTCAGACAGGAAGTTCTGCCCTTTTGACTTGGGAAACTGAAAGGAAGGTGAGGAGGAAGATGATAAAGAAAAATACCAGGGGGAGGTTGGATATGTGTGCCTCTTATACACATTCCACATTTTCCCAACATTTTTTTAAGGCAGAAGCAGTCTTCCTAAAGACTATTGATGAACAAACTCCAAGTGAGCCAGGAGACAGCCCACCACCACCATCCAGCAGGCTCCTTTGCATACATCCCTTTTGCACAGATATAACGAAGGCAAGCAGTTCCAAGAGAGAGGTGGGGGAAAGAAACCTTGAAAAGAGTTGTACCCTCCCAACAGAGATGTACTTTCAACACTCAAGTCTGCCCTTTCCCACTCTGGTCTCTCCCTCCCCATTTTCTTGCCTTTGTTCTTCCTTCCTGTTTGGTTACTCCTGCCTCTTGTCTGTCTCTGACTTGCTTTGACCTGTTCTCCCCTGCGGTCCTTGGTGCATCCTTCCTCTTTCTGCTCTGCCCTAGTTATCCCCCAATCAATTTCTCTTTATTTATTTATGTTACAGACGAAGTCTTGCTCTATCACCCAGGCTGTAGTCCGGTGGCATGATCATAGTGCACTGCAGCTTTGACTTCTGGGTTCAAGCGATCGTCCCATTTCAGTCACCATGCCCACCTAATTTTTCACTTTTTTTTTGTAGAGAGAAAGTCTCCCTATGTTGCCCAGGCTGGTCTCATACTTCTGGCCTCAAGCGATCCTCCCATTTTGGCTTCCCAAAGCACTGGAATTACAGGTGTGAGCCACCACACCCAGCCCAATTTCCTCTTTATTGAAACCACTTTTATCCCATTTCCTTAATTTCTACCATTTATTCTTAACAGGGTTTTGAGAAACAGCCCCTCCTCCCTGTGTGTAGTATCAGAGGCTGCTTTACAAATTGTACAGTAGGTCCAGGAGTTACACATCTCAGTGAATGCTCCACTGACAACTGGGACTAAACTAGGCTAAAACTAAATCCGTCAGCCTGTCCAGATTCCTCTTACTCCCGCTACGACTTCTTTGGTCCTCCTTTGCCTCATCTACTTGGTAGAGCCAGACTAGATCCCTCTCTCTTCTCCTTCCCCAAGGCCTATTGATTGATATTACTACAGTGTCTTTTTATTTTTTTAACTTGAATGTTTTTTGAAGTCAAAAGTCTCCCTATTTTGCCCAGGCTGGGCTTGAACGCACATCCTTCTGCCTCAGCCTCCCCAGTAGCTGGGACTACAGACGTGCACCACTGTGCCCGAACTGGAGTGTTTTGTTTTGTTTCTTTGTGTTTTTTTGAGATAGAGTCTCGCTCTGTTGCTCAGGCTGGAGTGCAGTGGCGTGATCTCAGCTCACTGCAACCTCTGCCTCCAGGCTTTAAGCAATTCTCCTGCCTCAGCCTCCTGAGTAGCTGGGATTACAGGTGCACACCACCACACACGGCTAATTTTTTTTATTTTTAGTAGGGATGGGGTTTCACCATGTTGGTCAGGCTGGTCTCGAACTCCTGAACCTGTAATCTGCCTACCTCAGCCTCCCAAAGTGCTGGGATTACAGGCGTGAGCCACTGTGACCGGCCTGCAGTGTTTTTTAAATGTTTTCCTTCCTCTCTCCTTCCATTGCCCTAGTTCAAGCCTTCATCATCCTCACCTGAACTGTTTATATACATTCTAATCCTGCTTTGGCACCTTCTGCTCCTCCCCTTTCCCATCAGATTTGGTTCTCTAAAACACAGATATGATCGCATCATTTCCCTTGCTTAAAAATCTTCAAGGTTCCTAGCTCCTAAGGGCAAGTCCACGTCCTACAACAAGACATTCAAGGCCTTTCACCACCTGGTTCAAATTTACTTTTCGAGCCCCATCTCCCATCATATGCTAGATCCTTGGCCACCATGCATTGAATAAAAAAAATGGTTTGGTTTGTCTTAATGTTTTGTCCCATGCTTGTAGTAGCTGGAGTTTATTGCCAGGGCCCCAAAATGAAAACACACTGGTTCTTGACCGGGTAAATGCAGAGGCATGGCTACCCTGAGTTGTCAATCTGGGTCCTACAAAGGATCCCAAATACTAACTGTGTGAGCTGTGGTCAGTCCTGTGGGTCACCTCACTTCTTCAGGCCTAGCTTTCCTCATTAATACCATGAGGCTTAGATGACTTCAGGATTACCCTCCAGCATTAAAGGAGGATGCATAAGATGTGCAAACTCACCAAGCCAGACTCCATGGGCTGTGGAACCTTGGTGCATTTCCCCGGTACTAACTGACCTCCCAGTTCTGTCTGTCCGGAGCTGTTATCTCATCCAGGGATGACCTCAGACCCTGGGAGAACTGACTCATACTGCCTAGACTCGGACAAGTCAGATTTGTTCCAGAAAGCTCTTTCATTAGTATGCAGTAGCAGGAAAACTTTCATATGCTTTCCAGAACACCTTTTCCCTAGATTAATGGTATATGCCTGTTCATATACTCTCTAGATCTTTTTTCCTCTGGGTAAGTCAAATGAGTTATCAAGATATTGTATGGACATACAGATTCAGAACACGAAGGCCTCATGATCCAGAGGCTATTGTTTCCAGGTTGTGATCAGGCCTGATGAATTCCTTTTGTTCTATGTGTCTGTTAGGAGGGCTCGATGGCAAGCAACAGAAAATAACTGGCTGCTTAAAGCAAGAAGGAGGATTCTTGTGAAGATTATGGGCAGCTCATGGAGGATTTCCCTAACCACCCTGTCTGGTGTGGCCTCCCCAGCTGGGCTCCATCACCTACCTTGCTGATTTCTTTCACAGCTCTTGTGTAGTCTGAAACTGCCTTGTTCACTTGTTTGTTATCAGTCTTCCTCCTTAGACTACATACTCCATGCAGGCAGGGACATTGTCATTCTTGCTCATTGCTTTATCACCAGACTTAGGACAGTGCCCAGCACACATGGTACGCTCAGAATTATTTGTGGGATGACTAAATGAGTAGAAAGGAAGAGCTGAAATGTTAAGCCCTGGAAATGATTGGAGATAAGCAAGAGCAGTGGCAGGAACTCCTGGACCATCTTTTTAGGCGTTGCCATGCCATGACTTAACTAACTGCACTTGTCCCTCTGTGTTTCTGCTCCAGGTTTACATGCCTAGAATAGAGAATTAGTTGGCCCAGATGAGCATCATGTGCCCACTCTAGAGGCCATGAGGTTGGAGTCTTGGGAGGGGCTGCAGAGCACAGCCTCACATGGAAGGTAGGCGGTAGATCAAAGAAATGGCTACCAGGCAGATGTCCACTGCCTTCCAGCATAGTGGTCACTTTTCTTAGATACCTGTCCGTTGGATATAGCAATTCTGCTCCCTAGATAAATCTCTGTAAAATGTGTCCATGGACTCAGTTTTCTTGTCTCCATGAGTTCCACCTAAATGGGACTCACCTACTTAAAAGGTCTCCCTATTTTGCCCAGGCTGGGCTTGAACTCACATCCTCCCACCTCAGCCTCCCCAGTAGCTGCTCAAAGAAGACAGGCATGCTCAGGGCCTGCTGACGTGATCCAAGCACTCCCTGCCTAGCATATCCCACTACATCTTTTAATACATTTGTTTCTTATTTTCTAGCTCATGAATAAAACATACGACTACTTTACATTTGAAAAAGGTATGTTTTCACTTAACCCAAATTCCTTGTTTTCTGTAAACCCACATTTGGATGACTTCATTGTGGCTGATGCTCTTCACTGTCTACCCAAGGGCCTCTTGGGGCTGCCACTCACTAAGCCCCAGGGATGAATCATAAGGGAAGCCTCTTACTCCTTTGCCCATGGTTAGATTAGAGGTAAGATGTAACCCAGCTCTGGGATATGAGAAATCATGGACAGTCTGCTGAGGGCTTCTGGAAGGACTTTCCTCCCCGATGAGAGAATCATATGGAGAGAAGGGGTTTTTGTAACTACCCCTTCCTCTTCCTTCATTCTTGATGGGGTTGCCTGCATGTGAGGATATGATATTTGGAGCTGTGGCAAATGTGAAGTAATAAACATGGGAACAAAAGCCAACATGCAGAGGATGGCTGAGGTGGAAGAATATAAAGATCTGGGTTTTTGGACTTAATTAAACTAAAAAGCTTCTGCACAACAAAAGAAATAATCAGCTGAGTAAACAGACAACCCATGGGGGAAAATCTTCACAATCTATACATCTGACAAAGGACTAATATCCAGAATCTACAAAGAACACAAACAAATCAGCAAGAAAAAAACAATCCCATCAAAATGTGCACTAAGGATGTAAATAGACAATTCTCAAAAGAAGATATACAAATGGCCAACAAACATATGAAAAAATGCTCAACATCACTAATGATCAGGGAAATGCAAATCAAAACTACAGTGTGATACCACCTCACTCCTGCAAGAATGGCCATAATAAAAAAAAAAATAGATGTTGGCATGGATGTGGTGAAAAGGGAATACTTCTACACTGCTGGTGGGAATAAAAACTAGTACAACCACTATGGAAAACAGTGTGGAGATTCCTTAAAGAACTAAAAGTGATCTACCATTCGATCCAGCAATCCCACTACTGGGTATCTACCCAGAGGAAAATAAGTCATTATATGAAAAAGATACTTGCACATGGATGTTTATAGCAGCACAATTTGCAATTGTGAAAATATGGAACCAGCCCAAATGCCCATCAATCAATGAGTGAATAAAGAAAATGTGGTATATATATATATACCATGGAATACTACTCAGCCATAGAAAAAGAATGGAATAATGGCATTTGCAGGATCCTGGATGGAATTGGAGACCATTCTAAGTGAAGTAACTCAGGAATGGAAAACCAAATATCGCATGTTCTCGCTCATATGTGGGAGCTAATCTATGAGGATGTAAAGGCATAAGAATGATACAATGGACTTTGGGGGAGTTGAGGGAAAGGGTGGGGGTGGTGAGGGCTGAAAGACTACACACTGGGTACAGTGTACCCTGCTCGGATGATGGGTACACAAAAATATCAGAAATCACCACTAAAGAACTTATTCATGTAGCCAAATACCACCTGTTCCCCAAAAACCGATTCAAATAAAAAAACTAAAAAAATTTTTTAAATAAAGAAATGGGTTCTTGATGACTTTTTTTTTTCTCTTTCTTTTTTTTTTTTTTTTTTTTTGAGACGGAGTCTTGCTGTCACCCAGGCTGGAGTGCAATGGCGTGATCTCGGCTCACTGCAACCTCTGCCTCCCAGGTCCAAGGGATTCTCCCGCCTCAGCCTCCTGAGTAGCTGGGATTACAGGCACACTCAACCATGCCCGGCTAATTTTTGTATTTTTAGTAGAGATGAGGTTTCACCACATTGGCCAAGCTGGTCTCAAACTCTTGACCTCAAGTGATCTGCCTGCCTTGGCCTGCCAAAGTGCTGGGATTACAGGTGTGAGCCACCATGCCCAGCCTTGATGGCATTTTTGAAGCACATAAATCAACTCTGGATTTCTTAAGTGAGGGATGAGTGTCCATATGGCCTAAGTCATTTTGTTGAATTTACTGTTCCTTGTAGTCAAAAGCATTCCTACCTGTGAGACCTGCAAAGAACCACTCCTTTTGATCTTAACTCTGACTCCTTTGCTTTGTCACACTAGAGATGCTTCTACGGCCTAAGAGGAGGGGTTCTACTGGGGGTCGACGTGAGAGTAGGTCTGAGGAAGAGCCTAAACATTCACTGTGCTTCGTTATAAACTCTCCACTGTTTATAGCTACTTCTTATCAAGTGATCATTATGAATAGCTACTTGAAAGAATACTATGACTATTCATATAAATCTCTTTGATATATATTAATATGTTATCTAACTTCAAATCTTTTTCACATTACAATTTAATAGACTCCCATCTGGTGTAGTTTTAGAATTTCTATACAGAAGGGACTTAAAAGTGGCAATTAAGTGGGAAGTGAGGGTGGGGTCTTGAAACTGCTCTGTACTTTTCAGATTGAGGGCTGGGTGCAGTGGCTCATGCTTGTAATCCCAGCACTTTGGGAGGTCAAGGCAGGAGGATGGCTTGAGCCCAGGAATTTGAGATCAGCCTGGACAACATGGTGAGACCCTGTCTCTACAAAAAATAAAAAATGAGCTGGGCGTGGTGGTGCATGTCTGTAGTCTCAGCTACTCAGGAGGCTGAGGCTTAAGGGTAGCTTGAGCCCAGTATTTAAAGCTGCAGTGAGCTATGATTGTGCCACTGTTCTCCAGCCCGGGCTCCTGCGTGGACCTGCCTTCACTCCTCCCTATCCTGTGATAAAGTCAACTGAATACTAAATGCTTTTCAATCTTTTTTTTTTCCATAAATGATTTCTTTTTTACTCCCCTATCCAATGATAAGGATAACTAAGTGCTTCTCAATCTTTTTTTCTTCATAAATTATTATTATTATTATTAGTGAGAAACAGGGTCTCACTTTGTTACCCATGCTGGTGTACAGTGGTGTGATCATTGCTTACTTCAGCGTCAAATCCTGGGCTCAAGTGATCCTTCTGCCTCCCAGGTAGGTAGGACTACAGGCACAAGCTACCACTCCTGGCTAATTTTTAAATTTTTTGGCAAGATGGGGTCTTGCTAAATTGCCCAGGCTGGTCTTGAACTCCTGGCATCAAGCAATCCTCTCACTTCAGCCTTCCAAAGCACTGGGATTACAGGCAAGAGCTACTGGGCCCAATCCAAGGTATCAATGTTGATGGTTTTATGGTGTGAGCCTCCAAGATTGGAAACTTGGTAAAATAATACGGCGTTACATCTGCATTGTCATTGCTGCTGTCTAAATCACTCTACCTTGCAACATTAGAGTATCACTGGCATTTAACTTTAAAAGAAATTCAGGCTCAGCAGGCTTAAGTGACTGTACAAAACACACAGATAAGCAGCAGAACCAGGTCTACAACCTTGGTCTCCTGCTCATTACTCTTCCCACTGCATCAAGTTGTTCTCAGCTTAGAGATGAAGTCTTTAGGATCTGGAACAGTGTGGCTCAGAAGGAAGGTTACTGGTACATTAAAAGGAGCCTTTTAACAGCATGAGCCTTTTCCTGCCAGAGAAGAGGAACAAAAAACCGGAGGGTTTGGGGGTAAAATGAGTCATCTCATCACTCAATGAATCTGAGTATCTAGCTCCATGTTATGACAGCGTATTTATCCAGAATATGAACTGGCTTCTGCCCTACATGTGCCTAAGTGATACTGACCAGTGTTAACCAGGAAGAATGTTAGATCTTTGAGGAGGACAGAGAAGAGGTAGCCATGTCCTCCAAGTCTCCCCATACAAGTGGTTTGGAAGAGAATGTCTTCAATTTCTCAATAGGCATGTGATCTCAGAAAAAAGGTCCTGTGTCCCAGAGAAAGAGAAGAGTGTCTGCAGGAGCAGGCTGGCGGGCCAAGTGAGTGGAGGGTTTCAAGTCAAAGGCAGTCCTGAGTTTTCCAAGCCCAAAGGGAAACCAAGCTCGAGAAGAGACATGGAAAGTTAGAGCAGGGCCAGAGTGGGAGTGAAGGGGGAAGAAAGCAAAAGGAAAACTCATGTTGACAGACTGACTGACTAAAAAGGTTCACACATAAATGTGAAGAGAAGGCGAGTCTGACTTCTCCACTCAGGACCAGGGTAATGATGTAATCAGCATAAGTGAGACAGAGTGGTCTGGCAAACATGCCAAGAATGCGGGCTGGGGGGGCCTGGGTTATTCCAGGTTGCCATGCTTTTTAGCCAAAAGTAATAGAGCCAGGCAGGGAAAGGAGGCAGCCTTATGCCTCCAGGATGTCCGTGCATACTCTGAGGTCCAGGACAAAGGAGTCTTGTTTGTTCCCTTACCATGTTGGCCAATGAGCACAGCTAGGCATAGACTAAGTGTTCAAAGGCACAGGATCTGGAATTGGACAGCCTGGCCTTCAAATCCTGGCTCCTCGATTTACTTGCTGGGTGATTTTGGGCAAGTAACTTAATCTCTTGGTGCCACACAGTGTTCATCTATAGGCTAATCAGAGCACCTAACTGATAGGGTGATTGTGAGAATTAAATAAGATCTAGTCTGAGAGATGCTTGATCTAATGCCTAGTACAGAGTCAAAGCTCAATCTTTACCTATTCTTTTTCATAACAAAGTATGTACTGGGGAGAAACCAGAAAGACTAAAAGAAGTAGGAGAGTAGTCAACACTGATTTTGTATGTATCATAAAAATGTATTGAATGAATGAATAGGGAAGATGTGAAGACTAAAAATAGAGTCTGGGCCAGGCACAGTGACTCACAACTGTAATCCCAGCACTTTGGGAGGCCAAGGTGGGAGAACCATTTGAGGTCAAGAGTTTGAGACCAGCCTGGGCAACATAGTGAGACCCCATCTCTACAAAAAATACAAAAAAATTAGCCAGGTTTGGTGGTGCTCTCCTGTAGTCCCAGCTACTTGGGAGGCTAAGACAGGAGGGTTGCTTGAGCCCAGAAGTTTGAGGTTATAATGAGCTATGATTGCACCACTGCACTCCAGCTTGGGTGACAGAGAAAGACCCTCCCTTTAAAAAAACAAAAAAGAATAGTTTGTACCATCAGTCTCAGAGAAGAAAGCAGATGAAGTCATCTGGAATACTTTCACCAAGGAAATGTTTGGTTTGAGTTGGGTCAGGATGAAGTGAGAAATTTTGAGCCCCCAAACTACCACCAGGAAAAAGGAGACACTCGTGTGACATAGATTTTCTTTTCTTTTTTCTTTTTTGAGACAGAGTCTCACTCTGTCACCAGGCTGGAGCGCAGTGGTGTGATCTCAGCTCACTGCAACATCTGCCTCCCTAGTTCAAGTGATTCTCCTGCCTCAGCCTCCCGAGTAGCTGGGATTATAGGCACACGCCACCATGTCCAGCTAATTTTTGTATTTTTAGTAGAGACAGGGTTTCACCATATTGGCCAGGATGGTCTCGATCTTTTGACCTCATGATCCACCCGCCTTGGCCTCCCAAAGTGCTGGGATTACAGGCGTGAGCCACCGTGGCCGGCCACATGACATAGATTTTCAAATAAATGTTCACATGTGGAGACAATACCTTTGTTTTTATTTTTTATTTTATTTTATTTATTTATTTATTTTGAGATGGAGTCTCGCTCTGTTGCCAGGCTGGAGTGCAGTGGCACAATCTCAGCTCACTGCAACCTCTGTCTCCCAGGCTCAAGTGATTCTCCTGCCTCAGCCTCCCAAGTAGCTGGGACTACAGGCGCCCGCCACCACGCCCAGCTAATTTTTTATATTTTTAGTAGAGACGGGGTTTCACCATGTTGGCCAGGATGGTCTCGATCTCTTGACCTAGTGATCCACCCGCCTTGGTCACCCAAAGTGGTGGGATTACAGGCGTGAACCACCGTGCCCAGCCAATACCTTTGTTTTTAAAAAGCAGCAATTGTCACATTATAAAATATGACTCCAGAAAGGGCTGTGCCATTTACTGTCTGACCTAAGGCAAGTTGTTAAACTTCCTCATGCCTTTCCTCATCCATAATCATACGGGGAATAATAATCATACCAACTTCACAAGGTTGTAATGGAGATCGAATCAATTAATCTGCATCAAAGTGTTAGAAAAGTGGCAGGCACAGTGTTACCTCTGCTTATCCTAGACCACAAAAGCCACCTCTGTGTGTCGTGCCAGTGTCACCAACTCACCCACGATCTACCACTTCATAAGAGCCGCCTTTAATATTTCACATATCTTCTTCTGATCTTTCCTCATGCAGATGTAGTCATAAAAGCATTTATTTCTCAGAGAAAGGATTCCTCTGTAATAGTTTCTTATGACCTGCCTTTTCACCTAGCAAATTATGGCAAAGTGCTTCCCACTTGTCTGTCTCCAACACCTTCAGGGATCATGGTCACCCTCTCTGAGGATTCACTTTGGGTCTCAGTAGGGGTAGCCCCTGTTTCGGCAGATGCTTTCCATTTCTCAGCTGCTGCTTCTCACTCTCCCAGCTGTGCCTGCTTGCATGCCTGCTGCTCCCTTGCTGGCTGTGCAGGTCTGCAACCCCTCGGTGTAGGGCAGCTGCACCATGCTAACTCCCACGGGGGGCTCAATCAGGGAAGTTTTACTTTCTTCTATTGCTTATCTCTCAATTTTCCAAAATAGCACCAAACAAGACTGTGCATGCTTAACAGACTTTCCCAAAGGGTTAAGAGTAGCTGGGCATGGTGGCTCACTCCTGTAATCCCAGCACGTTGGGAGGCCAAGGCAGGCGGATCACCTGAGGTCAGGAGTTCGAGATCAGCCTAACCAACATGGTGAAACCCTGTCTTTACTAAAAATACAAAATTAGCTGGGTGTGGTGGTACATGCCTGTAATCCCAGCTACTCGGGAGGCTGAGGCAGGAGAATTGCTTGAACCCACGAGGTGGAGGTTGCAATGAGCCGAGATTGCACCATTGCACTCCAGCCTGGGCAACCAGAGCAAAACTCCATCTCAAAAAAAAAAAAAAAAAGGAAGAAAAAGAAAAGAAAAAAAGGGGTGCCCCATGGCTCACACCTGTAATTCCAGCACTTTGCAGGGTGGAGGCAGGAGGATTGCTTGTGTCCAGGCACTCGAGATGAACCTAGACAACATGGCAAAAAACCATGAGAAGAATAAAACCTTAAAATTTGTTAACTGTTTATTGAATCCAAGTGGGTGAAAAAAGTATGCCCTTCCTAGGAAGTCATCCCACTGGCATACCCCAGCCTCATTCCCGCTTCCCAGTTTTGGGGAACTTTCTCCTAGTTTCCCTCTGCATGTCCATACCGTTACTCAGGCAAACTGGCAGCCCTCAGGAACAATTCAACCATCAGAGGTAATTTGGTCAACAAGGTGCTTCAAAAAGATGTTTTCTTTTGAATGAGTTGTCATCATTTGAAAACCAGGAGATTTTATGTATAAACCTAGATTTCCAGCTTCTGTTAAATGATGAAAAGCTCTGGCACATTCCTGTATGGCAGCAATTTAGGGGCTGAGCAGCTCTTGCTCCACATAGATGGGACATGTGTCCACCAGGTGGCCTTGGTCTCCAGCATATGGCACTGGGTGGTATCACTTGTTTTTCTACCTCCCTGGCTCCTGTAGAAATTTTTCTTAATTTTTTTAGTTTTTTGGAGACCAAGTCTTGCTTTGTCACCCCGGCTGGAGTGCGGTGGCACGATCTCAGCTCACTGCAACCTCCACCTCCCGGGTTTGAGTGATTCCCCTGCCTTGCCTCAGCCTCCTGAGTAGCTAGGATTACAGGCGCCTGCCACCATGTCCAGCGAATTTTTTTTTTTTTTTTTTTTTTTTTTTTTTTTAGTAGAAACAGGGTTTCACCATGTTGGCCAGATTGGTCTTCAACTCCTGACCTCAAGTGATCTGCTCGTCTCAGCCTCCCAAAGTGCTGGTATTACAGGTGTGAGCCACCATACCCGGCCTCCTATAGGAATTTGAGTAAAAGGTGGGGAAAAAATTACACACTTTCAGCTCCTCACATTCACGGAGAACCTGCCTTTCAATCCTCCTCTCCACCCAGATGGCTGCCATCCTCTGGGTGAGCTTATGCCCATGAGGGCTGTCCACATCCCACCTGAAGCCAAGGCCAGCTGGGTGAAAGCAACCTACTCTGGGGTGGTGTCCAAGAAGGAGGGTGCTGGGGAGGAGGACTCACCTGAGAGAATCTGAAGATGTCGTATTCGGATGGAAAGGTGGAATCGTTGTGGGGCCCAGTCAAAGCCATTACTTGAGAGTGAAATAAAAAGCATGCAGGAAATCTGAGGAAGGAGGCAAGCAAAGGTGAAGCTGGTGAAATCGATGGCTGGGAGGGTTCGTGGAGACAGGATGTGGGGCAGGCTATGGCTCAGGTCGTCCACGTCTTATTCCTGGGACAAGGCTTTTGAGGTTTTACCCATTTTATGTGAACATCAAAAATCAAACTCTAATCTCGAGCCTTCAGACCACAGATGTGTAGCCTTTCTGCTTTCTTGTCGAGGATTTGAACCACGTCTACTAACCCCCATTGCTTCATGAACTATCTTCCTGTTCAGCCTGGATTCCACTGGTTATCAGTTTGCACTCGTGTGCTCTGCTCCTTCAGAGTTCCCTTCCAACACCTGCCTCCAAACCTTCAACCTTCACTCACACGATAACTGCCTTCTCACCTAACACTTGGTCACCAAGCACAGCGGAGCCAACCAATGCCTCCATGTCCAGCATCACTAAGTCTGCTCCTGCACTGAGATTCAGATCTTAAAATGCTCCCTTGACCCTGCCTCTGATACAGGAGCTAGAAATTATTTAGGCAGATAGTAAGGGCAACAGAGCCTTCAGCAAGCTTTCCCTCTTAACAAAAAGCAACTCCCAAATCATTTCCTTTTTAACAAAGAGCAGCCTGAAAAATCGAGCTTCAGAATAGATAAGCAAGCTGGAAGCTTGCACAGGTGAATGCTGGCAGCTGTGCCAATAGAAAAGGGCTACCTGACATGGAGGCTCCATCTTCCCTTTTCTTTGTCACCACATGTACAGTAAAGAAGCAGGCAACATGTTGCTGGCCAGGTAGAGAACCTGTCTGCATAATAAAAGATTGGGGTGGGCAGCCAGCTTTTTCACGTGCTGTGCAAACGGCATAACTAGTCCTAACCAGTTCTTCCCATGCTATGCAAATAGCACACCTGGTCTGACCAATCTTTCATGCTCTATGTAAATCAGGTACCACCTCCTCAAGCTCATCTGTAAAATTTCCTGCATTTCACCATGGAACCGGCAACCCATTTTTTCTGGGACCCCTCTCTGCAGGGTGCTCTTCTCTTTCTTTCGCCTATTAAACTTCCACTCTTAACCTCACTCTGGTGTGTCCGCATCCTAGTTTTCCATGGCTGTGGGACAACGAACCTTGGGTATTACCCCAGATGAGCGATGCCGCTTCACCTCCACTTTGTCTACAATCACATTCATCTCATTTCTGTCCCTCTTATCTCAGAAGGTTCTTGCTTCTGTTCCCGGGATCTCGTCTTCTCTTATCTCTCCTAGGACTTTGCTCTTTCAATAACCCTTTCTGTCTCCTGTATTTTCAACTTTACCCTCTCTCCTGGGTCCTGTCCAGACCATAAACATATCCACGTTTCTCTCATCTTTGAAGAAAAGTGCCCAAGAACTTCGGTGGAAATGACCACAAAATGATAACATTCAGGGTTCTAAGGAAGGAAGGAGAGAAATCAGCAAGATAAAGAAAAATGGGCTGCAGGAAGGTAGACTTTCATGAACTCAGGGTTTTGGCAAGAAAAAGCCAATGCGAACGAAATCTGAGGGACAAAGGTTCTGAGTGAACAGGATGCCCTTTTCACATCCTATGCTAAATTTGTCATGCTACCCTTCTCGTGTACAGGGTGGTGTCGCTCACATTGAATGTTTCTTCCAAATCCCACTGCGGTCCAGTGAGTTAGGCAGGGGTGAGATTGGGTGGGTGAGCAGAGGCTTCGGGGACTCCAGGAGGAGCTGGCACTGAGCTAGGGTGGGGCCCGACAGGCACCTCAAGAAAGAAGGGAAAAGATATCCCAGTGGCTGTGGCCAGCAGGGGAACCAGAGAACGGAGAGTCTCACGGTGCCTGCAGGAGAGATCATTTGCGTGGGAAAAGCGCAGCTGAAACAGGTTTCCTTAGACCTGGGAGTGCCTGTAGACAGAAATCAACTTATCTTTATGGATAGGGATCATTGAAAGAAGAAAATGATGGTATTAGCAAAAAGTTTGTGAGACAAAAAGGAAAAAAAGCCAGTCTTCAGTTTGTAAGATCAAAAGAGAGGACCTCGGGAGCCAGCTTTCTCCAGAAAATGTTGACACAAAAGCACAGACATTTTATGAAAAGAAGTCCAGGACCATCTGAACAGAGCAGAAATCCCTCTTGATGAAGCTCTGGAGGTGAGGCCAGTAGGCTTACCACTACTTACAGGCCTTTCTCCACTATTTACCAACTGAGTGATCTACAGCCTCCCGATACCTTTTTGTTGTTGTTGTTGTTGTTTGTCTGTTTTTTGAGACGGTCTTGCTTTGCTACCCAGGCTGGAGTGCGGTGGCATGCTGCAGCCTCAAACTCCTGGGCTCAAGCGATCCTCCTGCCTCGGCCTCCCCGAGTGCTGGGATTATAGTCGTGCACCACCATGCCTGGCCTACACGTTGGTTTTCTTCACCTCCATAATCCACCAGCCAGGCTCTCTTGCAGGTGTAACAGGAATCAAATGTGACAGCACATGGGAAAGTGCTTTGGGAATGGCAAAGCCTTAAGCAGCTCTAAGCCACTGACACTGACAATGGTGGGAACTGGTAAAGAACATTCTAACAGCCCCTGCACTCAGCTCAAAAGAGCCGTGTGGGACTAGACAGGAAGATGGTGAGTCCGCCCAGCAGGGTGAAGCTCTGAAGGCTGGTGGAAAACAAGGAACAGTTTTTTAAAGCTGCACAAGGGAACTACCATCTGCATTAATAACACGAACCAGGATTTTTCTTTCTTTTCTATTTGTACAAATTTATGGGTTGCATGTGCAATATTATTTACATGCATAGATTGTGTAGTGGTCAAGTCAGGGCTTTTAGCGTATCCATCACCTGATAAATGCAGATTTTTCAAGGTGGACCTTGTCAGGGGATTCTCCACTGGGGGTTTCCCTCTTGGTCACCTCAGAGGACCAGAGTTAGATTTTATTTAAAGAAGACTGCAGAGTTCTTACAAGGTGAAATCTCCATCTCATCAATGGGGAAAGGATGACTCAAGTAATTACAAATCTACTGTGCATCTAGAGAAAAGGCTGCATTTGATGATGGAGAGAGCACAGGCTTGAGATCCTAGCTGACCTAGGTTCATATATGCCCTTTGGTAGCTATGTGGTGCTGAATTCATAGCTCATCCACTCTCTGCCTATCAAATGGGGGCAATAAGGCTGATCTCAAAGGATGAAGCTGCACAGCACAGACAGGGCTCCTCAGTATTATACATGCCAAGTCCAACAGTTCCTGGGATGCTGGGTAGTGAAGAATGAAGCTCTGTGATGAGCAAATTTTCTTGAACCAATTTAATTTCTGTCTGGAGAGACAAGATCAGAGGGAAATCATGCATCTGGGATGGTTGTTCTCAACTGGGGGTGATTTTCTCCCCCAGGGGACATATGGCAATGTCTAGAGACATTTTTGTGACAACTTGGGGGTAGTTGCTACTGGCATCTAGTGGATAAAGTCCACAGATGCTGCTAAACATCCTACAATGTGCGGGACCGCCTTCTACAATAAAGAATTATCTGGCTCTAAATTTCAATAGTGTCAGAGCTAAGAAACCCTGGTTTGGCCCAAAGCAGAGTTTTTGTTGTTCTTCCCTGATATGGTTTGTCTGTGTCCCCACCCAAATCTCATCTTGAATTGTAGCTCCCATAATTCCCACGTGTTGTGGGAGGGACCCAGTGCGAGATAATTGAATCATGGGGGTGGTTTCCCCCATTCTGTTCTCATGGTAGTGAATAAGTCTCATGAGATCTGATTATTGTATAAGGGGTTTCCCTTTTCCCTTGGGGCTCTCATTCTCTCTTGTCTGCTGCCATGTTAAGACATGCCTTTTGGCTGGGTGCGGTGGCTCAGGCCTGTAATCCTAACACTTTGGGAGGCCGAGGCAGGCTGATTGCCTGAGGTTAGGAGTTCGTAACCAGCATGGCTAATATGGTGAAACTGTGTCGCTATTAAAAATACAAAAATTAGCCAGGTGTGGTGGCGCATGCCTGTAATCCCAGCTACTCGGGAGGCTGAGGCAGGAGAATCGCTTCAACCTGGGAGGCAGAGGTTGCTGTGAGCCAATCCAGACTATGCAACAAAGCGAGACTCCGTTTCAAAAAAAAGACGTGCCTTTTGCCTTCGGCCATGATTGTGACACCTCCCCAGCCACGTGGAACTGTGAGTCCATTAAACCTCTTTTTCTTTATAAATTACCCAGTCTCAGGTATGTCTTTATCAGCAGCATGAAAACAGACTAATACATTCCCACAGTATCTGTCAATAAGCCAAGTGGACCCAACTGCATATGTGGAGTTGTTCATGATCTGAAGCAATAGGTAAGGAGAAATATTCGTTGTTGATTCAGATGTTAGCTTAGGGGTGTTAACAATCCCTGTCTGAGGCTGGAGTAATTCATTCAGAATATGTTTATTGGTCGCAGAGGACACCAAGTTGGGATGACTTGTTAGTAAACTGGAGGTAGGAAATCATGTCCTAAGTTACCTCGACAAACAAGAGAAGTGGTTTTCCAAGAGCAGAATGAAATTCTTATTGGGGAAAAACTGGTTGAGACGTTAGGGTCATAGGAATGACCTGATGGCCACCAGAGACTAAAACATAAACATGGCCCGTGGTCTAGATAATGAGAGACAAAGGTTGAGAATGAATCTTTCAGTATTCCTCAGACCCAACGAGGCCGTTTTAAAGTCTTCAGTGTAAGGCCCTGCATTTTAAGAAGAGACATGGAGAAATCCACAGAAAAGCCAGAACAATCGCTGGAAAATAAAAAGATCTTCTGAAAACAGATAAAAGAGTTTGAGTTATTCAACGTGGAAAAGAGAAGATTAAGTGTGCCTTGATTTGAGCATGAGAAAGATTATCACAAAGAGAAAAATGGCCAGCTGTTTTCCATCTCCATGGAGGAGCAAATTATAGGAAATAGGCTGTGATTGCAGCACAAGGATGGTTATGAATAAGAAAGCATTCCTAATTGGAACCTGGAACAGACTTCAGAGGAAGATGGTTCAATTCCCTTTACTCAAGTTTGCTTTTTAGCAACTTTCGTGTATTTTTATACATGAAGTATTGACCTGACCACAGACAGGAGACTGGACATAACTTCCTGGGCCCCTAGTTTTATCGTTCTTTCTGCCTATGTCTTCACAAGGCCCAATTAACTAGCTGATGAGTGAAAAATTCAGTTGTTTTGCTGTATGGCCTTATACAAGGTAATTTTCTAACAACTTATTTGATAGATTTTCATCTATTCGTTTATTAAATTGACCGGTTGTTTTAGGGTCATGTTGACAAGCCTATAATTTTATAACATTCATTTTACTCCACAGAACTTGGACATGAACCTATAAACTACATTATGCTTGTGGGTCATCAAGTAGACCTTGTATTGATCTTAATATTAAATAGCTCAGTTTTATGAGCCAGTAGATTCTTGAATGCTGATACCAATATGCACTTGATATGGTTTGGCTCTGTGTCCCTGTCCAAATCTCATGTTGAATTGTATGTAATCCCCACTGTTGCTGGGGAGGGTCCTGGTGGGAGGTGATTGGATCATGGGAGCGGATTTCCCCCTTGCTGTACCCATGATGGTAAATGAGCTCTCACTATCTGGTTGTTTGAAAGTGTTGGGGCCAGGCATGGTGGCTGGTGGCTCATGCCTGTAATCCCAGCACTTTGGGAGGCCGAGGTGGGCGGATCCCTTGAGGCCAGGAGTTTGAGACAAGGCTGGTCAACATGGCAAAACCTCATCTCTACTAAAAATACAAAAATTAGCCAGGCTTGGTGACGCATGCCTGTAGTCTCAGCTACTTGGGAGGCAGAAGCAGGAGAATCGTTTGAACCCTGGAGGTGGAGGTTGCAGTGAGCCGAGATTGTGCCACTGCACTCCAGCCTGGGCAACAGAGGGAGACTCCATCTCAAAAAAAAAAAAAAAAAAAGAAAAAAAAAGAAAAAGGAAAAAGAAAGTGTGCAGCACTTCCCCCTTTGTTCTCTCTCTCTCTCTCCTGACATATGAAGATCTGTCTGCTTCAACTTTGCCTTCCACCATGATTGTAAGTTTCATGAGGCCTCCCCAGAAGCAGAAGCCTGGACAGCCTGCAGAACTGTGAGCTGATTAAACCTCTTTTCTTTATAAATTACCCAGTCTCAGGTAGTTCTTTATAGCAGTGCAAAAATTGACTGATACTCACTCTGATGTAATCTGAACCAGTCATTCAGACCAGAGTAAAAAAGGTGAAGAAATAGTTCCAGGCCTTTGGGAGGCTGGGGTGGGTGGATCACGAGGTCAGGAGATCGAGACCATCCTAACATGCTGAAACCCCATCTCTACTAAATATACAAAAAATTAGCCGGGCATGGCAGCGGGTGCCTGTAGTCTCAGCTACTTGGGAGGCTGAGGCAGGAGAATGGTGTGAACCCGGGAGGTGGAGCTTGCAGTGAGCCGAGATCGCACCACTGCACTCCAGCCTGGATGACAGGGTGAGACTCCATCTCCAAAAAAAAAAAAAAAAAAAAAGAAATAGTTCCAGGCTTTCAATTTGCTCCAAGAGTGTGCTCTTTGTATCAAGAATATATTATCGTATAAATGTTGAAGCCAAACATCTGAGTTTGAATGTGGCAGGTGGGGGGTTGCAAAAGATGTGATCCTGCTGTTTCTAGCATTGTACAGAAATCAATCTATTCCATATTCAAGTGAATTTGCTGAATTGCTGATCAAAAAGGACTAAATCCATTAAAACCTTATGTCCTATGCTGCAGGGGCATCAAGCTTGTGTGCTTCCTGGGACTCTCTTGTGCATCGATTTTAACTTTTTTATGTGGACAACCTAAGTGGGAACTGGAGCATAGATTGGCATCATCATCCATTAAGTGTTTAGCTTCTTTGTTAAACAATGTTCCCCTGCAAATGTTCATATTGTAAACACCAATAACCACTAGATCCCTTGTGTTCTTAAAAGGCATAGAAAATTGTAAAATTTTTAATGTGGATACAAAATGGCTCACATTCAAAGAGCAATAAGCCTTATCAAGGCAGAATTCTACACAAGGTCTTTTTACTTGATTTTGTCCCAGTGGCAATAGAGCAGGTTATCCCCTAACAGCTGATCTTCACTTCTTCGTTTAATAACATAGCCTCTGAATCTTAGCCAGATCCATGACTGTTCCACTAAAAACTATTTTCTAGCCTCCCTTGCACTTGGTTGAGGTTAGAAATACATTTGAACTGATGTAGGCGACGTGATCTGGGCAAAAGTGATAAGTACCACTTCTGGTCCATGACCTTAAAGGAAAAGGATAACACCCTCACTTCTTCCTTCTCCCCTTTCTGCAGGCTGGGATACAGCTATGATGGCAGGACCTGGAGCAGCAATCTTCAACCATGAGGTGGAAGACTTCTGTTGAGGATAATGGAAAATCAAGGTGGAAGAAATTTGAATTTCCGTGATTGTGGAGCCCCCGCATTAGCCTTGGACTGTTGATGCTCTGACTGAATTACAGGACAGAAGATAAACTTCCACTTGTTTAAGCTACTGTTATTCTGACCTTTCCAACAGTAGCCAAACTAGTATCCTAACTAATATCCTAACGCTTTGGGCACTGGAACCTTAACTTTAGTAATTTACATGTTTTTTCCTTTTTTTAAAAAATTTATTTTTTGTAGAGACGGGGGTCTTGCCATGTTGCCCAGGCTGGTCTTTAACTCTGGGCTCAAGTCATCCTCCCACCTTAGCCTCCCAAAATGCTGGGACTACAGGCATGAGCCACTGTGCCTGGCCCTAATTTAGGTGTTTTTTCATACAGTAGAAAAAATATATGTTGTTCCAGATAGATAGATAGATAGATAGATAGATAGATAGATACACAGACAGACAGACAGACAATACACACACTCATACAAACACTTGAGAGATTTATTAACTAGGGATTTAGAGGATCACTGCAGAACTGGTTGTAAAGAACTCATCCCACACTCTGCAATGTGAAGTATATACAACTCATTTTATTTTTTTGAGACAGAGTGTCGCTCTGTCACCCAGGATGGAGTGCAGTGGCACAATCTCAGCTCACTGCCTCAGCCTCCCGAGTAGCTGGGACTACAGGCGCCCACCACCATGCCCGGCTAATTTTTTGTATTTTTAGTAGAGATAGGATTTCACCGTGTTAGCCAGGATGGTCTCGATCTCTTGACCTCATGATCTGCCTGCCTTGGCCTCCCAAAGTGCTGGGATTACAGGCATGAGCCACCACGCTGGGCCCATTTTATTTTTTATATAGAATGTTCTAAAGGCTATAGAGTGAATGATAATGAACCTCCAGTGAGGTGGCAAAGAGCACAAGTTCTGGAACCAGACAGACCAGCTAAATGACCAGGGGCAAGTTACTTAACCTCTGAGTGTCCAGGTTGCCCCATCTGTACAAAGCAGGGACCATGAGGATGACCTGAGATCATACAGGTAAGACGCTTAGAACCAGACATTAGTGCCTGGCACATACCAAGCACTGAATAAATATTAACTACTACTATTATTATTAGTTACACTAATTAGCCAGTAATGATGCTATAGAAATGTGGCTAATGGAATAATTCTAGACTTTTCTTGATCTATTTGTACGTATCAGACGTGGTCTTATTCAAGACATCTAGTCAAAAATGTTTACTTCTGGCTGGGCATGATGATTCATGCCTGTAATCCCACACTTTGGGAGGCCAAGGCAGGAGGATCACTTGAGCCTAGGAGTTCAAGACCAGCCTGGGCAAAATAGCAAGACACTGTCTCTGCAAAAACCAAAAGCATTAGCTGGGCATGGTGGTGTGCACTCGAAATCCCAGCTACTCAGAAGGCTGAGGCAAAAGGATCACTTGGCCCAGGAGTTTAAAGTTACAATGAGCTATGATTGCACCACTGCACTCCAGCCTGGGTGATCCAGCAAAGCCCTGGCTCTAAAATTCAAAAAGGGGAAAAAAAGGTCTACTTTTGCCTGGAATGCCTTATTAACGAATCCTAATCTTGGTTTATGTGCATCCTCCAGGTAGTATCTGAAATAGTACAGCATCGTCTCTTTGTAAATTGATTTCTAAAGGAAGTTTGAACAATAGCAATAGAAGTTTAGATATAGCTGTCTGTCTCACTGGAGCCATCACCTCTGGCTTCTCCTTGCTGTGGACAAGGCTGTAATTTATCCTCCTCTCTGATGGCCACAGTCATCTCTGCTCATGGCAGTGGGGGCTTGGAGAAGTGGATTTACTGAGTAGTGAATGAAGTTTAACCTTCACGGCCTTTCATTTGGTTGGGCCCATTCTAAAGCTCCAAGCATTCCCTGCCAGGATTGCAAAGACCATGGGGCCAGTCCTGGGGCTGCAGGCAGGGTGGATAGGCTTTTTGCATCATATGCACAGCCACCCAGTGCCCACCTGCTGTTGGTGGACCTCCAGGAGGCTTCTAGTGCTATCTCTGATCCTAAGAAGGAAGGTTTGAACGAGATGCCGCTCTGTTCCCTGCTCAGAGGCTACTACAGCCAGGTTTCATGGCCACCCCAGGACTAGCCGGAACATGGAGTGGCAAGGAGCTGGCTGAGCTGGACCGGCTGCTGTCAAAGACACTGTTTGATTGGCCGGGTGTGGTGGTGCATGCTTGTAGCCCCAACTACTCTGGAGGCTGAGGCGGGAGGATCTCTTGAGCCCAGGAGTTTGAAGCTGCAGGGAGCTATGATCATGCCACTGTACTCCAGCCTGGGCCACAGAACGAGACCCTGTCTCTAAACAAAATACACTGAGCAAGAAACCATAGAGGATGTTGGAGGAGGAGCATTGCCAACAAAGAATTCTGAAGCACAAAGAAACTTTTCTAAACTACCAACATTGGCCAGGCAAGGTGGCTTACGCCTGTAATCCCAGCACTTTGGGAGGCCAAGGCGGGTGGATCACCTGAGGTCAGGAGTTCAAGACCAGCCTGACCAACATGGTGAAACCCCGTCTCTACTAAAAATACGAAAAATTAGCCAGGCATGGTGGTGAGAACCTGTAATCTCAGCTATTCGGGAGGCTGAGGCAGGAGGATCACTTGAACACGGGAGGCGGAGGTTGCAGTGAGCCGAGATCGCACCACTGCGCTCCGGCCTGGGCAACAAGAGCAAAACTCAGTCTCAAAAAAAAAAAAAAGAATAAAAATAAAAATAAAAAATCAACATTAGGAGAAAAAAAAAACATGCAAGAGGAAAGCCAGGATTACCTTTCTATTCTCTAAAATAACTATTTTACAACATTGTTGTTATGTGAACAGGTAAGACGGAATGCAGTCAAAACTGTAGGAAAAAACAGTGTTCTTGAGGTGACTCAGGTAGTTAATTAGCAGAGAAAATATTATGTTATTTTAATGGATTTTGTGGTGTTTGTGGTATTTGTCAGCTTTTTAAAAATTTGTCAATACTCATTTCATACCTAAGCTTGTACTTGTAATTTTGTACTCTTTTCCTTAAGGAGCCTCTCTGAAATTGGGTAAGCCGTGACACCCACAACAGCTGAATTTTCCCCCAGGAGAGAGTTTACACCCACTTCAGTGAGAACACTTTTTTGTTAGTGTTTTAGCTGAACACTGACTGGCCATGTTGAGTGACACTTTCTGGGCAATGTCATTAATCGGCCCCCAGAAGCAGGAACTCCAGCATCCGTGGAGAATCAGTTGATGCACAGGTCCGGGTGCCTTGCACAAGGATTAGTGATTCATCTCCAGGGGGTAATGAAAGTGAATGTGGTGTTTCCTTTTGATTCCTTGCAGCTCTCTTTCCAAATATCATGAATGTGCAGTTACTTCCTAACGGTAACTGAAAGGTCAAGAAAAGAGCTTTCACTTTTGGCCTTTCTGGCCTCAAAACCTCAGTTGGCTACAGTCTAGTTGCATTGGGTGCACTGACTGTGGTCTGGGAAAGTCACTGTCTTATCTCCCACATGCCCCTTTCATGCTTCTCTGCTCCACCACATGAGATGTTGAATGGAGTAAGGCAGTTCCATTTCTAAACCCAGCAAAGGAAATAGGCTGAATTTTAAAGATGATCTTGGCTAGTGTAATCCCCTTCCCTTGGAAATGAAGCTGGAGGGGGTGGGGAGGAGTTGAGGATGGGTCAAAGGTGAAGAGAAGGATGGAGCCTGCTTGTGGACCATGACATGTCATTCCTCACTGCTGTGACCGAGTACAAGACACAGAATCTCTCATGTGAACCTTTGTGATACTTAAGAGTTCCCCAGACAAGGCTTGCCCCTACCCCCAGCCCAGTCTCCACAGAAGGGCCAGAGCTGTTTATAATAAGATCATATCACACTTCTGCTTAAAATCCTCCAGTGGCTGCCCATGGCCATGACAACAAAAGGCACACTCTATACTGCGGCCTAGGAGACCTCCCACAGTGTGGCCACTGCTTCTGCTTCTGCTAACCACACATCCCCCACAACCCAGTCCCAGGCCAGTCTGCGCTTTAGCCTCTCTCCCTCCCTCCCTCCCCCTTTTGTCTGCCTAACTTTCTCCCTTCCTCTCTCCCTCCCTTCCTTCTTTCCTTCCCTCCCTCCCCCTTTTGTCTCTCTGCCTTTCTCCCTTCCCTCTCCTCCCCACCCCTCCTCTTCCATCTTTTTCTTTATAACAGCTTTATTGAGGTATCATTCACATACCATACAATATCACCCATGTAAAGTATGCAATTCAATGATTTTTAGTATATTTACAGAGTTGTGCAACCAGCACAATAAATTTTAGAACATTTTCATCACTGAAAAGAAACTCTGTACCCATTAACATCCTTCTTATTTACCCAACACTCCTCAACCCCAAGCCCTAGGCTACCACTAATCTATTTTCTATCTTTATAGATTTGCTTATTCGTATATTCCTTCTAAATGCAATACCATATACAGGCTTTTGTGCCTGGCTTCTCTTACTTAGCATAGTATTTCTGAGGCTCATTCATATTGTAGCATATATCCGAATTTTATTCATTTGGCTGAATGATATTCCATTGTATTGGTATTCCACACTTTATTTATCCATTTATCAATTGATGGACATTTGGATTTTTTCCATGTTTTGGCTATTATGAATGATGTTGCGTGAACACTTGTGTGTAAGTTTTTGTGTAGACATGTCTTCAATTCTCTTAGGTAAACACCTAGGATAAGAACTGCTGGATCCTGTGATAACTCTATGGTTAACATTTTGAGGACAGACAGACTCTTTTCCAGGGTGGTTAAACCATTTTATATTCCCACTAGCAATACAGAGTATCAGGGTTCCAACTTCTCTACACCCTCATCAACAATTATTATTTGTCTTTTTAAAAATAGTCATTCTAGCGGGTGTGAAATGGTATCTCCTTGTGGTTTTTATTTGAATTTCCCTCGTTATACATCTTTTGTTGTGCTTATTGGACATTTTGTGTATCTTTCTCGAAATATTTGTTCAGATCCTTAATCCATTTTTTTTCTTCTTTTTTTTGAGACAGAGTCTTGCTCTGTTGCCAGGCTAGAGTGCAGCAGCACGATCTTGGCTCACTGCAACCTCTGCTTCCCGGGTTCAAGTGGTTCTCCTGCCTCAGCCTCCCAAGTAGCTGAGACTACAGCTGCCCACTACCACGCCCAGTTAATTTTTGTATTTTAAGTAGAGGTGGGGTTTCACCATGTTGGCCAAGCTGGTCTTGAACTCTTGACCTCAAGTGATCCACCTGGCTCGGCCTCCCAAAGTGCATGGATTACAGGCATGAGCCACCGCGCCTGGCCTATTGACCCATTTTTAAATCGGGTTGTTTTCTTTTTGTCGTTGAGTCATGAGTTCTTTATATATCGTGGAGAGTAGACCCTTATCGGACATATGATTTGCAAGTATTTTCTCCCATTCTGTGGGTTGTCCTTTCACTTTTGATGGTGTCCACTGACGCAAACATTTCTAATTTTTATTAAGTCCAATTATCCATTTTTTCTTCTGTTGTGTATGTTTTTGATGTCATACCTAAGAAAGCTTTGCTTAACCCAACGTTATGGAAACTTACTCCTATATTTTCTTCTAAGAATTTTATAATTTTGGTTTTCACATGGAGGTCTATGATTTGTTTTGAGTTAATGTGTGAATATGATATGAGATAAGGGTCCAACTTCATTCTTTCACATGTGGATATCCAATTGTCCCAGATCCTTTTGTGAAGGACTATTCTTTCCCCCATTGAACTGTCTTGGCATTCTTAGCCACATCACTTTCTATTCCCCCATTTAAACAATGTAATAGATTATATTAGAATAGACAACATCAAAGTATAGTTAACCATGGACTCTAAAGCCAGACCTGCTGTACTGAACCTCCACAGTGTGACCACTTACTAGCTATGTGGCCTTTGGCAAATCACTTCTCTGTGCCTCAGTTTTTACACCTGAATAATGTGTTCTTCATAGAGCTATTGTAAATATTAAGTGGGTTAAAAAAATTAAATGGGTTGGTATATGTAAAGCACTTAAGCTCAGGTGTGGTGGCTCATGCCTGTAATCCCAGCACTTTGGAAGGCTGAGGCAGGGGGATCACTTAAGCTCAGGAGTTCAAAACCAGCCTGGACAACATGGCAAAACCCCATCTCTATAAAAAACACAAAAATTAGCCAGCCATGGTAGTATGCACCGGTAGTCTCAACTACTCAGGAGGCTGAGGTGGGAGGATTGCTTGAGCCCTGGAGGTGGAGGTTGCAGTGAGCCGAGATCATGCCATGACACTCCAGCCTGAGCGACAGAGCCAAATCCTGTCTCACAAATAAGTAAAGCTAAAAAGCACTTAAAACAATGCCTGGCAGGTGATAAACACCTTGTAAGTATTTTGCTATACAATTTCTACAAAAAGTTTTTGCTCAGTTTCTGCCATTGTGAAGAAAATAATGTTTATGAATCTGAATCACAAGGCATGATTTGTTTCTTATTGACCACGTTTGTAACAGTAGATTGCTAAAATAATGCCACATAACAATCAAAAATCTTAGTGGCACACAGCATGAGGCATTTACTTTTTTTTTTTTTTTTTTTTTTTTTGAGACGGAGTCTTGCTTTGTCACTAGGCTGGAGTGCAGTGGCGCGATCTCAGCTCACTGCAACCTCTGCCACCCAGGTTCAAGTGATTCTCCTGCCTCAGCCTCCTGAGTAGCTGAGACTACAGCTGCGAGCCACCATGCCCAGCTAATTTTTGTATTTTTAGTAGAGATGGGGTTTCACCATGTTGGCCAGATGGTCTCCAACTCTTGACCTCGTGATCCGCCTGCCTCGGCCTCCCAAAGTGTGAAGCATTTATTTCCCATGAGTTTGGGGGTGGCTGGGCAGCTCCACTGATCTCATCTGGGCTCACTCACTCCTCTGTGGATCAGCTGATAATCAGCTAATCTAGGCTGGGCTTGGCTGAGCAGGTCTGCTTCAAGCTTCAGGTCTTGCCAAGCTTGGCTCCCCATCACTGGACTTGGTTCTGCTCCACATGTCTTCTATTTGGGCCTAGTCTAAGGGGTAGCAGCTTCCTGGGGGAAGCTCTTATCATGATGTTAAAGGCACAAAAGGGCAAACTTAATCCTCTAAGCACGTTTGAAGTCTCTGCTTGTCTCCTGTCTGCTAACATCCTATTGGCTGAATGACAAGGTCAGAGAAGTTCACTCCCACAGTCTCATTGATCAAAGCCAGTCACACGACTGAGCCCAACATCAGTTAGATACAAAACAACGATCTGTTGAGCAATAATCTAATATATTCCTAGTCAAAAGAGTTTGAGAAGCATTGCTCTAAAGCAGCAGTCAGCAAACTAGTGCCTGCAGGGCAAATTGAACCCACCACTTTTTTTTTTTTTATATATAAAGTTTTACTGAAACCCAGCCTGGCCCGTTTATTTATGTATGGCTGCTTTTGTGATACAATAGCAGGATTGAGTAGTTGCAATAGAGACCTCATGACCTGCAAAGCCTAAAATATTCACTACCTGGTCCTTTACAGGAAAAGTTTGCCCACCTCTGTTTTTTTTTTTTTTTTGAGACGGAGTCTTGCTCTGTTGCCCAGGCTGGAGTGCAATGGCATGATCTTGGCTCACTGCAACTTCCGTGCCTCACTGGTTCAAGCAATTCTCCTGCCTCAGCCTCCCCAGTAGCTGGGATGACAGGCGCCCACCACCACACCCAGCTAATTTTTGTATTTTTGTGTTTTTAGGTTTTGTCATGTTGGCCAGGCTGGTCTCGAACTCCTGACCGCAAGTAATCCACCCACCTAGGCCTCCCAAAGTGCTGGGATTACAGTCATGAACCACAGCACCTGGCCCACCCCTGCTCTTAAGAAGGCAAAGTTTAGGAACTGATGAGAATTCAGCATCAAATCAAATCAAATAATCAAGGAGCTCCTTCTAAATGCCAGACACCGGTGAATGCTGCTCAATGACTATTTGATTTAATTTGACGCTCTGCTCTCATCCCTGCAGAGAAATGAGTGCTTCCTAGTTTGCAATAATCACTTGTGTGGTAAGAGAGAGCCCCATTCTGGTCTGGCACTTGGGTCTGTATCAGAGCATCATCATTGTAATTCGTATGCTGACTTTCCTATTCTTGTCCTGTACGGAGTTAAATATTGTGAGCTTTGGTTAAATGACATGCTACTGGCCAGGCACGGTGGCTGACACCTGTAATCCCAACACTTTGGGAGGCTGAAGTGGATTGCTTGAGCTCAGGAGGTTCCAGACCAGCCTGGGCAACATGGCGAAACCCTGTCCCTATGGGGGGAAAAAAAAAAAAATTAACCGGGTATGGTTGCACATGCCTGTAGTCCCAGCTACTTGGGAGGCTGAGGTGGGAGGATCACTTTAGCCCAGGAAGTTGAGGCTGCAGTGAGAAAGCAGTGATTGTGCCACTGCACTTCAGCCCGAGCAACAGAGTGAGACCCTGTCTCAACAACAAAAAAAATTAATAAGATATACTACCTTTGAAATAATGATGCTCAAAGTAAAAAAAAAAAAAAAAACTAAAAATTATACAGTCATCCAAATAAAACAAGATTTTTGAAACTTTACTGGACTACAACCCTCCAAAAGCTATAATCTTAGGTTGAAATCCAATATAGAAAACTGATCTAAGTGGAGTTGCTAAGGTTCACTGGTAGGTGGGAGGGGACTTGGGCTCAGGGCCACATCCATTAAGCAAGCTCCCCCATGCTACACCCATGGTCCTCTCAGAAGTCCCAGAAACTAAGACATGCCAGGGCTCCTCGGAAATTAATTTTGTTTTTGTGGATTTTCTAATGTCCAGAGAACAACTTTGGTATACAAACAAACAAACAAACAAAAAATTACTATGCACCACTTTTTTTCCCTAAGCAATATTTCACTTATTGGAATAACAAATTTACAATCCAAGGTTTTCCTTCAACCTTTTAAGTCACTTTTATAAAACTTTTTGGGCTATTTCTAGAGAAAATTTTACTAGCCTGTTTTATGGGAGGCTTTGCTTAAGGGTTGATTCCACTCAGACTTAATGAAACAACTGTAAGCGTTTTAAACTGCATTTGTAAATTTATTTGATTTGTGTTTCAGTGATACCTAACAGTTACAGCCCCTACCATGGGCAGACACTGTCCTAAACTGGCTGGGTGTGGTGGCTCACACCTATAATCCCAGCACCCTGGGAGGCCGAGGCAGGCAGATTACCTGAGGTCAGGAGTTCGGGACCAGCCTGGCCAACATGGTAAAACCCCGTCTCTACTAAAAATACGAAAATTAGCTAGGTGTGGTGGCATGGCCTGTAATCCCAGCAACTCAGGAGGCTGAGGCAGGAGAATTGCTTGAACCTGGGAGGTGGAGGTTGCAGTGAGCCAAGATCGCACCACTGCAGCCTGGGTGACAGAGCTAGACTCCATCTTAAAAAAAAAAAAAAAAAAAAAAAAAAAAAAAATTTACACCATTAACTCCTTTAATTCTCGTATCACTTCTAGCGAATATCTTATATTATTATCATCTCCGTTGCATATACAGGGAAACTGAGGTATACAGAATAATTCTCACAGTCATATAGCTAATAATATGTGGGCTACTTTTTGAACTAGCTGTCACTGAAAACCAAATAAAATATATTAAATTTATAAACACAGTTAAAAACCCTTGAAGTTGTTTAATTAACTAAGTCTGAGTGGAACCAACCCTTAAGCAAATCCTCCAATAAAACAGACTGTGCCCCAGATTCCAGGTTTGCGTGCTTACCTTTTACATTAAGAAGCTGACTACAAATTAACTAAAAAGAAAAAACCCTGACTCCTTAGTCATTTTCGTAAAACTAATATTATACTTATAAATATAGCATAAAAGGTTCAAATTATTTTATATATTCCAAAACTTACTTTTTATTTTTATTTTTGTGTGTGTATTTCTGCTGTTTAATATTTTTTATAGAGACAGGGTCTTGCTATGTTGCTCAGGCTGGTCTCCAACTCCTGGCCTCAGGCAATCCTCCCAGCTTGGCCTCCCAAAGTGTTGGGTTTATAGGCATGAGCCACCCCACTTGGCCTACAGATTCTTTTGTAATTCTCTTACAAAAATTTCTTGACCGGGCACAGTGGCTCATGCCTGTAATCCCAGCACTTTGGGAGGCCGAGGCGGGTGGATCACAAGGTCAGGAGATCGAGACCATCCTGGCTAACACAGTGAAACCCCGTCTCTACTAAAAACACACACACAAAAAATTAGCCAGGCATGGTGGCAGGCGCCTGTAGTCCCAGCTACTTGGGAGGCTGAGGCGGGAGAATGGCATGAACCCAGGAGGTGGAGCTTGCAGTGAGCCAAGATCATGCCACTGCATTCCAGCCTGGGTGACAGAGTGAGACTCCGTCTCAAAAAACAAAAAAACAAAAAAAGAACCCTCAGTATATCAAGTTGTTCAATATGCCAAATTCATTTAAACATTTAAGTGCTTAAAATATCAAACATATGGATTATTTTCAAAATTTATGTATATTTTTAAAAGACTTAACCCTACAGATTTGACATACTCCATCACCTTTATATTTAATTCTAAATCTTCCCTGGGTTGAAGACATTTAGCTATTACGGAAATTCCCTGTCCTCCCTGGGAAGGAGTGTTGAGGGGAGTGAGCAATGGAGTTGGTGCTGCTGAATGTCTGATAAGAGCTGAAAATTAACCACTGCATTTGGCCAAGTGAAGGTCATAGTGACCTTGACAAGAGCTGGTGTTGATGGTTTGATGAAATGAAGGTGTAAATAAAAAGGATACATGAGAGAAGAACAGGAGAGGATAAGGAGGCAAGTCTTTTTGCCATTAGAGGAGCAGGAAAGTGGGACAATAGCTGAAGGGAGATGTGGGGTCAAGTAAGTTTTTTGTTTGTTTGTTTTGAGACAGAGTCTTGCTCTGTCACCCAGACTGGAGTGCAGTGGTGCGAACTCAGCTCACTACAACCTCCACCTTCCAGGTTCCAGCAATTCTCCTGCCTCAGCCTCCCAAGTAGCTGGGATTACAGGCACCTGCCACCACACCAGGCTAATTTTTTGTATTTCTAGTAGAGATGGGGTTTCACTATGTTAGCCAGGCTGGTTTCGAACTCCTGATCTTGAGTGATCCACCAGCCTTCCTCCCAAAGTGCTGGGATTACAGGCGTGAGCCACTGCGCCTGGCCCCAAGGAAGACTTTTTTTAACGGAATTTATTGTAAATAAGTTGATAGGGTGGGAAAGGATGAATTCAGGAGAAAAGAGGCAAGTGACATTCCTGGGTAGGTAGAAGAGTTGGAATCTACTCTCCAAGTGAAGGAACTGACCTTGGAAAGGCACAGGAACCGCTGGACCATGGTCACTGGAGGGAAAGTAGCATAGAAGGACACAGGAACTGCTAGATGTGCTGGAAGCAGGTGCAAGTTTTTTCTGATTGCTCCTGTTTTCTCCAGAAAATAGGAAGTGAGGTTCTTAGTGCAGCACATTGGGGAAGGATGTATTGATGGTTTGAGGAAAGGGAAAGCATGAGATCGTCCTTTGGGAAAGTGGGAGAGTAATAGGATCACGGAAATGTAATGGGATTATCCATTAGCCTGAAGGGCCGTTGGTATATGAAGACTATCTGAAGCCTTAGGACTGGATGAGAACAGTACGGAGTGAGTTTGGACAGAGGAGAGGACAGGGTTGAGGATGGAGCCTGGCTGGCAGAGCTCACTGTAGAGCCAAAACGATTAGATCTGTGTGCAACATTATTTAATCCAGCAAACCACAGGGATTAGAGGGAATTCCCACTTCTCCAAACTTAGTTAATAATTGATCACTCACTTACCAGTCGGATCAAGTTCAATGGTTTACTTTCTGGACCAGGAAACGCTTTTGTGATACATTTTCCCCCACACAAATGGATGTCTGGTGCCTGCTGCCTTCCAACAATATTACTTGTATTTCCTGAAAGTCAGAACGACAAGGGACTTCAAACGCTATTATCAGTTAGGGCTGCAAAGCCAAACACAGCTGTAGGCTTTCAGAACCAATGAACACATCAGGTTTCATTAGAAACTGGAGAAGCCATGACTTCTGGTGATAAGTATCACTGGGGCAATATACTGAAATATCAATATCTGCACAAGGGAGCTAATTAAAAATTGGCAAATCATTTGCTCATAAAGGTTCTGGTTTTTCCTTCTGATACCAAATGCTTTCCAGTTGCTTCCAGCAGACCTCTTCCTCAGGTCCATCATCCCACCCCATTCCAATCCTATCTGTGCAGATACTCAGTTCACTTCACCATCTTTTCTTGGTCAGAGGTCTCAGTCTAGACCAAGGTTTCTCAGTGTCAGCACTACTGACATTTTCGGCTGGATAATTCTTAGTTGGGGGGCTGTCCTGTGCATTGTATTGTAAGATATTTAGCAGCATCTCTGGCCTCTACCCACTGGATACCAGTAGCACTTCTCCCTCCTCAGGTTTGACAATCAGAAATGTTTCCTGACATTGCCAAATGTCCCGAGGGGCAAATTTGACTCTGATGGAGGACCATTGGTCTGACTATTAGACTTAGAAACACTGGGACCCACAGGTACCCAAGTTAGAGCTTCATATGGAATCTCCCATGGTAACCCTTACAGTATAAATTAAGTCTGGTAGACCAGGGCAGGAGATGACAACTTCAGAAGTGAGAAATTAGACACTTTGCTTCTGCATAGAATGTGCAGTTAGCTGGCTAATCCCATTTAAACAAAAAAAGGAGAAGAACTTGTCACATTTTCAACCTTCTCACGAATTGCTGTGAAGATTCTCAGGAAATGATAATTAGTTGCCAACAGCATGAAAGATAAAATGCACAGAATGTTAGAATTGGGAAAATGCACAGGGAAATATAAAGAGGGAAAGAAGGAAGGAAGGGAGGAAGGGAGAGAGGGAAGAAAAAAGGAAAGGAGGGAGGGAGGTATAGAACGAGGGAGGAAAGGAAGGAAGGAAGGAAGAAGGAAGGAAGGAAGGGAGGGAGGGATATCGAGGGAAGGAGAGAAAGAAATGGCACAGAACCCAAATGCAAAGTCAGAGTTCAACTATACCAAGTCTTAATCTATGATAGCAAAATGATGTCTGCATTCAAATCCAAGTTGTCGGGGCCAGGTGTGGTAAGCTCATGCCTGTAACCCCAGCACTTTGGTAGGCCAAGGCAGGCGGCTCACTTGAAGTCAGGAGTTTGAGACCAGCCTGGTCAACATGGTGAAACCCGTCTCTATTAAAGATACAAAAATTAGCTGGGCAAGGTGGTACACGCCTGTAATCCCAGCTACTGGGGAGGCTGAGGCACGGGAATTGTTTGAACCCGAGAGGAGGAGGTTGCAGTGAGCTGAGATCACGCCACTGCAATTAAAAAAAAAACAAAAAAAAAACCTTAGCCTAGCATCCCAGGCTCTAAACAATCTAACTCCCACAGACCTGCTCCCACTACTTACTTTAATCTTCACCCTATTCCATCTGCTCCACTTACATCTCTGCAAGACACCTCGATCATCACTATTCCTAAATCTTTACAGACACGTGCTCCATCCAGCCTTGCTTGAAGGTTAAGAATTCGTTCAAATGCTTAACCTTCAAAAGACTGTCATCAATTCCCACCTCCTTCATTCACTCACCCACTTTAGCATAACTAGGGGCTGAAGCCAGGGTAGATGATAACAGCTAACAGCTCTACAGAACTTACCATGGACCGGACACTGCTCTAGGCAAGCTTCATTTTGGATGTCAAAGGGGATTTTGTTTCCAGGGCTGCCCACTGTGCTATCCACGGCTACCCCCATGAAGCAGAAGCAGACCTACTGGGACCCGCCAGTGTCTGCCATTGTGACATTGGCAACCCTTAGTCTTCATGAGCAGAAGTGCAAGGCTAGAGAGCCCAGCCTGGGAGAGGTGGGCAGAAAGTAGCCTCTGTGGCTGGGTGTGGTGGCCCACGCCTGTAATCCCAGCACTTTGGGAGGCTGAGATGGGCAGATCACCTGAGGTCAGGAGTTCGAGACCAGCCTGGCCAAAATGGTAAAACCCTGTCTCTACTAAAAATACAAAAATTAGCCAGGCATGATGGCGGGCACCTGCATTCCCAGCTACTCGGGAGGCTGAGGCAAGAGAATCACTGGAACCCAGGAGGCAGAGGTTGCAGGGAGCCGAGATCGCGCCATCACGCTGCCAGCCTGGGCGACAGAGTGAGACTCCATCTCGAAGAAAAAAAAAAAAGAGGCCAGGCGCAGTGGCTCACGCCTGTAATCCGGGCACTTTGGGAGACCGAGGCGGGCGGATCACAAGGTCAGGAGGTCAGACCATCCTGACAAACATGGTGAAACCCCATCTCTACTAAAAACAAAAAAAAATTTAGCCGGGCGTGGCAGCATGCGCCTGTAGTCCCATCTGCTGGGGAGGCTGAGGCAGGAGAATGACGTGAACCTGGGAGGCGGAGCTTGCAATGAGCCGAGATCACGCTGTGTCCGGAATTGGTGGATTCTTGGTCTCACTGACTTCAAGGATGAAGCCGCGGACCCTCGCGGTGAGTGTTACAGTTCTTAAAGGTGGCGTGTCCGGAGTTTGTTCCTTCTGATATTCGGAAGTGTTTAAAGTTTTTTCCTTCTGGTGGGTTCGTGGTCTCGCTGGCTTAAGAGTGAAGCTACAGACCTTCACAGTGAGTGTTACAGCTCTTAAGGCGGCTGGTCTGGAGTTGTTTGTTCCTCCTGGTGGGTTCGTGGTCTCGCTGGCTTCAGGAGTGAACCTGCAGACCTTCGCAATGAGTGTTACAGCTCATAAAGACAGTGTGGACCCAAACAGTGAGCAGCAACAAAATTTATTGCAAAGAGAAAAAGAACGAAGCTTCCACAGCGTGGAAGGGGACCCTACCGAGTTGCCACTGCTGGCTCCGGCAGCCTGCTTTTATTCTCTTATCTGGCCCCACCCACATCCTGCTGATTGGTCCATTTTACAGAGAGCCGAGTGGTCTGTTTTGACAGGGTGCTGATTGGTGCTTTTACAATCCCGGAGCTAGACACAAAGGTTCACCACATCCCCACTAGATTAGCTAGAAACTGAGTGTGGACACAAAGGTTCTCCAAGTCCCCACCAGAGTAGCTAGATACAGATTGTCGATTGGTGCATTCACAAACCCTGAGCTAGACACAGGGTGCTGATTGGTGTGTTTACAAACCTTGAGCTAGATACAGAGTGCCGATTGGTGTATTTACAATCCCTGAGCTAGACACAAAGTTTCTCCACGTCCCCACCAGATTAGCTAGATACAGTGTCGACACAAAGGTTCTCCAAGTCCCCATCAGAGTAGCTAGATACAGAGTGTCGACTGGTGCATTCACAAACCCTGAGCTAGACACAGGGTGCTGATTGGTGTGTTTACAAACCTTGAGCTAGATACAGAGTGCTGATTGGTGTATTTACAATCCCTTAGCTAGACATAAAGGTTCTCCACGTCCCCACCACAGTCAGGAGCCCAGCTGGCTTCACTCAATGGATCCCGCACCGGGGCTGCAGGTGGAGCTGCTTGCCAGTCCTGGGCCGTGCGCCCGCACTTCTCAGCCCTTGGGTGGTGGATGGGCCTGGGCGCCCTGGAGCAGGGGGTGGCGCTCGTCGGGGAGGCTCAGGCCGCACAGGAGCCCACGGAGCGTGGGGGAGGCTCAGGCATGGCAGGCTGCAGGTCCCGAGCCCTGCTCCGCCGGAAGGCAGCTAAGGCCCGGCGAGAAATTGAGCACAGCAGCTGCTGGCCCAGGTGCTAAACCCCTCAGTACCCGGGGCCGGTGGGGCCGGCCGGCCGCTCCGAGTGCGGGGTCCGCGGAGCCCACGCCCACCCGGAACTCGCGCTGGCCCGCAAGCACCGCGCGCAGCCCCGGTTCCCGCCCGCGCCTCTCCCTCCACACCTCCCTGCAAGCTGAGGGAGCCGGCTCTGGCCTTGGCCAGCCCAGAAAGGGGCTCCCACAGTGCAGCGGCGGGCTGAAGGGCTCCTCAAGGGCCGCCAAAGTGGGAGCCCAGGCAGAGGAGGCGCCGAGATTGAGCGAGGGCTGTGAGGACTGCCAGCACGCTGTCACCTCTCAACGCCAGTGCACTCCAGCCTGGGTGACAGAGCAAGCCTCCGTCCCAAAAAAAAAAAAAAAAAAAAGTGGCCTCTGTGATTCAGCTGGGGGTGGGGGTTAGGACGGGTGGGTTGCAGGGAGCTGAGCTGCTCAAGTGGCAGGGCGTGGGGGAAGGGTTTGTCAGCCTGCAGTGACCTTAGGGTTGGAGAGGAAGCAGATTTTTGCTGCTCCTGCTGAAGGCTTCCTGAAGGCGGGGTTCCTGTTGTCTGCTGTTCTTTGGCCTTCCTCTGGGCACAGGCTTAACCAAGGTGCTTACATGCCGGCTCCTTGATTCACCCTCTGAGGCTTTGATTTCACGGTAACTTCATTTCCCCGACGTGGAACCCAGCTCGCTGAAGAGCTAAGGCCAAGACCTCACCGTGTGAACTTCTGTAGTTTCTGGCTTCAATAGCCGAATTCACTTTGATTCTAAAATTGCTTTTTTGAATTTAGAATGGTCTCTTTGTTACCTCCTTTCTTATTTTCTGTTTTCTCCTTGTCTCCTTGGAGTCTGCTCAGTTATCGAGGAACTGCAGTGCTACTTTCAGAAATGTTCTCGGGTCGAGTGCTGGGCGCCCTGGGTGACCGCAGCCAGGTCCTAGGCTCTTCCTGAACCAAACATCCAAACCCCAACCCATGAGGGGAATTGTGTTCCTCTTAGGAAGGATCCTGGTCTGCTTGGGGTGTCTGTGACTGAAGCCTGTCTTGTCCAATTCTCTCATTCTGGAAAAACGGCAGTAAGAAACATTCACTGGAAGATTGTGGAGGTTTAAGTAATGGGAAACGAGTGTCTCTGGTGAAACTATACTTCTATGGTCCCAGTTCCTGGCCTTCATCTTCCCTGCTAGCCCAACTAGGCTGTCCCCTCCCCTGCCTTCCCCAGACCCCATCACAGTGGTGTTGGAAAGTGGAATAGCCAGTGGCTGGGGAAGGAGGCTTTGGATTCTGGCAGTCCTGCCTTTAACTCCCGGCACCATCACATGGGTTTGTTACTCAGTTTCCCCATCTGTAAAATGGGGACGATGATCGCTATTCCAGCGATTTGCTTGGAGGGTTGAATGAAACAACAGAGGTGTAAAGAGAACTTTTTATGTATCAGAATTCCTCTTAGGAAGGTAGAGCTGTCTTTGTTGAGAAAATACTTTGCTAAGTTCAAGTAGGAACCGAGATCCTTCTGGCCGGAGGTGGGAGGGAACGCTCCCAACAAGACAAAGGGAGGATTTTGTTTGCAACTCCAGGGAGGAAGTGGGGGGCCAGGAGAGGGCGGAAGCCCAGTGCTCCAGGAATGACCCCTCCCCATGGATACCGCACTCCCATCCCCACCCTCCACCAAAATCTTGAATCAGGTTTACTGAATTCATGGAACACTTGAAGTAATGAGGAAAGCAGAGAGGGGCTGAGTTGTGTCTCTGGGGAGCTCTGAAACAAAACCATAGTAGCATTTCAGAATGAGAGGGGATGGAGGCAAAGGACAGCTAAGGACAAAAGACACAGGACCCCGGGCTGGGCGTGCTGGCTTACGCCTGTAATCCAAACTGTTGGGACACTTTGGTAGGCCGAGGCAGGTGGATCACAAGGCCAGGAGTTCAAGACCAACCTGGCCAACATGGTGAAACACCATCTATACTAAAAATACAATAGCCGGGTGTAGTGGCAGGCACCTGTAATCCCAGCTACTCGGGAGGCTGAGGCAGAGAATTGCTTGAACCCAGGAAGCAGAGGCTGTAATGAGCTGAGATCATGCCATTGCACTCCAGCCTGGGCAACAGAGTGAGACTCTGTCTCAAAAAAAAAAAAAGGAAAAAAAAAAAAAAGACGCAGGCACCCTCCTAAGAAGAGATTGGACTATCAAGGGCAGCAAATCTGAGAGGTAGGGGCACCAGCCACAACCTGCATATGCAAGAAAACAAATTGTAGTTTAGTATCATTAGCCCCTGTTTCGTGCCTTCCTGGGTCTTTCCTTCTTGACCTTCCATCTGGTTAGACATTGCTTCCTTCAGGAAGCCTTCTCTGATTTTCCATACATGGGTAAGAACTGTACATTCTGAGCTCCCTTGTTCATTTTCATCCTGGAGATGTCACCCTGAGTTATAATTGCTCGTTTGGATGCCTGGTCTCTCCTACCAGACTATACACTCCATGGGGTGTACATCTTTTACACCACTGTGTTCCCAAACCTGGCATAGCACCTTGTACATCTGTTTTCAATAAAATACATGTTCAGCAAATGACAGTCTCATAGAAAAAGCCCAGTCTTTGGTGTTCTATAAAACCTGGGTTCAGATCCTGACTCTGTCACTTAAAAGCTGTGTAACTCTGGGCGTATTACTTAACCTCTCTGAGCCTCACTCATCATCTCTGTAAACAGGTGTAAGGTACAAGGTCAGTGTGAGGACTCAATGGGAGGAAATGTGGAAAGTGTGGTGCATGGCCACAGTCAGCACTCAGCAGATGTTGGGTTCTCATCTCTGTCTCCTATATTTAACACATCTATTCCAGCCACATGTCCCCACCAAGCCAGGGCCCTCGGCACCTTATAAAACCTCCTACTTGTTACCTTACTTCACACTGTCTGTCTCAGATGTATTAAGCTCTTCCTTTGTACCAGATACTGCTCTAAACTAGGTGTCAGCAGACTACAGCCTGTGAACCAAATCTAGCCCCACACCTGTTTTTGTATATAATGTCCATGAGCTAAGAAAGGTTTTCACATTTTTAAATGGTTAGGAAAAAACTAGAAATAATATTTCATGCCACATAAGAATTATTTGAAATTCAAATTTTAGTGCCCATAAATAAACTTTTTTTTTTTTTCGAGACAGCTTCTCACTCTGTTGCCTAGGCTGGCGTGTAGTGGTGTGATCATGGCTCACTGCAGCCTTGACATCCGGGGCTTAAGCCATGCTCCCACCTCAGCCTCCCGAGTAGCTGGTACTACCCGTGCGCCACCACGCCAGGCTTATTTTAAACTTTTTTTGCAGAGATGGGGTTTAGCTATATTGCCTAGGCTGGTCTTGAACTCCTGGGCTGAAGTGGTCCTCCTGCCTCTACCTCCTGAAGTGCTGAGATTATAGGCCTGAGCCACTGCACTCAGCCATAAATAAACTTTTATTGATATATAGCCATACAAATTATTTTTCATCTTGTCCATGGCTGCTTGTCTCTTTGGGCTGCTACAACAAAATAGCGCCTTATAAACAACAGACATTTATGTCACACAGTTCTAGGAGTGGGGAAGCCCAAGATCAAGGCCCCAGCAGATTCAGTGTTGGGTGAGGGCTTTCTAGTTTGTAGAAAATTCATTTCTAATTCATTTCTAGATGATACCTTCTCCCTGTGTCCTCACATAATGGGAGAGGCTAGCTAGCTCTCTGGGGCCTCTTTTACAAGGGCATTAGTCGCAGTCTTGAAGGCTTTACCCTCATAGCCTAATCCCCTCCCCAAAGCCCCATCTCCTGATACTATCACCCTGGGGGTTAGGATTTCAACATGCGAATTTGGGGGGACACAAAACATTCAGACCATATCCTCTGCTTTTTTTTTTTTTTTTTTTTTTTGAGGCAGAGTCTTGCTGTGTCACCCAGGCCGGAGGGCAGTGGTGCGATCTCGGCTCACTGCAACCTCGCCTCCCGGGTTCAAGCGATTCTCCTGCCTCAGCCTCCCAAGTAGCTGGGATTACAGGTGTGCATCACCACGCCCGGCTGATTTTTATATTTTTAGTAGAGATAGGGTTTTGCCATGTTGGCCAGGCTGGTCTTGAACTCCTGACCTCAGGTGATCCGCCCGCCTCAGCCTCCCACAGTGCTAGGATTACAGGCGTGAGCCACTGCACCAGGCCTATAGCTTCTACTTTTGGACTACAATGGCGGAGTTGAGCAGTTGTTGCAGAGACCATATGGCCCACAAAGCCAAAAATACTTACCATCTGGCCCTTTTTAGAAAACGTTTTCCAACCCCTGTTCTAAGCAGTGCCCACACTGATGACTCTCAAGCCGTCATAAGCCATGTGAAGTCAGCCCCAGTACTTCTCATTCTACAGTGGAGGAGCCCGAGGTGGAAAGAGGTTAAGTCCCATGGCCACAGTCACACAGTGGTAGATGGTAGAGTTGGGACCAAGCTCCTATTGCCTCTGAAAGAGGAGGTCACTGCTCAGGAGGCTGGGGACAACCCTAGACAGCCTCCATGCTGTGCTGGGGAGCCTGGCCTGGAAGGTTCTTGATCAGGGGAATGACATAATAAAGTGAAACCCTAAGGTGACCACTATGGTCACTGACTTGCAGGAGAGAGTGGGTGGGAGAAGTGGGATAGAGGAAGGACTAAGAACTGGAATTTTGGAACTAAACTTCCTGGTTTGGGTTGCAGCCAGCCACTGATCTCTGCCACCTTGGACAAATTAATTAGTGTCTCTCTGCCTAATTTCCTTCACTCTACAAAGAAGATAATAATAGAATCTGGATTCTACCTTATGGGGTTGTTGGAAAGATTAGAAGAGAAAGTTCTGTCTTATTTATCTGCCTTTGAGCACAGAGAGGCCCTCAATCAGTGTTAGCTATGGTTATGCCTGTTATTCATCCCAAAGGGAATATATATATATATGTGTGTGTGTGTGTGTGTGTGTATATATATGTGTGTATATATATGTGTATACATATATGTGTGTATATATGTGTGTGTGTGTGTGTGTATATATATATGTGTGTATGTGTGTGTGTGTGTATATATATATATATATATATTTAGATGGAGTCTTGCCCTGTTGCCTAGACTGGAGGCTGATGTGCAATGGCAGATGTGATCTCGGCTAACTGCAACCTCCACCTCCTGGGTTCAAGCAATTCTCCTGCCTCAGCCTCCTGAGTAGTTGGGACTATCGGCGTGCACCACCACGCCTGGCTAATTTTTTTTTTTTTTTTTTTTGTATTTTTAATAGAGACGAGGTTTCACCATGTTGGCCAGGCTGGTCTCGAACTCCTCACCTCAGGCGATCTGTCCACCTTGGCCTCCCAAAGTACTGGGATTACAGGCGTAAGCTACCATGCCTGGCCTCATCCCAATAGGAATCTACTGCTCCCTCCGTTCCAGGTGCCATTCCAAGCAATCAGGATGCAAAAAGGAAGAAAGAAAAATGAACCAAGTCTGATACCTGCCCATAAAGAGCACACAGACCACTATGAGGGACAGAGGAGTACATGAGTACCTGGGGAGTGGTGTGACAAGTGCCAGAGTGGGCTATGGCGGAGATCAGAGAGAGGAAACACCTTGTTCTACTTCTCCCTTCTGTGGCTCAGGTTCTACTCCTTCCTGAGCGCACCAGGCATCCTGTTGGGTTTGCCCTAGGCCTCTTCTCCCCAGGCCCTGGAGCCAGCCTGAATGGGGAATAACATGGGCACAGGCAGTTTTCCAGCGCCCTGGCTCGAGGCTGTGTCTGGAAGACTGTACAGTACATATCAGCCGGAAGTAGAGGGCCCCTGGGAGAACACGGGCAGGGGAATAGCTTGGTCACTTCCACTTACCAAACAGCAAAACAACAAATTCACAGCAAGGGATGTTGATGCCAAAAACCCGTCAGGTTCCAGCCTGGAATCTTGTATTTGTCAGATGAGTGTGCCCTTGAGGTGCAGCAAGAATCCACAGCAATTAAGAATGTGATCATAAAATGTGCCAGCAGCTCCTGCCTGCCTTGGTTTTTATTTTATTTTTTTATTTTTTGAGACGGAGTTGTGCTCTATTGCCGAGGCTGGAGTGCAGTGGCGCCATCTCGGCTCACGGCAATCTCCGCCTCTTGGGTTCAAGCGATTCTCCTGCCTCAGCCTCTCCAGTAGCTGGGACTACAGGCACCTGCCACCATGCTTGGCTAATTCTTTTTATATTTTTGGTAGGGGCAGGGTTTCGCCATGTTGGCCAGGCTGGTCTCAAACTCCTGACCTCAGGTGATCCGCCCACCTTGGCCTCCCAAAGTGCTGGGATTACAGACATGAGCCACCACACCCAGCTGGTTTTTTTTTTTTTAAACTACCATTAATTAGTGTTTGGTTTGCCATTTACAAGTGTGTATTTATGTGTATGCATATGTAGCTATGCCTGGAAGAAAGACTGGAAAGATACACGGGTGACATTCGACTGGGGTGGCAGTGAGGCAATTGGGGAGTAGAAGAGAAAAGTGGAGGCTGTTTATTAGCATCCACTAAATGTTTCACCCCAAATCCTCATGCCTGTCCTTCCTCCTTGAGTAAAGTACTTCAAGTATATACATATTTCAAAAGCTCCCCCAAGTAATTCTGAAATATGTTCTTCCCTTTCACTCCACATCTCATGTCTAATTTATCCACATATATCAAATGTTAACAGTAGTTATATCTGAGTATTGGGATTATAATGATTTTAAAACTTTTCTTTTTCTTGTTCTTCTTTTTTTTTTTTTTTTGCTTTGCTGGTGTTTAAAAATTCTACCATGGCTAGACGTGGTGGCACTTGCCTGTAGTCCCAGCTACTCAGGAGGCTGAGCAGGGAGGATTGCTTGAGGCCAGAAATTCTGGGCTAAAGTGTGCTATGCCAATCAGTTATCCGCACTAAGTTCAGCATAAATATGGTAATCTCCTGGGAGCAGGGGACCACCAGGTTGCCTAAGGAGGGGTGAATCAGCCCAGATCAGAAACAGAGCATGTCAAAACTCCCATGCTGATCACTAGTGGGATAGTGTCGGTGAATAGCCACTGCACTCCAGCCTGGGCAACATAGCAAGACCCTGTCTCTAAAAAAATAAAAATAAATTCTACCATGAACATGTAAACTAGTATAATAGTTAAGTGTGTTTGTTCTAGAACCAAACTACCTGAGTTTAAACTTAATAGTGGTAGGTCACTGTAACTCAGTGATGTCATCTGTAAAAGGAGAAAAATAATAACAGCTATCTAATTGGGCTGTTGTGAGAAGTAAATGACAATACAGATACAGCTCTTAAAGTAATGCCTGGTACATGTGATGCTTAATATGAGTTACTCCTTACTATTAAAACATAAGGAAAGTTAGCAATACATTTTAAAATTTAAGAACATTTTGAGCTGGATGTGGTGGCACGTGCCTGTAATCCCAGTACTTTGGGAGGCTGAGGCAGGTAGATCACTTGAGGTCAGGAGTTCGAAAAATACTGCCTGTACTAAAAATACAAAAGTTAGTCAGGCATGGTGTTGCATGCCTGTAATCCTAGCTACTCGGGAGGCTAGGCCAGGAGAATTATTTGAACCTGGGGGACTGCAGTGAGCTGAGAACCTTGAATCGCTTGAACCTGGGGGGCTGCAGTAAGCCAAGATCATGCCACTGCATTCTAGCCTGAGCGACAGAGCCAGACTCTGTCTCAAAAAACAAACAGAAAAGAACATTTGGAAATATATATATATATATTTATATATATATATATTTATATATATATATATTTATATATATATATATTTATATATATATATTTATATATATATATATTTATATATATATATATTTTTATATATATATATATTTATATATATATATATTTTTATATATATATATATTTATATATATATATATTTTTATATATATATATATATATATATATATATATATATATATATATGAAGAAGAAAAGGAGGCCGGGTGCGGTGGCTCATGCCTGTAATCCCAACACTTGGAGAGGCTAAGACGGGCAGATGACTAGGTCAGGAGTTCGAGACCAGCCTGCCAACATGGTGAAACTCTGTCTCTACTAAAAATACAAAAATAAGCCAGGCATGGTGGTGCGTGTCTGTAATCCCAGCTACTCAGGAGGCTGAGGCAGGAGAATCACTTGAACCTGGGAGGCAGAGGTTGCAGTGAGCCAAGATCGTGCCATTGCACTCCAGCCTGGGCAACAGAGCAAGACTCCGTCTCAAAAAAAAAAAAAGAAAAAAGAAGAAGAAGAAGAAAAAAGAACCGACGATCTTGGCATGCCTTTGGATCTTATCTGAGCTGGATGGCAAGCCCAAGCCCTACTCTTCCCCATCTGTGAAGTGGGAAAACAATAGGCTCTACCCGATTCTGTTGTGGGGATCAGATAGGAAGGGAAGAGATGGGAAAGGGCTATGAAAACATAAAGCAAAATTTTATAGTGAGGAGTGTTTATTGTAATTAGGAAGAGGATTATGCAGCATTGAAAAAAGAAAAAAAAAAAAGGCCAGGCGTGGTGACTCACGCCTGTAATCCCAGCGCTTTGGGAGGCCGAGACAGGCAGATCACTTGAGGTCAGTAGTTCGAGACCAGCCTGGCCAACATGGAGAAACCCTGTAAAATTACAAAAATTAGCCAGGCGTGGTGGCACATGCTTATAACCCCAGCTACTTGGGAGGCTGAGGCAGGAGAATCACTTGAACCCGGGAGACAGAGGTTGCAATGAGCCGAGATCACGCTACTGCACTCCAGCCTGGGCAACTGCGCGAGACTCCATCTCAAAAACACAAACATAAAAACACACACCAGCAGCCAGCTGCAAAGGCTGGTGGCAACAGGAAGGGGACGCTGGGCTTCCTCTTCCTGCTCTCTGGTTCCAGCCCAGAAACTACACCCTGGCTGGAGGAAAAAGATTGAACCTTACTGAAAGGCACAACAGCCATTCCTTTTTCTGTCAGACATTAAGTGGTATCTGCTTTGTATATGCACTTCTCTTCCTTTCTTTCCATTCATTTTTGCCTTTGGTGCTTTTTTTTTTTTTTTTTTTTGTAACATTATTTCTTAGCAAGTTACAGGCAACCCAAAAGCTAATACTCAGTAAACATTTATTACGTGCCCATTATAGACCTGAATGTTTGTGTCTCCCAGCCCCAAATTCGTATGTTCAAATCCTAACCCCCAATGTAATGGCATTAGGAGCTGGGACCCTTGGGAGGTGATTAGGTCCTGAGAATAGAGCCTTCATGAATGGGATTAATGCCCTTTTAAAAGGGATCCCAGAGAGCTCTGTCGGCTCTCTGCTGTGTGAGGATACAACGAGAATACAGCCATCTACAAAACAGGAAGCAACACTCACCATTCATGGGATCTGACGGTGTCTGGATCTTGGACTTTCCAGCACCTAGAACTGTGAGAAATAAAGTTCTGTAGCTTCAGCCACCCAGTCCATGGTCTTTGTTATGGCAACCCAAACTGACTAACAGAGTCCCAGGCATCATTCTCAGACTACATGTAGTAACTCATTTATCTTCTAAGCAACTCTAGGAGATAAATACCTTTTTATTATTTTAATTTTACAGGGAAGGAAACTGAGGCATAGAAAGGTTAAATAACTTGTGCAGTCTGTAGGTGGTAGATCTAAGGCTCAAATCCCAGCAGTGTGGCTGCAAACTCCTGATGCTCTTAGCCACTAAGACAATTAGAGAGCACAGGCTCCAGGAAGCCCACCGTACCACAATCCCTAAAATCTCAACCGCCAACCCTGTGCAGAGGATTTGCTAAGACTGGGATGCAGGGGCCATATCTGCCCACTGCCCTCAGCCCTGAGACCCCTCTTTTGGGTTTAGTAGTCCTGGAGGAGCCAGGAGGGAAGTCCAGGTAGTCTGATTCCACTGTCTGTCCTGCTCTCCGTGACCTTAAACTGTCTCCCAAAGAGCACACATTGGTAAAGGATTTTCAGGAACAAATGCTGAAGAAGGGTGTTGCTATTCTTGGAGACTTTGCCTTCAGAATCAGTTTCTACCCCATGCTTCCAGAAATTGATGAGGATGACTGTAAACACTCCAGAAGCTACTTGCCAATGATACTCTGTTTCAGGGAGAAGGACTGGCCCTCGTTGCTGGGGGAGCAGCTGAGATCCTGTGATGCCAGGTGATGTCTGCTGCGCTGACAGTTCCTGGGATCCATTCCTCCAGGATTTTGGACAGCATATGTTCTGAAGGTGGCCTCTTCTCTTACACAGCATGATGTAACCCTCCAATCCTCAGGCTCAAATAGGTTGCAGATTTTCTAGGGTGACTATTTCCTGTGTTCCAAGATCACAGGTGGTGAGAGCATTCTGCCTGAGAACTGTGGATAGCATTTATGTGAAAGCTGCTTATGTGGGTCAGGACATGCTTAGTGGCAAGTAATAGAAAATATAGCCCAAGGCCGGGCACGGTGGCTCACGCCTGTAATTCCCGCACCTTGGGAGGCTGAGGCGGGCAGATCACCTGAGATCACGAGTTCAAAACCAGCCTGACCAACATGGAGAAACCCCGTCTGTACTGAAAATACAAAATTAGCCAGGCATGGTGGTGCATGCCTGTAATCCCAGCTACTCGGGAGGCTGAGGCAGGAGAATCACTTGAACCCGGGAGGCGGAGGTTGCGGTGAGCCAAGATTGTGACATTGCACTCCAGCCTGGGCAACAAGAGTGAAACTCTGTCTCAAAAAAAAAAAAAAGAAAAAAGAAAAAGAAAATACAGCCCCAAATGGCATAAACAATAAAGGAAAGTGTACTGGCTCATGTAGCTGAACAGTCTCTGGATAGATTTCAGGTGAGGATGGATGCAGTGACTCAACCATGTCACAAAACACCTGGCTTTCTTTTTAACTCTTTCCTCTGCTTTCCATGTCAAGTTCATCTTAAGGGTGATTTCTCTCAAAGGAGCAAGAGGGCTACCAGAAGCCTCAGGGAGCATGCTTCCTTGTTCATTTCTAGCAGAAGCAGCAGCATCTCTCCCAGATTGTTAAATGAAAGTCCTGGGCCTCCGATTGGATAATCTAAGGTCATAGGACCATCCCTGAACCAGTTACTGCAGCCATGGCACCCAGTGGACCATAACTGGTTGAAGTCAATCAAGACCTACCCCTGGCCTGGAAATCAAGTACTTTATCCACCACAGTATACTGTTTATTTGATTTCTGACATGGAATTTTCTGGAGTCATTAAAAATACCAAATATAGTTTAATGGAGCAATAAAGTAAATGGCAACTACATTTTCCCAATTGCTCAAGTCAGAATCTTGAAATCAGGCAGGGTGTGGTGGCTCACGCCTGTAATCCCAACACTTTGGGAGGCCAAGGTGGGTGGATCACCTGATGTCAGGATTTCAAGAACAGCCTGGTCAACATGGTGAAACCCCACGTATTTTGTATTGTGTAAAAATACAAAAATTAGCCGGGAGTGGCGGCGCACACCTGTAATTCTAGCTACTTGGGAGGCTGAGGCAGGAGAATCGCTTGAACGCCGGAGGCGGAGGTGCAGTGAGCTGAGATCATGCTTGGACAACAAAAGTGAAACTCCGTCTCAATTAAAAAAAAAAAAATCTTGAAATCATTCTTGACTCCTTTATTTCTCACATTCCACTCCCATATCCAACCTATCATCAAAATCAATTAGCTCTACCACAAAAAATATCTAGAATCTGATCCCTTCTCACTTAACCACTACTGTCTCTTATCTACAGAGAAGCCAAAGTAATCCTTTTAAATAGTAAGTCATACCATGTCACTCCTAAGCTCAAAGGCCCTCAGTGACTCTCATATCAATCCAAAGAAAAGCAAAAAGCAAAAAGCAAGACTCTTCATGCTGTGGCCTGTTACCTCTCCACTCTCATCTCCTACTACTCCCATCTTGCTCACTCTGCTTCAGCCAGACTGGCTTCTTGCTAGATCCCCAAAAATATCCAGCATGCCCCTGCCTTAAGGCCTTTGTATGTGCTGTTCCCTTGGCCTGAACACCTTTCTTTCCAATATCCGCTGGGCTCATCCCCTTTGTTCAAAAATGACATTATCAGAAAGGCCCTGCATGACCAGTCAGCGTGAAAACACACCCAGCCAATCTTTAAGTCTCATACCTTGCTTTATTTTCATAGCACTTACCATTACCTAAAATATTTAAGTATTTGTGTACACGTCATTTTTCTCCCCTCCTGAATGAAAGTTCACGACAGCAAAATTATTCACTAGTACAGCCCCAATATCTAGAACAGTGAAGGCATTCAACATATAGTTACTGAAAGTGAATGAAAGCTTTAGAGCAAATAATATACGAAAGAGGAAATAGCTAACAACAGATGAAAAATGTTCAGTTTTTCCAATAAGCAAAGAAATACAAATTAAAATATAGCCAAGACAATATTTTTGCCTATTAAGTTGGCAAGAACTATCAAGTAATAAATCCATTGCTGTTGATAAGCATTGAAATTGGTATTTTCATGTAATTTTGGTGGCCAGTCTCATTAATTCATTTAAGAGATATTTATTGGGTACCTACTATATATACACTGTGCAATTTGCCAATATATACTCTAATGTGTCATAAGGCTCAGAGTCTCTGTATTAGTCAGGAAAGACTAGGTTACCAGTGGTAACAAATTAACCCCAGAATCCTAGTAGTTTACTGTAACAAAAGTTCCAACATACCCACCTCAGGTTGGTGAACAGGGAGGGTTGTTCTGTGTCACTCAGGGACTCTACCATCTGGAATGTCATTGGTCACCCTTGCAGAAAACAGGAGAGATTGGCAAATCATGCATAGGCTTTCTATAGCCACATCCAGGAAATTCACACATCACTTCCATTCACAATGAAGTGTGCTTCATTGTCCAGAGCTATTCATATGACCCTACCCAATGGCAAGGAGGCTGAGAAGTGAAGCCTCCTTTCTGCATGCCCAAAAGGAGCAGAGAAACACAGATGTTGGTAAATACTAATAATGTCTGCTATAGTCCTTGACCAAGAAATCTTACCACTCTACTAAAATAACCTAAAGTACATAAAAGGCCTCATTAAGGAAAATATTCATTGATGTTTTATTTATTATTTTGATAGCCCAAAAGAATCTTATTGGATAATGAGGAAATGAGTAATGGAATTATGGTTTATCCATATGCAATAAATTATTGTGCAGTCATAAAAATAGTAGTTAATGAAGAATCTATATATGGAAAAATAATTTTAACAAAGGAGTAAGTAAAAATTAGGAAACAAATAAAATGGGTATTATGATCACAAGGCCATAAAAATATACCTGATTTTAAAAAGTCTGAGGAAATACACTGAAATGTTTTCATTCAACAAATACCTGCTAGGCGCTAGGCCCTGCAGATTCAAAGATTAAATACACTATCTTTGTTCTAGAGGTGCTACAATCTTATAAGAATATCCAAAATGAGCCAAAAGAAATCCTTGCCTAAACCCAGAACAGTTATTCTAATAATTTTATGGTTGTACATAAGGATACACTTTCATGCCGTCATGATTTGAATCACTCAGAGAATGAGAGGCAGAGAGTCATCATTCATTCCATAGATAGTTATCAAACATGTCCTAAGTGGGTCACAGAGTTGATCAAGACACCATACCATGCTCACTGACCCCAGAAGGCTTAGAGTCTAGCTGGAATCCTACATGTCAAACAGGCTGGTCCTTGCTGGCCTCAGCTTCTGGCCTGATGAACTCCTTTACATAATGCTCTGTATCAGACCTATGAAAGTTCCTGGTGCCTAAAATAGTTCCTGGCATATAGTTTATAGTTTGGTGTCCAGTAAATTCTGGTGTTTTCCCCAAACCAACTCTACCTATAGGCTTTCCATTTCAGTTGATGGTATCTACATCCTTCAATGCTCAGGTCAAAAATATGGAGTCATTCTCAACACCTCTCTTTCTCTCACACCCTACAAATCTTTTTCAGAAAACCTTATAGCTCCCGCCTTCTGAAATATATCACAGAATCAGACCACTTTTCACTCCTCCACTGCCACCTCCATCTTTCGCCATTAGTGCCGCAGCCTCCTACCTGGTCTCCAGGCTTCTCCCCTGGCCCCTGCATTCTGTTCTCCATACGGCAGGCATGAAGAGCTGTTTAAATCCTAAGTCTGACCCCACCACTCCTCTGCTCAACTCTACTCAAACAACTCAGCTTAAAGAGTGAAATTTAGAGTTCTCACAATGACCTTTATGGTCCCTCTCTGGAGTCTCAGCTTTGTTAGATGCAAGTTAGCAGCTGTTAGTAGCAACATGGTATAACACCGCCTTTGCAATCCAGAATTGGAATTCAGAGATAATATGACCTCCCTCCATGCACAATTTTTAAGAGTCATATCTAAAATACAAAGCAGAAATAAAAAGAAAGCCCACAATAAGAGATGCATTTTAATATGTAAACATTCAGGCACAACTACAGTAGAAGACAAAAACATCTCCGTGAATTTCACAAACACCCACTATCAGATGGCACCACCCCATTGAAAACCACTGCCCTTTACCATCTGGGCTGGCTTCCTCTCTCTAAACTAAACACCAGCCCTCAGGCAGTTCACTCACTCTGCTCCAGCCACACCTGCTTCCCTGCTGTTTTGGACCAGTAAGTCACCTTCCTGTCTGGAGTCTTTGCAATTGCAGGATTCCCTCAGGGAGCCACGTGGCTCACTCCCTCCGCCTTCAGGTCTTTGCTCAAACATTCTTTTCTCAGAGAAGCCTTCCCTGACCACTCTCTTTAAAATAACGACCTTCCTCTCCCCAGACAGCACTCCTTCTCACCTCTCCCTGCTTATTTTTCTCCATACGCTTATTGTCTGACATACTAGATATTTTATTTATGATGTTGTCTGTGTCCACTCCATGAGGTCACTGATTTTTCCTGTTTGTCTTCTACTATATCCCTATTATGTAAATGAGTGCTTGGCACAAGGTGAGCGTTCAATAAATATTTGTTGAATGAATGAAAACAGTGAACAAGGGATATGTATTGAGTGACTGACTGAATGAATTGCTACAGACACCCAGCAATCATGGCATTAGTCCTGAACGCCTGGCCTCTGCTCCTCTGTACCTCACTCCTTGCCAAACTTGTTCTGTCCCACATGCTTGTTGCTTTCCACTGTATACATTCTTCATTTCCCAATTTGAAGCTCGACCTGGCTTCTTCCAACCTTGACTTCACATTATGAATTTTGTCTCACCCCCAGGCATGATGAAATTGTGACAGCTTCCTAGCAACACCCAACTTGACCTCCTTCCTGCCTTCTATCCTGTGTCCCTCCCCTCCCCGCTTTTCAACACTCCATAGCTTTATCCACATATGTACTTGCTCTAATATGCCTGTCAAAATCCTACTGGTTCTTCAAGGATAGATTCAAATGCCCCCTCCTTGCTCAATGAAGCCTGATCCACCATCCCGAAGTCAGTCTCATACCTCTAAGGCCTTTTAAGTATTTGTAACTCTTATGGCCCTCATCACAGCCTTTGCTGTATAAAATCTTGGTTTGCTTATCTTATCCCTTCTGCTGGAGTTTAAATTGTTTAAAGGCAGGGAGTAAGTCTTACTTATTTCTTGCGTTTCCCATGGTATATGAAACATGGTCAATAAGTATTAAATAAGATAGTTTCTATAAACTTCTTAGTACAGTTCTTGGCATATAGCGAATGTTCAATCCATACTGGCTGCTAATACCAGTTCACACACAAGGAAGGCAGAGTCAGTTCCACTCCAGATGAGAGCTATACCGTGTGATTTTAGCTAGGTGACTTTGAGAGCCCGTGACATGTCTAGGTCCTTACTTTTCACTGCCTGTGCCTCTTCCTATCTGTAGCAGGTTCCCCATGTTTCCTGGACCCACCTGAGTGCCCCTGAAGCTGTGGGCAGTTCCTGGCACAGGCAGACTGATGGCTTTCATCCCAAGTGCCTGCATAGGCCTTCTTTCTTTGTCTGGTACAGAAGCCTGATAGGCTACTTATAAGTGCAACCCATAGTTGAGGGAGAGGGTGTCAATGTTCCTGGGGCCGATTCTCAACCAATTTGGATGGAGTTGTTGGAAAAATGCCCCAGTCTCCCTGGCTTCTAGAGGGACAGTTCTGAGGCATGTTCCACATGGTTTCTCAGTCTGTACTGGGATTGAGTCTTTGTTGCCCCTGAGAGTAATCTGCTTTCAGCTTTTCTCTTTCCCTAACTTACTTCTCCTACTTCCTTACTTGGGTGTTCTGGGATCACTTCCCAGAACTCAAGTCCTGCTTGGGAGGGAACTATTGTCACTCAACCTTCCCGAAGAAATGGCTGTCTAGCCCCTTAGGCTGACAAAGTCCTACATGCCTCCCATCATGACACACCTTTCCTGTGGTCTGTCAGCACCAGATATGTCAATGATTGAGGTGGTGGGGAGGTGATAGGAATTCTTGGGTTATTGGCAGAGGCAAAGAATTGGGGGTGATGGGTGGGGTACATGTGGAGTTTAATCCTAGGTTTGCTGCTATCCTTACAGAAATTATCCCCCAAGGAAACAGTTGCAGTAACCCACCATTTAACAACAAAGGCCTACTCTCACTCCCAGATGTGATTGCTTAGACTTCATAAGGAAGAATACTACCTTATGAAGACCACAATGCTATGAAGACACAAAGGACTCACTGGTTTGTGGCCCAGTTTTCTTGGTGCTGTATAAGTTCATCAGAGAGGTTGTCATGTGTTCACCAAAGCCCGTTCGCCCTTCTCACTGAGCACATAACTACATTATATCCCTCAGCCTCCTTTGCATTAGGTGTGATCATGTCTGGGTTCTAGCCAGTGGAATGTGAACAGAGCTGATGTCCACCACTTCCAGGCCTTGACATTAAAAACCTCCCATGGGTAATCCTCCATGTCCTTAGTGATCTGCTGCCTGGAAGCAAAAGACTCCATGCTCTACGGCATGGCAGACACAAGGTGGCAGCAGCCTGAAGCCCTGAATCACCATGTGGAAGATGCCTGCTGTGAATTGACTGTGAGAAGAAATAACTTTTATTGGGTTAAGCTACTGAAATTCCAGGGTTAGTCATAGTATCTGGTGTCATGTCAATCAATACAAAAATTGGTATCTAGAAGTGGTGTGCTGCAATAACAAAAACCTAAAGTAATATGGCATTGGCTTAGCAGTGGAGTGGTAGTTGGTGAGAAAAGTAATATAAGAAGCTGGAAAAAGGAAACCTAATTTGTAAAGTGGCAAGACATGTAGTAAAGTATTTCCTTCGATGACAGATAGCATCCTACTAAGCCTGTAGTTCTCGGGAAAGTGGTTGGAAAGAATCAGAGTAATAGGATATATAGACGTTTCACAGGGCAGAGACAAGGGTGAGGTGAGTGAGGCACCTAGGATACAAAAGTAAGGAGGCAGTCTCTTTTGCCACCCTGTTTTTAGCTAGACATTATAAGACAGATGAAATTTATAGGAAAGATTTGTTTGCAAACAGAAGTGAAAGAGTCTAGAGAGGGCCCAGAAACACAGGGCCTCAAGGGTTATAAAGGCCCACCACTTCTGGACCTCAAAGAGCAACAAAATATTATTGAAACACAAAGGCCCTTTATGACTAACATGTATTAATACTATTAAAGATCTGATTAAGAATGTGAACTTCCCATCTCTCTTAGTCCATTCTGGCTGCTATAACAAATTACCATAGACCAGATAGCTAGAAAACAACAGAAATTTATTTCTCATAGTTCAAGAGGCTGGAAGTTTGAGATCTGAGTGCTAGCATGGTCAGGGGCTGGAGAAGGTTCTCTTCTGGGTTACAGATTTCCATCTTCTCACAGTGTCCTCACACCACAGAAAGAAAATGAGAAAGCTCTCTGAGGCCTCTTTTATAAGGGCCTCATGAAAAGAATGAACTTATCCCACTCATGAGGGTCCCATCCTCATGACCTAATCACCTCTTCAAGGCTCCACTTCCTAATTCTATCACCTTAGGGGTTAAAATTTCAACATATGAATTTTGGGGGACACATTTAGTCTTTTGCACCATCCGTGCCTGTTGTTTCAGAAAGCTCAAGCTAGCTGCTGTTAACTCAAGAGAGGGAGCCAGACATCCATGCCCTAGGGCATGGCAGAACGCACGATGGCAGTAGCCTGAGGCTCTGAATTACTATGTGGAAGATCCCTGCAGTGGACTGACTATAAATGATGTCTAGGAAAGAACTTTGGGCATGATCATTGCTTATGGAACTGATGGGAAGCAAAGATCAGAAGCTTTCTGTATTAGTCCATTTTCATACTTCTGTGAAGAAATAGCCAAGACTGGGTAATTTATAAAGAAAAAGAGATTTAATGGACTCACAGTTCCACATGGCTAATGAGGCCTCATAATCATGGTGAAGGTGAAGGAGGAGCAAAGGCATGTCTTACATGGCAGCAGGCAAGACAGCATGAGCAGGGGAACTGCCCTTTATAAAACCATCAGATCTCGTGAGACTTATTCACTATCATGAGAACAGCATGGGAAAGACTGGCCCCCATGATTCAACTAGCTTCCATCGGGTCCCTCCCATGACATGTGGATATTATGGAACCTACAATTCAAGATGAGATTTGGGTGGGGACACAGACAAACCATATCAGTTGCTAAGTTTCTGGGAAATTATATTGCCAAAGAAAAAAATGAGTCTACATTTAAAAGACTTTTGACAGTTAGAACCTTGAACCAATCCTTGAGTCCCCAAATTTGCACAAGCAGGGAGTGGGCTTCAAAAGCTGTGCAGCCTTCAAAGACCATGGGCTCCCAACACCCACCTCAAAGGCTTATAGGTGGCTGTGGAGAATAACCGTCAAGGAAGAGCCTCTTAGATAGCAGACAGGGACTACAAGGAGCTTCTCCCAGAGAGCCAGATCAGGCACCTTGTTCTTGGACTTCCAAGCCTCCAGAACCATGAGAAACAAATGCCATGAGAAATAAATGTCTGGCTATACAAGGTGGTTCACGTCTATAATCCCAGCACTTTGGGATGCTGAGGAGGGAGGAGGACAAAAGTTTGAGAACACCCTGGGCAACATAATGAGACCTCATCTCTGCAACAACAACAACAACAACAGCAACAAAAATCAGCTGGACATGGTGATATGTGCCTGTAGTCTTAGATACTCAGGAGGCTGAGGCAGGAGGATCACTTGAGCCCAGGAGTTTAAGGTTACAGTGAGCTAGGATCATACCACTACACTCCAGCCTGGGTGATAGAGTAAGACCCTGTTTCGGAAGAAAGAGAGAAAGACAGACAGGGAGAAAGAGAAAGAAAGAAGGAGAGAAAGGAAGGAAGGAAGGAGAAGGAAGGAAAGAAAGAGATGGAAGGAAGGAAGGAAGGAAGAAAGGAAGGAAGGAAGGGGCCAGGTGCGGTGGCTTACGCCTGTAATCCCAGCACTTTGGGAGGCTGAGGTGGGCGGATCACAAGGTTAGGAGATCGAGACCATCCTGGCCAACATGGTGAAACCCTATTTCTACAAAAAATACAAAAATTAGCTGGGCATGGCAGCGTGTGCCTGTAATTCCAGCTACTCAGGAGGCTGAGGCAGGAGAATCACTTGAACCCGGAGGCGGAAGTTGCAGTGAGCTGAGATCGCACCACTGCACTCCAGCCTGGTGACAGAGCTAGACTCCATCAAAAAAAAAGAAAGAGAAAGAAAGAAAGAAAGAAGGAAAAGAAAGAGAGAGAGAGAGAAAGAAAGAAGAAGGAAGGAAGGATAGAAGGGAAGGGAAGGAAGGAAGAAAGAAAGGAAGGAAGAAAGGAAGGAAGGAAGGAAGAGCCTGCTGTTTAAGCCACCTGTATATGGTATTTGTTATAGCAGCCTGAGCTGACTATATATATGTGGATATATGTATTAGTCTGTTCTTGCATTACTATAAAGAAATACCTGAGACTGGGTAATTTATAAAGAAAAGAGGTTTAATTGGCTAGTGTTTCCACAGGTTGTACAGGAAACATGGTTGGGGAGGCCTCAGGAAACTTACAATCATGGCAGAAGATGAAGGGAAAGCTGGCACTTTACATGGCCAGAGCAGGAGGAAGAGAGAATGGGAGAGGTACCACATACATTTAAACAACCAAATCTCAAGAGAACTCTGTCACGGGAACAGCACCAAAAGGGGAAATCTGCCCCCATGATCCAATCACCTTCCACCAGGCCCCATCTCCAACATTGGAGATTACAATTCAATATAAGATTTGGGCCAAGTCTGTATTAGTCTGTTCTCACACTGCTATAAAGATACTGCCTGAGATTGGGTAATTTATAAAGAAAGGAGGTTTAATTGACTCACAGTTCCACTTGGCTGGGGAGGCCTCAGGAAACTTATAATCATGGTGAAAGGTGAAGGGGAAGCAAGGCACATCTTACATGACAGCAGGAGAGAGAGAGAGAAAGAGAGAGAGAGAGAGCAGGGGAGACTCCCACTTTTAAATCATCAGATCTCTTGAGAACTCACTATCATGAGAACAGCATGAGGGAAACCACCCCCATGATCCAATCATCTCTACCAGGTCCGTCCCTCGACATGTGGGGATTATAATTGGAGACGAGATTTGGGAGGGGACATAGGGCGAAACCATATTATTCCACCACTGGTCCCTTCAAATCTCATGTTCTTTTCACATTTCAAAACCAATTATGCCTTCCCAACAGTCCCCCAAAGTCTTAACTCATTCCAGCATTAACTCAAAAGTCCAAGTCCAAAGTCTCATCTGAGACAAGGCAAGTCCCTTCTGCCTATGAGACTGTGAAATCAAAAACAAGTTAGTTACTCCCAAGATACAATGGGGATACAGACATTGGGGAAATGTTCCCATTCCAAATTGGAGAAATTGGCCAAAACCAAGGAGACAGAGGCCCCATGCAAGTCTGAAACCCAGCCAGGCAGCCATTAAATCTTAAAGCTCCAAAATCTCCTTTGACTCTGTGTCTCACATCCAAGGCACACTGATGCAAGAGGTGAGCTCCCAAGGCCTTGGGCAGCTCTGCCCCTCTGGCTCTGCAGGGTACAGCTCCTGTGGCTGCTTTCAAGGGCTGGCATTGAGTGCCTGTAGCTTTTTCAGGTGCACAGTGCTAGCTGTTGATGGATCTACCATTCTGGGATCTAGAGGACAGTGGCCCTCTTCTCATAGCTCCACTAGGCAGTGCCCCTGTGGGGACTCTGTGTTGGGGATCCAACCCCACATTTGCCTTCCACACTGCCCTAGCAGAGGTTCTCCATGAGGTCTTTGCTCCCGCAGCAGACTTCTGCCTGGACATCCAGGCATTTCCATACATCCTCTGAAATCTAGGCAGAGGTTCCCAAACCCCAATTCTTGACTTCCGTGTACCTGCAGGCCCAACACACGTGGAAGCCACCAAAGCTTGGGGCTTGCACCCTCTGAAACAATGATCTGAGCTGTACCTTGGCCCCTTTTAGCCACTGCTGGAGCTGGAGTGGCTGGGATGCAGGGTGCCATGTTCCAAGGCTGCACATGGTAGCAAGACCCTGGTCCTGGCCCACAAAACTGTGTTTTCCTCCTAGGCCTCTGGGCCTGTGTTGGGAGGGGCTGCCATGCAGATCTCTGACATGCCCTGGAGCCATTCTCTTCATTGTCTTGCCTATTAACATCCGGCTCCTCATTACTTATGCAAATTTCTGCAGCCAGTTTTAATTCCTCCTTAGAAGATGGGTTTTTCTTTTCTACTATGTGGTCAGGCTGCAAATTTTCCAAACCTTTTTGCTCTGCTTCCCTTTTAAACCTAAGTTCTAGTTTCAAGCCATCTCTTTGTGAATGCATATGACTGAACACTTTAAGAATCAGCCAGGGCCGGGCGCGGTGGCTCACGCCTGTAATCCCAGCACTTTGGGAGGCCGAGGCGGGCGGATCACGAGGTCAGGAGATCGAGACCATCCCGGCTAAAACGGTGAAACCCCGTCTCTATTAAAAATACAAAAAATTAGCCGGGCGTAGTGGCGGGCGCCTGTAGTCCCAGCTACTTGGGAGGCTGAGGCAGGAGAATGGCGTGAACCCGGGAGGCGGAGCTTGCAGTGAGCCGAGATCCCGCCACTGCACTCCAGCCTGGGCGACAGAGCGAGACTCCGTCTCAAAAAAAAAAAAAAAAAAAAAAAGAATCAGCCAGGTTACCTCTTGAATGCTTTTCTGCTTAGAAATTTCTTCCACCAGGTGGAGGTTGCAGTGAGCCGAGATTGCGCCATTGCACTCCAGCCTGGACAACAAGAGCAAAACTCTGTCTTAAAAAAAAAAAAAAAAAAATTATTCTACCAGATAACCTAAATCATCTCTCTCAAGTTCAAAGTTTCACAGATCTCTAGGGCAGGGGCAAAATACCACCAGCTGTTTTGCTAAAGCATAGCAAGAGTAAACTTTGCTTCTGTTCCCAATAAATTCCTCATCTCCAGCTGAGACCACCTCAGCCTGGACTTCATTGTCCATATCATTATCAGCATTTTGCTCAAAACCATTCAACAAGTCTCTAGGAAGTTCCAAACTTTCCCACATCTTTCTGTCTTCTTCTGAGCCCTCCCAACTGTTCCAACCTCTGCCTGTTACCCAGTTCCACAGTCACTTCCACATTTTCAGGTTATCTTTATAGCAGGCCCCCACTCCTGGTACCAATTCTCTGTATTTGTTCATTCTCACACTCCTATAAAGATACCACCTGAGACTGGGTAATTTATAAAGAAAGGAGACTTAATTGACTCACAGTTGCACATGGCTGGAGAGGCCTCAAGAAACTTACAATCATGGTGGAAGGGAAAGGGGAAGCAAGGCACATCTTACATGATGGCAGGAGAGAGAGAGAGAGCAAGAGAAGCTGCCACTTTTAAACCATCAGATCTCATGAGAACTCCCTCACTATCATGAGAACAGCATGGAGGAAACCAAACCTATGATCCAATCACCTCTCACCAGTTTGCTCCCTTGACATGTGGGAATTACAATTCAAGATGAGATTTGCGTGGACACACAGAGCCAAACCATATCAGGGACACACATCCAACCCATTATATATACTTTTTTCTGGTGAGAGGCTTCATAACCCAACTGCCTGATTCTCAAAGGTACCCTGATTAAAGAAATTTGGAGTCCCATTTGATTTTCTTCTCTCATTATCTAACATATGCCTCTACCAGAGCATGGGATCTCATCCCCTTCCCCTTTTATGATACCATTTATAATGGTTAATTTTGTGTATCAACTTAACTGGGCCATGGGGTGCCCAGACTTTGGTCAAACATTATTCTGGGTATTGTGTCTGGGTGAGGGTGTTTCTAGATGAGATTAATATTCATATCAGTAGAATGAGTAAAGCAGATTGCCCTCCCTAATGTGGGTGAGTCTCTTCCAGTCAACTGAGGACCTGAATTGAACAAAAAGACTGAGTAAGAAGGAACTTTTTCTGTCTGACTGCTTGAGCTGGAATCAAGTTTTTCTGACCTTGAACTGAAACTTACACCACCAGTTTTCCTGACTCTCAGGCCTTTGGACTGGCCTGGAACTACACCGCCAGTTCTCCTGTATCTCCAACTTCCCAACTATGGATCTTGGGACTTCTGAGCCTTCATAATTGCATGAACCAATTCCTTATAATAAATGTATATCTATTAATGTAAAAAAAATAGGTAAGGTCTCTGTCTTATTGAACTTTATCTTTAGAAGGAGAAGATATGAAGAAATATCAGTTAAGAATGCTAGGGCTGGGCGCAGTAGCTCACACCTGTAATCCCAGCACTTTGGGAGGCCAAGGCGGGCAGAAAGAGACCAGGAGATCGAGGTCAGGCAGGCGAGACCAGGCTGACCAATATGATGAAACCCCATCTCTACTAAAAATACAAAAATTAGCTGGGCGTGGTGGCATGCGCCCGTAATCCCAGCTACTCGGGAGGCTGAGACAGGAGAATCACTTGAACCCAGGGGGTGGAGGTTGCAGCGAGCCGAGATCATGCTATCGCACTCCAGCCTGGGCAACAAGAGCGAAACTCCATCTCAAAAAAAGAAAAAGAGTGCTTTGAGTTGCATGAAGCCATCCTAGCCATGGCTTAAACTTTTCTCACATGACATAAAGTGCAAAGGTAGGTGGTTTCTGGCAGCAATTGTCATCAAGGACCCAGGCTCTTTCTCTATTTTTGCTCTGTTATCTGTGCATCTTGACTTTATGCCATAACGCTTGTCACTCATGGTCACAAGAAGGTCACAGCAGTCAAGGTAGAAAGAAGGAAACAAGAGAACAACAGTGTCTACTTCCTTTGCAAGGAAAGCAAAAGTCTTCATCAAAACATACCAGAAGACTTAACTTTCTTCTGTTTCATTGGCAGGAGGGATACCAGGAAAGTCAGCATCTGCTATTCTTGCATCAGTTGCTGGAAGCAGCAGTTAAGAAGGCTGGGCTGGGCATGGTAGCTCAGGCCTGTAATCCCAGCACTTTGGGAGGCTGAGATGGGTGGATCACTTGAGCTCAGCCTGGGCAACATGGCAAAATCCTGTCTCTACTAAAAATACAGAAATCAAAAATTAGCTGGGTGTGATGGCATGGACTGTAGTCCCAGCTACTTGGGAGGCTGAGGTGGGAGGGTGGTTTGAACCCGGGAGGCGGAGGTTGCAAAGGCTGTCTTCACTCATTCCTGGGCATAAGTCAAGCTAAACATGGGAAGAATTTAGTTCATGGTTTAACTTTAAAGCAAGGATGGTAATAGTCCTTCCTTAAAACGAATCCCCTTAAACAAATCCCCTCCTTGCTCAGGGACAAAAGCTGCCTTTGTAAAACTAATGAAAGTCCACGAAGTTAGGATTATGGCGGTGGCAGCAGCGGGGGAGAAGGGAGGGGGCTGAATTATCTGAAAATGTAGGCATAGTTTCCATGATTCCTTGCTGCTCAAGTGTCTGATTTAGGGGCTGCCTGATTCTTGAATCATTCTTTGCTCAATTAAACTCCATTGAATTTAATTTGTCTAAGACCTTTCTTTTAGCGAGCCACTGAGACCCTGGAGTTGTTTGGTGTGACCACATATTCCAACTAATGAGATTTAGACTGAGGAAAGAGCATTTATCTCGTTTTTTTCTTTTCCTATAAAGCCAAATTGCTGGAAAGTATAATTTACCCTTACTAAATACTTTCTCAGGTTGTTACCATTTGGTTTCCACCCTTCCCATTTGACTGAATCTGCTTGTACTAAGGGTGACAGATAAGGTGCCACCATACACTGGTTCAAAAGTCACCTTGTTACCAGAAAGTAGGCCCGATCCAGACCCCAAGAGAGGGTTCTTAGACCTCACACAAGAAAGAATTTGGGGCAAGTCCATAAAGTAAAGCAAAGCAAGTTTATTAAGAAAGTAAAGAAATAAAACGATGGCTGCTCCATAGACAGAGCAGCGGCATGGCCTGCTCAACTGAGTACATTTATAGTTATTTCTTGATTATATGCTAAACAAGGGATGAGTTATTCATGAGTTTTCTGGGAAAGGGGCATTGATTTCCCAGAACTGAGGGTTCCTCCCCTTTTTAGACTGTATAAGGTAACTTCCAGATGTTGCCACGGCATTTGTAAACCGTCATGGTGCTGGTCGGAGTGTCTTTTAGTATGTGAATCCATTACAGTTAGCGTGTAATGAGCAGTGAAGATGATCATAGGTAACGTTTTTCGCCATGTTGGTTTTGGTGGGTTTTGGTCGACTTCTTTACTGCATCCTGTTTTATCAGCAGGGTCTTTGTGACCTGTATCTTGTGCCAACTTCCTATCTCATCCTGTGACTAAGAATGACTAACCTGCTAGGAATGCAGCCCAGTAGGTCTCAGCCTTATTTTACCCAGCCCCTATTCAAGATGGAGTTACTCTGGTTCAAACACCTCTGACAACCTTCTCTGTAAAAACATCACTGCCTCCCTCAGGAAGGGGTTGTTGTTCTCACACCTGTGGTTCCATGCCACTAATTATACATTAAATTATACTAAACAAGAGCAGGCACCATTTGTGTGTGCTGAATGGATTCTGTACAACGTGAGAGTCATTTCTTTGCTAATACTGGCAACCTACATACCTCTCAGCTGCATGAGCTCCTTGAGGATAAAGAGGGTATTCCTTATAACACTCTGACCACCAACACTAACTCATGGCTTGTCCTGGATGTTTCCTAATAAATGCTGCTGACACAGACCCACCCGCTCACCCACTTGCTCACGAAGCACACACTTGACACATGTTAACCTTCAGGTAAAGTTCTGTTCAACTCCTAGCTGGATTCCTCCAAGAGTTGCAGTGTTCCTCCCATGGATAGGTGTCAGGGGAAGGAAAGCAAGGGAAGTTCTGCTGGTTTTTTTGCTTGTTGCTGATGTTATGATATCACTGAGGAATGTAAAGGAGTGCAGGGAACCTTACCACAACATATGGCTCCGTGGGATAACGAGTATTTTTTTTGTTGAGACAGGGTCTTGCTCTGTCACCTAAGCTGTAGTATGGTGGCTTGATCACAGCTCACTGCAGCCTCTACCACCCAGCTATTTTTTTTTTTTTTTTTTGAGACGGAGTCTCACTCTTGTAGTCCAGGCTGGAGTGTAATGGCGCAATCTCGGCTCGCTGCAACCTCCGCCTCCCAGGTTCAAGCGATTCTCCTGCCTCAGCCTCCTGAATAGCTGGGATTACAGGCGTCCACCACCATGCCTGGCCAATTTTGGTAGAGATGGGGTTTCACCATGTTGGCCAGGCTGGCCTTGAACTTCTGACCTCAGGTGATCTGCCCGCCTTGGCCTCCCAAAGTGCTGGGATTATAGACATGAGCCACCATGCCTGGCCTAACTTTTTAATTTTTTGTAGAAATGAGGCCTCCCTATGTTGTCCAGACTGGTTTTGAACTCCTGGGCTCGAGCATTCCTGCCACCTTAGCCTCCCAGAGTGCTGGGATTACAGGTGTGAGCCACTGCACTTGGCCAATGAGTATTTTTGAGTTAAAGGCTCTCAAAGATCACAGATGCCAGAAGAGACTTTCCCCCTATCTACATAAAGACTGGACAGACCCACCAAGGAGAACAATTGTTTTTCCTCCCCGCTTCCTGTCTCTCAATCCCCTACCTCTCCAAAGCACAGGCTGAAGTTCCCTTATCTGCCTAAAGTCCGGACCTACCAAAGAAGAAAACAATTACCTCCAGTCCCTTCCCTGAGTTTTCATTAACAACCCATATCACAGGAAGTCTGTCAACAAACCTGGACAGACTTTCGTTATAAACCATTATCTGCTCTATGAGTCCAATAGACTTTGCCCCAGACCTTTGCACATTTTTCAAGCCCATTGAATTCCCCCCAAAAAGCATTAACCATACCCCAAAGTCAACCACAGTTCCCCATCTCCCTTTCCCCTAAGAAGTAGGACATATAAGCATCTGTACCTTTTGGGATATTGGGCAAACACTCTGTGATTCTCCCTGTGTACTCCGTAGTAATAAATTTGTAAAGTCTTTCCTCTTATTAATCTGCCTTTTTTGTGAGCTGAATTTTCAGTGAAACTTCTGAGGGTGAAGGGGAACTTCCCTTGGCCCCAACAAATACAAAACAAGACAGGCTGGGTGCGGTGGCTCATGCCTGTAATCCCAGCACTGTGGGAGGCTGAGGTGGGCAGATCACGAGGTAAGGAGTTCAAGACCAGCCTGACCAACATGGTGAAACCCTGTCTCTACTAAAAACAGAAAAATTAGCCAGGTATGGTGGTGTGCACCTGTAATCCCAGCTACTCAGGAGGCTGAGGCAGGAGAATCGCTTGAACCTGGGAGGCAGAGGTTGCAGTGAGCCGAGGTCGTGCCACTGCACTCCAGCCTGGGCGAAAGAGCAAGACTCCGTCTCAAAAAAACAAAACAAAACAAAACAAAAAAAACCAAGACCATGTGAATGGCTCATAGGAACAGTCAGCAACCAAGGTGAAATGATTTGTTTTTCCAAAGGTGAATCCTCAAGGCTGTTGTTCATTCATTCACAAATATTTATTGAGCACCTACTGCATGCTAGGCACTGGGTTAGATGCTGAGGGTACAGCAGTGAACAAAATAGACACCATCCTTGCTTTTTCTAATTTCCTAGAGCTGCTATAACAAAGTACCATAAACTGGGTGGCTTAAAACAACAGAAATGTATTGTCTCACAGTTCTGGAGAGTAGAAATACAAGACTAAGGTGTTGGCAGTGCCATGCTCCCACTGAAAGCCATAGGAGAATCTTTCCTGCCTCTTCCTAACTTTTGTTGCTTTTTCTTGTCTTGCAACTATGTAACTCCAGTCTCTGTCTTTGTCATGACATGGCATTCTCCCTACATGTCTGCATCTTCACAAGTCTGTCGGTTTTTTTGTTTGTTTGTTTGTTTGTTTGTTTTCCTGAGATGGAGTTTCGTTCTTGTTGCCCAGGCTGGAGTGCAGTGGCGCGATCTTGGCTCACTGCAGACTCCACCTCCCGGGTTCAAGCGATTCTCCTGCCTCAGCCTCCTGAGTAGCTAAGATTACAGGTGCACACCACCACGCCCAGCTAATTTTTGTATTTTTAGTAGAGACAGGGTTTCACCATGTTGGTCAGGCAGGTCTCGAACTCTTGACCTCAGGTGATCCACCTGCCTCGGCCTCCCAAAGTGCTGGGATTACAGGTGTGAGCCACTGTGCCCAGCAAGGCTGTCTTCTTATAAAGACACTGGTCATATTGGGCTAGGTGCTCACTCTTCTGCTGTATGACCTCATCTGAACTAATTACATTTGCAATGGCCCTACTTCCAACTATGGTTATGTTCTGAGGTACCAGGGGTTAGGATTTTAACATCTTTTTTGGAGGCTGGGGGAATAACTTGACCCATAACATTGCTCTTATGGAGCTTATAGTCTAGAAAGGAGGCATACATTAAATGCATCATCACACAATTAAAGATGAAAATGTCATTAGTAGTTAAGTGCTCCAACAGTAACAAGAACAACAAGAAATCGTAACAGGTGGACTGGACGTGGTGGCTCGTGTTTGTAATCCCAGCACTTTGGGAGGCCGAGGCAGGTGGATCTCCTGAGCTTGGGAATTCGAGACCAACCTAGGCAATATGGCGATATCCTGAGTCTACAGAAAATACAGAAATTAGCTGGGCATGGTGGAGTGCGTCTGTAGTCCATGCTACTGAGGCTGAGATGAGAGAATCACTTGAGCCCAGGAGGCTGAGGCTGCAGTGAGTCAAGATCGTGCCACTGCTCTCCAGTCTGGGTGACATAGTGAGACTCTATCTCAAAAAAAAAAAAAAAAAAGAAAAGAAAAAAAAGGAAGGCTGGGCGTGGTGGCTCAGGCCTGTAATTCCAACACTTTAGGAATCCAAGGTGGGTGGATCATGAGGTCAGGAGTTTGAGACCACCCTGACCAACATGGTGAAACCTCGTCTCTACTAAAAATACAAAAATTAGCCGGGCGTGGTGGTGCGTGCCTGTAATCCCAGCTACTCAGGAGGCTGAGGCAGGAGAATCTCTTGAACCCGGGAGGCAGAGGTTGCAGTGAGCTGAGTTTGTACCACTACACTCCAGCCTAGGTGACAGAGCGAGACTCCATCTAAAAAAAAAAATCGTAACAGGAGAAGCTAAGCCATGGTTGAAGGGGGTGGTCAGGAAAAGTTTCTCTGAGGAAGGAACATTTAAGCTGAAGCCTGGAGTGTTCCTCGGGGGGAGAGCAACACCGAAGGGGGCCCCAGGCTGAGGAGAAATTTGACAGAGGTATATTAATACATAAGAGACCCTCCAAAAAGGTTCTCAGAAAAGCTGAGAAGAAATAGAGTCTCTCTCTGTCACTTTGGTAATCTTAATGGTCCCAAACAGTTGTGTGCAAGAGGAAAATTCAGTTACTGAGTCTACCAAAGAAGGAAGGCCTGTCTTATTATTAGGTTCTCCTACTACATAAGTGGTTGTTTTGTTTAGTCTTTTTAAGGACCATGTTGAATGAGCCAAATTACATTTATATTCTTATTCCTTTGGGATCTGGACAAGTCTGCCAGATTTCTGGATTAGCAAAAATTGATTCGAGTGTATGATTTCAGTTAGCGGCTGCTGGGATCACTGTGAGTTTTCAGCATGACATTGTTTAGTAAGCAAACCTCTGAAAGTATGCTTTTATATCTATCAGTCCCCTCCCCAAAAAGCCTCCAAAACCCAGCTATTCTAAAGGGAGTTAAGACTTCCTAAAGCAGTAGACAAAGAACTGAGTGTCAGCTCCTTGGTTGAGTTCAAATTGCCTCCGACAGCAACTGGGCTACAGTATGTGGCACACATTTTCAGAGCCAGACGGGGAGAGGGGGTGGGTTGGTTCCCCCTGGAAAGGCTGTGCTGTGGCTGGGTGGGGTGGGAAGTTAGCCTCCCTTTTCAGGGACAATGTGTCCCACCCTATGCCGGATAGTGGCACATCACAGCTCAGCCTCCCAATTTCACCCACTGGCCTCCGTTTCCCATGTCATCTGAGGTCAGAGAGGTCCAAGCCAACAGAGGTGACTCCGCAGCCTTGCAGGAAGCTGAAGCTGTGAGAAGAAGGATATGCTGCTCCATGCACACCCCCGAGGAGCTGTCCACGGACGGGCCAGGGCTGCTTCCGGGCCAGCGTCCAGGTCTGCTGCTGAGGGCCAGGTGGTGTTGGAGTTGGCCGACTCTCCCTCCTCCATCACATTTTCCAGGAAGGGGTGGCTAGGGACCGGTGGTAGGTGGGGATATTGTCAGCAATGAATGTTGGTGTTTTTGACCAAGAGCCAAAGTATTGTGTGTTTCGGGGGTCTGGCAGACTGCCTCCGCCCAGGGAGACATGCATAACGAGCCTGCCGTCCCAGCCTATAGCACAGTTGTTTGAACTTCGCAGGGTAGGATGGGTGTGGGTGTGTGGTTCTCACCATGAGGATCAAGCCCCCCCTCTTTTTTTTTCCCCCCAACTCCTTTACATCTTTAAGTAAATGAAGCAAAGGAACTGACTGGTGGACTTGAGGAGTGGAAAGGGGCTGTTTATTACCATTCTTGCCAGTCATTTCCCAGGGTTAGAAGTCAACAGAGAGTTCTTTTCTTCCTTTCGTCCAGTATTTGAGTTTAAGTCTTAACAGAGGCAAGTGGGCATTAATAATAGTTGTCCAGGCCAGGCGCAGTGGCTTACACCTGTAATGCCAATGCTTTGGGAGGCTGAGGCAGGAGGATCACTTGAGCCCAAGAGTTCAAGATCAGCCTGGACAACATAGCAAGACCCTATCTCTCCAAAAAATTTAAAAATCATGCAGGTGTGGTGGCACGAGTCTGTAGTACCAGCTACTCAGGAGGCTGAGGTGGGAGGATCGCTTGAGCCCAAGAAGTTGAGGCTGCAATGAGCCATCATGTCACCACTGCACTCCAGCCTGGGTGACAGAACAAGACACTGTCTCTAATAATAATAATAATAATAATAATTTAAAAGTCCAGTTTGGCACCATGGGCATATAATCTGGCCTTGTTGGGTTCCCGTTTATAAAAGATCTCCCTGCTGTGGGCTGACTCCTTCCTCACATAGCCCTCCTTGGCCTGAGAAAACCCAGGAGAACAAAGGTGGGAGGAAATGTCAAAATCCAGAAGGGCCAACTTCTGAGCAACTCCGGGAAGTTTTCTCCCAGAACCAGGTCCTGCCCGCAGAGAGCTCTTCCTAAGGAACCGGGTTGCTGAGGAGTGGGTGGAGCTCAGCACCTTTCACACTCCATTGGATCACAGCCTGTTTCCATTAGGAAGGTTGGATGCTGCAGCCCGTTTCCCACCTGGTGTAAATTGCAGGGGCTACCGCTGCCACCAGCAGGGTATCAGCAAATAAAACCAGGCCTGAGGCCATTTGTTACAAACTTGAGGCTTGTGGTATTTGAAGCTGCACAGTCATTTGGGAAACTGAGTATTCCACAGAGGAAAAGGCTGGTGGGGCGGTGCATGTCCCAGAGGACACAAAGTGTTCTCCAAACCCACAAAGTCTGAAAATCCATCAGTAGAAATTTCTAAAATTTCAGAGATGCCAGATTTGGCTAATCAAAATTCAGGGTGTTCCATTAAGTTTGAATTTAAAATAAAGGAGGAACACTTTTTTTTTTAAGGATAACTATGTCCCAAACATTGCATTGGAGGACATACTTATGCTTACAAAGTATTTGTTCTTCCTTGTATGATGTTGGTGAGAATGTAAATTAGTATAGCCACTATGGAAATGAGTATGGAGGTGTCTCAAAAAATTAAAAATGGAACTGGCATATTGCTATGGTTTGAATATGTCCCCTCCAAAATTCATGTTGAAACTTCATCCCCATGGTGGTGATATCAAGAGGTGGGACCATTTGGGGAGTGATTAAGTCATGAGGGCCCCACCTTCATGGATGAGATTCAGGCCATTATAAAAGGGCTTGAGGGGGAGGCTTTACTCTCATCTTCCTTCTGCCACAAGGACACAGCAACAAGACGTGATTGTGGAAGCAGAGAGCAGTCCTCATCAGATACCAAATGCTGGAGCCTTGATCTTGGACTTCTGAGCTTCTTCAACTGTGAGAAAATACATTTCTGGCCAGGAGCGGTGGCTCACGCCTGTAATCCCAGCACCTTGGGAGTCTGAGGCAGGTGGATCACGAGGTCAGGAGATCGAGACCATTCTGGCTAACACAGTGAAACCCCGTCTCCACTAAAAAAAAAAAAAAAAAAAAAAAAAAAAAATTAGCTGGGCGTGGTGGCGGGCGCCTGTAGTCCTAGCTACTCAGGAGGCTGAGGCAGGAGAATGGCATGAACCCGGGACGTGGAGCTTGCAGTGAGCAGAGATTGCACCACTGCACTCCAGCCTGGGCGACTGAGCGAGACTCCATCTCAAAAAAAAAAAAAAAAGAAAAAGAAAGAAAAGAAAGAGAAAATACATTTCTGTTCTTAATCAATTACCCAGTGTCAGGTATTTTGTGGTAGCAGGACAAATGGATGAAGGCACGTGCAATCCAGCTACCCACTACTGATTGTATATCCAAAGGAAATGAAGTCAGTATGTCAAAGAGATATCTGTGTCTCATGTTCATTGCAGCATTATTCACAGTAACCAAGATATGGAATTAAAGTAAGTGTCCATCATGGATGTATGGATAAAGAAAATGTATATATACAATGGAATACTATTCAGCCTTAAAATAAAAAGAGGAAAATTATGTCACTTGTGACAACACGAATGAACCTGGAGGACATTGTGCTAAGTAAAATAAGCCAGGCACAGCAAGACCAAAACCACGTGATCTCACTTCTGTGTGGAATCTAAAACAGCCCAACTCATTAAAACAGAGTTGAATGGTGGTTACCAAAGAATGGGTTTGGGGAGATGTTGGCCAAAGGATACAAAATTTGAGTTCAATAAAAGGAATAAGTCCAAGAGATCTATTGTACAAACAATGACTATAATTGATAACAATATATTATATACTTAAAAATCACTAAGAGAATAGATTTTCAGTGTTCTCACCACAAAAAAAAGTATGTGAGGTAATGTATATGTTATCTCAATTTATCCTTTCCACAATGTATACATATTTCAAAATATCAAGTTGTACACCATAAATATATACATTTTTACTGGTCAATTACAATTTATTTTCAAAAGTACTTGTTCTTTATCTAAAACTTACATTTAACAAAGCATCATCTATTTTCTCTGACTACCCCACCCCAGGTACAGAATGCCTCCGGAAGTTTCTTTATCTTTTCTTTTTTTTTTTTTTTTGAGACAGAGTCTCGCTCTGTCACCAGGCTGGAGTGACTTGATCTTAGCTCACTGCAACCTCTGCCTCCCGGGTTCAAGGAATTCTCCTGCCTCAGCCTCCCGAGTAGCTGGGACTACAGGCGCGCACCATTACACCCAGCTAATTTTTTTTGTATTTTTAGTAGACATGGGGTTTCACTGTGTTGGCCAGGATGGTCTCGATCTCTTGACCTCGTGATCTGCCTGCCTCAGCCTCCCAAAGTGCTGGGATTACAGGCGTGAGCCATCGTGCCTTGCCTGCCTCCAGAAGTTTCTACTGAAGGCAGAGGTGAAAGGAAACCCGCTGTGAATGCTGACGTCTTATTCACTAGTCTTTGAACTCTTCTAGGGGCTGGCTGCCAGACTCAAAGCATTGTTTGCTTATGGGATGAACGTCTTAATGCAGGGAAACTGAATGGCCAGTTGTCATCAACCCAACCAAAGGGACTCCGCAAAAAAAGTAATGTTGTTGTTCTGTAATAGGTAAATGTCAGATAGTTCTATTCTCAATGGCAAGCTGATGAAGCCCACCCCAGTCCACACACTTTCTCTCCTGTTCAGAATCTGTTGCTAGGTGGGTGGCTCGGGCTGTTCTTCCTCTCCCTTCCTTGTTGCCCTCTCAGCCTCTGCAATGGGGCTGTGAGGAGACCAAACCCCATCAGCTCCTCCTTGGTATTTCCTCATTCCACCATTCAGAGCATTTCCCTGAACCTGTTTGCTGAGCATCTGGGCAAATATTTGGTGGGGAAAGTGATTTAATTTTTTTAATTGAGGTGAAATTCACATAACATAAAATTAACCTTATTTTTTTTTTTTCTGAGACAGAGTCTCACTCACTCTGTTGCCCAGGCTGGAGTGCAGTGGTGCAATCTCAGCTCACTGCCTCCTGGTTTCCAGTGATTCTCCTGCCTCAGCCTCCCGAGTAGCTGGGATTACAGGCACGTGCCACCATGCCAGGCTAATTTTTGTATTTTTAGTAGACATGGGGTTTCACCATGTTGGCCAGTCTGGTCTTGAACTCCTGACCTCAAGCAATCTGCCCGCCTTGGCTTCCCAAAGTGCTAGGATTACAGGCGTGAGCCACCGTGCCTGGCCAAATTAACCATTTTAAAGTGTACAATTCAGTGGCATTTGGTACATTCACAGTATTGTGCAACTTCCACCTCTATGTGGTTACAAAGCATTTTCTTCGCCCCTAGAGAAAACCCTGTACCCATGAAGCAGTTGGCTGTCAGCAATTTAAATTTAATTTTAAATTTTCACATTTTTAATTAAGCAAATTTAATTTCAAATTTGTCTCTTTAGAAATAGAGAGGCTCCCTCAAACTGCCCCTTGTGAGGCTGAAGTGAGGGGAATGAGAGAAATGGAAAGAGCAATTCTTGAGTTGAGTCAGTGGACAAGACTGGTTTCCAAACCTAATTGCAGATCTCTCACTGGTTTATAGGATTGAAGGCTATAGATTAAACGGCTCCAGAAAGACAGGTGTGTGCATGAAATGAGTCCCTGGTGATTGACAGAAGAGGGTTCACTTTAAGGCAGGGCTTACCAGGGAAAGTGGCAGAAGCTGCCAGACTATGCAAACAATGGGGAAGGGAGTCACAGGGCATGAAAGGGTCTTGTGAAGGGTGTAACCTGCTCACAGAGCACATTCTTGGGGACTAGGGTAAGAGAAGAGTCTACAAAAAGGAGCACAATGGGCTTGAGCTTCTGGGTTCAGAGGGAGCCGATGAATCACCTTGGGGAGGTGTCCCATTGCCCCTTGGCCAGTGAGAGCCTGAGATTTCCTGATTTACAGGAGTTGGTTCCTTCTCAGAGGAACACTTGACTCTCTCCTGTCTAGAGAGACCAATCCTCCTTATTGTATGTAAAATCTGGTGCAACTGCATTTTTGGAGACCACTGGTACTTCCTGCAGTGACTTGCTTGCAGCAGTTTTCTTTATTCTCCAGCTGGTTCCAGCTTCTTTTAATCTCTAGTTGTTTTCAGCAGTCCCTAGCTCACCACAAAGCCAGAAGCTTCCCAGTTTGGAACAGAGTTGCAGGGGTAATCCTCTTTGTTCAAGATTTGGGAGTTAACTGTTGGGCCAATGCCCCCTTTATTGCAAAGTTTGCAAGGAAAAGAACAAAGGAAGAGGAAGATCCACTGGGACAGTTGGAGCTGCCAGGTGGCACAGAGCTGTACAGTCCTTCACTGAACAAATGTTTATTGAGGGCATGCTGGCACAAGGCACTGCTGTAGAAGATGCAAGTGGTTATAGCCCACCCTGAGCTACTGCATTTTATGTGCCAGGCACTGTTCTTGGGGCTTTGCTTATATTCACTTATACTGAAGGACAACAGCCCAGTGATTATTTATGGGAAAGTGAGCTTTTCCCACCCTTGCCTCAGGGTGGCGGTTGCCCAAAAGTGGGGTTCGTCCTGTGTCCATGCCTCCTTACCTGCCACCTCAACCACCAAAAGGAACTGAACCTCCCCTGCTACTCCAGCTCATGTGCAATAATCACAGAACACAAGGAAGTTAGGGTAACAAGAGCAGAAAAGTGGAAAAACAAATACCTCTACCCCTCTGCACAGATGCTGTGTCTGCCTCACAAATATCTTTAACCTCCATCATCTCATCATTGCTCCCTTGCCCCATGGATGGAAGCAGTTGTCCCCTCTGTCTAGCTTTACAGACACTTTGCTCAAGCATCAGAGCAGATACAGTATTCAAATGGGATGCCCTGAATAATATGTCTTCTTTAGGCATCAGGCAGGAATGTCTGAAGATGAAAAACCCTAAAACAAGTGCACAAGGGCCTTGTTGATGTTTCTAAGAATAGCGCTGGGAGAATCTCCTTGGCCTAGCCTGGAAAGTCATCATTCATCCTGGGTTGCGGGGATGAAGAATCCTGCCAGTGTCATTCTATATACTCTTTTCTGATAAAGATACTTTGTTAAATGTAACTCAGTGCAATTTGATTTTATATCCTTAAAAGATTTCTTTCATATGAACAAATCCACAAGGTAAAAAAAAAAAAAGTTTTGGCCGGATGCAGTGGCTCATTCCCGTAATCCCAGAACTTTAGGAGGCTGAGGTGGGAGGATCACGAGGTCAGGAGATCAAGACCAGCCTGGCCAACATGGTAAAACCCGACTCTACTAAAAATACAAAAATTAGCAGGACGTGGTAGTGTGTGCCTGTAATCCCAGCTACTCGGGAGGCTGAGGCAGGAGAATCTCTTGAACCAGAGAGTTGGAGGTTGCAGTGAGCCGAGATTGCGCCACTGCACTCCAGCCTGGCGACAGAGCAAGACTCTGTCAAAAAAAAAAAAAAAAAAAAACCCTCCACTTTTTTTTATTTTTAATTTTTATTTATTTAATTAATTTTTTTGTATCATTATTTTTTTTGTGATGGAGTCTTGCTCTGTCGCCAGGCTGGAGTGCAGTGGTGCGATCTCGGCTCATTTCAACCTCTAACTCCCTGGTTCAAGAGATTCTCCTGCCTCAGCCTCCCAAGTAGCTGGGATTACAGGCACACGCCACTACGTCAGGCTAATTTTTGTATTTTTAGTAGAGACAGGGTTTCACCATGTTAGTCAGGATGGTCTCAACCTCCTGACCTCGTGATCCGCCCGCCTCGGCCTCCCACAGTGCTGGGGTTACACACGTGAGCCACCGTGCCTGGCCTAAAAAAAAGTTTTTATTGTGTCCTCAGTGGGGATCAGAAAATATAGTTACTGTGTTTTTCCTTCTGCATTCTGTCTGAAATTATGTCTTATTTTTAAATTTATTATTGAATGCCGCATACTGTCATTTTGTTTCCTATCTTGGATCAGGTTGTAGGTACTGTGTGTGAGTGTGCATTTGTGTGTGTGTGTGTGTGTGTGTGAGCGAGAGAGAGAATGTTGAATTGAGGTCTTTCAAGGAAGGGTTAAAGAGCCATGTGCGAATGAGCTTCTGTTCCACGGCAGGCATTTAGAATCACGGTGCTTAGAAGACGTGGTATAATGATAGGCTGCTGGTGATGATATTGCTTCCCTGGGACGCTTCAGGAAGGGTGAGGAGACTAATTGGCTGGTCTGGCAAACAATTCAAGATGAGACCAAAAGGAGGAGCCATCTGCTGGCAGGAAGTAAATGGAAATTCACCTTAGCGCTGGCCCTTCCACAGTGGGTGCACAGATGGTGACAGGCGGAACCCTTAGGGAGAGAGCGAAGGCCCTCATCTGCCAAGAGAGGAACAAAGGGGATTTGCTATTGCCTCCAGTGAACAGCCTCTTCTTTCATTTTGAGATCATGTAAGGAGTTTGCCCACATCACAAACCTGTTAGTATGAGCTTGGTGGCCTTGGGGAGTTTCCAGGCAGTATTACTGTGTAGAACTAAGAGTGAGGCTTTAGAGGAAGCAATGGAGATGGAAGTAATTGGTTTAAGATCCTGGACATGGGCACCCTCTAATCTGGGATGACCTCATGTGGCTGTGCAGCACAGAACAGCAACGGGGCTCCATTGACATGCAAAAGGCATTTCCTCGACACTCCCCCTCCCAGCCCTGCTGCAGGTCCCAGTCTGCACAGTGCTTCAGGGCAGACCTCCTCCTGACTGCTTGTAAGTTGAACCTTCGATTCAACTTTATTCCACCTGCTCAATGTAGTCCTTCGAGTTTCCAAGCAGGAAGCATTGCAAGGGCGAGTAGCTGCTGCAATAAGCCCTCATTTCTGCAAAGGAGTGGTAGTGTATGTTTTCCCAATATACCCACCTCAGATATAGTAATTTCTAAACATATCAGTGGAAACAGAATAAAACCTCTTAGATGCAAATTATCTTGGTTGCAAGGGTAAGGAGTAGGGGGGAAACCAATATGAGTTAATAAAAGAACTGAACATACTTAAAATAACATGAAATTTTTTCCCTCTAATTCCATGAGAGGTTAGACATGTAATTTCTTTACACTTGAATACATTGAGAGAATCAGTTAGGATAGCACTTTTTAAAATTTTTAATTTTCTGTCTGAAAGCCATCACTGTAAGGACTATTACTGAAAATTTAAAGGCCAAATATTTAAACGATATGAAAAATATACCATCTTGCTTAACAAGAAGTCCTGAGACAGGACAGATGCAAAGTTCGTCAACTCAATGGCTTAACAAGGTTAAGAAAGATTTGGGCTGTTTACAACCTTCCTATTCCGTTCTCACTTAGCAGGGCAGTTTTGAACCACCAGGTACCTCCCCTCATGGTCACAAGATAGCAGCCATGGTTCCAGCCATCTCACACAAATCCTACAACATCCTTTAGATGAATATTCCCTCCGTGTGTGTGTGTGTGTGTGTGTGTGTATGTGTGTGTGTGATCACAGAGGAAAAAACCTTCCCCAGGAGTACCTCATATACATACAGCTTAAACTGCTAAAACAAAAAAACTAAAAAATACGATGGTTCAAAGAAGAAAGCAATTTATTTTCTTTTCATGTATCAGTCCCAATGTATGTAAGTCTTTCTGTCTTGCTCTGCCATTCTCTGGAGTCATGTGCTTGCTTGAAGCTGGATTAGCAGTACCACCCAGTGTGCAGAAAGGGATTAAGAGAGAAAGTAAAGAACAAGCATTCTCCTTCTTAAAAACATGGTCTAGAAATTAGACTCATTATTTTTTTCTCACATCCCATTAGCCAAAACTTGGCCACACCTTGCAACGATGGAGGCTGGGAATTATAGTCTGTAATTGGGCATGCGCCTAGCTAACACTGAATGTAACTTCTGCTGAAAAGAAAGGTAAAGTGAATGTAGGGAGAAATTAACATTCTCTGCCATACTCCTCTTGTCAATTTCTGCTCACGTCTCATTGGTCAGAATTACTTAACATCATGGGATCTAAACCACTAACAGCTAGGGAATGAGACCACCAGGACTGGTTTAGGTCAGGGTTCTCAACCTCAGCACCATTGACATTTTGGACTGGATGGTTCTCTTTGTTGTGGGGGCTGTCCTGTGCATTGAAGAATGTTTAGCCGCACCCCTGCCCTCTACCCGCTAGATGCCAGTAGCACAATATGCTTACCTCTGTGGCAACAAAAACTGCAAAATATTGCCGAATTACCTCCAGTTGAAAATCACTACCTTACATCAACCACGATTTTGCCCTCTAGCAGGAATAGGATGCCCCCTTCCCTGAATCAAGTTTTTAAAAGATGGACGCTGCCAGGTGTGGTGGGCTCACTCCTGTAATCCCAGTGCTTGAGGGGCTGAAACGGGAGGATGGCTTGAGTCCAGGAGTTCAAGACCAGCCTGGGAAATGAAGTGAGATTCCATCTCTGCAAAAAATAAAATAATTAGCCTGGCATGGTGGTGCACACCTGTAGTCCCAGCTACTCAGGAGTCTGAAGTGGGAGGATCACTTGAGCCCAGACGTTCCAGGTTGCAGTGAGCTATGATCACTACATTGCATTGCAGCCTGGGTGATGGAGTGAGACCTTGTCTATAAAATAAAATAAAATGACAAACACAAAATCAGGGTTATTCTAACAGGAGTAATGGGGGCAATGGCTGCTGGGCAGGCAACCAACAGTCATCAATGTACAATGATAGAAGAAATGTCAAATAACATGTTATCCAATGAAGGCTGGTTGTGGTGGCTCAGTCCTGTAATCTCAGCACTTTGAGAGGCCGAAGCAGGAGGATCACTTGAGCCCAGAAGTTCAAGACAAGCCTGGGCAACACGGTGAGACCCTGCCTTATTTTTTAAAAAAAGGAAAAGAAAAAATAATATTATCCAGTGAAGGTTCTGTCAGATGATCTTTAATTTGTTTATTTATTCAATATATATGTATTAAAAGCATACCTGGTAGGCTGGTGCTGTGGCTCACGCCTATAATCCCAGCATTTTGGGAGGCTGAGGAAGGAGGATTGCTTGAGCCCAGGAGTTCGAGGCCAGCCTGGGTAACATGACAAGACCCCGTCTCTACAAAAACTACAAAAATTAGCTGGGTGTAGTGGTGCACACCTGTAGTCCCACCTACTCGGGAGGCTGAGGAGGGAGGATGGCTTGAGCCCAGGAGTTTGTGGTTATAGTGAGCTATGATCATACCACTGCACTCCAGCGTGTGTGACAGAGGGAGGCCCTGTCTCTAAAAAGTAAACTAAAATAAAGTAAAATAAAAAATTTGGCTGCTGAGGCTTAGCCAAAAGAAGAAGAAAAGAAGAAATATTTCCTAAAAAGAAAAAAATTATGTAATTAACAAAATATTTATGGGTAAATTGCTAATATCAAAGCTTTTTAAGTGCTTAAAAGCCATTTGACTTCTTAAATAGATTGTTTACATTATTTTCCTAGTAAATCCTTTCCCCCATTGAGTGGAAAAATAAACTTAAAACCAACTCCTATCTAAATCATGGGAAATATGGGTAAGATCCACATGAATTTATTTGGGTTTTAATTTTTTTTTTTTTTGAGACGGAGTTTTGCTCTTGTTGCCCAGGCTGGAATGCAATGGTACGATCTTGGCTCACTGCAACCTCCGCCTCCTGGGTTCAAGCGATTCTCCTGCCTCAGCCTCCTGAGTAGCTGGGATTACAGGTGCCCACCACCATGCCTCGCTAATGCTTGTATTTTTAGTAGAGATGGGGTTTCACAATGTTGGCCAGGCTGGTCTGGAGCTCCCGACCTTAGGTGATCCGCCCGCCACAGCCTCCCACAGTGCTGGGATTACAGGTGTGAGCCACCACACCCAGCCAAAGTTTTACATTTTTTCAAGTTATCATGTTAAATTCATAGACTTCATCTATACAAATAGATTTGAATTTGCTTAGAGCTTATTTTGGCTAAAGAAGTGGAAACAGAGTATAACAAACAATAATTGAACAAACTCTAAGAAATTATTGGTAACAACGTTGGCTGTTCTTCCAATTTGCTTATAATTATTTTATTCTGACTTTTTTTAGATAATCGAGCTAGTTTCACTTAGATAACCTCTAGCTCTCCTAATGTAGATGTATTTAATATAAATTAAAGAAATATTTCTTTTTATATCCTGTGGCAAATTAAATATAAATTGGGGAGCAATTGAAAAGTATGAGAGAAAACAGGCCCAAATTAATGTCATGCTGTCAGGTAGGGCTTCAGGGGCTGTTATCACATTCCTCATTTCTGCAAAATGTTTCACTTAAATCTGGAAAAATGAAAAGGCACAGTGTTTGTTAAATGCCTGAGGGCAGAGATGGGAAAAGCAAAGGTAAACTTTGTAGAGAAGTGAAGTTGGCAGGAAATTGCAAGATGAGATTTGGCTTGAAAATAGAAGCTTATTTATCAAGAAGAAAACTATGAAAAGATAAAAATACGCAATCCTCCTTGCACATTCTCCCAAATGACCCTGTGTATGGCTTGTGTGATTAGGTTAACCACTTCTATATTAAAACTAGAGAAACTTTATATTTTCCCATTGCTACTTTGCCTGAAAAAAATGGGTCATTGGCCGGGCGTGGTGCAGTGGCTTATGCTTGTAATCCCAGCATTTTGGGAGGCCGAGTGGTGGATCACGAGGTCAGGAGTTCGGAACCATCCTGGCCAAGATGGTGAAACTCCATGTCTACTATAAATACAAAAATTAGCTGGGTGTGGTGGTGCACCCTGTAATCCCAGCTACTTGGGAGGCTGAGGCAGAGAATTGCTTGAACCCGGGAGGTGGAGGTTGCAGTGAGCCCAGATCGCACCACTGCACTCCAGCCTGGGCAACTCTGTCTAAAAAAATAATAATAATAAAATAAAATAAATAAATAAAAAATCATTGCCCCAAGGTGAGTGGCAGGACTCAACTTATAGCTTTTATCAATTAGCTAGGCTTTTGCACATATAGATAACTGCATTTCTTTTTATATCCTGTGATCCAATTATATATTTTTCCCTTTAAAATATCTGTTGAAATAAGAAGCATAAGTTGTAATCACTAAAAGCATTTTTACATATTTAAAACAAAGTAAAATCTAGAACAAGAGTTGAAGACACACCAACAAGTACGTATACTCAAGCTCCTCCTTCTTGAATTAAGTCAGCTGCTAATATTTTCTGGTTTGACCTCAGAAATTAAGTAAGGAAACCACTGTGAATATTTTATTAGAGGCAAAAGTCCTTGATAATTTTTTCTTTTTTTTGAGACAGGGTCTTGCTCTGTCATCCAGGCTGGAGTGCAGTGGCATGATTACAGCTCACTGCAGCTTCAACCTCCCAGGTTCAAGTGATCCGCCTACCTCACCCTCCCAAGTAGCTGCGACTACAGGTGCCAGCCACCACACCTAACTAAGTTTTTAAATTTTTAGTAGAGATGGTGTTTTGCCATGTTGCCCAGGCTGGTCTGGAACTCCTGGGCTTAAGCAATCTGCCCACCATGACCTCCCAAAGTGCTGGGATTGCAGGTGCAAGCCACTGTCCTCGGCCCTTTATAAATGATTTTTCACTGTTGGAGCTTACTGTGCATAACAGACACCTCTGGGGATCTGTTCAACCCACAGTCCCACCTTTGTGGCCACTACTTCTGTTGGGTGGCCTCTGCCATGACTCCTCTCACTGGTCTCTAGTAACACCTTTCCTTTCCCGTTGCCCTTCAAGCCTCAGGGAGGTGCTGGCTCGTTGCTGCTGCTAATGCCTTGGTGATTTCTCATCCTGTTTGTTCGCCTTTAACCCTGGCCAAGCCTCTGTAAAACACAGTGTCTCATTAAACTTTGGTCAGTTATGTCCTATATGTGCGCCACTCGTTCCCCATAGGGACCCTATCACACTCTCTATTATTTCCTATTGCTTCTCTAACAAATTACTACACATTTGATGGCTTAAAAAAACACAAGTGTAGTATTTTATAGGTCTGGAGGTCAGAAGTCCAAAATGGGTTTAACTTAGCTAAAAGCAAGGTGTCAGCTGCGATTCATTCCTAGTGAGGTTCTAGGGCAGATTCCATTTCCTTGCCTTTTCCAGCTTCTAGAAGCTGCATTCTTCGGATCAGGGCCCCTTCTTCTCTCTTTAAGGCCCACAGTGTAGCATCTTCTCTCTCTCCTCTGCTTCCATCATCACAGTGTCTTATCTGGCTCTCACGCTCCCACCTTCATCTTTCCCTTAGAGAGCCCCCTGAGATTTGATGGGGTCCACCCAAATCATCCAGGACAATCTCCCCATCTCAACTTCCTGACTTGAAGCACATCTGCAAAGTCCCGTTTGCCAAGTAAAGTAACATACTCATATTTCCAGGAATTAGGACTTGGACGTCTTTGGGAGGCCAGGGTGGACATTATTCCGTCTACCATCCTTCCTTCAAGGCAATGGGTCCTTCTGTTTTCTTTCCCAATGCTCTGTTCCCCCAAATAGAAATACAGTCAAGTGTCACTTAACAACAGGGATATGTTCCAAGATATGTGTCACTTGTCAATTTGACCGTTGTGCAAACATCATGGAGTGTTCAGTACTTACACAAACCTAGATGGTATAGCCTACTATACACCTAGGCTATATGGTGTAGCCTATTGCTCTAGGCTGCAAACCTGAACAGCACGTTACTGTACTGAATACTGTAGGTAATTGCAACACAATGGTATTTGTATATCTAAACATATACAAACGTAGAAAAAGTACAGTAAAAATATGGTATCAAAGGTTTTTTTTCTTTAAAAAGGATACCCCTCTATAGGATACTTCCCGTGATTGGAGTTTGCAGGATGGGAAGTTGCTCTGGGTGAGTAGTGAGTGGGTGGGGAGTGAGTGTGAAGCTTCCTTCCAGTGGTTGCTCTGCTCTTCCCCAGCTTCCTGTCCTCACCCTCCTGTCAAAGCTGCCTCACTACTCCCCTAACCCTGTCCCAGCCTGGGGACAAGGAAAAGAGGACATAGAGGCAAGCAGCTTCCCTTTAAGGATGGAACTCTGAAATTGCAGACATCATTTCCACTCACACCTCAGGTGTCTAGAATGCAGTTATATGGCCACATCAAACTGCAAGGGAGGCTGGGAAATGTCGGCTCTCCTTGGGCAGCCATGTGCCCAGCCAAAACTCATGAGCTCCTGTTATTTAAATAAAGGAAAAGAAAATGGAAGTTAGGAAACCAGGAGGAGTCTCTGCCACGTTCTCTGCAGCTTAGTTTTCTCATCTACAAAATGAGAAGGCAGTTTTGATGATTAAATGTCATGCATAGAGAGAGATGAGAACTGTGTGCAGCACACAAGTGTTCAATAAACATTAGTTTATGTTATTGGATTATATTCTCTTCTCTTCTCCTCCATGCTTGAGTCTTGTCTTTTTGTTGTTTTTTGTTTGTTTGTTTTTGTGTTTGAGACAGAGTCTCATTCTGTAGCCCAGGCTGGAGTGCAATGGCGCGATCTAGCTCACTGCTACCTCCGCCTCCCAGGTCCCAGTTCAAGCAATTCTCCTGCCTCAGCCTCTCGAGTAGCTGGGATTACAGGCACGTGCCACCATGCCCAGCTAATTTTTGTATTTTTAGTAGAGATGGGGTTTCACCATGTTGGCCAGGCTGGTCTTGAACTCCTGACCTTGTGATCCACCCACATCGGCCTCCCAAAGTGCTGGTATTACAGACGTGAGCCACCGCACCCGGCCAATGCTTGAGTCTTAATGTCTGCTCCAAGGTAAATGAAGACCATGAATGATCCAAGGATGTTGGAGGCACATTCCATTGGGTATTGACCTCTAGGGTGTAAATGGACCGATTCCTTTAAAGGTGCAAGAATAGGGTGAACCATCTGGCACCCACAAAGGGCCTGGCCCACCAAAATTACTGGATGAATGTGTGGTGCGATGAATTAAATCATCTCTTTACGGACATGGAGCAGGTTCAGCCTGAAGAGGAGAGTAAGGAAAGAGAGAGAAAGGCTGAAGAAAGAGAATGATGGGGAGGAGGACAGGAAAACAACAGAGGAAAACGAAGGGGCCAGCACCTTTGTGTGAATGAGAAAAAGACTCCCCTTCCTCAAGACATGTTGCTGCCATCAGCCTCAACATTGTCATAATACATATGCAAACCTATGCTGACTATGGCATGAATGGTGCCCCCTGGAGTTTTCAGTTTACAATAAATACAACTAGCCCTAGAAAAGCCATATAAAGATTGAGGGATGGCGGATGGGGGTCGGGGGAAGAGTGGGAATAACAAGAGAGTAAGAATGAAAAACCACATTGGTAGGAAGTGTGAGAATTAGGAATTAAAAAATGAAAGGTACGTGTTATAAACTGAAGAGTGTCCCCTCCAGATTCACACAATGAAGCCCTAACCCCTGGTTTGACTGTACTTGGAGACAGGGTCTTTAGGGAGGTAATTAAGATTAAATGAGGTAACTTGGGTGGGGCCTAATCCCATAGGACTGGTGTCCTTATAAGAAGACGCTCCAGATCTCCCTCTCTCTCTCCCTCCCTAAAAACCCTATCTGCAGGTCGGTGCAGTGGCTCACACCTGCAATCCCAGCACTTTGGGAGGCCAAGGCGGGCGGATCACGAGGTCAGGAGTTTGAGACCAGCCTGACCAACATGGTGAAAACCCATCTCTACTAAATTACAAAATAATTTGCTGAGTGTGGTGGCGGGTGCCTGCAGTCCCAGCTACTTGGGAGGCTGAGACAGGACAATGGCGTGAACCCAGGAGGCGGAGGTTGCAGTGAGCCGAGATTGCACGACTGCACTCCAGCCTGGGCGACAGAGCAAGACTCCGTCTCAAAAAACAAACCAAAAAAACCCTATTTGCAAATACAGTCAAAATGGCGGTTAGGGCTTCATTGTGTGAATCTGACATCTCTCCATCTCCCACTCCCTCTCCTTCCTCTCTCTGTGTGGCACAGAGAAGAGGCCCTGTGAGAATAACAGTGGGAAGGTGGACAGCTACAAGCCAGGAAGAGAAGCCTCACCAGAAACCAGCCCGTATGGCACTTTGATCATGGACTTCCAACCTCCAGAACTGTGATGCATTAAATATCTGTTGTTTAAACTACTGAGTCTGTAGTATTTTGCTGTGGCAGCCCAAACTGACTAATATGTATTAAGTGGGAAAGAAAGAAATGGTTCATTACAGCAGAGAGTGAGCAGAGATGGGAGAGAAAGGAAGGGCAAGAGAGAAGAGGAACTTCACTTCAAGGCCTAAATGGGGTTCAGTGCTTTTTTTATTTTTTTTCAATGTGTATCTGGACTTCAGGAGGGAGTTCTCATGAGTCTCGTGTTTGGGTTCTGCCTTGATAGTGAGGCTCTTCTGCCACCTGGTGGCAACATGCTTAACCCAGTCATTCACTCATTCATTCCTTCATTCCAGAGACATCTGTTGCGTGCCTGCCCTGTGCAAGGTATTGTGCCAAGCAAAGGATATAATCCTTAATGTCTACTCTGTGCTGAGCTCTGTCCTATGTGTGTTTTGTTTTGAGACAGAGTTTCGCTCTTGTAACCCAGGCTTAAGTGCAATGGCACGATCTCGGCTCACCGCAACCTCCGCTCCCGGGTTCAAGTGATTCTCCTGCCTCAGTCTCCCGAGTAACTGGGATTACAGGTGTGCGCCATCACGCACAGCTAATTTTTGTATTTTCAGTAGAGATGGGGTTTCTCCATGTTGCCCAGGCTGGTCTTGAACTCCTGACCTCAGGTGATCCACCCGCCTAGGCCTCCTAAAGTGCTGGGATTACAGGCGTGAGCCACCATGCCCAGCCTGTCCTATGTGTTTTACATGGAGAAATGATTCACACTTCACCACAACCCTCTGGGCTAAATACTATTATCTCTGTTTTATAGAGGAGGAAATTGAGACACTAAGAAATTAAATAACCTGCCCAAGAGCCTACAGACAGTGAGAGAGTGAGATCAGGAAGCAAGGAGCCCAGCTCTAGAAGGCTTTACAGACATACTCCCTGCCCTGGAAGACCTTACAGTTTCCTTTTAAAAAGAGGTAAATAACCAGCTTAAAGGATATGTATTTTTAAAAAAATGAATAACGCGAAATGGCAGTGTACCATTTTATTCCGTATTGACAGGGACAGGATGCAGAAAAATTCTGGGCAGAAGAGGGTGGGTCCCCAGCGACGGCCCCGGCCTCAAGGTGAAAAGCGTAATACCGCGGCCCAAAGTGAAAACTTACATCCCTGTTTTCCTGCTGGAATGTTGCCTTTTCCAAAACCACCCACAGCCTGCCCTGCCCCCATCTTGTGTCTATAGTAACCCCAGAACTCAGCCGGCAGAGAGGAGAAGCAGCTTGACTTAAAAGTGTGCAGCACCTCCACCTTAGCTCTCTCTTGCTCTGCCTCCCAAAGTGCTGGGATTACAGGCGTGAGCCACCGCAACCAGCAAGGCTGTTTTCTTATAAGGACACCGGACGGCTTGACGTTGTAGCTTTCGAGAGGAGTCCAGCAGGGACGGCTGGACTTCAGGGGAAGATTACCTTCCTGCTCTGTCCCTTTTTCAGCTCCCCTTTCTGCAGAGAGCCACTTTCACTGGCAATAAAATCCCCCACATATACCACCTCCAATTTGTTGTGTGACCTCATTCCTCCTAGATGTCGAACGAGAACTTGGGTGCGAGTGCAAAAGGCTGTCACACTGACTTTCCACTGAGTTATTAACACTTAAGCTGTCCACAGATGGCAACGCTAAAAGAGCACTGTAACACTCTTTCTGGGGCTTCAGGAGTCATGGGTACCCCACTAGACCGTGCTGCAGGGCCTCATGGAGTTTTGCTCCTGCCAGCGCCCCAAAGCACTCGCCCCAATTCCTGCACCCACTCACCTGCACTCCCCCTCCTGTGAGGGGTCAGGGAAAATTTCCTGCTTCAGTATGAATTCTGGTTTTAATTAACTGTCAAGAATCCTGGGGCCTTCATCCCAGGCGAGGAGATCTGGCAGCCATGGATCTCATCGCCACTCAGAGATTTTAGAACTTCAGCTATAAAAATGGGCAGAATTTTCCTTGATCATATCGGTGGTACCTGTCTGTGTTCCTGTGCAAACTGACATGATCCTGACCAACCGCCCAGAACTCATCTCCACTCAGTTCACAGGCGCCCTGGCCTTTTAACAAGGTCGTTAACCTGCTGTGCAGTGAACTTTAAGATCTGGTCATGCTCACTGGCAGCCACAGGGTTCAAGATGTGAGCTGCAAAAGTTGCAATAGCAAACCGGGGTGGATTTATGAATTTGCCACTGGAGATAGCCATGTTATAAGGAAGGCTGTGTGATCCTGGAAAGTGCTGAAGTTCAAGAGAGTGAAGGCTCTGAGGAGCATGTATCATCTGATAATTCTTGAAGAAAAAGAGATAAATTCATCCTTCCCAGATCCCCCTTACTGAAAACAAACATCAGGTGACATTCACTGTCACCTTAGCATCAGAGTCAGATGTATGACCTGCAGGTTGCGAGAATCTAAGATGGAACCTTTAAAACAAAATTTTGTATTTTCCATCCAACAGCAGTGTATAGAGAGAATATTAGACAGATGGCCATTAATTTTTTCCCCTGTGTTTACATCTTGAGGTAGAAGAGTCTGTCTGCAGCTACATAGTGGGTTATGTAAGAAAAAATATCTGGGCTATTGGCATGAAAAGTGTGTTTTATGTGAATTTTGAAAGGAAAATATGACAAGAGTATGGTTTTAAACTTACTTGGGCTTCATTTTAAACTTAAAAAAAATTCCAGTTATTTCACTTGATTTGCTAACTTCAGAGAATAGATCTGAATCTGTGCTTGGCACTGAAGGCCCAGTGTTAGCATGGCTGTGCTGGCTGGTGTGCCATATTCTTGTTGGAAATGAACTGTAGCACCAGAGCCCATTCTTCCTTGTTGGTCTTGACCCAAAGCTGTCACCATTCCTAGTTATTTGTTGTCACATAATTGGTGATGATTGGAAACTTTTTCTGAAATGGGCAGAACTGCTTAGTTGTCTTTCTTCATGTAACTTAAGCCTAGTAATATAAATAAAGAAATACTTGGAAAAAAAAAAAGAATCTTTCCTTTTGACTAAAAGAGGCCACATTCAACTGGCTCATTGTGCATCCATTAGGTTAGGGCACTGGCCCCAACTGGGAGGATTTTTAAAACACAGGAAGTTGGCCAGTACAGTGGTTTACACCTGTAATCCCAGCACTTTGGGAGGCTGAAGTGGTAGGATCACTTGAGCCCAGGGATTTGAGACCAACCTGGGCAACATAGGGAGACCCTAGGAATTCAAGACCAAAACAGAGCAAGACCCTCATCTCTACAAAACACTAAAGAATTAGCCGAGTGCAGTGGCTTACACATGTAATCCCAGCTATTCTGGAGGCTGAGGTGGGAGGATTGCTTGAGCCCAGGAGTTCAAGGCTACAGGGAGCTATGATCAAGCCACTGCTTGGGTAACAGAGTAAGACCCCCATCTCTTAAAAAAAAAAAAAATGGAAAGCCGGCTGAGCACGGTGGCTCGCATCCATAATCCCAGCACTTTAAGCGGCCGAGGTGGGTGGATCACGTGAGGTCAGGAGTTCGAGACCAGCCTGGCCAACATGGTGAGACCCTGTCTCTACTAAAAATATAAAAATTAGCTGGGCATGGTGGTGGGCACCTGTAATCCCAGTTACTTGAGAGGCTGAGACAGGAGAATCGCTTGAACCCGGGAGACGGAGGTTGCAGTGAGCCGAGATAGTGCCACTGCACTCCAGCCTGAGTGACAAGAGTGAGAGTCCATCTCAAAAAAAAAAAAAAAAAAGCCACATTCCACGAGAGCATTTCTGCAAGAGGGGTGGTAAATACATAGAAGGCAGAGCAGGAGAGGGACGAGAGAGAGAAAGAAACCATCGAGCTACACTATCCCATATGGTAGCAACTGTTTAAATTAATTTTTTTTTTTTTTACAAAGTCAGATTGCAGAAGTGCAACAATCCCAGAGCAAAGCAAATGGTCCCTCTTCTCCTGACCTGTCTCAGGGATAAGCTGAGAGTGGCGATGTTGAGCTTAATTAGGACTTAGCTATTTTTCTATGTGAGGTGATAGGATTTTAAGAGTGACCTTATTCCTCCCTTCCACTGAGTCCTGCAGCTGGTTTTTGGGTGCTGCTACTCACACCTTACAAGTGTCCTCTTGCCTGGTGGTTACAGAAAGGAAGGACAACTTCACCTTCCAGTCTCCATTTCAATTGGGACCGTTGCTGGCAGTTTATGCTCCATTAAGTTGCCCAGGAGCAGCATTTACTGCACACTGAGTTATGTGGGTCTCTGAAATTCTACCCCTATTCTTATGAAGACCTGAAAGTATTGTTTAATAAAAGCTCTTTCTTATAATAATCATGCTTATTTGCTTATATGTGAGTCTCTGATTCTCTATCATTAATTTTTTCACTTGTGATAAACTAACAGAGACGGGTGATTTAGACAGGCAATAATCAGCCAGTACAATAAACTTTTAATTTAGGCTGGCTGCTAAAGAGACACCAAAAGAAACAAATACGCAGAACAGGGTAGCACTCAGGCTTTAATCTAACTATTGCTCCACCCCACTCTGTATCACTGCCTTGTTAAATCTTTCTTTGGTATTTGTCCCTTCCCTTTCAATCCTACTCTTCAACTTGGTTGAGTCCCTTGATCACATCTCACACTAAGTCCATTAGCCTTCCTAAAATGTCCCTCCTCTAAGGTCAGTCTCCTTCAAAACACCCTTCAGCTGAATTCATTTGACAAATATTGAGCATCTACTGCCCTCAAAGAATTATGGTTAGTAGGGAGACACCTTGGTAAAATGAAATACATATAGATATATAGACACAGATATACAGTGAAATGTATTTATTGGTTAATGTTCCTTTGGTTGCAAATGATAGATAAATCAAGCAGGCTTAAGCTCAAAAAGGGAATTTGTTAATGCACAAAATCCAAGAATATATCTTGAATTTAAGTGAGGCATCATTCAGAGGATCAAATAATGTCACCAGCAGACTCTTTCCCATTCTCTCTCATTCTTTTCACTCTCTTTATTTTTGCTTCATGCTCAGGCAGTATGTGAAGTCTGCTAGCAGCTCCAGACTTGCAACAAAAACTTGTGTGTTTCTTCCCAGCCGCTCATGCTCAGTCCCAGGATTCACTCTAGTTCGATGAACCTGGGTCTCATGATCACCTCTGAACTGTAGCTCCTTAGTGCTCTGATTGGCTAGACTTAAATCACATGGGCTACACCCAAAGTACGGGGTGGGGGTGGGGTGGGTTCCTGAACGCTTGTCAGAGAAGGCGGAATAGAAGCTAGTGTTAAAAGAAACAGTTTAGACAAATTAAATTTAACAGAGTTTATTTGGGCAAAGAATGATTCATGAATCAGGCAGCACTCAGAACCAGAAGAGGTTCAGAAAACTCCACTTGGCAGTGTGAGCAATGAGCTTTTCTAGGGTGAACACAAAAGCAATGTAGAGAAACCACTTGATCGGCAACAGCTAGGCATCTGCCTTATTGGGCGTGGTCTCATCAATTGGATGCTTATTATTGGCTGAAGCTTCTCTGTGATTGGCTGAAACCAGGCTATATGTTACAAAAATATACTCCTAAATTAGGTTTCAGTTTGTTTACATACTATTAGGTTGCTGTTTGTTCCACAGAAACTCAAAATATGGAGAGGGCCTCTGGCCAATGGCCTCGTGCTTATTTAATTTAACACTAGGTAGATAAAAAACAACAAATATTTCTATAGTATGGGTAAGATATATTGAGAACACAATAAACAGGTGCCTAAATCTGCATGTGAGTCACAGAAGACATCACAGCAGAGGGTAAATCCGAGTTGATGCTTGAAAAAGGAGCAGGAGTTTGCTGACAGGCAGGGAAAGCCAGGAGGATTGGGAGGGAAGGGGTCCCAGTGGCAAGAATGGCCTATGCAGAGTCACAAAAGAAAATAAACTATGTGTCCATCAGACATGGCTTGGGTGTGTGTTCCCATCAAATCCATGTGGAATTGTAGTCCCCAGTGTTGGAGGTGGGGCCTGGCGGGGAGGTGATTGGATCATGGGGGCGGATTTCTCATGAATGGTTTCGCATCATCGCCTTGGTGCTGTTCCTTTGGTGCTGTTCCCGTGATAGTGAGTGAGTGCTTGTGAGATTAGGTTTTTTAAAAGTGTACATCACCTCCTCTCTAGCTCTCTCTTGCTCTTGCTCCCACTATGTGAGACACCTCGCACCCCCTTTGCCTTCCGCCGTGATTGGAAGCTTCCTGAGGCCTCCCCAGAAGCAGAAGCCACCAGGATTCCTGTGAAGCCTGCAGAACCATGAGCCAATTAAACCTCCTTTCTTTTCTTTTCTTTTCTTTCTTTTTTTTTTTTTTGAGACGGATTTCCGCTCTTTCGCCCAGGCCGGACTGCAGTGGTGCAATCTTGGCTCACTGCAAGCTCCGCCTCCCGGGTTCATGCCATTTTCCTGCCTCAGCCTCCGGAGTAGCTGGGACTACACGCAACCGCCACCACACCCGGGTAATTTTTTGTATTTTTTTTTAGTAGAGACGGGGTTTCACCATTTTAGCCAGGATGGTCTCCATCTCCTGACCTCGTGATCCACCCGCCTCGGCCTCCCAAAGTGCTGGAATTACAGGCATGAGCCACCGCGCCTGGCCAATCTCCTTTCTTTGTAAATTACCCACTCTCAGGGTTTTTTTTTTTTTTTTTTTTTTTTTTGAGATAGAGTCTTGCTCTGTCACCCAGACTGGAGTACAGTGGTGCGATCTCGGCTCACTGCAACCTCCGCCTCCTGGGTTCAAGTGATTCTTCTGCCTCAGCCTCCCGAGTAGCTGGGATTACAGGCGCCTGCCACCACACCCAGCTAATTTTTGTATTTTTAGTAGAGATGGGGTTTCACCATAAGCCAGGCTGGTCTTGAACTCCTGACCTCGTGATCCACACGCCTCGGCCTCCCAAAGTCCTGGGATTACAGGTATGAGTCACCGTGCCTGGCTTCTTCTTCTTTTTTTTTTTTTTTGAGATGGAGTCTTGCTCTGTCACCCAGGCTGGAGTGCAGTGGCGCAATCTCGGCTCACTGCCACCTCTGCCTCCCGGGTTCAAGCAATTCTCTGCCTCAGCCTCCCAAGTAGGTAGGATTACAGATGCCTGCCACTACACCTGGCTAATTTTTGTATTTTTAGTAGAGACGGGTTTCACCATCTTGGCCAGGCTGGCCTTGAATTCCTGACCTCATGATCCACCCGCCTCGGCCTCCCAAAGTGTTGGGATTACAGGCGTGAGCCACCGCGCCCAGCAGATATTTCTTTATAGCAGTGCGAGAACGGACTAACTCACCATCTTTTTGCACAAGGCAGAGAGCCAGATTAAAAAGGCAGGTTGTGGAGCCTGATTGCTTGGTTTGAATTCCGGTTGAATCTTGGCTGCTTACTTAATTGCACCATGCTTCAGTTCACCATCTGTAAAATGGGAATAGTAATAGTACCTACCTCTCAGGCTGTTGCCAGGATTAATTGAAATGTGTTAATACATTTAAAGTGCGTAGAAGAGGGCCTGGGATATAGGAAGTGCTAAAAACAATTGCTAAATAAATCCAATGAAGTAAAATAAAATTGGTGTGATTATTAATTCATGCTGTGCTACAACCTACTTTAAAATAATGGCCTACAATTACTTGGTTCAATGCACTATAAATTTGGTTTAAAAGATCACAACAAAAGAACAACATGACTTTCTCATGATCATTTATATAGGTAACATACAATCCAGTTCCTTCTCATATATAAATTTCCCTGTTTGTAGTCATAGTGTTGTTACACTGTTATCCCACAGTTCCACATTTTATAGGAAATGTAGTTTCTCCTTCCGGCTTTTGTTGCCTAAGGTCTAATCTTGCAGACTTATTATAGCAAAATGTTGCTCAATTTAGCCCACCCAGTCTCATGAGACAACAGGCTGACCCAAACAACCCCAAAGGAGAGAAACTGAACAGAACGCGCATACAACCCACACTGCCTTGTGTTCATTTTGTAAACGTCAAGCTCTGAAATTGGGTCAATGGTCTTGTTATCCCTTGTCTGTGAGTTACATTTTCTGAATTGTGTATGTGTTAGGAACTTTGGTTAGATATTCTCTGTATATTTTATTCTTTGGAAATCTTCCAACCTCCACCCTTAAGTAACAATGACTTTTGAAATGGTCTAAGAAAAAGGAAAAATCTCATTTGCAATGTTTTGCGCGGTGAGGGGAAGAGAGGAAGTTAGAAAAAAAGGCCTGTGGTGAGGCCAGGGTATAGGGCAGTGTTCTAAAAGGATGTGTTCTGGGGTCTCATTGTCTGGGTTTGAACCCCAGACCTGCCTGTTCCAAGTTGAGTTGACTTGAGCAATTATTTATTGGAGCTTCTGTTTCTCCTCTGTGAAACAGAGATAATGCCTCACAGTGGCAGCCAGCTTCCAAGGAGTCTCCCAGTGATCACCCCTCCTGGTACTCATGGCTTTGTGGTGTGCCCTCCTATTGTATTGGGGTTGCTCTGTGTGACCACTGGAATATAACAAAAATAGTTGTATATTGTTTTCACGGCTCAATTGTGTTAGCAGAAGGCAGCTTCCCCATGGCTGCCATTTCCTCCACTTTTAGAGAATGGGAAACTTCAGTGATTCCCTGCCCTGATCACCAGGCCAGGGTAGACTAGACGGCCCCAGTGCACACAGACATCTTGTGTAAAATGTGAGGCATTCATTCTTCAGAAAAACACGTGGGGGTTCAATAAGTGTGTCTTAGTCCATTCAGGCTGCTATAACAAAATACCATAGACTGGGTAGCTTATGCACAACAGAAATTTATTTCTCACAATTTTGGAGGCTGAGAAGTCCTTGATAAAGATGCCAGCAGATGTGATGTCTGGTGAGGGCCCATTTTCTGGTTCATAGATGGTGCCTTCTTCCTGTGTCTTCACATGGTGGAAGGGCATACAAGCTCTCTGAAGTCCCTTTTGTAAGAGCACAAATTCCATTCACCAAAGGCCCCATCTGCCAATACCATCAACTTGGGGGTTAGGATTTCAACATATAAATTTTGGGGGTGACACAAACATTTAGACCATAACAAAAGATGAGTTTTTTTCTGAATTTGCTTTTTGTTCCTAACTTTGCTTATAACTGTCAACCTCATAAGAAGTATTTTCCCTCTCAAATACCCATCCAAACTTTACACATTCATTCATTAGAGGTTTCCAAAGTAGTATGGACATAGGCGTATGGACATAGGCACATGGCAATTATTTGGATGCAGGCAGAAACTATTAAATCTTTAAGATTATTTATGTAACTGGCTTCACAAACATAATTTGTAACATACAATTATAAACAACTATATTTTATTCTTCTACTGTCCCTTTAATTTTTCTCAGTGAACTGGTATTTCCTCTGCCTCTGGATAAACCTTGTGCAGGCTCGTGATTTTTCTGGATCCTCAGATAATTACAAGTTCTATGATCATGTTTCATATATTGCAGCCTTAATTTAGAAGTTAGAATGTAAGCATAAGTGAGTGCCTGGGTCAGCTAAGGCTGCCAAAACAAAATATTATAGACTGGGTGGCTTAAACAACAGATATTCATTTCTTACAATTCTGGAGGCTGACAAGTTCAAGTTCAGACTGTGAGCAGATTCAGTGTTTGCCATGGCCCCTTTTCCTGGCTTGCAGATGGCCACCTTCTTGCTGTATCTTCACATGGCAGAGAGAGGAAGCTCTAGTCTCTCTTCTTCTTATAAGGGCACTGATTCCATCACAAGGGATCTACCCTCATGACCTCATCCAAACCTAATTACCTCCCAAAGACCTCACCTCGTAATACCCTCACATTGGGGGTTAGGGCTTCAATATATGAATTTGGGGGAGACTTAAACGTTTAGTTCATAATATTCTGCCCTTTGTCCCTCTCAAAATTCACATCCTCCTTGCATTTAAAATACATTCATTCCATCTTAACAGTCTCAAAAGTCAACTCATTCCAGCATCAACTCTAAAGTTTAAAGTCTCATCTAAATATCATGTAAATCCAATATGAGTGAGACTCAAAATTCACCCTAAGGCAAAATTCCTTTCCAACTGTGAATCTGTGAAACCAGACAAGTTATGTGCTTCCGAAATACAATGATGGAACAGGCTCAGGATAGATATTCCTATTCCAAAAGGGAGAAATTGAAAGGTAGAAAGGGGTGACAAGTACCAAGAAATCCAAAATCTAGAAGTCAAACTTCATTAGGCTTTAAAACTGAAATACAATCCTCTTTGGCTCAAAGAATGCTCTGCCCTGTAGGCCCACTGGGGTGGTGGTCCTCCCTTCCAGAACCACTGGAAGGTATCACCCCCATCTTTCAGTGGGGTGTCCCTGCTTCTTCAGCTCAGTGTAGCACTGCCCACATGGCTGTCTGTGAGGGCCACACCCACATGAGTGCTGAGTAGCAGTCCCACTCTTTGAAACCAAGATGGAGGTAGCCTTGTTCCCAGGGGCCTTTCCACTCTGGGCCTGTGGTGGGAGTAGCAGCCCTGATGATGTCTGAATTGCCTTTGGGATCCTTCCTCTCTTTTCCTGAAGGGGATTGCATATTCACAGCCTTACTTCATTCCATCTTGTTTTCTCTTTTCCTTTTAGTCCCAACTGGCAGGGGACTAAAGCATTATTTCTCCTGGAATAATCCCAACTCTATTTCTGGCTTCTGTTGAGATGGCTGATTAGGTCCATGGTTGATACTCACACTACTCTCCTTATCAAATGGGTGACCAGCCACACTCTTAATAATCTCTTCTTTTCTTTTCTTTTTTTATTTTTTAAAATAGAGATGGGGTCTCACCATGTTGCCCAGGCTGGTCTTGAACTCCTGAGCTCAAGTAATCTGCCTGCTTTGGCATCCCAAAGTGCTGGGATTATAGGCAGGAGCCACCATGCTTGGCCTAACTCTTCTGAACATGGTTTCTCATTTTTTTTGCAGTAAGGACAGGCTAAGAATTTTCCAAATCTTTAAGTGCTGGTTATTTTTTGATTAACAATTTCTTCTTCAATTCATTTCTCTCTTCTTAAATTTTACTATCAGTGGTCAAGAGGAACCAAGCTGCTCTTTCAGCACTCTGCTTAGAAATGGCCTCAGCCAACTATCCAATTTCATTGTTTGAAAGTTCTACCGTCCACAAAACACTAGAACATAAACAATTCAGTAAGTTATTTGCCACTTTATAAAAAGGATTTTCTCCATTGTCCAATAACATGTTCCTCATTTCCATCTGAGGCCTCACAGAATAGCCTTTGCCACCTATATTTCTGCTAGCATTCTGTTCACGATTGTTTACGCATCCTCAAAGAAGGAAGACAGAAGCTCTTTTTGAGTCCTCACCAGAATCATCTTTAGCAATTTTTTCACAGCAACCTTGGCTTTTTGTAGCATGTATCTCAAAACTCTTTTAGCCTTCACCCATCACCCTGCATCATTACTGCTTCCACATTTTTAGAATTTATTTTAATTTAAAAAATGTATATAATGTAATTCAGAAGATCCAAAGATATCCCTTATGCACCATATGGATGCCAATTTCACTACGCAAATTTCACCATGCAAATTCTTCCTCCCTCTGAAATACTTTGGTCTTTATTAGTAGTAGTATTATTTTAATTTGAGATTCAGGAGGTACATGTACAGGTTTGTTACATGAATATATTGCCTAATGCTGAGGTTTGGGCTTCTGCTGAACTGTCACCCAAATGGTGAACATGAACATAGTACCCAATAGGTAGTTTTTCAACTCTCTTTCCTCCCTCCTTCCCTTTCCCCTTTTGGAGTCCCCTGTGTCTATTGTTTCTATCTTTATGCCTGTGTGTACCCTGTGTTTATCTCCCTCCCACTTATAAGTGAAAACATGCAGTATTTAATTTTGTTTCTGTGTTAATTCACTCAAGATAATGGCCTCTAGCTGCATCCACGTTGCTGCAAAGGACAGCTTCTTTATGGCTGTATAGTATTCCATTGTGTATATGTACCACATTTTCTTTTCCAATCCATCATTGATGGGCACCTAGGTTGATTCCACGTCTTTGCTATTTTTATACATTTGTTATAGCAGCACCCATCCTGGTACCAATTTCTGTCTCAGCTTGAGCTGCCATAGCAAAATAACAGTGAGCAACAAGAAAGATTAACAGACCTAATAATTCTCCTACTCCAAGATAAGATGAGTGTATTAACAAACAAAACAAAATAATGATGACAAATAAGATCTGACAAAATGTGCCCCCCATGCAAATCATAATTATAAGATGCTTATTTAAAGTAAGGATTTACATTGACCATTGTTAAGAGTAAACCTTGCCCTCAATGTATTTTGCATCTTAAGATATGATTAATTAGCACATGTAAAGAATTTGCAAACATTTATTGAGGGTGTGCCCACCTTTTTTGCTGATATTGGTGAACAATAACAAAAATTAGAACCCCCTGTTTTTTATTTCCATGCAAGCCTCACTGCTTCCAGGAAGATGCCCACTGATGTCTCCATTGAGCTCCTACAGCGTTTGTGACTGGTCCACCTGGATACCCTTTAATTATTCAGTCTCCCACACTGATCTTTGGTGGTTTAATTTTATAGTCCCCATTTTCCCAGTATGTTTGCAAACTTCCAAGGGACAAGTGGGCATCCCTGCTGTTTAGTACCCACAAAAGGTGTCTGATAACTTGCCATGGATGTGTTTATGCTTGCCATGATTGCCCACTTCCTTTTGGCCTAGAGTTCAGGAATTCTAGAATTGTCCTTCTCCAAGTGAAGATCAAGGAGTAGAGGATGAGGAGAGGGAGAAGAAAAGTTTGAAAAAAAAATCAAAGAAACTGGAAGGTTTGTTTTGTTAGATTTTGCAAAGAGCAGCAGAAAAAGCCAAATCTATCATAAAATATAACTTGATTTCTGATATTATATTATTCTAGTTCAATGATTCAATGAAATAAAGAGGAAGCATTTAAGGAGTGAGAGATGAGAAGTTCTGGGAAGCCACGCCCGCTTAGATAAGCAGCACCCTCAGCTTCCATGGTGCGTCTTTTCGTTCTGCCATCGTTCCTTCTTTTGTTCCTTCCTTTCTCCACTCCTGTCTTTTATTCCTTTTGAATCTTTTGAGGACCTACTATGTTGTTTGTACTGAGCTGGGGGCTGCAATAGAGACGACAGAATTGTAAGGTATACCTGGAAGAAACTGCCCCTCTCCACTTCTTTGGGAACAGAGTGAGAAAGGTATAAAGAAACAAATACAAATTAACCAGAAGGACAAGAAATATATACAGTCGATTCTCATGATTTGCAGTAATTATATCTTAGAAAGTTCATAAACATTGCATTAGTGAATCCTGAACCTTTGCTCCCAGGGGAAATATAGTAGGTTCCTGAGAGCCTCTGTTCACATTTTCATCAATCAATACAAAATCTCATTGTATATGTTTTTCTGTTTCAAGACACTTTTGTAATATATAGTTGATTCATTAACATTGAAATCACAGCCAACAGCACTGTAACTCATGCTTGATGCAGCTTATCTAACACACACACTTTGTCCCTAAACACATCGCAGCCTTCTTGCGCTTAACCCTGGACAGCACTTCAGCACCCACTTGGGGAATATTTTAAACTGCAAAATCACCAACGAAAAGCACAAAAATGTGTAAACAAGGTGACATTAGACTGCAAAAAGGACACTTGTTTACAGTATAAGCGCAGAAGCAGGAAGGCAGAGGGTCACTTTGTTTAACCTCAGTTGAGACTGTGTGCCTCCGGAGACTCAAATTTCTCACAGCTCTGAGTGTGTCCAAGAGTGACCACAAAAGCTCTGTAAATATTGATTTTGGAATAACAAATAAATTTTGGCAAGTAGGCAAACTTGTAAACACCAAATCCATGAATAATGAGGATTAACTGCATGTATATATGTATGTGTATATACATACACATACATACATACATACATAGGTATGTGAAGTTCATGTTCAGAAGAATTAATAACCAAAAGAGAGAAAAATACACTGGGAATATATCTATGGCGAAAGGGGGCAGTTGAGCAGAGGTGAGAGAAGTGGGTATGGAGGGCCTTCCAGGACCGTGCATTGGTTGGATAGAGCTGAGTGGGGTGCAGTGTGTGTGTGAGGAAGAAAGGAGAAGGGGGCTGCTTTGGAAGCCAAGGGGAGCAGCTTGGAAGGGAGGAGGAGGTCAGGTCTGGGAGGTTTGCGGAAGTGCTCGGCTGGGTTTAAGAAATCCTGAGACACATGTGCAGGAGAGGGCAGAGAGTGAGTCAACCATGTGAGTCTCTTCCATGGGTTTACTCAACTCTGAATTTCAAATAAAAACCTTTTGTAAGAAATGACAAAATAATAGTTCCTCAAACATGGATTTGTAGATGAGAAGAACGTTTAGGAGGAAAGCATTTGGGGTTAGCCTTTGCTCATGAAAATGTTATTTCCATGAGCAAATAGGCATAACCTGCTCTGTTGGCAGAGCAAGAGAAACTGGGCTCAAAGCCAACAAATATGACACAGAAATAGGACTTTTGAAAATGAAACCCTGCAAGCACTTATCAAAACCTACTTGTGCTTTAAGTCATCAGAACAAAAGGTGTAAGTACCTGCTGTGATGAAATATCACTGCCTACTTAGTGGGAAAAATGTAAGCTGAGCTGGAATCTGAGTCAGAAAGAAACAGGTACAATGAAGCTTGCAATCAGGCTTACCTGGAAAAGAAACGGAAGTGAGTGAGAGGAAAATAAAGTATGAACAAGGCCAGCAGTTGTAAAGAACTTTTTCTTGTAACTTGAAAACAGCTTCCCTCCCTACTTCATCTACTTTTAACCCCTACCCAAGCTGGGGTAGGGAGAAGGGTGTTGGATTTGTGTCAACAACTACAGAATCAGGTTGCTGCAATGCAGTGAATGTTTCTGGCCTGGTGCAGGGGTCTTAAAGGAAATCTCCTGGCAGGGTGCAACTGTCTAAACTTCAAAGCAGCATGTCAAAACCTGGCTACAATGTGTTCACCGAAAGACACGTACCAGAATATCCATAGCAGCACCATTCATAATAATAACTCAGAACTGGAAATCACCCACATGTCTATCCACGGTTGAAAGGATAAGTAAATCATGGTATATCCACACATGGAACACTGTACAGCAGTGAGTGTGCACAGCCTAGATGTACACACAACATTATGGAGAAATCTTGCAAAAGGAATGTTGAGCCAAGGAGCCAGGCATGACAGAATATACTGTATGTGTCTGTTTATGCAAAGGAAAGATAAATAGCCGAACAGGTCAAGGTAATATGCTATTGGAAGTCAGGCAGTGGTTACCCCTAGGAAGCAGGATTTATAGAGACTGAAACGGAACTTAAGGGAGGCAACAGTGCAGTGGTGGTAATGTTCTGTCTCTGATCTGGGTGCTGATTGCACTGGCATGCTCAGTTTATAAAGTTCAGTGAGCTATACACTTACAATATGTGCATTTTTATGAATGGATAGTATGCTTCAATAACAATGTTTTTAAAAGTGTTTACAATTAGTGGGGGGGTGGGCTGGCAAGGGCATTCTGTATCACAAACAAACATTGCCTGGTGACATCAGAGGACAAGGGCAAGTGCAGAAGGTGGCTTTTTCTTTGCTGCAAAGTCAACACAGAGTGAAACACTGAATAAAAGTTTGCCTGGAACCTCATGTGAAATCTCATTCGCTCATTTATACATTTGTTCATTCATACAACAGACATGTGCTGAGAGGGAGAATATACAATCAGGGTCTTAAAGACCCACCATGTAGTAGGGAAGGCTGACAAGTAAACTGACAATGATGCAGTGTGGTAAATGCTTTGTTGAGGATAACACTAGGGTATTAAGAGAGTACTGATATGGCGGTCAAGGGCAGTGGACCCTAAGAGAAGGAGTCCTGACATGTTTGATTAACACTTGGACTGAATTTTCTCCAATGCCAAAAGTATTTCTTGAGCCTCTAAGGCAGTGATCTCATTTAAAATGCACACAGATCTCCTGGGGATCTGAATAAAATGTGGATTCTGATCCAGTAGGTCAGGGCAGGCCTGATATCTGCATTTTTTTTTTTTTTTTTGAGACAGAGTCTTGCTCTGTTACCCAGGCTGGAGTGCAGTGGCGTGATCTCAGCTCACTGCAAACTCCACGTCCTGGGTTCAAGCAATTTTCCTGCCTCAGCCTACCAAGGAGCTGGGATTATAGGTGCACGCCATGCCTCAGACTCAGCCTCCCAAGTAGCTGGGATTACAGGTATGCACACCACGATGCCCAGCTAATTTTTGTATTTTTAGTAGAGACGGGGTTTTGCCATGTTGGTCAGGCTGGTCTTGAACTCCTGACCTCAAGTGATCCGCCCACCACAGCCTCCCAAAGTGTTAGGATTACAGGCATGAGCCACCCGGCCAAGATCTGCATTTCTGATGAGGCTTCTAGGAGGTGCAGATGCTGCTGATCTTCAAACACACTTTGTGAGACCTAAGAGAGAAGGCCATGTGATGGTTGGCACTGTCTGGCTCCAACTCAGGACAGCGTGACAGCCTATTTGGTTCAGGCCAGTCCCTCCCAAGGACACAAGCCGAGAAATAAAAGACAGAACTGTGTGGGAGGAAACACGGGTGGCTGTGGGGCTTTCCAGACTCTGCCTGCGGTCAACCATGGGGTGGGGTGGGGTGCCAGAAAGGCATCTGGGAGGAGACCACTTATGCTATTTTACAAAATTGGCAGAACTTTTTCTCGTGCTTCTTTCATTTTGGCCTTCCCAGCTGCCCAAACCTTGGGTTTTTGTTTTTTTTTTTTTTTTTTTGAGATGGAGCCTTGCTCTGTCACCAGGCTGTAGTGCAGCGGTGCGATCTCGGCTCACTGCAATCTCTGCCTCCTGGGTTCAAGTGATTCTCCTGCCTTAGCCTCCCAAATAGCTGGAACTACAGGTGTGCGCCACCACGCCCGGCTAATTTTTATATTTTTAGTAGCGATGGGTTTTCACCATGTTGGCCAACATGCTCCTGATCTCCTGACCTGGTGATCTGCCCACCTTGGCCTCCCAAAGTGCTGGGATTACAGGCATGAGCTGCCGCACCCAGTCCCAAACCTTTTCTTGACATGCAGAACAGACTGGAGATGTGACTATAAATATAGAATTCATGCGCATGGCTGCACAAGGAAGAAGAAATTTCACAGAAGATGGAGAAACTGGTCAGGATTGCCTCAACTATGTTGTAAGGTGAACATTAAAAATGTGGCTAAAATCATTTCTTCTATTTGCTCACACACTGAAGGGAGGAAGAGAAGGGTGTCACATGCACCTTGTTCTCTTAGCAAGGGAGATTCTACTAGACTCTAGCCCAGACTGGAGGGTGGTGGGGGGCAGAGTCCTGAAGGGGAGGAGGAGAGCCCTGCCAAGGTTGCGGGAAGAGTGGGAGTGGGAAGGGCATGCAGGCTCAAGGAAGGGCCAGAGAGTGCAGAGAGCTTGAACACCTTGGTTCAGCATGGCTGACGCAGGGTGTATCGAGCCACTCAAGTGGAAGCTGCAGAGCCCCGCGGGGCCAGTGGTAGACACTATGAAGTCCACAGGAAGTCAGCAAGGGCTGTTTTTGTTTGTGGTTTGGGATTCCAGTGACCTTTATTTTTTTTCATATCAATAAATAACCTTTTGACTGGGAAATATATTCACATTAAAATTCAAAAGGCTTACAAGATTATTCAGTTGAAATATCTACTTTTCACCTCTGTTCTTTGGCCTTCCTTCTCTGTCCACACAGGCAAACAATACCATGAGTTTCTTGAGCATCCCTCCAGAAGTATTTTATGTAGATATGAACAAATTTTTAGAATAAATTCTCTTCCCCCTTTTTACACAAAACAGTGAGTCATCCATAGTCAGAATTTCATCAGGCTCCCTGACCACACTGCTCCTTTATTTTTCCAGATGTCACTTGTCATCCAAGACACGGACTTCCTTGGTTTTCCTTCTTCATCGAGGCCATTCCTTTCCAGTCTCCATAGCTAGCGTCTCTTCTTCCCCCTGTGCCATCCACATGCTGAACTCCCAAATGTGTATCTCCAGCCCAGTTCCAGCTTTTCTTCTGGACTCATACTCATATGTCCAACTGCCTACTCAGCACCTCCACTCGAATCACAGACACCTCAGATTGAATATGTGAAAGATTGAGTTGGGCACAGTGGCTCACTCCTGTAATCCCACCACTTTGAGAGGCTGAGGCAGGAGGATGGTTTGAGGCCAGGAGTTCATGACCAGCCTGGGCAACATAGCAAGACCGCTGTCTCTAAATAAATAAGTAAATAAAATTAAGGGGAAAAAAAGGATTGGACTCCTGAATTTACCCTCGCCCACTCCAGTCTGCTTCTCCCACAATCTCTCCTTCTCAGCTAATCCTACTACATTTTCCTGGTTTATCAGGTCAAAAGTCTTGGCATTATCTTTGACTCCTCCCTTTCCCTCATACTCCATATCTAAACTGCCAAGAAATCCTAGTAGGTCTGCCTTCAAAATTTATGCTGAATTTGATCACTTCTTACCAATTCTACTGCTGATTCCTGGGTCCAAGCCACCATCATCTCTCACCTGAGAATTGCTGCAGCGCCTACTTTTATTCTCTCTCCAGTCTGTTTTCCTATAATAATCACCAATAAAACTCTCTAAATGGAAAAGAACTACATGTTTGTCTTTTTTTTTTTTTTTTTTTTTTTGAGACGGAGTCTCGCTGTCGCCCAGGCTGGAGTGCAGTGGCTCGATCTCAGCTCACTGCAGACTCCGCCCCCCGGGGTTCACGCCATTCTCCTGCCTCAGCCTCCCGAGTAGCTGGGACTACAGGCGCATGTTTGTCTTTTAAAGCAACAAGGGAAGAGGGCAAGAGGATGCATGGGCTTGGGAGTTTATTTTCTCTCCTCCTGTCTACACCTCCTCTAATCTGTCTCCCATGCTGCCACAGAGAAATCTTTCTAAAAGACAAGTACCGACCATGCATATCCCAGTTAAGACTCGTCGACTTCTTGCAGCCTTAAAGGTAAGTTCCAAGCTCCTTCTCAAGGCATGTGAGGTTCTTTCAAGTCGAGTCCCTGCCTACCCCTTCAATTCACCTCCCGGGTCTACCCGACATGTTCTCACTTTGCCAACTACTGCAGGTTGCGTCAGGGAGTTTTCTAGGCAGAATGTGGAGAAAGCAAAGAGGAGCAACATGTTTCTGGAGAAATAACACAAAAGCGAAGAAGTGGAGTTGTGAGATAGGCTGATGTGAAGGTGCAGTCCAAGGACAGAGTGCTTTGGGGGAAGAATGAAGTATGAGATGGGAATGGTAAGCAGGATCAAGATCCTGACAGACCTGGTGGCCACAGTAAGACTGGTCATTTATCAATCATGAACATTGCTGTGGACCAATATATAGAAATAAGTTTGATTTAGCTGAGCATGGTGGCTCACGTCTGTAATCCCAGTGTTCTTGGACCAAAGTGAGGGTCAGGCTGCTGTTTCTCGTGGCCCAATAATGAGATGCAGGTGAACTGGGGAGGAAGCGAGTTTTTATTTCTGTAACCGGTTACAGGAATAGGGACCTTTATTTTTTTCTAAGGAGAAGGCCTGGAAATTATCACCAGACCAACTCAAAATTACAAAGTTTTCCAGAGCTTATATACCTTCTAAGCTATATGTCTATATGTAAGTGTGCATTCATCTAAAGACGTAGGTGATTAACTTCTTTCCGTCTATAACTAAGGTCTGAGTCTTGAAGACCTTCCTGTGGAGCGTCAGTAAATTAATCTAAATGGGTGCAGGTGCTGGGGTGATTATCCTTATCTTGTCTCCTGCTAAATCATGGAGGTTTGGGGAGTTCCTTCAGACTCCCAATAAACTTGTTTAATCATGCTTTAAGGTTCAGGAAAGGCCTAGGCAAAACTCTTGGTGGGCTTTTGTTACATTCCAGCCTTTGCATAAGGGTACTGGATTTTAATATTTAATTTAACCACTCAGTCAGTACTGAAACAGTTGTTATGGAGGCCTGCGTTAGTGGACCTGGCCTGCCATACCAGCACTTTCTGGGAGGCTGAGATGGGCACATTGCTTGAGCTCAGGAGCTCGAGACCAGCCTGGGCAACATGGCAAAACCCTGTCACTACAAACAAACAAACAAACAAACTAAAAATACAAAAATTAGCTCGGCGTAGTGGCTTGTGCCTGTGGTCCCAGCTACTCAGAAGGCTCAGGTGGAGGATCACTTGCGCCCAGGAGGCAGAGGTTTCAATGATCTGAGATCGTGCCACTGCACTTCAGCCTGGGTAACAAAGCAAGACCCTGTCAAAAAAAAAAAAAAAAAGAAAAAAAAACAAAAAGAAACGTTTAATTTAAAACTAGGGGTTTATGGCCAGGCGCGGTGGCTCACGCCTGTAATCCCAGCACTTTGGGAGGCTGAGGTGGGCGGATCACGAGGTCAGGAGATTGAGACCATCCTGGCTAACACGGTGAAACCCCATCTCTATTAGAAATACAAAAAATTAGCTGGGCGTGGTGGCGGGCGCCTGTAGTCCCAGCTACTCAGGAGGCTGAGACAGGAAAATGGCGTGAACCCGGGAGGCGGAGCTTGCAGTGAGCCGAGATTGTGCCACTGCACTCCGGCCTGGGCGACACAGAGAGACTTTGCCTCAAAAACAACAACAACTGGGGGTTTATACTACTTTGAAGATAATAAGCTGAGTGATTTAACTTGGTGTAAAGGGGGATACACATTTCTTTTTTTGTTTTTTTTTTAATTGACATAAAAAGTGTATGTATTTATGGGGTATAGTGTGATGTTTTGATGCATGTAGAGGATACACATTTCTGTAAAAAAGAGGCAAGAGGCAGAGTTTAATCAGGAGCTAGCTAGACCACATCAGCAGGCAGAGCAAAGGGAGGAAACCATTCTGTTTAAATGGCAACATGGTCTCGAAGAGCACCCAACTGTGGAGTCCAGAGGTACTGCTGCAGTCTTCCATGTCATTTCTCAGAAAATTAGGGTTCTCAACTCTTACAAACATCAAATGCCAAAACAACAACAACAAAAAAGTGAACTTATACAAGAAATGAGACTCATCTTTCATTTTAATATAATTTCAGATTTAAAAAATCATAAAAGCATACAAATATAATATTATAATATACTGTGAATAACTGGTTATTTAAAAAAAATTTGCCAAAGCTTTCTTTAAAAAAAAAGCTTACGTTCATCTTTTAATCCCTTGGATTGTATGCCAAAAATTCTAGTATTTGAAAATGGGCCTTAAATCAAAAAAGGCAGATAATATCAACTGGCAATGTTAGTAAGACCTTGAAGGATTTTAAGCAGGGGAGTGAGATGATTACATTAGAAAGAATGCTCTAGCAGATAACACAAGCAAGAAGGAAGAAAGATCTGTCCACGATAATGTGGTGGAAAACCAACAGATAAGGGCAAGTATCTGGGGCAAAACTGATAAACTCACCCAACTGAGACCAGGAGTCTTAGTAAAGATTGAGTTCCCTGTGAAGGACAGAAAACCCAAGATAACACTGTCTTAAACAAAGTAGAAATTTATTTCTTTGAGAAATTCAGAGCAGTTCACATGGGGTTTCCATGATCCCCAGAGACCTGGCTATTTCCAGCTCATGGCTCCTTCTACCTTGCTGCTCCACCACTCTCAGCACATGGCTCCAACATCATGATACAACATGGTAGTCAGAGCTCTAGCCATCAATGTATCTTATCTACATTCCAGGAAAAGAATAGAGAAAAGGTTAAAAAGAAAATAAAGTTACTGTTAAGGACACTTCCTGGGAGTCATAATTGACAATTCCACTTACATGCCATTGGACAGAACTTAATGGTATGGCCTAACTGCAAAGAAGGTTGGGAAATGTCTACTTCCGGGTGGCCATGTGTCCAGCTAAACATGGAAGGTTTTACTACTAAGGATGAAAAGATATATAGGTATTAGAAGACAACTAATGATCTCTATCATGCCAGATGTATAACCTGGAGAGGAAAGAAGAAAGGCAGATTATTGAGGAGTGTGTGAGGGCACTGCATTAACTTGTAGGACTTTGTACCTTCAGAATTGTTCTTTCCCAAACACATCTCTACTTCTGGCCCCACGCCTTGATTCCTGCTAAGTCCACCTGAAAAATCTGCCCACCTCCCACTCCCCATGCTCAATCCTACCATTTTTCCTATTAATATTCGGCTCATCCTTCAAATCCCATCTCAAATGCTATGTTAATCATGACGTTATTCTTGACTTTCTCCAAAGGGATAGAACTTGTCCCTCTAGAATTTCATGTATAGTTTTTCTAGGGCCTTAGTCTCCTCTTAACACCATGTTGTCTTAGGTCATTAGTACAGCTGGGTACTAGAGTATAAATTATCCAAGAGGTAAGACAGAACCTTCCCCAATTATTTTCTAGGTAGCACAGTGTAGTAGAATGCATCTAATAAATATCTGCAAATTACATCGACTATTTCAAGAAAGGAAAGGTATATGTAAAGGAAGGGGAGAAAACAATGTAAAGTCTTTTTGCCCTTTTAAGGGAAGCATTTGTGCAACAATTGAAATTTCCCGTAAATGCATTTCAAAACATATCTTTGCTAATGTTGCCATTCCTTTTTAGAGGCCTAATTTGGTGTGACTTGTTTTGCTGTACAAACCGTGGTTGCTTCTCACTTCCCAGGTTGTCCTAAAAGCTCTTGCTAACACAACAAGGAAAAATAACATTACAGTGGTTAAAATAGACAAAAGCCAACAGCAATAATCATATTAGCTAACATGTAACAAATGCCCAATCTGTTTCAATCACAGTGCCAAGCAGTTCCCATACTTTATCTCATTTCATCTTTTCAACAACTGCACGGGCCACAGGTGCCTCAATTATCCTGAGGGGATTGAGGGATTAAGTAACTTTTCCAGGTGAATAGCAGGGCTGGAATTCTTCCTGTTCATATGGCTCTATAAATATAGGTATTATTTCTTTTCATAATATTTTATATAGATCATCTTTTCATCTTTAAGTCTCCTTTGGTAACTAAACCCTGATATTACCCTTCTTTTATTATTATTATTACTATTATTTGTAGAGACAGGGATTCACCACATTGCCCAGGCTGAACTCAAACTCCTGGGCTCAAGCAATCTGCTTGCCTCAGCTTCCCAAAGTGCTGGGATTACCGGTGTGGGCCACTGTGCCCAGCCTTACCCTTCTTTTATAGATGCAGTGGAAAGCCTCATTTTTTGAAGCATTCTCAATTCCCCATTGGATATCAATAATACTCCAATTGCTTGTAAATTGCAAATTTTGTACATTCTATATTTGGGGTGAGTGGTATCTCAGAAAACAATTCCTACTGTAATTTATTTTTTGATGAATATATTAATGGAGGAATTTATTTGTGGTTGTGTGTGGATATTTTTATTTAAACACAAGTGGCATAAACTCTGTGGGTTCCTGGTAATCAATAATAGAAGATGATGATAATGACGTTCTTATTAAAACAAACTATCCTTTCTCCATACTAGATAAATAAGATGATTTGACTGTGTATTATTTGACTAAATGAATTCTATGTTATCTATTGTATTTGTCACCCTAGATTTGGTGACCTCAAAAAATGTTTGCGGCTCTGTGTGGTGGCTCGTACCTGTAATCCCAGCACTTTGGAAGGCCAAGGCAGGTGGATCCCTTGAGCTCAGAAGTTTGAGACCAGCTTGGGCAACATGACAAAACCCCATCTCTAAAAAAATATAAAAATTAGCCAGGCGTGGTGGCGGGCGCCTGTAGTCCCAGCTACTTGGAGGCTGAGGCACGAGAATCGCTTGAGTCCAGGAGGTTGAATGTGCAGTTACCCATGATCATGCCACTGTATCCAGCCTGGGCAACAGGACATTTGCCAAAAAAATCCGAAAATGCAAATGTTGATGACAAATTCTTACACCCTATGAATTAGGACCTATGCATGTGTAAGGTATTAGATTTCATAGTTTGGGATTTTTTGGTTTTATTTTGTTTTCCTTTGGCTTGCAGGGGCCAACACAAGGATATCCAGAAATATAGCAGTTTTTTGTTGTTGTTGCTGGAGCTAAATTTCGTCACTTTTGATAGAGAATTGAACCATACCAGCATGCTAAACCCATCAACTATCCCTCACACCTCTGAAATCTTTACTTTCTTCTTCTCTACCTTTTTGCCTCTGAGTCGATCCTTCTGCAGAAACTTTCCTCTTCTCCAGAAGCCCTTTCACCTGTATATCTAAACATGTTAAAGTTTTCTCTTGCCTTAAAAAGCAAACATTAAAAAAATTCTTTCTCGGCCGGGCGCGGTGGCTCACGCCTGTAATCCCAGCACTTTGGGAGGCCGAGGTGGGTGGATCACGAGGTCAGGAGATGCAGACCATCCTGGCTAACACGGTGAAACCCCGTCTCTGCTAAAAATACACACACAAAAAATTAGTCGGTCTTGGTGACGGGCGCCTGTAGTCCTTGGAGGCTCAGGCAGGAGAACGGTGTGAACCCGGGAGGCGGAGCTTGTGTGAGCCGAGATTGCGCCACTGCACTCCAGCCTAGGCGACAGAGCGAGACTCCGTCTCAAAAAAAAAAAAAAAAAAAGCTTTCTCAATGCTGCATTCCTCTCTAGCTTCCCCTTTATCTTCCCTTCTCACATTGGCCAAGCAACTTGACAGTGGTTTATGCTTCACCTCCCTCTTCTCTTCATTGCTCAATCCACTACTCTCTGGCTTCCATCTTCAACCAAATCACGACAGTCAACAAAATCACCACCTTCCCCATTCTCACCCCACTGCCAAATCTAGAGAATTTTCACTTCTTACTTCGGTGGTCCTCGGGACTGCATCTGGCATTGTTGGTTGGCTCTTTCTGGTTTATTTCATGGGTTTCTCTTCCTCTAGCCCTTTTTAAAACAATAAATTCTGGTGTTCTCTCAGCTTCCAACCTGTTTTCATTACCCTTCTCTTTACACACTCTTCTTGGGTTGAGCTTACCCACTGTCATAATTTCATCCACCACGTTATGTGACGTGGTCATGTCTACCTGGCACTTCCCCAGAGCTGTGGACTTAAATATCCAAGTGACTCATGGACATCTCCACTTCCACTCCCATAGGTTCTCAAATTTCATATGTCCAAAATTGAATTTAGCATCTTCCCCTTAAATCTGTCTGATTTAGTTTGAATATATGTCCCTACCAAATCTCATGTTGAATTATAATCTCCAGTGTTGGAGGTAGGGCCTGGTGGGAGGTGTTTGGGTCACGGGGGCAGAGCCCTCATGGCCTGGTGCTGTCCTCGCCACAGTGTCTTGTGGGATCTGATTGTTTAAGTGTGTGGCACCGGCCCCGCAATCTCTTGCTCTTGCTCGGGCCATGTAGAGGCCTGCCCCTTCTTCACCTTCTGCCATGATTGTAAGCTTCCTGAGGCCTACCTGGAAGCATACTGGAGCTATGCTTCCTGTACAGCCTGCGTAACTGTAAACCAATTAAACCCCTTTTCTTCCCAGTCTCAGGTATTTATAGCAATGCAAGTACAGCCTAACATACTGTCCTCTTCATATAGACTACTACCTCTGGTTAATGACTAGCCAGCCACTGAAGCCGAAAGCCTGGGCCACCTTCGTCTCCTCTCAATCTGTGAATCCACTTATATAAGTATTCCTTCTATTCATTCCTTCCTCTCTATCCTAACTTACTACTTACCTATGTCAGGCCCCCAGCATCTTCTGATTGAGCCATTTTAATAGTTTCCTAAATCTCCTGCTAATGGTTTTGATACCGCATTTTATAACATGAGTCTGACCATGCTTTATCAGTCGCCTGCTGAAAACTCTTCAGTGGGTCCCCCATTAATGCACCCAGGATTAAAAGGCCACCTATTTAAGGTCCTTCGAAACCTAGCCTCTTCCAATTTTTCCAGTTTTAATTTTGAGGCCCCACCCTAAAGGCAAGGCATCCTTCAATCCTCCTTCACCTGCCACAAAGGCCCCAGAGCTGAGCTAGATGTCCCAGCTCTGTACTCCCATTGCGACCAGTGCATAACTTTTATAGAAATTCATTAGTTTCTAAGATGGGAATGTTGGCTTTCTCCGTTTGAGAGATGCAGGTTCTGGGGATATACATAATAAACACTGAAACTGACAAAACAACTGTTTAAACCTTGAATTACTTACAGCTAAAAACAAAAAACAATTACTGTGCCTCCCCGTCGGGGAATCGAACCCCGGTCTCCCGCGTGACAGGCGGGGATACTCACCACTATACTAACGAGGAACCGCACGAAAGAAAGCCTTCTGATAGGCCTTTTCTACGTTTTTGCTCCGCCCCGCCCTCGCTATATGCAAACACCAATGAACCTGATTTTCTTACGTTTGCCACCACAGCTTCCACGAAAGTTGAACAGAGCCAAAATGGTAGTGTTCAGTTTTATCTCCCCCTCCATTCTCATCATTTCCCTTCGGCCACCCTTCTAACTGCCCCTACTCCCCTCCTCTTCTTCAGCTCCAGGAGCACGCTTGGTCCCCCTCAACATCCCTAACACACACGCTCCCAGGTAGCCAAGCGCCCGCTTGCCGCGCGGCACCATGGAACTTGTAGTTCCTTCACCCATCCCCCAACGCTCGTCTGACTTTAAGAAACTTCCTTTCCCGGCGTGCACCGCGAATCCCTCCTCCTCTTCTTTACCTCTCTCCCTCCTCCTCAGGTTCTCTATCGACGAGTCTGGTAGCTGAGCGTTGGGCTGTAGGTCGCTGTGCTGTGTGATCCCCCAGAGCCATGCCCGAGATAGTGGATACCTGTTCGTTGGCCTCTCCGGCTTCCGTCTGCCGGACCAAGCACCTGCACCTGCGCTGCAGCGTCGACTTTACTCGCCGGACGCTGACCGGGACTGCTGCTCTCACGGTCCAGTCTCAGGAGGACAATCTGCGCAGCCTGGTACAGTGGGGCGCCTGCCCAGTGCCCGCCTCTCCCGGGCTCCCTGCCCCTCGACCCTAGTCCTTGCGGGCTCCCGGATCTCCGGCTCACCCCGCCGCGGCCCCTGCCTAGCCCCACGTCCCCGTCTGCTCTTCTGTAGCCTCCATCCAACTCATGTTGTGCACTTCAGCCCCCAGATCTCTCACAGCACCCCTTCTCAACCCCGCTTACGCCTCTGCATCCCTTCCCTCAGCCCCCACTTATACGTATGTCTCCTCCGCCCCTCGCCTGGATCCTCTCTCCGAGGTCCCTGGGCACATCCAGCGCCTCGTCCACTCCTCTCAACTCACCCAGCCCTTAGGTGTCATCTTTGCAGTAGCCCCCATAATTTTAGTTCCTGGCTCTAATTACTCCATGGCCTCCCCATTGCTTCGGCCTGCGGCCCAGAACCCCCTTCTTCAGGCCCCAGACTTTTCCCAGCCCCCTGGGCACCTTCCTCAGTCAACAATCTCACCCAAGTCTCAGATCCCATGTCCTGTCGATCCCTGATCCCACGGTTGCCTCCCGGGAACACTTATTTCAATCCACAGGTCTGCAGGGCACCACCCATCCGTCTCCCTCCTAGTTCCCTGGATCTCCCTGCTAGTCGTTCTCAAGCCTCTTAGGATTTCCAGCCCCGGCCGGGCAGGCCTCTTCTTTCCGCCCTACTTTGAAACTAACAGTCCCTGCTTGCTAACTCTAGGCGCAGCTCTCTCTCTTCAGGGTCCTTTCTACTTTTTAATCTTATCAACTTTCTTCTAATAATTTAAGAACGGATGGGACGTTCAAATTTTCTAAGGATGATTCAATACGCTTTTTTAATAGTTGGTTCCAAGGAGCCAAGTAGTTATTTCACTTAGAAAACACATACTTCTACAAACTCTATAACCATTGGAATGAAGAAAGGTTGTAGATTCATGGAATATTATTCAATGATTTTATCTGTATCATAACCTATATTTAATGTTCTTGCTCAAATTGCCCAATAGTATTTGGTTTATACCTTTCATCTGAAGGTACCTTTCACCTGAAGAATTTCATAGAAGATCATTTTAAAAATAAGAGGGTCATGAAAAGACAGCCAAATTCGGCTTCTTCACCAGGGCAGGATGCTACATGTGTATTTTACACAGTGTAGCATGGTGAAATCTACTAAAGCACATCAATAAGCAATCAGATCAGATCGGGCAGATAAGAATTGGTGGCTTTCAGGCCTCTTTTTCCTACTTGTGTAGGAAGGATCTGAATTTTGATTTCATTAATATGAACTAATAAGTACTTACTTTCTTACTCTTCATCCCTCAACATTTTGCTAAACTGATTGATTTGAAAAATAGGTCGATTCCTCTATGTACTGATAGGTAATCAACAAAAGTACCATAAGAAAGAAAATTAAGATATTATAAGCAGGAAGGCATCTATTTCCTTGCAGATCGCACTTTGGTCTTCTTGAAGTACCATGCTATCTTTAATTGCAGTAGCAACTTTGCCTGGGCAGGGCTGAAGTCCTATTTCAATGCAGTTTCAAAACTAAACACCGCATGTTCTCACTCATAAGTGAGAGTTGAACAATGAGAACACATGGACACAGGGAGGGGAACATCACACACCAGGGCCTGTTGGGGGTAGGGGCCTAGGGGAGGGATAGCATTAGGAGAAATACCTAATGTAGCTGACGGGTTGATGGGTGCAGCAAACCACCATGGCATGTGTATACTTATGTAACAAACCTGCACGTTCTGCACATGTACCCCAGAACTTAAAGTATAATAATAAAAAAAGAAAAACCACACTGTGAGACTGCCATATTTGAACATGAGTTTATACGTCCTACATTCAAAAGTACTAGAGATTTAAAAATTAAGCAATTCAGGACACTTGTGTTCAGATGTGAATAATTGCAAACCAAAACCGAGGTCGCTAGTGGAAGAAATTTAAAGAGGTTTTTCTAATATATGAACAGCAAATTCTTCCTTGAATCTTTAGCTGCAACATATATTTCAGAAGAAATATTCCAATTGGTTTAAGATATAATAAAACCTTGACTAAGCCCCAAACCCACTCAAAGCTCTTAGTTAACTGGAAAGTTCTTGTTCTTCACCTTTATTTAAAAAAATTAAATTATAAACTATGCTGATAAAAGTAAAAGAATGAAAATTTTTATAGCTTTTTGCTGCTTAATGTGACCTCACACTTACCTTTGTTTTGTAAAATAAAAACTTAAAAAATTTATTATTTGAAGTTCAGGTGTACTTCAAATGTGCAGGTTTGTTACATAGGTAAACTTGTGTCATGAGGGTTTGTTGTACAGATTATTTTGTCACCCAGGTATTAAGCCTAGTACCCATTAGTTACTTTTCCTGATCCTTTCCCTTCTCCTACCCTCCACCCTCCAGTAAGCCCCAGTGTGTGTTCCCCACTGTGTATCCATGTGTTCTCATCACTTTTGTAGAATAAAAACTTTATCTCTGTTCTATAAGTAAGCAAGAGTCAGGATGTTTAAATTTTGAAAAGAATGTCCCAATCTAAAAATCTGCTCATTGTTTTTACATTCCCCAAATCTAGAGAAAAGTAAGATTTTAAAATAGTGATTTCTGGTTGGCATGTCTGTTTAGCAAATTAGAGCCTGGAATTATAATAATGTTACATGTTATACAAGGAAGGCAATTTATGGTACAAAATAACATGTTTATAATTGTTTGCTTATTTATGACAAAAGCCTTAGACCAGGAGCTTATCCTTATTAATTAGTTAATTAGTATTTATTTAAAGTTAACTTGTTTCTTTCCTCCACTAGATTGTGGACTCTTGAATGTAGAGACTGTGTTTCATAACTCTTTGTATCTCAGCTTCCTAGTATAGTCTATGTCTGGCATGTAGAGGACATTCAAAAGTTTGATTAATGGATGATTTCAATTAGAAAACAGTGCCTAAGCTTAACATGGGCTACATTGATAATAGTGCCAGCTGTATTTCAGAGGTGAGATGGGAAGACCCAGTGCCAGTGCGGAATCAGGAGAGACGTCATGTCTTCTTTTCCTCTCCGTTCTTAGAGTTTGTGATGTTGAGGAATGCTGAAGGAGACTTAATCGGACAAATTCTAAGCTTTCTAAAATTCTTTTCAAGTTTTGGGTTATTTACACTGAAGTTTGATCCTCCAAATTTATGATAACTTTCATACATTTGTTTCTTTTCACTGAAACCTTCAGAAATGTTTAGGTGTTCTTTTGGTTAGTGGCTCAAGAGGTTTTAGTGCCATGGCCAAGGCAGAAGCCAGCAGTTAACAATAGGTAATTCTGACTGCAAACCATCTTGTTTTCACTAAGTAAATGTCTCAACTGGGAATCAAATCAAGGTGGTTTTTTAGTTTTAGCTTTGTGTTTCACACATAAACCTATTTTTTTTCATCATATCCCTGCACATAGCAAGTAGAAAATGTAAATTTAGACATCATAATGAGGCATAAAGCTTTTTTTAAAAAAACTCTGCTTTGTTCTAGAAAGGACTGAGACTGCTTGAAGCAACATATATAGTATAAGATTAAAAATAATTAAATAATTTGCAGGAAGAGAGAATAGGGATAGGAGAAACAAAACCCATGGCATAAAGCCCTCTATACTTTAAAAGAAGTGGGCCACAGGGTTGACATGGAGCTTCCTACCAGCCTGTGCAAAAAAGGAATCAGATACCTATTCCATGTCAACTGACCAGCTACTGAGAAGTACAACTGCTTTTTAGGGGGATGGAGGGTATTGTTCAAAGAGGATACTGTGAAACATATAAATTATATCCTATAATTAGTAGAGCTGTTGATGCTTAACACGTTTCTTAAAAAGTACTAAATCCAACTTGTCAACAATCCAGTTTTCTTTATTTTTCTTTCTTATTACAGTTTTTGACTATTTTTTAAAAATAACATCGCTGAAATTTGAAGGGGAATTTTAAAAAGTAGTTTGCAAATGATAGTTGAGACTTAGGACTTGAGATAATACAGCTTAAACATTGCATTTTTTGTTTTCTCTTGGTCTAGGACCTGCTTCATGCATTAATTGACACCTAGTGTTTTTGAGGCAGAGTGCTAAACCCTGGGAATACAGACCTAAGTAACATTCTCTGTTTTAGAACCCTTAGTCTAATGGAAAAAGAAATCATTATAATGCAGTACAGTAAGTATTATAGGAAAGGGTAGGGCCAAGAGCTATAACAGACACAGGGGATATCAAAACGTTTCACAAAAAATAGTTGTCACTATGACACTTCTGATTCTGAACAGATTTGGAAAGTTTAGCCAATATAGAAAACAGAATATGTTCCACTGGGAAATGACCCAGTTAATTCATCTATATAAGCATGTGTTATAAACACAAGATACTCAAATCAAGTTTTTAAAACAAGTTAGCTATTCTGAATAGCTATTCAGAACTAGGTACTAGACTATGAAGAGACTAGAGAGGTACTAGAATATGAAGGAGTAACCCTATTATTTTAAATAAGATATAAACCGTATCTTCTACTAATTTAGAGTAAGGATAACAAATGAGGTACCCCCAAAAGAAAGTACCCAGGGGCAGCTGGGAAATGGCTGGTTCTTGGCCTCACATGTAGCCAGGTCAGATTTCAGAAAAGGAAAAAAATAATGCCAGAGGTAGGGAGATCTGGTAGAAAGCAGTTCTGCCAGTCCAGGGCCTGACCTGGGTTAGTAGTGGAAAGAAAGGAAAAGTATGAAGACATTGTGAAAGAACAACTTTTAAGTGGCTGTGTGGGGTTGGGAAATGGGATCAAACCTTAGGTAACTGGAAGAGTTCTTTTAACAGAATCAAGAAATCTGGGGAGAAATCTGATTCAGGGAGTATAAAAATCATTTTTGGAATTTTTAGAAGCCTATTCAATGTGTGGTGCTATGTCCCATGGAAATGTTGAGCAGGCGATTCGACTGAGGTCCTGGGGAGGGAATACAACTGTAGAACTAGAATGGCAGGCATCTTCACAGAGATACTAATTGAAGATGTGGGCATGAGTAAGAGCTAGGGAGTGAAGGATATGGCAAGAAAATCAAAGGACCGGGGCTGGAACATTGGGACATATCCATATTTTTGAATTGGAATAAAGGAGGGGAAAGGAAAAAAACATTAGACAAATAGAGAACCATTTATGATGTATGCGTACAGGCAAAGAAGTGAAGGAAGGGGTTTTAACCAGATGACATAGTCCATAAGGGCTGTGAGTAGACAGAGGTCAAGGTTATTGGACAGAAAAGACTTTGTTGATCGGGGTGGGGGCTGCCCTTTCAATAGCAAGAAGCCAGATGGAAGAAGGGGAAAGGGAGGATGATTAATGAAGAAGTAGAAGTAGTAGTCATAGCAGTCAAAAACTCCCTTGGAGTTTAAGGAAGGAAGGAGGAAAACTAGAATATTTAGTGGGTAGATCCATCAAGTAGAATTTTGTTTATGTTGTTAGGAAACAGTCTTGTGGCATAGGAAGGTTCAAGATTCTAGGACAAGAGATTAGTTGAGAGATAATTAAAGAGTATGATTTGTAGGGCTCAGGATTTTGGGGATAGAAAATACTCTGACACTTGATGTCACTCCTTCATGCCCAAAGCAGTTGTCCTTAATTGGCCATGGCAAGTAGATATGGCCTCCCAATCCTCTGCAGAATCATTTGGTCTGAGTTACCATACCAGGTTGGGCTTTTTCTAGATATACAACCACAGTGATATACAGTTTGCTGATTTGCTTAACGAACATGAAGTTTGAAAGTACATGAGTTCTAGGAGGAAATATATTGTGTAATGTATTGAGGAGCCAGAGTGAAAGAAACTTAAGTTATAGATAAAGTTTTTCATAATAGAGAAAATTTTAGGAGTCAGAAGCAAACATATTTTGATTTAGATTTGACTTTTACTTAAAGCCCAAAATTTGTGTGACTGTCCTAGGGTTATTTAACAATATATATGCAAATCTTAGAACCCAAAAATTTTCAAGATGCTTAGAGTCCCAAAAAATGAGACCTAGACTAGCTTTTGACTCTTCAATTCTTCTAATTTCACTCTGTATTTTACTCTCCATAAGCAACTAGTTGTTGTAGCCTATATCTAATATGAGTTTTTTCTGGTAAATGAAACTATTTTCTTACTATTTAAAAATATTAATTTTAGGTTTTGGATACAAAGGACCTTACAATAGAAAAAGTAGTGATCAATGGACAAGAAGTCAAATATGCTCTTGGAGAAAGACAAAGTTACAAGGGATCGCCAATGGAAATCTCTCTTCCTATCGCTTTGAGCAAGTATGAATGTTATGATCTTTCTCTTTTACAGCTAAATAATGGGGAAACATATTCTTAACTAATTTAAATATTTTTTCTTTTTAAATTTTAGTTTGTAAATATGTAATGATTGGTACACTACTTATCCTGATCTTCTGTTCAGATTAAAGTTGATACAGCAGTTAAAATTATATATACTTAAGATACTAAAAATGTTGTTTGTATATAATACAACAAGGACTTTGGGAACTGTTAGTTTCTAAACGATTCATCCTTTTACTAATATCTAGAGTGATGGTGGGGGCATGCCATCATAAGAAGGCATTTCAAGATAACCTGGGCAGCTTTACAAGTTGCACCCTCCTTGCCCTTGCCCCAGAGGCCAGCTGCATTTATTAATGGGACAATGATAATGCCAAAGATAGAACTGTTACAGTGCAGCAATCTTGGGATAAGTGCTTTAAATGCATTCTTGTATCTAATCCTTACAGTAACCCTGCTGGTATAATCTACACTTAAAGATGAGGAAAGGGAACCTTAGAGAAATAACTTATTCAAGAAAGTGGCAACCAGAATTGTCACACTGGGAGTATATGCCACCTCTTGAGGGGAAAGAGGGTGAAAACTATTGGCCTAGAACAAGGGTGATCTACCCCAGTTGTTCAGAGGCCAGTGTTTTCATGCCTTCTCTTTCCCTTTAAGAGAAGGGAAACACTTAAGTCTAGCTTGTGAGGTAGATGGTATTCACCCCATTCTACAAGGAAACTGTGGCATAGGGAGGTCAAATAATTTCCCCAAGTTTACAGTACCAGTAAGTGATAGAGTCAGGATTCGAACACCAGCAGGGCTGCTGGTCTCTAAACCTCTGCTGTTTCCTTATTATCAGTGCTTCTCAAACTCTCTGGGGTAAAGGACCAATTTCTATCCTCTTCAATCTGTCATAGACTGATACTTTTGTACAATGCAATAAAAATGAAATATGAGGAAGAAGAGATGAAATACAAGCACACATTTTTTATTATTAGATTCAACAGACAAAAATGACTCTAAAAGTTTTGCAATGCTGACTCTCAACTTCTGGTCTTGTCTTGTCCTGGGCCGGTAACAGTTTGCAGACTAGCACTGCTCTGTGTCATGCTGTGGCACCTGCTGCTGTGGTAGTTGAAGCCCCAAAAATGATTTCTTTTACTTTTTCACTCTAATAAAATATTAAATGATATCACAGATGCAAAGTACGTGACACACAACGGGGTAGTCAACCACTGTTAGTTGCCATTAAGCCTTCGCTAGCAGTTAGCATGGGAGAGGTAAAAGGACCCACAGGCTGGCAATTAGGTAGGAAAACTGAGAGGAGACTTACCCACTGAGGATGTGGCATACCTAGAGCTTACTGCCAATCAGTGATGAGAATGCATACTATGTTATTTATATTATTCAGTGTATGTATTATGAGTTTAAATTTTCACTAGATGGAATCATACTCTACTAATATATTTATGTGTTTCATACAGAAATCAAGAAATTGTTATAGAAATTTCTTTTGAGACCTCTCCAAAATCTTCTGCTCTCCAGTGGCTCACTCCTGAACAGACTTCTGGGAAGGAACACCCATATCTCTTTAGTCAGTGCCAGGTAAAAAGGATTCCAGAATGATTTCTGATGCAGAAAATTTCAGCACCTATGGTTGAATGAAGCAAAATGAACAGTGGTTTTATGGATTATGTAGGTTTTACCTAATAAAATGTATTAATTGATCTTATAGAAACATATAAGATGAATTATATATTTTCATTTTATCTTTCACTATTAATACACTCATGCCTTACTTTAAATAAGAAGCTTCTTTCAGTTTGGAAATATGTCCACCTAGATTGGACTCTCTAGGCCTGACTTAGAACTTAGCAGAGAGTAGGTACTCAGTAAATAGTCATAAAATGAAAGGAAAAATTAATAAATAATATGTACTGGTTATGAAAAATGCTAATAGTAAAGAAATGGAAAGTGAAAGATTTAATTTCCAAACCTTTTCCAGACACCATTGCCCAGAGGTAACCACCATTGAGTTTGGAATGTAGCTTTTCCATATTTTTCTTACACATTTACAAAAGTATGTATTATATCAATATATTAACTGTACCTTTAAAATTGCATGACTTAAACTACTTTTGTTTTCTGTTTTAAAACTAAGGGTAAAGAGCCATACAATTAGAGATAACCTGTCACAAGGATAATACATTTCAAACTGTCTTCTGAAAGAAAAAATACCTACTTTTCATAGTAATCAAATAATTTACAATTAAGGGAACTGACTTCATTAAACGTTTGCTCTATTTCCAGGCATTGTGCTAGATTCTTTACATGTTTCATCCCTCCCAATATTCCTGTGTGTTAGGTTCAAATTTCAATACAAGTCCATTTAAAAAAGGAATTAGCATATGAATCAGACCTGTTTACTTTCTATGGCCACTTGAAACATCTTTTTAATCTAAGAAACCCTCAGTTTAATAATCTAGAAGAGATGAAATGTTCTACGCAAGAGTGTACAAATTGCACAATCTGTATCTCATAAATATCTGATTTTCAGGCAGTATGTCTTAATAGAATGTCTATTAACCAAAGTTGGCAAGAAATGCAAGATTTATGAGTCATGAAAATGTTAATTTTGAATATATTATTCCATTTCTTATTGGCAGCAATGGTGGGAATATGGGAAACAGATTTCAGCTAAATTAATAAATGATTGAGGTGATAGGAATCATGTAGACATGATTTTGTTTGATGAATTTGCTTACGGTTGTTCTGTATGCATATTTGCCTGGGTTTGGCCTTATCCAATGAAATACATTTAAAAACCCCTTTGGTGTTGCCATGTCACCTAACTAGAAACCATTAAGGAACTATAGAGGCATGGTCTTGGAAATCTATTTTGGGAGAGAGAACCAGGTGGCTCTGCTAGTCCTACTTAATCCATCTAGAGGTCATTTGGGAGCCTATATCTTTGGAGAATTTTCTAGAACTGAAATGAAAAGACCTGGAGTTTGGGGGTTTTAAGAAAGCTTGTGGTGGAATGAAGTATGTTTAGGATTTGTAATAGCTTCAGAGAAGGGTGTTAATATCAGAATTCCTTTGAGTTTAGTAGACTGTCTCAATGAGGCTGGGTTTTCATTTCATTGTTCACCAGCAGTAGACAGACTTATTTGTAAACAGACCGGGTATAAGATTGTAGGTGCTCTTTTTTTTTTTTTTTTGGAGACAGGGTCTTGCTGTGTTGCCCAGGCTGTAGTGCAATGGTGCGAACTTGGGTCACTGCAGCCTAGAACTCCTGGGCTCAAGCGATCCTTTTACCTCAGCCTCCTGAGTAGCTGGGACTACAGGTGTGCACCACCATGCCCAGCTAATTTTTTTTGTGTAGAGGTAAGGTCTCACTATGTTGCCCAGGCTGGTCTCAAATTCTAGAGCTCAAGCAATCCTCTCATCTGAGCCTCCCAAAGTGCTGGGATTGCAGGAGTGAGCCACGGCACCTGGCCTGTGGTCATACTGGATGGAACCAATGTTAATAACGATTGGTGTGGCAGTACAGAAACACTTTGCATATGATATGAATGAATATGTCTAGATGGTATTGAAAGAGACTGTTCTTTCTCCCTTCTTTGCTTCTTTGTTTTACTTACAAGGTTTGCTGCAAGATTGAAGTGTCAGGATTACAGCAACATTTCTCAGGCTGTGTTCATTAGAATACTGACATCCCATTAGGTGTTAAACCAGAGAGAAATGGGTTTTGTGTTAACATAAATGTAAGAAATCAAACAGGTTTCTTTATTGTAGGTCTGTTCAGAGCCTTCAGGCGGCTAATATTCTAGTGGCTCTGCAAGACAGTGGTGCAGTATGCCATACTTCTCAGGTCTGTTTTGCTACAGAGCCCTTTTTTCTCAGGTTTCTAAAAGCTTCTCACTGGGCACTACTGTCACCCAGACCATAGAGTAGGAAACACTGCTTAAGAGTTTCTCCATGCTTCAACTGAAATGTGAGGGTTAACCATAGATTAAAATGGAAAATCTGATTTTTAAAAGTCCAAGAATCTATTTTTGGACTTTAAAAGATCCCAAAAGGCCAGGCGTGGTGGCTCACGCCTGTAATCCCTGCACTTTGGGAGGCCGAGGTGGGCAGATCACCTGAAGTTGGGAGTTCGAGACCAGCCTGATCAACATGGAGAAACCCCATCTCTACTCAAAATACAAAATTAGCTGGGCGTGGTGGTACATGCCTGTAATCCCAGCTACTCGGGAGGTTGAGGCAGGAGAATTGCTTGAACCCGGGAGGTGGAGGTTGCAGTGAGCCAAGATCATGCCATTGAACTCCAGCCTGGGCAACAAGAGTGAAACTCCGTCTCAAAAAAAAAAAAAAAATCCCAAGAAATGAGGACTGTTTTTATTTTAATGTCTAAGAACAATGCTGCAATTTTTAATGATTTCTTAATGACTTATGCGAAAGATAAATAGCTATTTCTTCTTGTTTCTCCCTTTTTCAGGCCATCCACTGCAGAGCAATCCTTCCTTGTCAGGACACTCCTTCTGTGAAATTAACCTATACTGCAGAGGTAAATATTACGAATTATTAACTCAATTAAATGATGCATATCAGTAAATATGGTATAAATGATAAGCAGAGATGATAATTGAATTCCTAGAGCTAGAATTATTTTTCTTAATGAAATTCTACCTGAAATATGTAAACAAAGAGGCTGTGGCACTCATTCTGAATCTCTACTTTAAAGGCAGTTTTAAACATTTTAACTGTGAAAAAAAGGAAATGGAAACCAATCTGACTTTTAAAAAGGAATTCAGGGCTAGGTGTGGTGGCTCACACCTGTAATCCCAGCACTTTGGGAGGCCGAGATGGGTGGATCACGAGGTCAGGAGATCGAGACCATCCTGGCTAACATGGTGAAACCCCATCTGTACTAAAAAAAACACAAAAAATTAGCCGGGCATGGTGGCGGGCACCTGTAGTCCCAGCTACTCGGCAGGCTGAGGCAGGAGAATGGCATGAACCCAGGAGGCAGAGCTTGGAGTGAGCTGAGATGGCACCACTGCACTCCAGCCTGGGCGACAGAGCCAGACTCCGTCTCAAAAAAAAAACCCAAAAAACAAAAAAACAAACAAACAAAAAGAAGAAATTCAGAATCCTGGATCTAGAAATAAGAACTTAGGAACAATTTTTACTTAACTTTTAAAAATTGACATTTGCATGATTTAAGTTTCTATAAATGCATTCTGTAGCCATATAAGCCTAGTGGGCATATATTCCAGACTTGTCTGTATGCAATTCCAACTTATTCCCTTGGTAGGTACTGCTAATCCTTTTTGGAAAAGGCGGACTGTAATTACTAAATAATCACTATCCCGGAGGCTAGACCTACTTAGACCAAGCAAATAGAATGAGGACCAACCCATATTTATGGGGCCTTCTTGCTTCCCAAATCATCCCACAACCAAATTACATCTAGGATAGTGCAGTGATATATTATACTTGGAGGCAAAGAATCCCAGGGCTCTGGCTCTTCTCCACCACTTAATAACTGCGTGAAGTCCCAACTACTTGGGAGGCTGAGGTGGGAAGATCACTTGAACTCAGAAGTTCAAGGCCAGCCTGGGCGACATAGCGAGACCCCATTTCTAAAAAAATAAATAAATAATGATGTGACACTTGAACAAGTTTTATGACCTCGCAACCTCAGCTGGCACATATATATAACGTATCACCACCTAAATGAAGGGAGGTGGCTGAACCGAATTATTTCCTGAATAGTTTTGTGCTTTAGAATCTACAATTGTTGTAGCACTGGTTCAGGAACTTCTAATTCTGTGCCTGCCTCAGTCACAGCTTTGGGTCCTGAGCCATGCAAGAAGAACATGAAAGTCTAGCCCCTACTGGAATATATTCTTGTTTGATCATTAATACTTGGGGGAGTCCTTTATTCTGGCATTCATCAGAAATCAAACTTTCAGAATCATGGAGCTAGGATACACAGTTAAATGACTATATGGTTTGCCGCATAAGGGTCTTTTCCGTATGGATTTCCAGAGAAAATTATTTGACAGTTTTTAGCAATAAATTTTAGTTTTTCACAGTTACTACTTTTAAAATGTTCCTCTATTTGTAACTCCAAGTGTGTGTTTTCAAAACAAAATTGTTCAAAACCATTCTGTCCTACAGTGAGTATATAACGTCCTTTTGAATCTGTTTTGTGAGTGTAGCGGGAGCAGGGATGGTGGCTGCCATTGCCAGGGATGGTGCTGGGCTCTTCACTTATATTATTTATTCCTTGCAGCAAGCCTTTGAAGTTTTACACTTACTTGATGGGGAAACTGAGGCTCGGGGGTTATATTTATTTGCCCAAGTTTGTGCAGTTAGTTATTAGGTGGCAGAGCTGGGATTTTAATCCAGTTTCTACCAAAACTCTGCTCTTAATGTGCATGGGTGAATGGATAGAAATTTCACATTCACTTTTAAAGAAGCCAGTTTCCCATATTGCTAATTTTATTTACAAAACTGATATGTATATGTGTATATATATACTTTTTGTATATGTGTTTTATATATATACACATATATATGTGTGCATATATATACACATCTATACACGTTGTGTTCATATATATGTGTGTGTATATATATACTTTTTGTATATGTATATACTTTTTGTGTTCATAGTCTGTTTATTAGATAGTCAAGAATGGGAAGAAAAGGTTATTTTACATATATGGTTTAAGACACATAGAAGCTTTTATTTATGACTAGAAATGATTTTTCTCCTTGATTAGGTGTCTGTCCCTAAAGAACTGGTGGCACTTATGAGTGCTATTCGTGATGGAGAAACACCTGACCCAGAAGACCCAAGCAGGAAAATATACAAATTCATCCAAAAAGTAAGATCCTAGGGTCTAGATTTTTGTTTTCATTGGCGGTAAACTACAGTTAGCTTGTACACATCCAGAGGGCAAAATTACTTTTGAAATATTTCAGAATTTTGAGAACAGCTTTTGGTTTTTGTTTTCTTCATTTTTTTTTCTTTTGTGCTTTTAAAGGGTTTTGTTCTACTTACAGAGTGTTGTATTGAAGAGAGGGTTTGCTGTAGAGACAGAATAGGGAGCATACCTGTTTTCATTTTCCCTCACTCCAGTTCAGGGGCTGGCTTCCTGTTCTTTTGAGTTCTTACGCATTCACCTGCCCTGGTACTACAGTGTGGGCAAGTGGCTGTTGAGAGTGTTTACAAATGGAGGAGTCAAGACCAAAAAAGCACTCAGTTACAGTCCTGGTCATTAGACATGTATCTTTGACCTTCAGTGAACAGAATGTGTATGCATGCGTGAGTGTGTGTGTGTGTGTGTGTGTGTGTGTGTGTGTGTTTTCTTAATTGACCTCACAATGGATAATTTGACTTCCACTGCAGCTTCTGTGGTTCCAAGCTCCCATAACTTTGGCATCTACTTATTGCCGGGTAACTCTGTGTGCCTCTACAACATGCCAATAGTGCTTTGAAACATAAAGGAATAAAAAAAGAAAACCAAAACCTTTTAAAAGTCAGGAGGAAAAAGGCAAACATATGGGAAATGCGCTTCCTGTAGGTTACTTTTTGAGAAATGCTCAAAATGCACCTTTTAATAGTATGTGTGATCTTGTTTTTCATGTGTGAGAAGCTTTTGTTCCTAGCAGAATAAAAGGCAAATAGATGTTTTGAACAATGTTTTATATCACAATTTTAAGCTATATGTTAAAGATGAGAACTATTTGAGAAGTATAAAAGCAAAGTTATCCCTACTAATATTAGGAGATTTGAAAGGGAATTTACTTACTTTTAAATATGAATTGTCTTACTGTGTAACATTTGTGAACACTAATGCAAGCACGTGGTGTGCGTTTGTTTGCCCTCTTTAGGTTCCAATACCCTGCTACCTGATTGCTTTAGTTGTTGGAGCTTTAGAAAGCAGGTGAGCTTTTGGAAAAATTTTCAGGTTTGTGGAAAGATCAAAACTTAGGCATCTTGAACTTCTCTCAAGGTTAATTGGTCAATCATTTGCATATTTCTCAAGATATCAAGCTGACAGCTCTAGAAAAATTCAAATCTAAAATGTAGGCAACAAATTAATTTTACATTTAAAAATCTTGACCAGTTACCCCTTATTTTTTCAAGTATTGTAAAATGAGCATGCTCTTACCTTTAGAGATCTGGATTCTCATGTAAGCTTGAACAAGTCACTCTCAATCTCTGTTTCCTTATCCTTGAAATTATAATGTCTGACTTTCTACCTCATAGGGTGGTTATGTGAAACAAATGAGATAAAATATATTAAAGAACTTGGAAGCCTACAAATATTACAGAAATGTAAGATATTTTATCAATATTTTACAAATAAAGTGCCCTTCCTTCTTAATTTTTTGTTCATTCTTAGTTTTAAGCACACTTAACTGTTTTTAAGTGTGCGGTTCAGTAGTGTTAAGTATATCCACATTGTTGTGAAACAGATCTTCAGAAATTTTTCATTTTGCAGAACTGAAACTCTGCACCAATTAAACAATAGCTCCTCTTTCCCCCACCGCCCAGTCCTTGGTAACACCCATTCTATTTTCTGTTCCTATGAATTTGATTACTTTAGATACCTCACATAAGTAGAATCATACAGTATGATTTTATCTCTTTGTGTCTGGCTTATTTCATTCAAGGTGTCATAATGCCCTTAAGGTTTATCCACGTTATAGCATCTGACAGGATTTCCTTCATTTTCTATTTGTTTCTTCTTATATAAGAGTATTCAACCTTTAAGTGCATGACAAAGTTTATACCCATTCCTGTTCTAGAATAGTCTTACAGGCTGGGCTCTGTGGCTCATGCCTGTAATCCCGTCACTTTGGGAGGCCAAAGTGGGAGGATCGCTTGAGCCCAGGAGTTCAAGACCAGGCCGGGCAACATAAGTGAGATCATGTCTCTACAAAAAAATAAAAAATTAATCGGGCATGGTAGTGTATGCCTGTAGTCCCAGCTACTCAGAAGGCTGAGGTGGGAGTATTGCTTGAGCCCAGGAGGTGGAGGCTGCAGTGAGCTGTGATGGCCCCTCTGTACTCAGCCTGGGCAACAGAATGAGACCCTGTATATTTAAAAAAAAAAAAAAAAAAAACGCTGGGCGTGGTGGCTCACGCCTGTAATCCCAGCAATTTGGGTGGCCGAGGCAGGCGGATCATGAGGTCAGGGAATTGAGACCATCCTGGCTAACACAGTGAAACCCTGTCTCTACTAAAAATACAAAAAAAAGAAAAAATTAGCTGGGCGTGGTGGCGGGCACCTGTAGTCCCAGCTACTAGGGAGGCTGAGGCAGGAGAATGGTGTGAACCTGGGAGGTGGAGCTTGCAGTGAGCCAAGATCGTGCCACTGCACTCCAGCCTGGGTGACAGAGCGAGACTCCGTCTCAAAAAAAAAAAAAAAAAAAAAAAATAGTTTCTTATGAGTTGTGACTGGGTTTCTATAGTTGTGAAATTGAGGGATGAAATGAGACCCTCAAGAGGTCTTACAAGAGGCAATAAACTAATTGGGGACACCTTATGTCTTGGTTTTTTTCCTTTGGCCCAGCCTGTACCTCCTTAGAGAGCTGCATATCTATTGCTGCATATACAACAGCAGGTTTGCAGCTCACGCCATGTAACCTCATCCCTTTCCCATAGGCACATGGTAAATGCACTCTCACTGTAAAGGTTTGTCTACAAGACATTAACTACTTTTTAGAACCAGATGAATCATTTGCCATGAATTTCTTTTTTATTAAGCTTTTTAATCTTGCAGGCAAATTGGCCCAAGAACTTTGGTGTGGTCTGAGAAAGAGCAGGTGGAAAAGTCTGCTTATGAGTTTTCTGAGGTTGGTCATTTAGTTATCCTTTGTAATCATTGTGATAGACAGTAGATTGAAGATTTTGAGTGTGAAATGTGATGGTTTTAAGTGATACGGGGAAAGAACCAGATTGTCTTTTATGTAGATGTGTAGTTGCTACATTCTTTTTATCATTTTCATTTAACATAAAAATCATTAACTTGTAACCTTCATAGAAAGCAATATACAATTTTAAGAAATGTACAATGGTGATAATTAAGGCATACAGACATATATATGTTGATTTTTCAGACTGAATCTATGCTTAAAATAGCAGAAGATCTGGGAGGACCGTATGTATGGGGACAGTATGACCTATTGGTCCTGCCACCATCCTTCCCTTATGGTGGCATGGAGAATCCTTGCCTTACTTTTGTAACTCCTACTCTACTGGTAAGTGTAAATGTTTCTTCATTTGAAATTGACGTTTCAAAAATAAACTTAAGAACCTTAGGAGTCCTAATAATATGTATATATATGTAAAGAACCTTAGAGTCCTAATAATGTATATATGTATAAAAATCTTTTCTCTTGTTCGTGTAACCTTTGTTTCTAATTTTATTGTTTATTGTGGTTATCACAATCTCATTTTTTTTTTGTTGTTTTTTGAGACACAGGCTTGCTCTGTTGCCCAGGTTGGAGTGCAGTGGCACAATCTCAGCTCACTGCAACCTCTGCCCCCGGGTTCAAGCGATTCTCCTGCCTCAGCCTCTTGAGTAGCTGGGACTATAGGTGCACACCACCATGCCCAGCTAATTTTTGTAATTTTAGTAGAGATGGGGTTTCACTATATTGGCCAGGGTAGTCTCGATCCTCTGACCTCGTGATCCACCTGCCTTGGCCTCCCAAAGTGCTGGGATTACAGGCATGAACCACCCCACCAGGCCTCCATCTTGTTTTTGAAAGGAAAATAATCAGGCCATTTGGAGAAGGAGAATATTATGTTCACGGTATTTGGGGAGTTGGGCATGGGGGTGCTGTGTAACAACAATTCATTGATAAATTATGTATCCAGACAATCAGACTATACCAATTACACTTGGTGTGTAGGTACAATTAAAAAAAAAATCAGTACACCATGTACAGGAAAGGATTAGGGCCATAGAACGCTGCTATGTTTAATATGCCTGTGAGCTACTTTAAATTCTTCTTAGAACCAAAATGAGTGATGGATTAGCAATAAAATAAATAAAATACAGCACAGGACACATAGGACACTCTAAAGTTTTATTAAATATATTTTGGGTAATAGGAGAGAAAGAAAGTGATGGGTAAATAAGAGCAGATATAAAAATGGAAGTAGAAGAAATGTTTCATGGAAGTTAGACACAAATAGACTGGCTTTCATTGTATTGCAAAAATTCCCTAGAATTAGGGCAAGAAAGAATGATGCTAATTTTTAGTTCTGTATTTTTTTTGTTTTTTCAATTAAGGTCTCTTTTACCTTCTTTGAAGTGCTGTAGTAGAAATACAGTGGATCACCAGTGCCAGTATGCTAAGTATTTAGGTAGGCAGTCTTTTAGATAGTCTGTAATTCGATTACTAAAATACTAAGGTAATTTTCTTTTTTTGTAGGCAGGCGACAAGTCACTCTCCAATGTAAGTTAAACTTTTTCATTATGGCCTTACCTTCAAGAAGTATTACGTCAACTGATTTTAAAATATCCCTTGTATTTTTATGTTAAAGATATGGTTATAATGGACAATTTGGGGACTCTTCTCACATTATTAACAATTAGATGTAATAGATTTAAGGAAATTTTATGGTTTGATCTCTTCATATATTTATGAAATATTTTTAATGCAGTGATATATCTATTTAATATTTTCTAAGTAATTTTTGTTTTCTAATTACTTTATGCCATATTTGTGTGTGTGTGTATGTCTTTGGTTAAATTAAAGATTTTGCTGAACTGAGTAACTCCCTGAATATCTCAGCTAATATTTTTTAAAAATTGAATAACATGGAGTGTTTACAGTAGAATGGGTTATTTTAGGTTAAGATAATCAGTCTTACTATTAATCACACTGTTTTCTTTAGGTCATTGCACATGAAATATCTCATAGCTGGACAGGGAATCTAGTGACCAACAAAACTTGGGATCACTTTTGGTAAGATTTTTGTTATTATTTCTTTATTGGTTCATGTTGCTGATTTTTTTTTCCCTGCCTCCTACCACTCTGAATTGTTTTGTGTGTATCTCTTGTTTTTCTTTGTTATCATCTCTTAGGTAGGCAAGGATTTTTTTTTTTTTTGACATGGAGTCTCACTCTGTCACTCAGGCTAGAGTGCAGTGGTGCGATCTAGCTCACTGCAAGCTCTGCCTCCCAGGTTCAAGTGATTCTTCTGTCTCAGCCTCCCGAGTAGCTGGGATTACAGGCATGCGCCACCACGCCCAGCTAATTTTTTGTATTTTAGTAGAGATGGGGTTTCACCGTGTTGCCCAGGCTGGTCTCGAACTCCTGAGCTCAGGCAATCCACCCACCTTGGCCTCCCAAAGTGCTAGGATTACAGGTGTGAGCCACCATGCCCAGCTATTTTTTTTTTTTAATTGGAGACAAGGTCTCACTCTGTGGCCCAGGCTGTAGTGCAGTGGTGCAATCTCTGCTAACTGCAACTCCAGGGTTGCAATCCTCCCTCCTCAGCCTCCAAAGTGGCTGAGACTAAAGGCGCATGCCACTATGCCTGGCTAATTTTTGTATTTTTTATAGAGATGGGATTTCACCATGTCGCCCAGACTGGTCTCAAACTCCTGAGCTCAAGTGATCCGCCCACCTCGGCCTCCCAAAGTGCTGAGATTATAGGCATAAGCCGCCACGCCCAGCCAACAAGGATTTTTTTTTTTTTTTTTTTTTTGAGATGGAGTCTCACTCTGTCGCCCAGGCTGGTGTGCAGTAGTGTGATCTCTCTGCCTCTCAGTTCAAGCAATTCTTGTGCCTTAGCCTCCCGAGTATCTGGGACTACAGGTGCACGCCACCATGCTCAGCTCATTTTTGTATTTTTAGTAGAGACGGGGTTTCACCATGTTGGCCAGGCTGGTCTTGAACTCCTGACCTCAGATAATTCTCCCGCCTCGGCCTCCCAAAGTGCTAGGATTACAGGCGTGGGCCACCATGCCCGGCCAACAAGGATAGTTCTTAAAAATTCTGTAACACTTATTACAGCGTTAGGAGTGTTAGGTTCAGTCTAGGTGTTAAGTTTAATTCCTGATATACTCCCACTTTTAACATAGGGACATGCAAGAGCAGAAGCAGGGCTTAACTTTCCCTGCTGCCATCTGCTGGGCTGGGCTTCCCATTGCTCTGGATTGACTGCCTGGGAGCCAGAGTCGGCTTAGACTGTAGTGGTCATGCCTTACAACTGCTTTCCTCTGTAGAAAAGCCAAAAAGAAAATATCTTGATTGAAATGTCTTTTCTTCTCAGCTGTGTCCGTGTTTTTATTAAAATATTTTTTTTTCAGGTTAAATGAGGGACATACTGTGTACTTGGAACGCCACATTTGCGGACGATTGTTTGGTGAAAAGTTCAGACATTTTAATGCTCTGGGAGGATGGGGAGAACTACAGAATTCGGTAAAGGAGTCAAAGTTTTAAAAACCTTCATCCAAAGTTGTATAGGTGTTAAAAACTGAGTTTTTATAAAAGCGTCTTTACTGTGTAGCAACCAAAAAGTCATTTTTACAAGTGTGGAAAGTGAAGTCAATGCTGGTATAACACTGTGTTGATCCACACTGTTCACTGTTCTATGTAAGGTAGTTTTGATGACCTGGTCTAAATAGGGAGCTGTGGGACCTCACTGGGTCTTTGCTATTAATATAGCTGTTTACTATGTTTGCATCTTATTTGGTATGTCATTTTTAAGTGTTGTCTCCTGAAAGCCAAATTTGCTGACCAGGCATTAAATCATTTTTCTAGTCTTTTTATAAGAATAAAGCCTGTATTATTGAGCAAGAAACAACAGAGAATATTACTTAAGTAAGCATTCTATTAATAGACTTCCAGAAGTTTATGCCAACATATCCTAGTGTTCCAGTCTCCAAGTTTTAGATTCCCCTAAAGTTACACCACTGAGTGAAGTAATACCTCCTTATTAGCTTATTTGCGTGGTGATAGCAGTCTTTCTATATGTTTCTCCATGTTATTTCATGTCTTGCAGGTAAAGACATTTGGGGAGACACATCCTTTCACCAAACTTGTGGTTGATCTGACAGATATAGACCCTGATGTAGCTTATTCTTCAGTTCCCTATGAGAAGGGCTTTGCTTTACTTTTTTACCTTGAACAACTGCTTGGAGGACCAGGTAAGTAGTTGGTATTTTATGATTTTTTTTTTCTTTTTGAGGGTAATGTGAGAATTAGGAAGAATTGTAAACTATTGTTTTGTTCCATTTAATACTTCCAATTCATTCTGGATGTAGCTGCTGAAGAAATCTGTATTGTTTTCTGAGTTACCTCTCAACTTAAAACCATTAATAACCCCTAAGGTTTAAATTATGCTGCTTCATTTTTTAAAAAATCTCATCAGTTTTTGAAATTAGGATAATAGTGTGTATTCCCTGAAAACATTTCTATGGTACAGAAGTTTATAAGAGTAACAAGTGAGAGTCCATCAACCCCTTTCCACTCCCCAGGGGTAACCACTGTTAGCAGTTTGGTGTAAATGGCTCCAGATCATTTTCTAGGTGTAAATTAACAAGCAGACAAATAAATACATGTAATTATTTTAATTACAAAAAATGGGTCATGCTATATATTGGCTCTGCATTTGTGTTTTGTTTTGCTCGATATTTCACATACACCCTTCTGTGTCAGTACATATAAATCTGTTTCATACTTTTTAATGCCATCATACTAGTTCATGATAAAGCTATGCTGAGTTATGTACCCATCCCCCACTGATGGACATTGAGGTGTTCTCCTTGGTTGATTGACTTGGAAGGCTGTCTGTCACCTGGATCCATTCTGCCTGTCCAGTCTTATTTTTCTCCTTTCTAGTCATGTGAAGGTTATTGCTTTTAGAACTTGGGTTATGCATTCCTTTTCTGTGTCTTCATGTGTTATCCCCTTACCTATAATTAGAATTTCTCTTCTCCCTTCCACTGAATTACATATATTCTTCAAGGCCCAACTTAAGTCCCACCTCCTTTTTTGAACATTCTTTCACTCTGAAAGTCCTCGTAGATTTCCCTATTCTCTGAATGTTCTCTGTTCTCTGTGGTTAATAGTACAATGCCAAACACGCACACAAAATGTCAAATAATTACCTTTCTATGAATTGATTTCTTTTCTTTTTTACTCTTAGAGATTTTCCTAGGATTCTTAAAAGCTTATGTTGAGAAGTTTTCCTATAAGAGCATAACTACTGATGACTGGAAGGATTTCCTGTATTCCTATTTTAAAGATAAGGTTGGATTTAAAAACCTTTTCTATTTTTCATGCTCGATATATCTCTATTTATTGACTGATTAGGTTAACTTGTATTATCTAATAGTAGTATTGGTTCAGAACTTTAGGACTCAACCTCTCATTGCATATTTTTTCTATTTTAAATGTGATCTTAACCACATGAACTACCTGTAGAATTTTCCTATTTCAGAGAAGTCATCAATAGTATGGTGATGAATATAAATTTTAGAAGATAGAGTTAGATGAGGTAATGGATATATTAGCTTGACTTAGTCCACATTGAGTACATATATCAAAACATCGCATTGTGTCACATAAGTATACACAATTATGATCTATCAATTTAAAATATTAATTTTTAAAAAAGATTTAGAAATTATCTTGATATAGCAGATTAGACAAAATTATATATCTAAGGACTTACAAGTTTAAATTTTTTTTTGACAGGAAAGGGCATTCTATTGTAAACTGTGAATTCTTACTATTCATAGGTTGATGTTCTCAATCAAGTTGATTGGAATGCCTGGCTCTACTCTCCTGGACTGCCTCCCATAAAGCCCAAGTAAGTACTTGCCTGCTAATGCTTTCCTTCTCATTCTCCTAACTCCTAGAGAGCCTCAAAATATCTGAAAGAATAGTATGCCTTCCTGAAACTGTTACTAGTAAATGATGAAAGCAGAGTTCTTAGGTGTTTTGGCCTTAACCCTGAGGCCAAAAGAATAATTTCTGCAGTTTACAAATATGGTTTTTCACTTCAAGTAATTGAGTGCCTCCTTTCTGCACAAGGATGGTGAGGGATTTAGACAATAAGCTATTGTATCTTCCTTCAAACTTCTGCAATAAAAATATTTTATAAGTATTATGTTAATTACAACACTGTTATAAGTTATTATCCCCATTTCCCAAGGAGGTAAGTTAGGTTTAGCTAGGTAAAGTGTCTTGCCCTAGGTTGCACAGCTAGTGAGTAGTAAAAGTTGAGATTCAAACCCTGGCAGTCTTATTGCCTCCAATATACTGCTTTCTTCCTTCTTTTTTTTTAGAAACAGGGTCTCACTCTGTGGCTCAGCCTGGCGTGCAGTGATGTGATCTTAGCTCACTGCACCCTCTGCCTTCCAGGCTCAAGTGATCCTCCTACCTCAGCCTTACAAGTAGCTGGGACCACAGATGCGCACTACCACACCCGGCTGTTTTTGTACTTTTGCTAGAGGCAGGGTTTCACCATATTGCCCAGGCTGGTCTCGAACTCCTGAGCTCAAACAATCCACCTGCCTTTGTCTCCCAGAGTGTTGGGATTACAGGCGTGAGCCACCGTGCCCGGCCTCAATATACTGCTTTTTATACTGAACCCCCTCCTTCAATCGGACCTGAACCCTGGTCTTTCACGAGTTGTGTGAGGACACTGACCATGGCATGTTCCATGGCATGTTCTCTTGTTGCCTTTCTTTTGGATCACCAAAATTGCCTACCAGCTTCTCTTACACTAAACAGGCCAGTTTAATTGATGTTCAGGGAGCAGCAGGAGAGAAGCTAAGAAACAAGATGAGGCCTGGTCATGTTTGTTTGTAAAGCACTTTAAACAGCCAGGCCGAGAAGTGTTTGGTTGAGAAGTTACTGGGAGTTCTGAGTATGGAACAAATGTGGTCAGAGCGCCCCACTAACTGGGCAGTCCTGGTTATCATAGGCTGTGGTGGGAAACAGGAGCTCAGGTAGGGAGGGGTGATTACGATAGAATGTTTCGAATTTTGTGTTGGAAACAGGTGGCACAAATCATCAGTAAACCCTTTTAACGTCTAAAAAAGGTATCAGCAAAAATAATACTTTAGATTTTTTTCCTAGCACTTCATTAAGAAGTGCCATACATTATCTCGTTAATTTTTACAACAGCCTTGCTAGAGATTATGAGGACCTGAAGTCATACAAAGGCAGTGGAAAAGAAAGGAGTAACTGAGAGAAGAGACGTTTGGGGGCTAGAATCTATTGGCAACTGATTGGCTGTGGTGAGAAAAGAAGAAATTAAAAATGACTGAGCAGAGATGTAATAAAGATTCAGCTCAATCCAGCACACATTTATTGTCAGGCACTAATATGATGAATAAGGAACTCACAGAGCAAATATGTATGTATCAAGTAATTATAATACAATGAAAAGTATTTTTTTTAAAATATTAAGTGTTGTGGGTGAGGAAACTATTAATTTTAATGGTGATGGATTTGGACATCGTCTTGGAGATGACTTACAAAGGAGAATACAAGAAGTAAACTGTAGAACCTTAGAGGATCTTCATTTTAGAGCTAGGACAGAGGAAAGGTAGCAAAATAAATGGAAAACTAAAAAGATTTCAAAGGTTCATTGTTAAGAAAGCTGTGGGAAGAAATAATTTAAAAGTGGTACGGAGAGTGGTCAGCAGTCTGGTGTGCTGTAGAATTATGAGGAGCCTGAGAATAAAAGCATAGAATTTGGAGTTTGGAGTCTTTCAAAGACTCTAACTTCAGGGGCCTGATATAGCCAAAAGACAGTTCCAGGAAGTTTAGGAGTGGAGAAGGCTTTGCCCATTGCTTTTAAAATTGGGGAAATCTGGGTGGAAAATTAGTTCTTCAAAAGTGTTTCTTTGATATCACCGCTGCTAAGGGATCCTTTTTGGGCGTTGGTTCATTCTAGATCCCTTAAGATTGCTTTCAAGTAATACCAAAGTGCTGGAGGAACCCTGGAATCATTCGTGTGCCCGGGAATTCTGTAAAGAGAGAGTATCTTAGAAAATCTCAAACCACAGAAAATACTTTGATCCATTGCAGCACAGAATCTTGGCTTCCACGATCCTCTTTTTATAATGCTCTCATCATTTGTATATGTATTTAAATATCTGAGTCTATCCACATCTCTCCATTTCTACTACCACTGTCCAAGTTCAGTATCACATCTTCACATCCTGGAAGACTGTTCTGGCACCCAAACTGTGCACTTGTATCTGTTCTGACTTCTCCCAGCCACTCTCCACACTAAAGCTAGAGTAAACCTTTAAAAGCACAAATGTGTCATGTTGTCCTCCTGCTTAGCAGTCTCCACTGGTATCTCTTTGCTCTTGGGCTAAGACAAAATCCTTTAGTGGGGATTATAAGCTCCTAACACTCTAGCTCCCTTTGCTTCAGTCACACTGGCAGTTTTGGAGTTTCTCGAACTCCCCATATGTCCTCCAACATAGTACCTGAGCATGCTGTTTTCTCTACCCGGAGCCCTTTGCCCAGTTAATTCCAATCTCAGCTCAAGAACCACTTCCTCTTGGAAGCATTTCTTGACATCCCTGGCCAGGTCAAATCTCCCATTCTAGGGCTTTTTAGTGCTATATCCTCTCTTCGTAGCAGTTGCACAGTTCTAACTTTACATTTATTTATTCGTATGATTAAAGTATTTCCTCTTCGCTATACTGTCAGCACCATGAGAACAAGGCACATATCTGGTTTTGCTCTTTACTTTTCTGAAGACTTTGCCATAAGTAGGGTCCTTTCCCAGGCTAATTCTTAACTTAGTACTTTTAATTACACTAATAAGGAAGTTTCAGGACACGAAGAAACAGACCAGCTAAAGGTTTTCTACTTTGCTATTATTTTTTAAGAAATCAATGCTAATAATGTTTTGGTTGAAAGCAGTGTATTCTGATCAGTCAAGGACCTCTGATCCCACCTGTTCTTGAAGACAAAATGGCATGCCTGCAGTCCACAGCCTGACACTTCATGTAATAAACTGGCAGCTGCTTCGAGGTGGGAGCTGTGTTGACCTTTTTATTGTCTCCCCTAGGGAACAAACGGAGTCCCAGTCACAACTCTCTTTAAGGGAGATTCAGTGGTAACTTCTAATCAAAACTTACTTCATTTAGGCTCTAAGGGGCAGGTGCCTCTCTGTTCCCTAATACAAGCATTTCAGTACAAGCAAGCATGATTTACGGAGAAAGAGGGATGTTTTGCAAGAATTTTGCACACACTACATGTTCTTTCCCATTGTTGCAAAATATGATTTCTAAGTTGAGAACACACAAATATTGGTATAATTTGCTTAACAATTACCATGTGTTAATTTCATTTTCTTCTAAAAAGGAATGAAATCATCAGGCAATGGTATCGGGCTCTCTCAAGGGTCTAGCATCTAGAACGGTGCCAATTATGTAGCAGGTGCTTGCAGGTTTGTTAGATGATTAGATGTTTGGAACAACCAAGTAAAATCCATGACAGCAAGGACTTGATGTTGTTCATCTTGTTGTCTTGAGTGCCTAGAACTGTTCCTGCCATGTACTAAATATGCTCAACTGATTCCAACTACTTTAGCATATACTACTCGAGCACATGACAGTCTTTTGCTGAGGTGCTTTGGCATTCTTTCTAAAAGATAGATGGGTGTTTCATTAATGTGGTATCCATTTGGGTTTGTGAGTTCTTGGATGATGCCAGTAGTATGTAAGTTAGGTAAAATATTTCCTATTTTCCTCACTTTGGAGTTTGTTTTCCTTATTTAAAAGGGACTTTGAAATTTAAGTATGTACTGTAGCTTTAAAACTGCATTTCTGCAAAAGCACGTGCATTTTTAAACAATGTAATCTTTATCTTTGCAGTTATGATATGACTCTGACAAATGCTTGTATTGCCTTAAGTCAAAGATGGATTACTGTAAGTAATAATGTGTGATTTTTGATTCCTTTTTGAATTGTGCAAATATGTCTTTACTCATGAAGCAGGGAGGGTACTTTAAATCACAAACAGTTATATTTGGAAAGGCTATTTGAAAGTCAGGTTTATCTAAGGTGATATTATATCTACTCTCAATATAGAAAATTAAGGGTTTGAGACAGGGTCTTGCTCTGTTGCCCAGGCTGGACTACAGTGGCGTGATCATGGCTCATTGCAGCCTCAACCTCCTGGGCTCAGTCAGTTGTCCCACCTCAGCCTCCCGAGTAACTGGGACTACAGGCATGTGCCTCCATGCCTGGCTAATTTAAAACTTTTTATACAAACAGGGTCTGTGTTGTACAGGCTGGTCTCAAACTCCTGGTCTCCAGTGATCCTCCCACCTTAGCCTCCCAAAGTGCTGGAATTACAGGCATCAGGCATGAGCCACTGTGCCCAGCCTAGAAAATTAAGTTTTATGGGGGGAAAAATTGATGTTGAAGGCATTAATCCTGATTTTTCTTGCTTCTTAACTCTTAAAAAAAAAAAGTATGCAAAAATATTTGCATCTTACCTTTCTTCTTTTCCTTTTAAATCATTTATAAGATACTGCTTCCAATATGGCAATTTCACATACCAGGTAAATCTAAAATGATCTTGGGTGACCAGCTGCTGACTATTAGTGGTGCAAAGAATCGAAGCACTTTTGCTCTTTGTTCACTTTCTATGAAGCTTCTTAAAGAGGAGCTTCTTCATATATGTACTAAAATAGAACCCTTTACTGAAGCCAAAGTAAGGATGAGCCCTTGATAATTCTTTAATGAAAAATAACAGAAGATTTAGGAATACTTTTATTCCTATTAATTTGCAACAGATTTATCATTTTTTTACGTAATTTCAACTTTTAAGTTCAGGGGACACATGTGCAGGTTTGTTACACGTGCATATTGTGTGATGCTAAGGTTTGGGGTATGATTGATCCCATCACCCAGGTACTGAGCACAGTACCCAGTAGTTTTTCAACCCTTGCCCCACTCCTAGTAGTGCCCAGTATCTATTGTTGCCACTTTTATGTCCATGAATATACAGTCGTTTAGCTCTCACTTGTGAGAACATGCTGTATTTGGTTTTCTGTTCCTGTGTTAATTCACTTAGGATAATGGCCTCCAGCTGTGCAATCAGTTCAGCTATTGCCTTTTAAAACCTGTTTTGTGTAGTTGACAAACTTGTCATGAAGAAAAGTATAAGAGATTTCTATGGGAAACAGGATTTTTTAACAGTGTGAGTGTATTAAAATTCTCTGTTTTAGTTTGAAAAATGTATTCCAGCTTATTTGGTGCTAGTTAAAACTGCTACTAATTTCTGCTCAAATATTCCTTTGGGCCCAGCAGTTAAGGTGGATAATGATCAACTCTTCAATATTAGTAGAAACAGGCATTGTTAGGAACAGATTCAGGACACTGTATTCACTAATGCACTCTTTTCCTTATGTATTTTATTTCTCAATGATTTGTCTTAAATAGTAAATAAATGCAAAAGAATATTTATAACATATTCATATGGTGTATAAAACAATTGTGTGACCCACCACTAGCATAAGAAGTAAAATCTTAGCGGTACCTCTGTAGCATCCCTCCCCATCTTATGCCCCTCTCCACCCTCCTTGCTGACCCATCCAGGTTACCATTGTCCTGAATTTTGGTTTATCATTCTCTTGCTTTTTATGTTTTTACCACATAAATATATCCTTAATTAATATATAGTTTAGATTTGCAGGTTTTTGCACAGAAAATGAGCTGGAGCTGTAAGTTCTCATATTAAGGATAAGTTGTAAAGGGAAAAGAAGTATTGCTATTAAAGAGAGTTCTGAAGAGGGGGAAGATGCAAAATATTTATTTAAAAGGGTATATACCTATGCATTAAATTTAGTGGAAGGATATACAGAAACTACTAATATTAGTTACTGAGGAGTAGTACTTGGAGACAGGGAGCAGATCCAAAAGAATTTTTCCTTCTGTCCTATTTGATTTTTTAGTATTTGCATATATTTCTTTTAAAGTAACAAAAGCCCTAGTTTAAAAGATTATAAAAGTAGTTCTAAAAGATTTAAAAATCCTTATTTTTATAAGCTTTATTTAATATTGCTTAATCATCTTCTCAAAGATTTTTGAGAGTAAATCCAAATTTGAAAAGTGCAGACTCATTTTTATTTTTCTTAGATGGTTTCTAAGATTAAGTGGGGAAAACAGAATATGTGGGGATGGAGGAAAACATTAGTTTATGGCCTTACCAATTTATTAATGTAATATTTAAAAATATACGATTTCATTCTTTACCTTTTTGAATTGGTCTATAGATTAGTTGACATGCATACATTTTGAAATGTTTCTTTGCTTTGGAAATTTCTATACCTCGAATGGTACAATGAATGTCAACAGTTTCTTCCACTCTTCCTACCCATAATCTACTTTTTCTTAAGTAATATAGATTCTAGGAGTCATATCAGCTATTTAAATTACAGTAACTCAATCTCAGGATTATTTAAGTAACTCAGGCTTAAATTTATTTTGAATAATCTTGTTCATTCATATGGTTCTTTTTCTCAATTTTTACTTTTATGTCAGATAAACCAATAAGTATTATTAAATTGTACTTGAACAAAAATAACTAGGTAACATTTATTTCAGGCCAAAGAAGATGATTTAAATTCATTCAATGCCACAGACCTGAAGGATCTCTCTTCTCATCAATTGAATGAGTTTTTAGCACAGACGCTCCAGAGGGTAAGTACTAGCTCAAAATCTTAGAAATTAAAATGGACAGAAAGGCACAGCATTTATGTTCTACCCAACTTGGCAAAAGATTATTAATGTGGAAACTAATGGGGAAAAAATCATTTATAAAATTTATTCATTTCTTTAAAAAAGCATTGAATGCTTACTGTGTTTTATATTGTGCTAAATATGAAAATATGTAAGAAAGGATATACCTTATCTTCAAATAGCGTATAATCTAGTAGGAAGGGGAACACATGCAAAATTTAGCAATAAGCCAGGCACGGTGGCTCACATCTGTAATCCCAGCACTTTGGGAGGCCGAGGCAAGCAGATCACTTGAAGTCAGGAGTTCGAGACCAGCCTGGCCAACATGATGAAATCTCGTCTCTACTAAAAATATAAAAATTAGCCGGGCATGGTGGCAGGTGCCTGTAATCCCAGCTACTCAGGAGGCTGAGGCAGGAGAATCACTTGGACTGGGAGGCGGAGGTTGCAGTGAGCCGAGATCACACCCCTGTACTCCAGCCTGAGCAACAGAGTGAAACTCCATCTCATAAAAAAATTTTTTTAAAAACATTAGCAATAAAAGGAGGCATACTTTAGGTATCATTTGGAAAAACTTAATTAGTGAAAGACTCTTCCAACTGGGGGCATCAGAGAGGGAATTTTGGAGGAGACTTGCTTTGCACCCCCAGGGCTAGCAGGGAGGTAGAAATTGAAGGTGGAGGGAGCAGCAAGGGCTGGAATTCGTCTGCAGCATTGCTGGAGTAAACAGTAGCACTGGGTAAGGAAGTCAGTGAAGGTAACACTAGAAAAGCTGGTAGGACCAGATGTGATGACTCTCAATGCTAAGCTAAGAAATTTTAGATCTTACACTGATCAGTAGGAAAAGATTTTAAAAATCCAGCAGAAGAGTCGGGATGAAATGCTGGGTTGTAGAAAACTAATCTGGGGCCATGAAGGTTGCATGGTGGTGAAGTTACTAGTTGGGAGACTGGCAGGAGTACCGGACTTGAGGGAGTAAGTTGCGGGGAGAGGAGAGAACAGGACGTGAGAAAGAGTTTACACAGGGTGAAAGCACAGAGCTCTGTGACTGACTGGCTATAGGGGTTGACAGTAAAGAATCCAAGCAGATTTTAAGGTTTCGAATCTAGGCAATTGAAAGAATAGATGAAACCGAAAGGAGTTGCTGCATTTTGAGATAAACCAATGACTGGATTTTAAAGACTTCCATGAAAGGGAAGTCTTCAGTCTAAGGACCTTGAGAAGAAAGAAGATTTGGAGCGGAATTTTCTGTGGAATTGATGCAAAAATTAGGAATAGGATTTTGACGCAACAAAGGACCCATCAAAGAGAGAATCTATTTTTAGTGCATCGGGTCATCATGGTTTCATAAATTGCTCTACCACTGGTGGGTGGTCTAGGGCCACAGAGAGAGAGAACATGGTAGGGTGATTCTGGAATGGGTATAGCAAAACTTAGGGCAAGTCAGGGAGCCTTGGAGATGACCTTAACCAGTTGGTCTACCAGGGTAGACTTGGAGTTGCATGTGTCCATAAGGGGCTAATGGACTAAATTATTAGCGACAGGATTAGTAGTTCATGAAAGCAGAGATTGGTTAGTGAGTGTGGAGTCCTGTAAGGTAAGGAGGTCGTGGTTGGAGGGGAGAGTTATCATCTACCTAGAGGCACCTCTGCCTCTCACAGGCACTACAAACTCTCTGCTTGTCCAAACTGAACTCATCTTTTTTCTTTCCTTCACCCAAACTTGTCCTCCCTTTTAGGGTGAGTTAAGGTAGGGATAGGATGCTTATAAACCCCCTGAAATTGTATACAGAAGTTTGTATTCATGTAGTAAGTGTATTTTCCCCCTAGGGAAAGAGTCCACATTATTCATCAGATTCCCAAAGAGATCTATAATACAAACATTTAAGAACTGCTATTATGTAGGTATGCAGATAATTTAACAGGGATTTCAGAGGAAATATACAAAGATAAAGCTAGGGGGAATCAGGCAAAAATTAAGGAACTATGATTTCATCTGGAGAATGGAATTGCATTTAAGATATATAAGTTATAGAGAATAACTAGAAAAACTCTAGGAAAAGTCTGAAAGATAATATTTATACATGCTAAAAAGTCTAAGAAGAGCAATTCTCATTTAATGCTGAATACTTCACAAAGTAAATTATCCCTGTGCTCCCAGTAGAATATCCTCATCTGGAATAAGTTTGCACAGAATTTACTTAGTGTGCAATTTGTTTCTTTTATTTTTATCTGACTTATTTCTATATTATAAAATATTTAGGATTTTAATCTGGCTATGCATTTCTCTCCAGCTCCTTTCTTCCAAGGAATCCTGTTGAAATGATACGGTATACTTCTTTATTTTGCTCTTAGGCACCTCTTCCATTGGGGCACATAAAGCGAATGCAAGAGGTGTACAACTTCAATGCCATTAACAATTCTGAAATACGATTCAGGTACATCATTTTAACTTGTCTCTGTGGAAGAAAGCAGAAAACTAAACTCCTTTGAAAGATGGAGAAAGGGAATGCAGAGTATGAGACATACTTGAGTCTTGAGAATTCCTTGTCAAACTGACTGCTTCTATATAAATACTTATAGTGGTATTTAAGGAATAGTTGCAATATGTAATCTGGTAGTATTAATCTTTTTGTTAGACTTTGCTCTAAACCTCTCTTGCCTTAAAAGAAAAAAAAAAAATTAGAATGAAGGATTCCGTGGTAAATAGGCTTTCTCCACAACCAACTAAATCTACTTTGAAATGGGAATAGTTAGAAATATTTTATTCTATTATATGTTAATCTTTCTTAATTCAAATTTGTAATGTGAGGCTTAAACCAAAGTTTAATTCCTTCAGAAATTGCATGTATAAGGTATGTGAGCACCTACCTGATCTTTCTTAATTCAAATTTGTAATGTGAGGCTTAAACCAAAGTTTAATTCCTTCAGAAATTGGATTTATAAGGTATGTGAGCACCTACCTGATCCAGACCTTTAAAAATATATGATCTTTTTCAAGAACCAGCTCCTCTTCTTTCTCTTCACCAATTATTAAATTGTATATATAAGGATTTGAGAGTCTCAGAATCAAGACATACCATAAAGTGGTGTACAGTATAACTATAGTGGGGTTATTCATATCACTACAGAAGTAATATTAAGATATACCTGTCATATCCTGCCCCTTCCTCATTTTCTACTCCATGCTCCCCCCAAATCCTCCTTTTAGATGGCTGCGGCTCTGCATTCAATCCAAGTGGGAGGACGCAATTCCTTTGGCGCTAAAGATGGCAACTGAACAAGGAAGAATGAAGTTTACCCGGCCCTTATTCAAGTAAGAACCCACTCAGACCGTACTTTGAATTCATCTAAGAAACAGGAAGAAAACTGTCAAATATTTAAACGTAATCTATATGACAATATTTTTTAATTTGTTAAAGTTTATCAGTATAATTTTGGAATAGGGATTCACACTTATAAATATTTAAAATGTGAAATAATTTCATTCCTCTTTTTAGAAGCATTATATATGGATTACTATTTTGGATCAAATAGAGTTAGATACTGATAAAATAGAAATAAATCAAAGATAGCCTTATATACACAAAGATTTTTAAAGGTAACTAGAAGATAATTGGTGGGTAGGTATAGACAAGAAAGAGAGTCTGAAGTTAAATGTAAGGAGAAATAAGCAGATAAAGCTAACTCTTTTGTGTTCAAATGTTGCATAGAGGTCAAGGGTAGGTTGCTTGACATAATAAAGGAATGCTTAGTGAGAGGGGGATAAGTTGTATCTTGACAGCAAGATACAAGAATATCTCAGTCAAGGTCTTTATGAATTTTGTCCAAATTCTGGAAAAAAAAATCATGCCATAAATATCCATGATTACTTTTGTTTGCTTTTCATTTACTTCACAAGTATTTAGGTGGGTGCAAAAGTAATTGCAGTTTTGGCCATCAAAAGTGATGGCCATATAATATCATAAAACTTGGCAAAATAAGTCATTATCTCTTTTTTGATGTGACCACAAAATTAAGTTTTAAGTATATTTTATATGCTTTCCCTAATTAAAACCCATCTAGCTTTGAATTGAGTAAAGTATACTTTAAATAGGTTTTTAAATAAGAGTATACTTGGGCCGGGCGCGGTGGCTCACGCCTGTAATCCCAGCACTTTGGGAGGCCAAGGCAGGCAGATCACGAGGTCAGGAGTTTGAGACCAGCCTGGCTAACATAGTGAAACCCTGTCTGTACTAAAAATACAAAAAATTAGCCAGGTGTGGTGGTAGGCACCTGTAATCCTAGCTACTTGGGAGGCTGAGGCAGGAGAATCGCTTGAACCCGGGAGGCAGAGGTTGCAGTGAGCTGAGATTGCGCCATTGCTCTCCAGCTCCTCCAGCCCGGGTGACAGTGCGAGACTCTGTCTCAAAAAAAAAAAATGAATAAAATAAATAAGAGTATACCTTTTGTGGGAAAAATAAGTATTTCTGTTTTATGATGTTTATAGTAGTTACATTAAAAATGACTAATCCTACCTTTTGTATGGTAGGTCCTTTTTATTTAGTGTATTTATTATTTATTTCGTGTATTATTTATTATGTATTTATTATTTCACTGTGGTCAGGACTTTTATTCTCAATTATTTGAAGTTTTCAGAAATTCTATATAAATTTTAGTGTTTTCATACTCTTAAAATCTTGATTAAAAAATTTTTTTTAAAAGCAGTTTTTAAAAAGAAAGGCTTTGAGGCTCACTCTCACATACAGGGCTGATATTTAGCCAGGAGATGAGAGGACTCTGTTCAAATAATAAAATCCTTCCATGCTGCTTGGTAAATAGCCACGGGTCCCAGCCACTCTAGCCCTTCCCTGTAACTTGCTGCAAAATGTCTGATCTGCCAGTATAAAGGCCAGTCTCTGGTACAGAAGGAGGTCTCTGGGACCCTGTGGCAGGACCATACCCATCTGATTGGCTGGGACTGGTGCCTTATTTGGGTGATGCTGGCTGTCACCCCTGCTGACATCCTTTAATTTAATCTTGGGTATTGACTTGTGTTCTTATTCTCTTTCTCCTTCCTTTTTCCTTTCCTCTGAACCCCTTCCCTCCTTTCTTTCTTCTCTCCCTCCCTTTCTCCTCCTCTGTCTCCTTCTCGCCTTTCTTTCTTTTCAATTTTTTCTTTTTTGGCAGGGATCTTGCTGCCTTTGACAAATCCCATGATCAAGCTGTCCGAACCTACCAAGAGCACAAAGCAAGCATGCATCCCGTGACTGCAATGCTGGTGGGGAAAGACTTAAAAGTGGATTAAAGACCTGCGTATTGATGATTTTAGAGATTTCTCTTTTTTAAATGGAATTCGTAAAGAAATATAAAACTTCAGCTCACAATTAAAACTGTCTTTTTAGTTTTGGCTTTTTATTGTTTTGTTGGTGATTTTACTGAAATAAAGTTGAGCTACTTCTTCTTATAGTGGCATATTCTTTGTAAATTTTAACAAGGTTTAATCTTTTGATTTACAAATTAAAAAATTTTGAATTAGCTTTATATTAATTTTCTCTCAGTATGATCACAAAATATGTCAAGGTAGTATTTTACCTGATATATGATTTAAATTCATTAATTTGAATCTGCTGCAGATTCAAAAATTCAACATGGTTAGGATTTTGCTTTGCTTTTTAAATAACCTTAAACATAAGTCCGGGCGCAGTGGTTCATGCCTGTAATCCCAGCACTTTGGGAGGCCAAGGCGGGTGAATCACCTGAGGTCAGGAGTTTGAGACCAGCCTGGCCAACATGGTGAAACCCCGTCTCTACTAAAAATACAAAAATTAGCTGGGCGTGGAGGCACGACTGTAATTCCAGCTACTCAGGAGGCTGAGGGAGGATAAGCACTTTAATCTGGGAGGCAGGGGTTGTAGTGAGCCGAGATGGCGCCATTGCACTCCAGCCTGGGCAATGGAGACTCTGCCTCGAAAAATAAAAAATTAAAAAAAAACCTTAAACATGAATGCTTAGTTGTATTTGCACACCACCTACCTGGTGGACAGCAGATGAACTCCTTACCAGAATGTGTCAACCCTAGCAGGAGCTCTCAACTCCCTCCTCCTGGACCCCTCCGGCTCATCCAGTGGGCTTGTCCTGGTCTCCTGTCCATCAGGGGTCAGATGGCCACCCCAAGCACCAGTCTTTCCCATCCCTCTCACAGTCTGTTCAAAGACAACAAAATAACTTGAACCAAATAAAAGACAAACATAACAAAGCACCCCTGCCAATGCAACGTAGTGCCCCAGGGCATCTCAGCACACATAGCTGTACTAGGTAGAATTATTAGTGTATTAGCTCTATTAGTTAGAATTAATTAGAACCATAGCTGTGTTAGAATTCTTTGATTGCAAGTAACAGCAATCCAAGTGACCAGAAGTCAAAAAGGGAAAAGGAAGATTATTTTAAGGATGCTAGGTATGGGGAGATTATCAGAACCTGGGACGGACAGAAGGGGTCTGATGCCCAGGACTGCAGCACCGTCAGTGCTCCTGTCCCTCACCTCTGCCTCTCTAGTCCACGTTGTACAGGCCGGCCACTCTCCAGCTTTACTGTTACAAATAGCTCTGACCACATGGGGAGGCTATCACAATTCCAAATTCCCAGAGGTGAGACTCTAACCCAGGTTGGGTCCACCTCTGGTCAAATAAATTGTGTAAGAGGAATGGTGTCTTAGAGTATAATTGTTGGCATGGGGTGGGGGTGGGGAGCGGTGTCCTGACCAAATAACCCCTCAAAGTGCTAATGCAGTGACTAAAGTTACAATAGGAGTGAACACCCAAGGTGGGACAGGTATGGAAGAGACATATTCCTGCCTATTCCCGGAATCCTGACTTTTCCCTGGCTCTCACTCTCCCTAGCAGTTTTTGTTTTGTTTTGTTTTGAGACAGGGTCTCACTCTGTCGCCCAGGCTGGAGTGCAGTGGCATGACCATAGCTCACTGCAGCATCAGCCTCTGGGTTCAAGCCATCCTCCCACCTCAGCCTCTGGAGTAGCTGAGACTACAGGCATGCACCACCATGTCTGGCTAATTTTTGTTTTGTAGAGAAAGAGTTTGGCCATGTTGCCCAGGCTGGTCTCGAACTCCTGGGCTCAAGCAATCCACCCGCCTCGTTCTGTCCTCTTGGTCACTTATCTATGCTGCAGTGTGATTCTTTCTCCAGGCTCTGCTCTCCCTTGCCTTCCTTGCCAAGAATACAGAGAAGGGAGTTCAGCTCAAATCACTGGCATAAGATCATGTTCTAAGATTAGACTTTAGCAAATCCATTTACCCAAATACTGCTCTTTAAGGCTTCTGCCCTATGAGCTTACAAGACAAGCTGTAAGTTAATGTCGTTTTTAGTTATCACTTAGTGATACTGAAAGTGAATTGTGACAAGGGATGCTTGAAGGGTGGCATGGAAGGGTGCTGTGAAGAAGGTAGAGGGCGCTAAAGACAAACTTAATCCTGCTTGCTGGTTTACCTAGGGGCCAGCTCGGTGCAGTTCACATTTCTTCAGTTCAGCTAGTAAGCATATGCTAAATGTCTTTGTGCCAGATCGGATATATACATAATTATGGATGAACACAGACAAGTAATTTCCTAGATAATACTAAAGAAGAGCTATGCTAAGGCATCCCAGAGAAGGGCCACTTAACCCAACTGAAGAATTTAGGGAATGCTTCCTGGAGAAGAAAAGGCCTAAACAGGCTTAAGGAGTAAGAAAGATCTAGACAGGCAAAGGAAGTTGGAAAGTGCGTTTCTGGAGAAAGAATAACAAGGAAGACTCTGCTCCACAATGCGTAGGGCCTGAGTTTAGAATCCTCAAACTGCTGGGGGTGACTTACATGGCTGGGAGGTGGTATCACCTGGAAGCTCCTTCCCTCACTAGTCTGATGCCTGGGCTGAAATTACTCAGAAGCTGGTCTCGGCAGTGACAGTCAACTGGAGCATGCAGTAGTTTGGGTTGTTTTGCAGCATGAAGATAGTTAGACCTCTTATTAGTCATCTTTATACAGCTTTATCCATCACCAGACAGTAAGCCTCATGAATGTAGAGCGTGTTTGTTATTTATTTCATCCCCAGCACCTCGCATAGAGCTTGTTACATAACAGGTGTTGAAAAAATATTTGTTAAATGAGTCAAGGAATGAATGGGGGGGGGTGGGGCAGAAGGTTAAGGTGGTTCACATGTGCAGTCCTCAGTTTTCTCACAGATGTAGGAAGTAAGGTCTCCTTCTGAGAATTAGAGGTGGATGTCGAGAAGGTCCTGGCAGAGGGGTCAAAGTTTTGGAAAGTCACTGTGGGCTGGATGGAATAAAAGGGCAATACCATCAAACTATGTGATCACAGGACTTTCTCTATCAGTGTCTTCTGCCTGGGTGAACAGATATGACAGTTTCTTTTAATTTTAAACAGGGTCTTGCTCTCACCCAGGCTGGAGTACAGTGGTATAATCATAACTCATTGCAGCATTGACTGCCTAGGCTTAAGCAATCCTTCCAAGAGATGGCTGTTTTTTGTGATGACTAAGGGGATGGGTGTTATTCCAAGTGTAGACATAAGTTTAGGGATGCAAAGGAATCTCAGAGTGCTTAAGAAAGAGTGGTCCAGTGAGCGACTAGGGACCAGCTTCCTAGGATAGTAAGTGAGGATGCTGGTGGGAAGTGGAGGGATGAAGAGACTGACTGGAGGTCAGGTCCAAGGCTGGCAGTGACTAGAGTAAAAGGGCAGCTGGAAGGTTGTGGTCAGAAGGTGGAATATTGGAATTTCAGATTTCTTAAGTGTGTCAAATTCAGGTCGTGACAGATTCCAGGGTGATTTCTTAAGTGTGTCAAATTCAGGTCATGACAAATTCCAGGGTGCAGTCATGGTGTGGGTATCTGAAGAGCAAGTTTCAATAAGGCTCAAGGAAGGGTAGCTATTTGTACGCTTCCTGGGAAGCTGTCAGCAGATGAGAGGGACTCTGGGTATGAGTATAGGTGTTTTTCTTGAGCAACCATGTCTCTCTTCCCAACAGAAGTCTGATTTAGTGGAAACAGACTTTTCAGGATTTTTCTAGTGCAATAATCAAATCTCTAAAAATTGGCTTACGATGAAAGTGCTGCTTAGTCAAAATAGCATCTGCATATCTTTGATGCCGTAATCATGCTATCCAGAGTTCCTTAATACCAATGGTAATAAGGCGGGTGCAGGGAGCAGTTATCTGTGGTGAAGAAGCTTAATTGGGTGAGGGATATCCATGTGCCAAGATGAAAGAGCATTTATGGAACTTTATAGCTTTATGATTCATACAGAACATTTATAAAGCATTATAGTTACATGGAGTATTGGTGTCCAGATACTAGTAATCACAGACACTTCTATAATATTTCCACTATGCCAGGTGTTGTGTTGAGGGCTTTACATATATGAACTGACTTCATCCTCCCAATAGCCCTTTGACATATATACTATCATCATTACCATTATCTTCATTTTACAGATGAGGCAACTGAGGCCCAGAGAAGTCAAATCACTTGCCCACAAGTCATACACTTAGCAAATGGCAGAGCCAGGATTTGATCACAGGTAAATCCTGCACATACTGGAAGGAGGCAGTTAGCCCCTAGGCCTTCTGATAAGGAAATACAGGGTAATACTCACCTAATCAAGGCTAATAAGTAGTAGAGCTGGACTCTCATCCACGGCTGTCTGAGCCCCTAATCTCCAAGTCAGAGTGGTTCATTTGCCCAGATGACGACCTTTAGTTGTGAAAATGATCTCTGGCCTTTGCAGTCTTCCCTGGTGGAAAGAAAGCTTCAGAAAACCTTACTGGTGACAGGAAGTAGTTGCTCAATACATGTTTGTGGAATAAACAAATGAGTGACGATTGCCACACTCCCAGTGTCACAGTTGGCCCACAGAACACGTTTTACAGTTGAGTAATCTCAGATAAAGACAGGAACATGGTGTTTATAAGCTGCCCTTAATGGCAGAGAACACAGACAGAAACGAGGGAAGAGAGAGAAATTGGGGACCCTGAAGAAAGGGGGCCAGCAGCAGGTAGGTGCCATCAGGGACAAGAACAGCACCTCCCAGGGTGGGAGACCCCAGGCCTTTCTGGCAGCAGGTCTGGATGGAAAGTGGACAGGAGGCTCACCCGTCTGCATCCCCTGCTCCTGCCCCTGCTCGGCTACAAAAACCAAAGGGACAGCAGGTACCTCAATAAATATTTGTCCAATGCATGAATGAGTAAAGGTGAAGGAGGGGGAGTGGTTTGAAAGTCTATTCTCATCCTTCCAGCTGACCACACCCCGGTAGCCACTCCTGCATAAAGCTCTCCCCTCCTGTGACCAGCTGAGGACCTCAGGCTGCAGCGGAGCCATGCCCAGATACACGGTGCACGTACGTGGGGAATGGCTGGCAGTGCCCTGCCAGGACGCGCAGCTCACTGTGGGCTGGCTGGGCCGGGAGGCCGTGAGGCGCTATATCAAGAATAAGCCCGACAATGGTGGCTTCACCTCCGTGGATGACGCGCACTTCCTTGTGCGCCGGTGCAAGGGCCTGGGCCTGCTGGACAACGAGGACCGGCTCGAGGTGGCCCTAGAGAACAACGAGTTCGTGGAAGTGGGTGAGTGGCTGCAGGAGAGGGCCGCGAACGGGTGCGGTTTGGCCTGGCTTAGTCTTTGCAGCATTGAACCCCCACCTCAGGGAAAATGATGAGCAGAGGTCAGGCTTGCCGAGGCTGGCCCTGTGCAGGCACATGCCACGCCTCTGGGGATCTTAAGTCCTCACACAACCCTGTGAGATGGGTAGGATTCTCCTCCACCTCTGATGGAGGAGAAATCAGAGAGGAGGTAACTTACCCAGACTCCAGCAGCTAGTAAGTAACAAAGACTAGACTGGTACTCAAGGCTGCAGGTCTGAATCCCTTTGCAGTGACTGAATCATTTTGAGGTTATTTTGCCTTTCGAAAGAATCCACCCCCACCCCCAGACTGGAGGCCGGCAGCATAGCATCAGTTCAGATTTTGAAGAAAATAAAGCTGGGAATGGGGATGGAAGTGGAATTCTGTCTTGAACTTTCATCTAAACCCCTGGTCTCTGCCCTGACACCTACCTTTCTGCTTTTTGCTCTCCTCCTACATAAAGATGCTAAGACCACATGAAACCATCTGAAGCAGTTTTAAAGCAGCCATTTCTATAGAATTCATGGGCCAATGATGGGCCGTTCCTTGGTTTAACAGGGGGAACATGGCTGTACAATGTGATCTGTAACGAGTCTCCCGTGCATTGTTTTAGTTATAGAGGGTGATGCCATGTCTCCTGACTTCATTCCATCTCAACCAGAAGGAGTTTATCTGTATCCTTTCCCACAGGCTCTTTGGTCTGCTCTGGGGGTGGCTCCTGCAGATGGTGGGGCTGGGGGTTTTTCCACACCACCCTATATGTTCCTTTACCTGGATACAGATACAGCAAGTACCGGGAGCCTGAAAAGGTAAGCTTCAAACCACTTTCTTTTTCTTCAGAAAATTAAGGCCCCTTATTTAAGAGGGAGGAAAGCCAGGAAAACTTCTGAGAAAACACTGTCAATTAGAACAGGGCTGGCCGGGAGCAGTGACTCATGTCTGTAGTCCCAGCACTTTGGGTGGCCGAGGTGGGCAGTTCACTTGAGGTCATCAGTTTGAAACCAGCCTGGCCAACATGGTGAAACCCCATCTCTACTAAAAGTACAAAAATTAGCCAGGTATGGTGGCGTGCACCTGTAATACCAGCTACTCAGGAGCCTGAGGCACGAGAATTGCTTGAACCCAGGAGGCAGAGGTTGCAGTGAGCCATGTTTGTACCACTGCACTCCAGCCTGGGCTGGAGACTCTGCCTCAAAACAAACAAACCAACCAACCACAGGGCTTTATCCAGCTCTGTAGTGGGGAAAGGGGGCTTGGAAAGGCATTATGCTTTTGCACCAATAAGCCTCCTCTTATGCAAGATGCATTTTTATTTAGCATATTCATGTTTCACGCAATGATCAGATCTCTGAAATGTCAGTTTGGTTCTGTTGGAGGTGTCCCTACTCTGGTTAGAATAATCAAGCTGTTCAGACTCACTGAGATCCCCTTCTTTTGTGTAGTACATCGAGTTAGATGGAGACCGTCTGACCACGGAGGATCTGGTCAACTTGGGAAAGGGACGCTACAAAATAAAGGTATGGGGAGGGAGGGGAAAGATGTCCTCTGGCCATTTTTGTTGCCCGTGGAAGTCTTTAACGTGCTCAGTTCTGATCAACATTTTCCTAGCTCACCCCAACAGCTGAGAAGAGGGTGCAGAAATCCAGGGAGGTCATAGATAGCATCATAAAAGAGAAAACAGGTATCTTTTTATCTTTATGTTATAAATATTTTTATAAACAAACAAAAATCCCTGCATTTAATTGCATAATGTCTCTTTTTATTCTAGTTGTTTACGGTATTACTACAGGTTTTGGGAAATTTGCCAGAACTGTAATTCCTATCAATAAGCTACAGTAAGTTTAAAACACACATATGTTCACGTTCCACCTACCCTCATCTTTTAAATATTTTTCAACAAGGGAAATAATTCACATTTGCCCCAATTTACAGATCAGAGGATGAGGCTTGGGTTACCTTGCATGTGAGTTGGTATTGAAAACCCAGGCTGGCTGGTTTCTCCCATTGCCTTCCTTCTGTCCCTCCAAGGATTTGACCATGATTCCCTTCATTTTCCCAGCTGAGGGAACATTTTCTCACTGCAATGTATCTAAGAGGGTTTTTACCTTTCTGTTGCAGGGAGCTTCAGGTCAACTTAGTACGCTCACATTCTTCAGGTAAGTCAAAACGTTGGGTGCCTCCTGGATCTTGTGTGATTAGATGAATAAAGCACAGCACAGTGTGAGTTATCCAGTTATAGTCACAAAAAGCTAGTTTCTCAAAACAGCATTTCAAGAACTAGGTGCCGAGGTGAGAAGGGATGCAGAAAGAATCAGCTGAGCCTCAGAAAAAGAAATGGGCCAGGTGGAGGGATGGGGTTGGTATGAGAACACATGTCCCATGCCATGGAGACACTGTTGCATTCAGGGAAGGAAATAAAGCCTGGAACTCAAAGAATGAGTTAGGATGGGCATAGTGAGATGGGAAAGACTGTCACCAATCAGCACCCATCAGATGGTAAAGAAGTTGTGCTAAGGACTCTGGATGCTATTCTAAAGGTGAGTGGGAGGTCAGGGGTTCACTGAAGCTTCCCAAAAAGGGGAATTGAGAAGGCAAAACTGGGGTCTTAACCTTTGTCAGGAAGATGGGGCTCAGACAAGTCAGACAGGCAGGAGGGAGAGTAGTCCAACTACCTGAGCCGAGAGGAGAAGGTAATAGCAGGCTGGGCTACATATGGGAAAGATTGGAGGGAGGGAGGGCAATTGTCAGGAGACAAAAAGGAGTTTGCTTTTCTTGGAGAAAACATCAATTCTGTTTTGCAGGTGTTGGGAAACCACTAAGTCCTGAGAGGTGTCGGATGCTCTTGGCTTTAAGGATCAATGTCTTAGCCAAAGGATACAGTGGCATTTCCCTGGAGACCCTCAAACAAGTCATAGAAATGTTTAATGGTAATGCAATGGCTCCCTAGACGGAACCTCTGTGGAGGCTGGACATGTACCACAGGGTAGAATTGATTGGCCAGATGCTGAGGAATCACCTGAGAAGACATGAAATAATTGAAATGAGTGGGAAATGCCGTTGGCAAAAAGTAGGATAGTTAGATGGGGGAAGAGGAGAAAGTCGATCAGAGATGCTTACTCCTATGAACTTTAACTTATTCTGCAAGACCCTTTCCCTAGCATTTGTCATCTTCAAGACTAGAACAGGACTCTTAAGTCTGCCCTTACATTCAAGCCTGCCTAGAAGAAACTTGGATTAAGTGGTACATGAATATGGTTAGAAAAATTGCATGATATCAATGTCCATCCCAAAGGCCAATTCAGTAGTTCTGGTTGGTGCCTGGGAATCTGAAATCGTAATGTCCCCCAGGTGATGGCCAGACTTGCACACTAAAATCCAACTTCTTGCAAGGGTAGAACAGAAATGCAAAGAGGTTAATGACTCCCTTGTAATCAAGAAGCCATGTAGTGGCAGGATATGAGGGAACTCAACTCTGGAGCTTTCTTCTTGGATAGGAAAATTCTAATGTGGAAACCAGATTTGCAGTGATTGGAGGTATTGTCCCTTCTCACAGGTAAGGACAAGCCTTCTAGGTCAGTGGAGACTCAGAACTCTTTGAGGGGAAGGAGAGGGAGGAGAAGCAGTGCTGAGGCAGTCACAAACAGCAAAACACATTCTTGAGTTTCCATGTTATGGACGCAAGTGGCACGTGAATAGGATCTGCCAATGAGTGGAGAGCAATTTCAATGAGCAGTCTATTGTATATACAGGGCTGTGCTGAACAGACTAGTAGTGATTCCAACACCTATTTTTACTCCTACCTTGGTCTGCCATACTATATAGCCCTAAAATCCCAGATAGTAGCACTCCAACCTTAAACCCACCTGTACTTTATGGGGGAGTCTAAGGCACCTCTGAGAATTCCCCAGCGTGAACTATCAGCCAGAAGTTGGTCTGTGGATGGCACTGCCATACCCGACTGACATTATTTAACAGTTGGAAAAAATGCTGCTGTCAGGAATCTGATTTTATTTCAGAAAAATGAAGCCTCTTTTTTGGTAACTTTTTGGGAATTTCTTAGAAAATGGCACGTGTTCATTGATAAGGGGCAGTGGAGTGTAGACTGGGTGACTGGCAAAATGAAAAGACTCAGTTGCCTATGACTTCTCTTCCCCTGGGAAACCTTGTTAATGCTTTGGTGCACCACCTCCTTCTGGAACATTTTATATTACTTTTCCAATGTTTCCAAACATTTTCCAATAGCTGTGAATGGCTAAACTTGGTCAAATGAATGTCCTTTAATTTCATATTTAGATAATTTCTAACTATTTTTCCTATAATAAACAATGAACTGTAAAACAAAAACAAAAACAAAAAAAAACAGCTAGTTCCTGATCACTTCTTCAAGATATATTGCTAAAATTTCTACAAGTGGAAGTACTAGGTTGAATTAGAGCACACAGATTTTGAGGGCTTTGCATCCAGAAGTGTCCTCCTTCCTTCTTCTTATTTATTTAGGAGACAGGATCCTGCTTTGTCACCCAGGCTGGAGTGCAGTGGCACAATCTCGGCTCACTGCAACCTCCACCTCACGGGTTCAAGTGATTCTCCCATCTCAGCCTTCCCAGTAGTTGGGACTACAGGCATGCACCACCATACTTGGCTAATTTTTGTATGTTTTGCAGAGACAGGGTTTCACCGTGTTGCCCAGGCTGGTCTTGAACTCCTGGGCTCAAGTGATATGCCCGCCTCGGCCTCCCAAAGTGCTGGGATTACAGGCTTGAGCCACTGCGCCTGGCCCTTCTTTCCTTCTTGCTGACTTTCCCTCCAGCCCTCCTTTCCTCCCTGTCTCCTCTTTACCTTTCTCTCTTCTTCCTCTCCACCCCCACTCCTCTTTTTCTTTCTATAACAATTCATCCAGGTCCCTTACATATTAGCTGGGTTTGAAGAATTGTCTTTCCCCAGGTATCTATGCCATAAAGTGATAGATATTGGAGGCAGGGTGTTTGCGGGGGCAGTGGGGGCACTCACTGGCAAAGCAAGGAGAGTCAGAATGCAGTACTCTTGAACTAATTGCTGCCTACTTCTCTCCCAGCCTCCTGCCTGCCCTATGTCCCAGAGAAAGGAACCGTTGGTGCCAGTGGAGACCTTGCCCCACTCTCTCATCTTGCTCTTGGGCTAGTTGGAGAAGGGAAGATGTGGTCTCCGAAGAGTGGCTGGGCTGATGCTAAATACGTAAGACTCGTAGCAGCTTCTATCTGCAGCAATTGCCCCAGGTTGGACACCAACTGTGCTTGCATGCTTCGTATCACCTAGTCCTTACAACAGCCCAGTGAGGGAGCTCCTACTATCCTTACTTTACAGATGAGACAGCGAAAGCTTAGAAGTCAGACTAGGCAAGACTGTTGTTAGCTTCTATACTCGGCTGTCAGCCTTCTGGGTTTGGTCATCACCTTGGTGAAAAGGCATAACTGCTACTGTTAATCCCAACTATTTATCCTGCACCTACAACATTTCCAGTGCCTAGCAGGGAGGTCACACACTCTCACAATTTTAATTACGAGCTGGTCTCACAGGTGCAGTGGTATGGCTCATAGCACTTACTATATGGCTTCTGGAAAGCAGGTTTCATTTTTCCCTAAGCTCTTACCCTAGTGGCTAATCAAAAAAGCCTGTTTTTGATAAAGCTTTGGTGTTTTCTTCATCTGTGTCTGAATTTCATTACAGCAGCATAAAGCATCATTTAATGTATCATCCCTGATGAACTGCTGGGAGCTTCCCTGATAGTAAGTGAAAGGGGTAGAGGGCCCCAGAAGAGGAAACAGCTAAGGAAATAGATAATCCTTTTGGGGATGCAGCTTCTAGATCATCTGTCTTCCGTGCAGGCTTGTCTTTGATTATTTCACTATGGACAGCGTTTTCCTCCGACCACCCTCATACAGCAATCACCCTGACCTTTCTAAACAGCAAATTCAAGCATGTTCTGGTGAAAACTTGTAATGCTTCCCATTGTCCTCAGGATAAAGGCTAAACTTAAAGTGGCTTTCAAGGGTCTTGTTTGTCACATTAGCCCCTAATCCCTTCTATGTGTGGTTCTGCATTGCAGAAACTGGAGGTTGCTTGGAGAAGGAATGTTCTGGGCAGAGGGTCTGGTACAAATACGTTCTTCTCTCTCCTATTTCTGCTTCTGAAACATCTTCTAGGGATCTTTTGAAGCCAGAAGTTCAAGACCAGCCTGGGCAAGAAAGCGAGGCTCCGCCTCTACATAAAATAATTAAAAAATTATCCTGGCACAGTAGCATGTGCCTGTAGTCCCAGCTACTCAGGAGGCTGAGGATCACTTGAGCCCAGGAGTTCAAGGCTGCAGTGAGCTAGGATTGCACCACTGTGCTCGCTCTAGCCTGGGTTACAGAGACAGGTGTCTAAAAAATAAAAAGAAAAATAGAAAAGCCCTCTAAGAAGCTTCCGTCTCCGCTGCTCCACTTCCTACCTCTCGAGTTCCTTGTGACCCTCCTGTATGCTCTCCTAGCAAATGATTGTTTTCCACTGCACCCCACCCACTTCCCACATCCTCAAGCACTGAATGTACTATTACTCAGATTGCCCTGAGCTTGCCTGTCTTCATTTTGCCTACTCCTAGACCGACCCCAACACCCAGAACAGAATCCAGCCTCTAGCTGATACTTGAATCTGTGAAATTGACGTAGTAAATGGGACCAGCTCTGTCCTTCTCTTACCTTAACTTCCCCTTCCTTCTTTCCTAGAGAGACCTTAACTTAATGACTCTCTACTTCTTTTCTTTCAAGGGAAGATTGTTCTGCCCATCGCCCCCTCGGGATTCTGTCTCCATCTAGTAGAGGGAATTTTATAATCCCCTCTTCATTGGTGCTCACACATGTGCCACAAAAACCCTGCTCTGAGGTTTTGCCAGTATTTAAATGAAGCACTAATGAGGTTAGAGGACTTTTTAGGTCAAGCTCTGGAGGCAAGGGAGCGTGAACTGGGAGGAGTCCAGCCTGAGCACAACACAGATGCATGTATGTGTGTCAGATGCCTGCATGTCAGGAGGCAGTGGTAAAAAAGGTGAACTGCTAAGGTAGAAACTGAACACGAAGGACGTAGAAACCAAAATTTAGGGTTGATTCTATAGACAATGGAGCCCCTGATTTCAGTACAAAAATTAATTGAAAGATAAGTCTGCTTTCATGACTAAAGAACAGAACTAGAGAATAGACCAGAGAACATGAATACAGCCAGTTCCTGTAGGTCTCATTTCTTATAAGATGGACTTTTGGGCATAAAGAGCTATTATTGGATTCCATATGATATTGGAAATAGGCTAGTATTTCATTTGATACCCATTTTCATATTTTTAATCATTCTATAGGTGCTAGAAGCCCATGGATTGAAACCAGTTATTTTAAAACCAAAAGAGGTAAGGAAACTCAAGAAAAATATGTTCATAGTGCATGAGTTTTTATTTATGCAGTATTTTCAGTTTTAATCTCAGCCTCAATCATTCCTTAAATGCAACTTGCATGTTTGCTTAAAGTTCATCCCTGAAGAAGGGGCAACTCCGTAAGAATTTAAAAGATTCTTTATGCCAGGCATGGTGGCGGATGCCTGTAATCCTAGCACTTTGGGAAGCCGAGACAGGTGGATTGCCTGAGCTCAGGAGTTTGAGACCAGCCTGGGCAACATGGTGAAACCCATCTCTACCCGCCCCCCCCGCCCCGCCAAAAAAGACAAAAATTAGCCAGGCATGGTGGCGCACACTTGTAATCCCAGCTACCCTGGAGGCTAAGGTGGGAGGATCACTTGAGCCCTGGAGGTCAAGGCTGCAGGGAGCCATGATCGCACCACTGCACACCAGCCTGAGCAACACAGTAAGACCCTGTCTCAAAAAAGAAAAAAAGATTCTTCATGCCACAATGCATAGGGGGTCTCTTAGGAACTTAAAACTTCAAATCGAGTTCTGTTAGGATCTCTGAGAGATAGATGTTCTCAGCCCAAATTCCTTAGAATGCTCTAAGCTAAGAGTCTTGGACCAGAATTGGGTTTTTTTGGATGTCTCATCTATAACAGTAAGAATTTAAGGAAGAAATGCAACCTAATGCACTAAAGATTTTATGTGCAGTCTACACTCCAGAGCTGCATTGCTGCTTTGGGAATGTGGATACTTAATGAGTGTTTCATTTGCCAGATTTGTGCTTACGAGTTCACATATGATAGCACTTATTCTTCAAGGGCTTAAATAAACATTACTGTCCCGCACTTTAGAAAACATAAACATAATTTTTTATGTTTATGACTGGCTAATTTTTCTCTTATGAAAGCAAAAGATACAAAATCCACGGGTATGTAGGTTCGTTACAATAATCACAGTAGGAAACTTTGCTCTCTCCCCCGACAGGGCCTGGCACTCATCAATGGGACGCAGATGATCACATCCCTGGGCTGTGAAGCTGTAGAGCGAGCCAGTGCTATTGCACGGCAGGCTGACATTGTGGCAGCCCTGACCCTTGAGGTGCTGAAGGGCACCACCAAAGCCTTTGACACTGGTCAGCAGGGTTCTTCCTTTTGGTTGTTATTCATTCAACCAGAGGTGGTGGGGCGGGGTGGCTGAGATCTTTAGACACAGAAGTGGTGGGGGCAGGTAGTAGGGAAGGAGAAAACCCAAGTGCCTGTGGCGTACCCAGTGTGCTGCCTCTTCATCTAGGCTATGGCACAACTGATCTTTGAAAGAACTGCAATTTACAGATACACACAGCCCGGAAGTTGAGTGACTTGCCTGAGAGCACCCAGGGATCTGGGTGTGTCAAGCTCTGTGCTGTCTTAGGAATCTTTTTACAGGACTTAGGAGTCCTGTAAAAAGGAGTAGGATTAGAGTTGGTCCCGACTAGAAAATTGGGGAAGAAAAACTGTCGAATTGGTAGCTTATTTAGAAAGTAGTGAATTTTGACGACCTCCCAACTATAATATGAAAAAGGGCAGAACATTGTCTAAAAGTGAATGAGTTAAATTAGGCCACTGTAGGGCTCCCTCCTGTTATTCGCCCTGTTCCTTTAAGGTAGGCCCAGTGTCTTGAGTGGAATTCCCAGTGGTCTCAACATATAGTTTGCTCTCAGATATTTAAAGTAGAAGGAGTCAAGTCAATAAGGAAAATCGTGCTTTCGGAGTTAAGTTTCTAATTCTGAGTGGTGGCTAAGGACCCCTGGGACTTTTGAGGGCTGTGTCAGCACCGTAGATGGTCCTGAACCATTGATGGTCATTTGTTCTAATATCAGAATTACTCGACCTGGCATGGTGGCTCATGCCTGTAATCCCAGCACTTTGGGAGGCCAAGGTAGGAGGATCGCTAGAGCCCAGGAGTTTGAAACCAGCCTGGGGAACGTAGTGAGACCCCCATCTTTAAAAAAAATAAATAAATGGAATTATTCAGACTTTTTCTCCTTCATCAATTCTAGACATTCATGCTCTTCGACCTCACCGTGGGCAAATTGAAGTTGCTTTTCGGTTTCGGTCACTCTTGGACTCAGATCACCACCCATCAGAAATAGCAGGTCTGACCATGTTTATGGGAGTGACCTATTTGGTTACGTGTTTTGTGAAAAGAATTGGTAACATGATCCCTGTCTCATCCCCTCCACCTCTTCCACAGAGAGTCACAGGTTCTGTGATCGCGTCCAGGATGCATACACCTTGCGCTGCTGTCCACAGGTAAAATAAAGAAAAAAAAAAAGGTCAATAAAAAATGCCAATAAAGTTTTTCTTTCCCCAGGTTCAGGATGAAAAATTTTAAAATAGGAAAGTGTTAGAAAAACATGTAATGGTCAACTATAGTCCAAATTTCTTACTGTCTCTATGAAAAGTTATGTATATTTTACCTTTATGTGTGCAATTGTTGTAAAGTTTCTATTCTATATGGTGAACTATTTGTTTTCTTTTGATTGTTCAACCTACTTTCAGAGGACAACCTCTTTTTTTTTTTTTTTTTTTTTTTGAGACAGACAACCAACAAATAACCTCTTTGATTTGGAGACAGAGTCTCACTCTGTCACCCTGGCTGGAGTACAGTGGCATGATCTCTGTTCACTACAATCTTCACCTCCCAGGTTCAAGTGATTCTCCTGCCTCAACCTCCCGAGTAGATGGGATTACAGGCATGTGCCACCATGCCTAATTTTTGTATTTTTAGTAGAGATGGGGTCTCACCATGTTGGCCAAGCTGGTCTCGAACCCCTGACCTCAAATGATCCACCTGCCTCAGCCTCCCAAAGTGCTGGGATTACAGGCGTGAGGACCGTCCCCGGCCCAGACAACCTCTTATGTTGATTCAGTGCCCTAACTTTTAAAAATTCTTAGTAATAAAATCATAACCAGTTAGTAGAGTTGTACTGTTTCTCCCTGTTAAGATGAAACTTTAACCAGATAGTCAGAGGTGTTTACAGGAAAGTCTTAATTATATCATTTTGAAACTCAGGTGCATAGTAATGGTTATACCTTACTTGCATTTTATGGGCAATATAAATTATTTTAAATGAATTTGTGATGCTTAACTTTAAATTAAAAATGCAGATGACCTGGGTTGGCATTAGGCATCTGTATTACAGATGTGTAATTTACATATGACAGTTAGAGAGCCAGTCATCTCAATAAACCATATTTTGGTCTGTGCCAAATTTCAGTCTATGGTGTAATAGAGAGTCCTCCCTAGAATAAATACCCTCATTTCCCTTTAGTCAGCAAGTTATCTTTTCTAGCTAGCTTATTGAGCAATAGATCAAAACACCTATGGGTAAGAATTGCCAAATTAGATCTACAGGAAGATTAAGTCCTGATGTAAGACTTCCCTGATATTTTAATAACGATAGCAGATTCTATGTGACAGGCACCATTATCACTGTCTTTCATTTATTAATTCATTTAATCTTCCCAACTATAAGATACTCTTTCTCCCATTTTGCAATGGGGAAACTGAGGCACAGAATTAAGTATCTTGCCCACGATCACACAGACAGATAATTACTTCCTTGACTTCTGGGAGAAACCAGAGCCAGGTGCTGCTTTATAGCATTGTGGCTATTTCTGGGGTTTGTACAGCGTAGCTGCCTTATGTGTGAGCATCTTCTAATGTGATGCCTTCGTGCTTAATGAACTTTACCGCCTTGGATAATAGCTACCATTTGAGTAATCTCTGCGAGTCACATCTAAGAATTTGTTTGCATTATTTTATGTACTTCTCAAAAGCCATAAGTGCTATTGTCTCTTTTCTAAGTCTTCCTATCTTTTAACTATAAACCTAAGGAACTTGCCCAAGTCCTACCACTAACCTGGGAGTGAATCTGCCTGTGTCTAGAGTTGGCATTCTTCCTCCCACACCATGCTGCTTTGTATAGATTGATCTAATGTGAATATATATGATAATGAATTTATTCTAATTTGTTTCAGTGAAAACCCAAAAGAATTATAACAAAATTATCTTCAGTTCAAATAATTTCCATGGTTATAACTTTAAAATAAGATCTTCTGTATTCTTTATAACTTTAAGATAAGATCTTCTATATTCTTTTAAGAATATTGGTACTCTTCAGGTAATCAAATGGGTCATATACCTTATTTTGATTGTATTTTAGGTCCATGGTGTGGTGAATGATACAATAGCATTTGTGAAGAACATCATTACCACAGAACTGAACAGCGCAACAGATAATCCTGTATCTTTTGATTGTATACTAACCTGCAATTATAGAATTGCAGCTGGTAATTTTAGGATCTACTGAAACAATCATTTTGTGTAGCTTCTCAGTTCCATTGCTCCATTTCACAGAGTAAATGAATCAGTACCTGAGGCTCAGAGGTTAACTGACTTTCTCCAGGTCAGAGCTGGTAAGTGGCAGAGGTGACCTGTGAACTTACTCTCAGGTTCCAAGTCTAACATGCTGTACTTTCAAAATGGACCTATTCAAGATTTAAGAAGATATTTCCAGCATTGGCTGACATGTTTCCTGAAGACACTGGCCCTAAAACCCACTGCCAAGGTTGTTGGTGGAAGGGTGAAGACGTGGGTCACAAATGTGATTGCAGAAATGCTGAACAATTTATGCAGGCCTCTCTGCTTTGAGTGAGAGCAGTTTGCATTATGCAGAGGTCAGCCTTTTAACACTTACCAAAGTATTGATTAAAGAGTTATGGCTTCCTCATCCTGAGGTTTTTGGCATTTTTTTTTTTGTTTATTTTTAGACGGAGTCTCACTCTGTCTCCTAGGCTGGAGTGCAGTGGTGCCATCTCGGCTCTCTGCAACCTCTGCCTCACGGGTTCAAGCGATTCTCCTGCCTCAGCCTCCTGAGTAGCTGGAATTACAGGCATGTGCCAGCAGGCCTGGCTAATATTTGTATTTTTAGTAGAGACAGGGTTTTGCTGTGTTGGCCAGGCTGGTCTCAAACTCCTGACCTCAAGTGATCCACCTGCCTCGGCCTCCCAAAGTGCCGGGATTACAGGTGTGAGCGACTACACCCAGCCCCCATCATGAGTTTTTATTTGTCATGCGCACTTTGCTCAAATTAGTGCTTTTGCGTTTGTTCAAAGAAATAGTAAAACTGATTCCATTTCTCAAGGATGGAGGTCCTCTCTTAATGGTGTGGCTTATCTCAGAGCCATCTGGTTTTTCTCTGGAATGTTCCATGATGGCTCAGTTCCCCAGATGTTGAGGTGATCAGTCAGGAGTCACACTGGCACAGTTTTCATGGAGATAGCACTGCCTCTGAAGATAATCAAACGCCTTTGGAATCTATTTTTCCTATTCCACATCTGCCTCAGTTCTGAATCCTAGAGAAAGTGCTGAGTAAGCAGCCCCAAAAGCAGGTCACAGGCTGAGTTAGAAGATGGTTATGTGATAGCTCCATAAGGTTTCCCATGAGATGGCTTTTGTATGTATGTGTTTTTTGACAAGCTTACTTCAGAATGTGTGTTTTATGTTCTCTCACATTGTTTTACACTGAAGTCAAACCCACACTAAATAAGCCTCAGAAATTGTGGGTCTCTCCATTCACCTCAATACCACCCCATCCCCCAGATGGAATAGTAGTTTTTATGAACTCTATGTAGTCTTATCTCACGTACCAGTCTTTTCACTGTAGGGAAGAGGTATCTATTCTACATTTACATCATTGCTTTTAAAGGGTATCTCATAGTTTTTAGAAATTACCATTCAATTACTGAATATGGGGCAGGGGATAATTAATTCCTCACTAAATTCTTCTGCTACCAATTGCCTCAGCAAGAATTTCAGCCAAAAGTCTTTTATTTTTTTCAATTAAAGATTGCTAATTATTGATAAATTTCCAATAGGCTAATATTTGGGAGTTCTCTTGCAATACTGCTGTTACCTGAAAGAATATGTGTCTCAATTTTCTGTTGCAGATACGGAGCCCCATCACACATGCTGGATATTATGGGAGTTAAATTCTAATTGTTTTAATCTAATAGCCAACAAACAAATTTGGAACAACTAGAGGACAATAAAAACATGTCTAAGTTCTAAATTGATGCAGAATTCCATTGCTATAGGGATTCAGAGAATGGAGAAGAGGCCAAGACCAAGGAGCTAGACCCAATGGGCTCACAGTTACACATGCAGAACAGAGTAATCCACACTTGAGTAGGTTAATGTAACACATACATCTCTAACTCTTTCAAAGTTAGAAACTTTCTTGCACACAGCAAGTTCTCAGTTAATAGGTAATGAATATTCTTGAGCCCAAGAGGCAAAGATTAGCTCTTTAGAACCAGGAAGAAGGATCTGTTACTGCCTTTTCCTGGGTGCTTGCTGGTTTAAGTAAAGTGCATGATGGAATAGAATTATCTGAGGCTGGGTTTGGTGGCTCACACCTGTAATCCCAGCACTTTGGGAGGCCAAGGTGGGCTGATCACTTGAGGCCAAGAGTCCAAGACCAGCCTGGCCAACATGGCAAAACCCTGTCTCTACTAAAAATACAAAATTTAACTGGGTGTGATGGTGCATGCCTGTAATCCCAGCTACTCAGGAGGCTGAGGCACAAGAAATCACTTGAACCCGGGAGGCAGAGGTCGCAGTGAGCCGAGATGGCGCCCCTGCACTCCAGCCTGGGTGACAGAATGATACAGAAAATAAAAAAAGAATTACCTCAGAGTAATAATATTCAGCAAATTTAAACTTGCCACCTACTTAAAATGGATTCATGAGGACATATTGGCCACCATCTGCTGTTGAACGCTGACACCAGATTACTGAGTAAAGAATTTGAAAATTTTCTCAAAATTGATTGTTCCAGACATTTTGGTAGTTGCTCATCAGCAGAGTTTCCCATTCAACAGATTCTTCTATGGAACACAAATTTGCAGTGCCCATTGAAGAAACAGAAGTTGCTTTCAAACAGATGTGTTGGTCTCTGTTTTTAGTTTCAGGCTATAAACCTTTTGAGGGCAGGTACTAACCACCAGGTTAGTACAGTTATGGTGCTTTAGAATCTAATCTCAAGAGAAAACATCATTTCAAGGTTCATGTTTTTTCAGCCTCCAAATTGGGTGTACATGATCCACCTTTAAGGCTTTTTGTTTTTTGCTTTTGTGCCCCTTTATATCTCTTGCAGGAAGACTTGTCTCTTTCCCTCCACCCCACATTTGTACACAGACTGCCACCTCCACGTTAAAAAAGAAGGCAGGAAGGGGTTGTACTTGAAGTGACCAGCAAACATTATCTTCAAGCCTTAACCTCTTTTGAAAGATGGTCTTTGCCAATAGGGGAGAGACAGTTTCTGGAGGAAACTTCCATGGTGAATACCCAGCCAAAGTAAGCTTTTTAAAACTGCTCCTGACCCAGAAGGCACATTTCAATATAGGCTGACTAAATGGAGACCCTCTTTCAGGCCCTAGACTACTTGGCCATTGGCATCCATGAACTTGCTGCAATCAGTGAGAGAAGAATCGAGCGGCTCTGCAATCCCTCCCTCAGTGAGCTGCCTGCCTTCCTGGTGGCTGAAGGTGGTCTGAACTCTGGGTTCATGATAGCTCACTGCACGGCAGCAGCCCTTGGTAAGGACACTGCCCCTTTCCCAGAACACACGCCCGTCCATCTAAGGGTCTTTCCATTTCACCTAGAAGTATCAAATGTGGTCTGTGAGTGAGATCTAACTTTTCACCACTTTTATCTGCATCCTAGTTCTCTCAGTGCAAAGGTAACAGGTTAACTCTAATATTTTTCAGAAAAAAATAGTTTAAAAACTTCGATACTGTTATGCTGAAATATAATAATACAATAATAAGGCTGTAATGGACAATTTCTCTGTGGAAAGCAATTTGACATTGCATATGAACTTCATCTCTATAGCTTTTTTCCAAATCTCCATTTGAAGACTATTGGAAAAAGACTAAGATGGTTATAGTTAATGGTGAAACTTGAACCAACCTATAATTAAACTTTGAACTTTTAAACCTATAATTAAACTTTGGATTCATTTCACTAGATATAACAACCACTAAAAACATAAAGATGTTATTGCAACATTAAAAAAATGCTTATAAGAATCAGGATACCCTCTGTGAAGATTGAGCTTCAATATAGTTTATTTCTGACTCAAGATTGTAAGAGACAGATTAACACATCAGAACAGTGCCTGGCACTAAGTAAGTACTAAGGGCCTCATTTATGTTCATTCACTTAATTGCACAATTGTCACCTGAGGTAAGTGCTATTATTGTTATCTATAGATGAATATCTGAAGATCTGAGAGTTAAGTGACTTGCCCAATATTGCACAGCTAGCAAGATGTAAAGCAGAATTCAAACCCTGAATTTTGGCATGCAAAAATGTGCTTTTACTTCAATTAATGAGGATCTCATTTTAATCAATACTTAATCCTAAAATAGGGTTGTCAAATTTAACAAAAACACAGGATGACTAGTTAAATTTGAATTATTTGGGACATACTTGTACTACAAAAATTATTTTTTTAATCTAAAATCAAAATTTAACTGGGCATCCTTTACTTTATCTAACAACCCTACCCTAAAAGGCAGGATAGCATGAGTTATTACATGCGTAGATGCTAGATCAGAAGCCCAGCTCTGCCATTTACTAGCTCTGTGAGCCTCTTTATCCTGTTGATCCTCAATTTACACCTGCATAAAATGGAGATCAGTTTACCTAAGGGGGTTGTTTGGAGGATTAAATGAATTGATGTATATAAAGCCTGGCACATCATAAGCACTAAAAAAATACTAGTTGCTATTAATATTATTCCCAACGAACACAAATAACCAACTAAGAGCCACTGAATTCACCTCCTCTGACCGGTATCTTCTATTTGCTTACTTGCTTATTAATAAAATACCCCTTTAACAGGTAGAAATTTCTCACAATAACGTAGTAGTGGGGGAGTAGTCATTGATTTCTAGAGAACAGGATGGACATTGGGAAGCCTCATTTGAATATGTTTTAGTTTCCCAAGCTGCCTATTGAGGTTGTTTGGCTTGCTTTCATTGTAGTAAAATTAGTGTTTTTCTTTTTTTGGCCCTTGTAAGTTATCTTTCCGAACAAGCCTTACCACAGTTTACTTATCTGTATAGTCCACAGTTTAGGGTCCAAGGACTTGGGACTTACAGTGCTGAAACCTGGAAAGTCCTTGGCCAACCAACATGACCTTGACAAAGTAGCATGACCCTAGTTTAAAGCGAGATCATCTTAGGATGCGATCCCATGCAGCATAGAAAACAACTGAAGCCTCACCCATGACCACTCTTAAAGCCAGAGAAAGAGGAGAAGAGACTTTGAGTCTGACCTTTCCTGACTTCTAAGCTAGGGTGAGGGAACTTCATAACCTAAGTTTTTGCTACTTATAGTGTAGTCCTCAGACCAACAATATGGCCATCACCTGAGAGCTCGTTAGAACAGCAGAATTTCACGCCCCACCCAAAGCTCAGTATATTTGTTATAACAAGGTCCCTGAGTGATTCATGTGCACTGGAAAGCTTGAGAGTCCCATGTCTTGGTCCTCCCTAGAATTCCCCCACCTCCCAGATATTTCTGGCAGTCATCGAGCCCCTGTTTACATCCATTTATGTCATCCTTGAACACTCTGAAGTGTTAAATCTTCTTGCCCAAGATTTATGGGTCCAGCCTCAGTCCCCAAATGCCACATCGGAATTCTGGTGACACAACCAAATTGACGTCAAGTACCTGAAAATGGCCATCATGTCTCTTTCTCCCCTAGTCTCCCTGGCATGCTATATGCTTCCCAGGTTGTCATCTTGGCCTTGTTATATTAGAATTCCCAGTTCTCCCATCTCCGTCTTACCTCAGAACTCACTATTGCTTTAGAGTCCTCACTTGGGGAAAAAAAATGACCTGCTTCCTTTTCCCAAAGCAGCTTTCTACCATCAGGTGCTTGGATAATGTCCAAGATCTTCTGGAGAGTGTATCCCATGCTGTGGAGCACTCTGTGGAAGCCACGGGTCCTTTAGACAGCTCATCCTGTGAGGAGCACTTCTTAACTGGCACTGGTCTCTTGCAGTTTCTGAGAACAAGGCTCTGTGCCATCCCTCGTCTGTTGACTCCCTCTCCACCAGCGCAGCCACGGAGGACCACGTCTCCATGGGAGGATGGGCAGCAAGGAAAGCCCTCAGGGTCATCGAGCATGTGGAGCAAGGTAATGCTGATGAGTTCGGGGTGGCGGGCCTGCCTGATAGACCACTGTGCCCGTGGTTCTCAAGTGGGATCTCCCACCAGCAACATCAGCATCACCTGGAAACTTGTTAGGAAGGCAGACTCTCAGGCCTCCTTGCAGGCTGGCTAATTCAGACACTCCAGGAGGAGAGCGGAGCAATCTGTGTTTAACGAACCCTCCAGGTGATTCTGATCTTCACTAAAGATTAAGAACCAAGGAACCATGCAGAACTAAGCTGGTCCTTTGGCTGGCTTTTTTTTTCTCTTTTTTTTTTTTTTTTTTTGAGGCAGGATCTCTATCTGCCACCCAGGCTGGAGTGCAGTGTTGCAACAATAGCTCACTGCAGCCTTGAACTCCCAGGCTCAAGTGATCCTCCTTCCTTAGTCTCCTAAGTAACTGACACCTCAGGCAAGCACCACCACACCTGGGTAATTTTTAAATTTTTTGTAAAGATGGGGTCTTGCTGTGTTGCCTTGGCTGGTCTCAAACTCTTGGCCTCAAGCGATCCTCCCACCTCACCCCCAAAGTGGTTTTTTTTTTAATGAGACTTTTAAAACATATTCAAAGTGGAGAGAAGAGTACCATGAACTCTCACACCCCACCTTGATTCAACAGCACATTCAATTTATGAAGTACACTATGAACTCTAGTGAGTGCAGACAGGTCACAGTGGGAGAGGATGAAGTTGTGGAATTCACGGTGGACCTGGAAGCAATTTCTCATCTTCTAGTCCAGTATCCCCACCCCGCAATTCATATGGAATTGGAAACCACGAGATGTAAAGCATCTTGATGAAATGCATACAATTATTTAATAGAACTGGGGCTCAAGATGAGGATCAGCTCTTCTTTCTGACTTCCTTCCCTACCCACATGACCCAAACTTGGCCAACAAACCTTTGTTAGAGGATGTGAATGGGGGACATGGCAGATTTTGCTAGTGCAGATGAATGGGCAGCTTCCTGGGTAGGTGTGCAGGTCTGGTAATTATTCAGGTAAATGTCTCAATTCTCCCCTTCTCAGCATTAAAGATATAGTCAAGGGGTTAGAAAACAGGTTAAAATGGCAACTAAATACCAAAGCAACTTCATTCTACCAATAGACAGAGAACAAACCATCTGTTAGTTGGGTGGTGATGGGTGTCAACTTTGGGAAATCCACATTCCTTAAGCATGAAGTCAGACTTTCATAAGCTACCCTCTTGGAATTTCTTGTTTCAGTGCTGGCCATCGAGCTCCTTGCAGCCTGCCAGGGCATAGAGTTTCTACGTCCCCTGAAAACAACCACTCCGCTGGAGAAGGTCTATGACCTGGTGCGCTCTGTTGTAAGGTAAGATCAAACAGGTCTCTGAAAATTACATCAGTTCAGCACTGTGAACCCTGGCAGGGTTTCATGTTTGGCTGATGGGCGGATGTGCTCTCCCTGTAGGCCCTGGATAAAAGATCGCTTCATGGCCCCGGACATCGAGGCAGCCCACAGGCTGCTCCTGGAGCAGAAGGCAAGCTGGCTCCTTGGCTTGTTTCTTAATTTTTAATTGTTACAGGAAAGCAAAGTCGGGGATGGAGAAACATTGCCTTATTCTATTGTTTTCTGGCCATTCCTTGGGAATGAGCAAAAAGGTATTTGAGCAACAACTTGCAGCACCACTAAGAAGCCATATAATAAACACTAAGTGCACCAGGGTGCAGCCAACGGTTGAATATCTAAGGATTAGAAACAGAAATGGATTTTAAATGGAGTTTTGGGACAATATTCATGGGGAAAAAAATAAGATGTCAGGTTCATTGATGCCTCCCCACCCCTGCAAGATGTCCTCTTTGATTCAAAAGTGCGTTCCCTTCTGGGTGATGCTATCACAACTACCACCACTGGGTGCAATGGCTGCGTAGACCTGGAGAGAAAACCAAGGCCCGGGTGTTTACTTCAGAAGACTTTCGGTCTGTCTAGTGCTCTGGTGAGATGCGGGTTTTTCTTTCTTGCATATTTCCACTGGTTACATTGACCGTATACTCAGCTGCCAGGTACAGATGCCCAGCATGCTGGCTTATCTTTTAAATATCGTTTTTGAAGTGCTTTAAACCTTTTGAATAACTTGTGGGTGTTATGTTCCCTAGAATCGCTTGATTTCCTTAAAACAGTTGCTCTGCTCTGGGGCAGTGATTTTTCCCTGTGATTTTCACACCCATTATTTCTAAGCATGCCCTGCACTCTGGATGGGGAAGCTGCTTGCCTGCTGCCAACTTTGGTGCTAGGAGGGAGGTATACGAGAGGTTAGCCTTTAAGAGTATTCATTTGCTAAGGTCATAAAAAATAATAGGAAAGGCTCCTTGGCTGTCAGTGGCAATCAGTTAAAAAGCAGATATAAACCAAAAACAGGGCCTTAATTTCATTCAATTTAAAAAAAAATTTTTTTAGAGATGCGGGTCTTGCTATGTTGCCAAGGCTGGACTCAAACTCCTGGGCTCAAGTGATCCTCCCACTTTGGCTTCTTGAGTAGCTGGGACTACAGGCACATGCCACCATGCCCGTCCAGGGCCTTACTTTGAGATGATGTTATGCTTAAGAAAAAAAAAAAAAAAGAAAAAAGAGGTTGGTGGGTGGGAGGCAAAAGCTAACCAAGGATCTGAGGCAGTGCCTCTCCAACATTAAAGTGGCTATGAATCTGCTGGGCATCTTGTTAAAATGCAGGTGTGGATTCAGTAGGTCTGGGTGAAGGCCAAGATTCTGACTTGTCCCAGGTGATGCTGATACTGCAGGGGCACAGGCCACGCTTTGAGTAGCAGGGTCAAAGGAACAGAGCACCTGTGGCATGGAAATAAGGCAATAGGGAAATACAATTCACTGCCTTTTACCATTTAAGGCTTGCTTTAGAAAACACACAGGTCCAGGCCATGTGTGGTGGCTCACGCCTGTAATCCCAGCACTTTGGGAAGCTGTGGTGGGTGGATCACTTGAGGCCAGAAATTCGAGACCAGCCTGGCCAACATGGTGAAACCCCATCTCTGCTAAAAATACAAAAATTAGCTGGGCCTGGTGGCATGCACCTGTAATCCCAGCTACTCAGGAGGCTGAGGCACAAGAATTGCTTGAACCTGGAAGGTGGAGGTTGCAGTGAGCTGAGATCATGCTACTGCACTCCAGCCTGGGCGACAGAGTGAGACTCTGTCTCACAAAAAAAGAAAAAAAACAAAAAAACAAGAAAAAAACCACATAGGTACTGTTAAGACCCTGGAGCAACTATCCTTCACTCTATCCACACTGAATTCTCTGGGTTTTGTTATTTGCTTGCTTGTTTTGCTTAGGAAAAGTATGCAGCTTAAAATCTTTATGATGACTTTAGAAAGTTTTGGACTTTGTATATTTACAGTCTTTAATGCAACCAAAGACTAATTGACACAGGTCATGTGTCAAATGGCTTAAAATAAAAGCAAGCAAACAGCAGCTGTGTCTGGTCATGTATAGAGTATGTTTTGACTTCGGATGAAGTTGATGTTTAATAGCATGTGGAAACAATGTCGTCAATATTTCAACTTTGTTTTGTCCTTGCTTTTCAGGTTTGGGAAGTAGCTGCTCCATACATTGAAAAATACAGAATGGAGCATATTCCAGAATCAAGACCTCTTTCTCCAACAGCCTTTTCACTGCAATTTCTGCACAAGAAATCCACCAAAATCCCGGAGTCTGAGGACCTTTAATGGGCTTTGTCATGAAGTAGCAGATGAGAGGGCAGTCAGTTTAGCACAAAGCAATACTAGGCTGAAGGAGAGACCTGAGAACTTTCCTAGGTAGATCAATCCATTGTATCATTCAGTTCTTCTAAAGCCTACGTTGGTTAGGCTGATGGCAGTATTATAGTTGCTAAATTCAGCACTGTGTTCCTGTTGTCGTGGTTCAAGACCCACCAGGTATTTTCAGATTATAAAACTTTTCTTTCTTTCTTAACAGTTTCAACAGGCCACTCACTCTTAAGGGTGAGAAGAATAACCACAATTGTATGTGCCTGTTTTTTACTCTTAGCATTAGATGAATTCAAATTTGGAAACAGATTGATAGCAATTTTTTCTAAAAACATTAGACTTTTGTTAACCTTTTTTTTTTTTTTTAAATTTGCTTCAACAAGCTCTCCACCAGTTGACTTTCTTTGGCTAATTTTACTTTGCATGATATGCCTTAATATGCCTTCATAAATAACCATTTTAAGTCATAATTTGTCCTTAAGCTGCTTTTTTCTTCTATTAATTGGATCATAGTAAAGAGTAGTCAATAGGGTCTTCAGCTATTAATTGTAGAGGTGATTAAAACCAACAAGGAGTTTCATGTGCAAAGGAGATAAGGAATGAATATAAAGATTGCTATTTGGGTGGCTCTTATTAAACTGTGTATTTTGTACTTATCACTACACGTATCCCCCAAATGCTTACATGGGAGTTTGAGGTTAGTATTTTCACTTCCTTGGTGTTAGTACTCTATTCACATTCTTATTGTAACCTTCCTCATTTCACAGATAAGGAATCTTTGGGGATTAACCAACCTCCTTTCTGTAATGGTAATCATTAAAATAAGTCCTATTGATAAAGGTCAGATGGAGCCCTAGAGTGTATTACTGCATCTATTTTTTTCCCCGAGAAGATAAAGGACCTTCAGGGATGGCTTAAGTGTATCTGTCCAGATGAAGGATGGGTCACATGACCTCTTGGCTTCCCAAGTCTAAGCTCTGTGACTTTGCACCAGTGTGTGCATATATGTGCAAGGCCCTTCAAGTGGTCTGAAACCGTGGCTCTAAAAACCACAGCTGGTGGAGAGGAGGACAGACACACTTGCCACCTTGCCTACCTAATTGCCATCTAAAATGGGCCGAACAGTGGATTTCACAATAGAGTTTTCACCCTTTAGATTTACAACCTGTCAGGTGGAAACTGAAGTGAAAACTGCTGCACACAGCAATTCAGGGAGCAAAAAATGTGCTGAGGAGACTGTTTACCTAAAGGTTGTTCTTGGTGCTATTCCTTGTCAAAATGTGAACACACACAAATGAGGTTTGTGCATTGTCATCCGTGGGCTGCCATTGAGCCAGTAACCCCCAGTGGTCTCATGGTGCTCTTCGCTCCAGTTTGGGGAATGCTGGATTCTTTCAGCCCCTGCAGCCCTCCAGGTCAAAATGACACTTTGTCACTGAGTTTTCTACACAGCTCTATTAGTAACTGACAGCACACGCCTTCAAGGGAACTTCAAGGGAAACATGGAATAAACTAAGTCTCAATTGCCTTATGGTGTCGCTTTATTCTTAGGTATTTATAGCAAAGTTAAGCGCCTCTAACAGCAGTTAATCAAGCTTCTGAAGGATTCAGTTGACAGATGTCAACCGTTTTAAGAACAATATGCTTGACTCAGTACACTCTTTTTCCCATTGGCTAGCAACAAAAGAGTTGGAGGTATCAGGATTTCCTCCCCAGCCCCGCAGGCTCACCTGGTCTTTGTCACAAGTTGTCTCAGGGCAGCTGGAGGAGGCAAACCCTAAAGAACAAGGGCTTTTCAAGTCCCTGTTGTGCCACGTTCGCTAATGTCCTGTTGGCTAAAGCGAGTCACGTTCCAGGCCCAGAGTCAATTTGGGAGGGTAACACTCAAGGGCATGGGCATGTGATTTGACGTGATCCATGGGCCTGTATCTGACAATCTACCACATGCATAAAATCCCATCACAGGCTGGGTGCAGTGGCTCATGCCTGTAATCCCAGCACTTTGGGAGGCCAAGGTGAGTGGATCACGAGGTCAGGATTTCAAAACCACCCTGGCCAAGATGGTGAAACCCTGTCTCTACTAAAATTACAAAAATTAGCCAGGCACCGTGGCAGGTGCCTGTAATCCCAGCTACTCGGGAGGCTGAAGCAGGAGAATTGCTTGATCCTGGGTGGCAGAGGTTGCAGCGAGCCAAGATCGTGCCACTGCACTCCAGCCTGGGTGACAGAGTGAGACTCCATCTCAAAAAAAAAGAAAGAAAGAAAAAAAAGAAAAGAAAAAGAAAAAAAAGTCATTACAACCGGCAAAATTCAAAAGCAGATACATTTCATACTGCTTTAAACCTGTGTCTGATTTTTGGGTCTGGTCACTGGATTGCTTTTTATTAAACTTTATGGTTCTCTTTATGGTTCATTTTGCTTTTTTTTTTTTTTTTTTTTGAGATGGAGTCTCGGCTCTGTCACCCAGGCTGTAGTGCAATAATGCTACCTTAGCTCACTGCAAACCTCTGCCTCTTGCGTTCAAGCAATTCTCCTGCCTCAGCCTACCGAGTAGCTGGAATTACGGGTATGCGCCATCACACCCGGCTAATTTTTGTATTTTTAGTAGAGATGGGGTTTCACCATGTTGGTCAGGCTGGTCTTGAACTCCTGACCTCCAGGGATCCACATATCTTGGCCTCCCAAAGTGCTGGGATAACAGGCGTGAGCCACTGCTCCCAACTCATTTTGCCTTTTTGCTTACTTTTGTTGAGAGTATTAATTTATTAAATGTAAACATTGTAAATGTAAATGTAAATGTAAAAAATAGTTGGAGAACATTAGTTTCAGCCCAGAGGGTAGACTTCATTAGTCTAACATACAAAAGACAGTTAAATTACAATGCTACAAAGGCTATCATAGAGATGTGGGAATGTGGGGAAGGGCGTCCAGCTCCAGTTTCCCATGTAAGGAAGAGAAGGAAAGCATTCTGGGCAGAGGGAACCGTATTGCATGGCCCTGAGCAGCTCACTGTCCCCTAAGGAACAGTGTGAAGATTGGTGTGATTAGGGCTTAGAACTCAGAGCTGCTCAGACCTTAATGTGCATGTGAATCACCCGGGGCTTATTAGCATGCAGATTCGGACTCAGCAGGTCTGGGTCCAGCCAGAGGTTCTGCATTCCTAGCAAACTCCGTCAGTTGCACGGGCTTGCAGCACGCTGGCCTGGGAGGACTAGGGCAGTTTGGGTAGATGTCTTTTTCTGTCTTCTTTCAAAAAAGGCATGAATGCTATTTGTTTAAAGTGAGTGCCTCCTAGATGAAAAATCAGATGTGCTTCTCCTTCTTGTTTCTTCAATAGAAGAATCTAATCTTGTGTTGCTTGAGTTCCAGGGAAGACTCGACCTAACATTCCGTTTTGGCTTTTATGTGTATCTCCTGCGCCCCAAATGTTCAGTGCCTAGGTGACTGGTCACAGGGGAGCCATCACACACAGCAACTGTGTGCCCCCTACACTGTCTCAAGACTTCTTAAATAATCGCATGAGGTTCAGAGCTCCAGAGACCCCATTGTGATTGTGTCCGGAATTGGTGGGTTCTTGGTCTCACTGACTTCAAGAATGAAGCCGCGGACCCTCGGGCTGAGTGTTACAGCTCTTAAGATGGTGCGTCTGAAGTTGTTCGTTCCTCCCGGTGGGCTCGTGGTCTTGCTGAGCTCAGGAGTGAAGCTGCAGATCTTCGTGGTGAGTGTTACAGCTCATAAAAGCAGCGTGGACCCAACGAGTGAGCAGTAACAAGATTTATTGCAAAGAGCGAAAGAACAAAGCTTCCACAGTGTGGAAGGGGACCCCAGCGGGTTGCCAATGCTGGCTCGGGCAGCCTGCTTTTATTCTCTTATCTGGCCCCACCCACATCCTGCTGATTGGTAGAGGCTAGTGGCCTGTTTTGTCAGGGCGCTGATTGGTGCGTTTACAATCCCTGAGCTAGATACAAAGGTTCTCCACATCCCCATCAGATTAGTTAGATACAGTTTCCACACCCAGGTTCTCCAAGGCCCCACCAGAGCAGCTAGATACAGAGTGTCGATTGGTGCATTCACAAACCTTGAGCTAAACACAGGGTGCTGATTGGTGTATTTACAAACCTTGAGCTAGATACAGAGTGCCGATTGGTGTATTTACAATCCCTGAGCTAGACATAAAGACTCTCCCTTTGGGAGGCCGAGACGGGCGGATCACGAGGTCAGGAGATCGAGACCACCCTGGCTAACACGGTGAAACCCCGTCTCTACTAAAAATACAAAAATTAGCCGGGCATGGTGGCGCGCGCCTGTAGTCCCAGCTACACGGGAGGCTGAGGCAGGAGAATGGCGTGAACCCGGGAGGCGGAGCTTGCAGTGAGTCGAGATTGCGCCACTGCACTCCAGCCTGGGCGACAGAGCGAAACTCCGTCTCAGAAAAAAAAAAAAAAAAAGACTCTCCACGTCCTCACCAGAGCAGCTAGATACAGAGTGTTGATTGGTGCACTCACAAACCTTGAGCTAAACACAGGGTGCTGATTGGTGTATTTACAATCCCTGAGCTAGATATAAAGACTCTCCAAGTCCCCACCAGACTCAGGAGCCCAGCTGGCTTCACCTAGTGGATCCCGCACCGGGGCTGCAGGTGGAGCTGCCTGCCAGTCCTGCGCCATGGGCTCGCATTCCTCAGCCCTTGGGTGGTCGATGGGACTGGGCGCCGTGGAGCAGGGGTGATGCTCGTCAGGGAGGCTCGGGCCGCACAGGAGCCCATGGAGTGGGTGGGAGGCTCAGGCATGGCGGGCTGCAGGTCCCGAGCCCTGCCCCGTGGGAAGGCAGCTAAGGCCCGGCGAGAAATCGAGCACAGCGCTGGTGGGCCAGCACTGCTGGGGGACTCAGTACACCCTCCGCAGCCACTGGCCCGCGTGCTAAGTCCCTCACTGCCCGGGGCCAGCAGGGCTGGCCGGCTGCTCCGAGTGCGGGGCCTGCTAAGCCCACGCCCACCCGGAACTCCAGGTGGCCCGCAAGCGCCGCACGCAGCCCCTGTTCCCGCTCACGCCTCTCCCTCCACACCTCACTGCAAGCTGAAGGAGTGGGCTCCAGCCTTGGCCAGCCCAGAAAAGGGCTCCCACAGTGCAGTAGGGGGGCTGAAGGGCTCCTCAAATGCCACCAAAGTGGGAGCCCAGGCAGAGGAGATGCCGAGAGCAAGCGAGGGCTCTGAGGACTGCCAGCATGCTGTCACCTCTCATGATGACAACAATGTGCAATGTTACCCTTAACCTTCCAGTGAGGGGCATTTTGAGTTGCTTTATATTGACTACAGCAAAGCCTCATTCATTCAGGCTCTATTAAACTGAAATTAGTGATCACTTGGAGAGTTAATCTTTACTTCTCAAATCATTTCTTACCAAGTTTGGTAATGCAGTTGTGATTATAAAGATGATCGAAACACTTAAAAAGATTTCAAATCAACTTACATGGCTTTTAAAAACACCCATTTATATGTAAATAATTATCGACTCTTTACAAATAATTTTGTAATTTCCTAAAAACTCTAATAGACAACGCTGCTGATCTACTTCCAGGCTGAAAGGAAACAACAACAATAAGAGCGACAGCAAACATTTATTGAGAGCTGTAAAATGTGTTTCACCCAATTGTAATGTAAAGAATCGAAAATTTTAAAAAATTTCCAAAAAAATTACATGATTGTAGTTGGTAAAAATGCACCCATTTCAGGAAGGCCCCTGTGCCTGTGTATAAATGATGTGTCTTGAACGCTGCTGGGAAGCTCTATTGCTGAGATTGAGAAGACCTTAGAAACGGAAGGACACTCTTCATCAGAGGACATTAATTCATTTGACAAGCATCTAGAAAATGAACTACTTGGGGAAAGGAAATACTATTTGCTTAACAGAAGGCTATATTTTAGCTTCATTGGGGCGTATCACTTAGATTTCTTTCGATCCCTCAATGTTCACTAAATATAGTTTAAAAACTGAGATGTGAAATACAGACACAAAATGGAAATTTTAAGCCAAGCCTACTTTTCCCCACAAAGGCATTTTTGTGATACCCCACCATATTAATCTACAGAATATTTGTAACCAATATTTGTGAACTAATTGGATGTTTTGTGATTTTAATCACAATAGGTTTACCTGTTTATATGTCAAATGCATGTGTTAAATGAAAATAAATCTATCCCTTGGGTTTTTTGAGTGACTTAAAAAGACATTGAAGTACATTTAGGTTTAAGTGATATAATTCTTGTAAATATTAAGGTGTTTTAACTTTTAATATAACTATATTGACTTATTTCATATAGTCAAAAAGTCTTCTCTTTTCAAATCTATCATGTTTTATAGATGAGTTTTCCTTTAGCTATAACATATTCAATTAATTCATGATGGCCTCCGAACTGGTAAATCAAATGCTCCCATCTAGAAAAAAAAAAAAAAACAACAAATATTACTTCAATGTGTGCAAGTAAAAATTATTACTTTATCAATAAATGCTAATTTTAAAATGCATTCCCTACACATTTATTTACACCCAGTCAATGGTATTTGGGCTTTCTAAAAAACCGTATATAACTAACTGGTCTATGGTAAATCAAACATTGTTTAATAATATCATTTAAGTACTTGATCTTAAAATATTTGCTTCATTAAATGATACATAAATGTCACCATCAGCATTATATCCAATACAGGGAGTGGTTTCTGATCATGGAGAGAATTTTAAAGCAGGTGTCTCTGGAGGACTTGAGGTCCAAGGGCTGCAATGGGCTCGTAAGAGTCAAGTAGCCATAGGATTTACAACTTGTAGGTCTAGAACAGTAAAACCCTGATATGGTTTGCTGCTATGTGCCCACCCAAATCTCATTTTGAATTGTAGCTTCCATAATTCCCACATTGTGGGAGGGACCCAGTGGGAGGTAATTGAATCATGGGAGTGGGTCTTTCCCATGCTGTTCTCATGATAGTGAATAAATCTCACAAGATTTGATGTTTTTATGAATGGGAGTTCCCCTGCACACGCTCTCTTGACTGCTGCCATTTAAGACATGACATTGCTCCTCCTTTGCTTTCCGCCATGATTGTGAGGCCTCCCCAGCCATGTAGAACTGTGAGTCGATTAAACCTCTTTCCTTTATAAATTACCCAGTCTCGGTATGTCTTTATTAGCAGTGTGATAACAGACTAATATTACACTGGAGGCCCAGGTGGCAACAGACTATGGGTGGGTGAGTGATAAGTCACCAGGAACAAGAAAACTAAGTTTAAGCTTTTGGGAGCCAGTCGGCATGAGAAATCAGAGAGGGAATGAATCAGAACCAAAGTGAGAAGCCAGAGTTGGGAGCAAGTTGAAAATCAGAAGCCGAGCAGAAAAACACAAACACATGCCAGAGGGCACAACCCGGCCAAAGTCCAGGTAAACAGAGCAGAAATCTGGAAATCTACGAAAAATACCAGACAGATGAAGAGATCTTGAAAACTTGGTCTACCCTGTTGTTTAGGGTCTGTCAGTAGATTTGCTCTTTGGAAAGGGATCAAGATAGAGGGGACTGGATAGTGTCTGAGTCCAGACAGAGTCTGACACTAATAATTAGTGGAAAAGGGATTTAGGCCTCATCTGCATACTTCAGTGGGCATAATATAAAAGAGCTAAGTTGAAGCACACTCACCGGGATGAATTGATGATAATGAGATCTCCCTGTTTGCCAACTTCCAACGATCCGTGTGTGTGAGACTTTCCCAGTGCATAAGCTGCATTGATGGTGGCAGCGGCCAAGGCCTCAGGCATGGACATTCTCATGTTTACACAGGCCAGATGCATGACCATTGGCTAAGGCAGGAAGAGAAAAGTGTTGGAGGAAAGTGACATATGGCAACTGCAATTTAAAACATTTCTCAACACAGCACAACAAATAGAGGCAGTTAAAGGTATAGGAGGAATTGGCTCAGTTGCAATGGGAAAAATCTAAGTTTATACATAAAGATTCTTAGACTTTGGAAAAGATTACTTTATTATAGGGATTGCGTATTTAATATTTATTGACAACTTTTCAAGACCACTTACTGCACACAATGAAGTTCACTTCCATACTTACTAAGACCTCTTGGAGTTTATGCTATTCTCTGGAGAAAGGAAATGGGTTACTGTAAAACTACAATACTCAAAGCTGAATCAGAAAATAATGCATGTAGAAGCTTCTCTCCTCTCTCTATGCCTGCAGGCATTTATGTGGGACAGAAAAATCCAATTACACTGCTGTCTACCCCTTTTTTTCTTGTTTCACAGAAAAATATTTTTAGATTTTTTATACTGTTTTAAAAGCTAGTGAAATATTTTTAAATTATTTATATGCTTGGTAGATACTCTGCTCAGAAAGGTACATGAAAAAAATAATTACCATTGAAAAGCAATATGCATTGGGGTTGAAATCACTTCCCAGAGCAACTATTACTCCTTCATCTAACATCTTCCTGGCTCGAGGTTGTTTCAGTCTAAGGGGAGGAAAAAAATATGTCAGTCTCTAGAATGGGAGCTTTTGTAGAATAGCTGTTCAGAACAGAAGAGAACTTGAGACAGTCAACGCCTTCATATTCTGGAAGAAGAAGCAGAAACTCAAGATTAAATGATTAGTGGTAGAGTTACATATATAATCCAAGGACTCCTGATTTTTATCATTCTGCTTTTGCAGTTACTTAGATATGACTAACATTTAATTAATGATTGTTTATCTCATCCATCTTTTTACATATTAAGGCATTCTTGCAAAGGGAGGAAAATATAACTTACAAATGGTTTTGGAATTTAATAAGCTTTTTGGTGACTCCCAAATTAAATAATAAATGAGGTTACACTATGCTTTTTTTTTTTTTTTTTTTTTTGAGATGGAATCTCTGTCTCTTGCCCAGGCTGGAGTGCAGTGGCACGATCTCGGCTCACTCCAACTTCTACCTTCTGGGTTCAAGCGATTCTCCTGCCTCAGCCTCCCGAGTAGTTGGGACTACAGGCACCCACCACCACGCCCAGGTAATTTTTATATTTTTAGTAGAGATGGGGTTTCACCATGGTGGCCAGGCTGGTCTCAAACTCCTGACCTCAGGTGATCCACCCACCTTGGCCTCCCAAAGTGCTGGGATTACAGGCATGAGCCACTGTGCCCAGCCACAATATGCTATTTTTATTAGTTTCCATTTTGCAATTTCCTATTCACATCTCTCCCTTTGCCCTCTTTTTTTTTTTTTTTTTTTTTTTGCCTCAAACATCTCTGTAGGTCCTTTAAAATCTTGAAGGCCCAAGAATTTAGTGTGTAAAATGTTTATACTTCTTCCTGGATTAGGCATCCCCTTGACCTCCCTGGTGAAATATTCTTTATTCTTTAAGACATATCTCAAAAGTGTTACATCAAAAATAAACAAAGCCTAAAAGCTCGTTAAAGCAATGAGGACAGATTTAATTTGGGAATAACAGCTGCAATAGAGAAAGAGTCCAGCAGAGATAATTCTCATCCTAGAGTCACTCCCAGTCTATGATCGATCATTTGTAGGACCACTTAAAATGTTTTTCAACAACGTATGAGAGGAGGTGAGTGAAGCAGAGACAGAGAGTGAGGAAAGGGTACAGCTTCAAATGTCCCTGCAAGTCATTTGAATGGCCCTCCCCCCCTTCCATAAATACTTAGGGGTAAAAGAGGAAAAAGTGAGGCTGTAAAAGTATTAGGGCACTCCATAAAAACCAAGGTGAATATTTCCTGAATACATTTAAATATTACATGCAAATTTACATAAAATACATGATTAAAGCAAGCCCTTAAGTAGCATAAGGCAATGGTTATTCTGGAAATGAGAGTCAAGAGAGGGTTCAGGGGAGAGCAGGGGGCCCTGCTGGTCTCTCCTGATGCAGAGATCAGAAAAATATAGAAACGAGAAGCCAGAAAGCAGAGTGTGGCCTTCACTTCGACTGCCCCTGTGGTCCTAATAGGAGGCTAAACCTGTCTGTGGCAATGGCAGATGACAGCCTCCGCTGGTATAGGAACAAAGTTCAGACTTTTAATGCTGAATTGCCCTCCAGTACCACAAAGTCTTAGGCTTTTGCTCCATGTCAAGAGATTCAAGACTAGTTAAAGAAAGGCCTTTTTTTTTTTTTTTTTTAAGATGGAATCTCACTCACTCTGTTGCCCAGGCTGAAGTGCAGAGGTATGATCTTGGCTCCCTGCAACCTCTCCCTCCTGGGTTCAAGGGATTCTCCTGCCTCAGCCTCCCGAGTAGTTGGGACTACAGGCGCGCGCCACCATGCCCAGCTAAATTTGTATTTTAATAGAGACGGAGTTCAACCATGTTGGCCAGTCTGGTCTTGAACTCTTGGCCTCAAGTGATCTGCCCACCTCGGCTTCCCAAAAGTACTGGGATTACAGGCGTGAGCCACTGTGCCCAGCCGAAGAAAGCCTTTTCTTTCCAAAAAAATAAAAAACAAAAAACTTATTTCTTGGGTGGTGGAGACAAATATTGATTGATGACTTAGACTGATGACACTTGAAATGTATAAGACGTTGGTCATACCAAGAACCGTTATTGATATTTCCTGATTATAGTCTACATTGTGTTTACTCTTTAAGAGAATAGTAATAATAATAAAAATGTATAATATCATACATGTGCATATAAAATCATAGTAGATTTGAGAAAAGCACTGAAGTATTCCTTTCTTCGCCCTTCTAAAAGTTACTTGGAGCCTGGTCTTACCTAACCTCAGTACAATTCATGTCTTGGGCTGGATAATTCTTTGTTTTGGGAGCTGTTCTGTGCAATGAGGACTGTTTAGCAGCAACCCTGGCCTCTACCCACTAGATGCCAGTAGCATCCCCTAGTTGTGACAACTAGAAATGTCTCGAGACATTGCCAAATGTCCCCTGAGGGACAAAATTACCCTGGGGTTGAGAACCACTGTCTTAACTGCAGAATCACTCCCCATGAAAAAGACCACATGTCCTAGCTACACAGAAAGCACCTAGTCCTAAGAGAAGATAAACTTCCTCTTGACTGCTGGCCTCCCAGACCACAATCTTGGATATCATATAAGTAAGTGGTACAATGGGAAGTGTCAGAAGACCTCAGATCTCATATTGGTTAGAATCAGAGCAACAGTAATAACAGACGAACTAAGTATATTCAATTCATAGACAGCATACAGCAAAATATCTGGGGAGATTTTATAAAATATATGTCTCCTCTTTCCTCCCACCCCCAGGATTTATAAAGATTTATGGCAATTATGGTACCCACTAACATCCCTTTAGAAAACAGCTCATGCAGATTCTGAATACTGCTAAATATCTTTAACATCTTATGCATATATTTAAAAGTATAGCACCTATTTCATTATTTACTAATTATAAAAGTAATGCATAGTAATTCTTTTTAATTGAAAAATTCCAAAATCCATGAAAAAAAAGAAAAAGAAAAAGAAAGCACCATCTTCCTCAATAATCCTGCCACTCAAAGGCAATCTGGGTCTAAGTTCCTTCCTCAGAGAAATTCGTTTACGAACATCAGTCCAGGGTTGGCATCTTCATTAGCTGAGTTTTCTTCATCTGCATTTTTAAGGGATTTGTAAGGGCAATGAAATAATGTCTGGGCACTTTGGACGTCTGTGTCTTCACAGCTTGTACTTGCAGCTCTTGGTCTGGGGTGAGAAACGACCTTACCTCAGCATGTAGGCTGTGGTGGGCAGAAGGATGGCAGAGCACCTGGCCGTTGCCATGGCAACGATGCCTTCATCACTCACTTCTTCCAGGTGGCTGATTGCCTGCGCTCCCAGTTCAGCCCCAAGCTAAGGAGAATGGGCAGAGAGGGAAAGATTTAACAAATAGCAACAACGAATCCATGAAGTTCCATTAAATTGCTTTGTTTGTTTTATTTTTGAGACGGAGTCTTGCTCTGTAGCCAGGCTGGGTGCAGTAGTGCAATCTCAGCTCACTGCAACCTCCGCCTCCTGGGTTCAAGCAATTCTCCCACCTCAGCCTCCCGAGCAGCTAGGGCCACAGGCGTGTGCCACCATGCCCAGCTAACTTTTGTATTTTTAGTAGAGATGGGGTTTCACCATGTTGGCCAGGATAGTCTGGATCTCTTGACCTCGTGATCCGCCTGCCTCGGACTCCAAAAGTGCTAGGATTACAGGCGTGAGCCACCGAGCATGGCCTAAATTGTTTTTCCCATAAAGAGAAACAGCGTTTTATTATTAAGATTTCTTGCCAACCAACCGTTGTAAGCCCAATCCCCCAAATGGGTAAAGGGTTTGTAATGGGCACTCATTTGAAAATTAGCTAGTGGGCTACTTCAAAAACTATTCTTAAACACAAATCCTTCAGACATTTTCTGAAACAGAAAACTTTATGAATCTTATGGATCAGAGGTGAGATAAGGGGATCTAGAGCTATTTGGGAGAATTGGGAGGAATTGGTGTTTGCATGAAATGCGGTAGGTGAGGGAGAGGCAGCAGTCAAAATGATATCCAAGATTTTGACTTAAGCGACAGACAGGTGATGGCGTCATTTACTGAAGCAGAAAATGGGACAAGACTTGGAAGAAATACGAAGAGATCAAGCTGGATATAAGCCAGTTAAGAGGCATGCAGGTGGGGTATCTATGTCTGTATTTATGCCCCAAGGGCTTGTTTATTTAGGTCTCAGGCTTTAGAGGAGAGAAGCCTAGACTCATGATTGTAGGGACTTTGTCTTACTGCTGATTTCTCAATGCCTAAAACAGTGCCTGGCACACAGTATTCATTCAAATATTTGTTGAAAGGATGAATAAGTGAATTAATTTGAGCAAAGATATATGGATTTGAAAATCATCTTGTGGCTATTTTTGGTGTGCTCCACTAAAATGATTTGGATGCTGCCACAGAAAGATCTGAAAAGGTACAAGTGAAATTAATATACTGTGCTAGTGTGGCTTTGTGTGCCAAGCAAAATACTTTAGAAATTTAGTAAAAGAGATCACTGAGGTAATTCTTTTTCTTTTCTTTCCTTTTTTTTTTTGAGATGGAGTCTTGCTCTGTCCCCCAGGCTGGAGTGCAGTGGCATGATCTCGGCTCACTGCAACCTGTGCCTCCCAGTTCAAGCAATTCTCCTGCCTCAGCCTCCCGAGTAGCTGGGATTACAGGCGCGTGCCACCACGCTAATTTTTTATATTTTTAGTAGATATGGGGTTTCACCGTGTTAGCCAGGCTGGTCTCAAACTCCTGACCTCGTGATCAACCCACCTCGGCCTCCCAAAGTGCTGGGATTACAGGTGTGAGCTACCGCGCCCAGCCAATTCTTTTGCTATTAATACTAATATCACCAGTGGATGATAATGAAAGTAAATCATCAGCAAAAAAGTAAGTTTTTAATAGAGGTCAGGGTTTTCAAGTCTCAACCAGACCAATCTGTACATTGTTCAAACAAATTTCCCCATTCAATATCTTTTCAGAGGGCTTTGAAGAAACTAATTAAGTTTCCCATAGCATGAATGTGCAAGAATGAATGTTGACGAGGGAAAAACTAAAAGTCAACCACACCTCAGCAGCCTTCATCGGGTGGAGTTCATCCCCATGGAAGTTAATCTGTAACCCTATATCTTTTCCACGTTGAAGAATCCTTCTGGTGGAATCGAGATCAAAGACACCTTTCTCACAAAATACGTCTATATTGTCCACGTGTATTTCCCCATTTCTGCCAAGTTCCTTCAGCTTTGGGAGGTGGTTATTGATGATGTCATCAGCAGCTTCAGTAGCAGTTTTTCCTCTGGGGAAGAAAATGAGATTGCCATGGGCAAATATTAAAAACAAAACACAAAAAGACAGGGTAATCTGGCACTTGAAGAACCTGAGGAGCAGTAGAGGTAAATGACTTCAAGCCTCAGAAAGGTAGAGAAAGACTCAAAGCTACAACTATGGGCTCTTAACTATTGGGCCATGTCTACATAGTGGAGGTATTGACAAGACTTCTGTATGCACTGACCCTATGCACAGAGACTCAAATGGTTTATCCATTCTGGCATACCTGTGTTACCTTTGGGGATGCCAGCAAGGCTACCTGGCTGAAAAGCTTAATTTGGCCAGGCACAGTGACTCATGCCTGTAATCCCAGCACTTTGGGAGGCCGAGATGGGCAGATCACTTGAGGTCAGGAGTTTGAGACCAGCCTGGCCAAAATGGCAAAACCCCGTCTCTACTAAAAGTATCGGGGCATGGTGGCATGCATCTGTAATCCCAGTTACTCAGGAGGCTGAGGCAAGAGAATTGCTTGAGCCAGGGAGGCGGAGGTTGCAGTGAGCCGAGATCGCACCACTGCACTCCAGCCTGGGCGACAGAGCAAGACTCCGCCTCAAAAAAAAAAAAAAAAAAAAAAAGCATAATCTTCCTGTCAAGGACACTCAGAGGGCATCCTGGATACTCCCCCTGATGACCCACCTGTGGTCCCCTTACCTGAGTCCAGCTATCACCCTGCCTTTTTCTTCCTCCACAATGTTTCCTGAAGCACCTGCCTTAGCTTTCTGTCTCACTATCTGGGGGTATGGGGGAGGAGGATAGTAGGAGGCTGTGAAATTCTCTCTAAAATTCTGGTGGAGTTGGGCATGGTACCTCATGCCTATAATCCCAGCAACTGGGGAGGCTGAGGCAAAAGGATTGCTTGAGCCCAGGAGTTTGAGGCTGCAGTGAGCTATGATTGCACCACTGCACTCCAGCATGGGCAGCAGAGCAAGACCCTGTCTCTAAAAAAAAATTAACAATAAGAAGAGTAGATAAAATAAAGTTCTGCAGTAGTTATATGTTAGAAAAGCCTGGGCTTTTAGAGTCTGGTAGACACAGAGCTCTACCACATGGTGGCCACGTAACTTAGGAGATGCTCTTTAGCTGTTATTTGAGCTCAGGCTTTACCAATGGGAATCCAGATGCAGACCTCAGAGGCTCATTGGCAGATGGAGAAAATTTCTGTGAAACTTCAGCCCTATATTTGGCACACAGAAGGCTCTCACTCAGCAAAACCATTTGGGTAGGTGGGTAGAGGTGGACTATGAGAGACAGGCACTTACGCAAGTTATTTCTTTTTCTTTTTTTCTTTTCTTTTTTTTTTCTTCTTTTTTGAGACAGAGTTTCGCTCTTGTTGCCCAGGCTGGAGTGCAATGGCATGATCTCGGCTCACCGCAACTTCCACCTCCCGGGTTCAAGTGATTCTCTTGCCTCAGCCTCCCAAGTAGCTGGGATTACAGGCATGTGCCACCACGCCCAGCTAATTTTGTATTTTTAGTAGAGACAGGCTTTCTCCATGTTGATCAAGCTGGTCTCAAACTTCTGACCTCAGGTGATCCACCCGCCTCGGCCCCCCAAAGTGCTGGGATTACAGGTATGTGCCACCGTGCCCTGCCTGCGCAAGTTATTGTTAATTCTCAAGACAATCATATAGAATAGGGTGGCATTTAGCTCTGTTTCACAGATGAGTAATTCATGTTCAGAAAAGTTAAGTCATGACCTCAAAATCACCCAGCTGGAAGTAGCCAAGCTGGATTCAAACCCAGGTCTGGCATCACTTCAAACTGAGACTTTTCCACCATGCCACACTATCCTTTCTACTGCAAAAGAAAACAGACTATTATACACTTTATATTCTGTTTGAAAAAAAATCTACTGTTTTCTATAGAGAATGTCTCAAGAGTCTCAGTGAAATTTTGAGCTTTAATAATTTCAGAAATATAAATGCTAAAAACTTACAACAAAGATCACTGGAAATATTAAATATTTATGTCTTTTCTACACAACTAGTTTTGTTAATTTTGAATAATAAATTTTAATGTTACTTTTTTAGTTCCTCTGATTGAAGATAACATGAAGTTAATTTTTATTGATATTAAATATTTATATTTTTCCATTAAAAAGTGACTATAGCTAATAGTAATGTATTGTTTTCCTAAAAATTGTTAAAAAATAGATTTTAAGTGTTCTCACCACAAAAAGTGATAAGTATGTAAAGTAATGCATATATTAATTAGTTCGATTTAGCCATTTCACAAGGTATACATATTTTAAAACAACATGCTCTACATGATAAATATATTATTTGTCAATTAAAAAAATATATATATATTTTTTGAGATAGAGTTTTGCTCTGTCGCCCAGGCTGGAGTACAGTGGCACAATCTCGGCTCACTGCAACCTCCGCCTCCCGGGCTTAAGCGATTCTCGTGCCTCAGCCTCCTGAGTAGCTGGGATTACAGGCATGGGCCACCACGCCTCGCTAATTTTTGTATTTTTAGTAGAGATGGGGTTTCACCATGTTGGCCAGGTTGGTCTCAAACTCCTGAGCTCAAGCGATCCACCTGCCTTGGCCTCCCAAAGTGCTGGGATTACAGGTGTGAGCCACTATGCCTGGCCTAAAAACGGAATTTATATTCCGAAGTTTACAAAATCAGATAAATGTAAAAGAAATTTAAACAATTAAATTTTTAAATAATGATTGTAAGTCTGTAGTATTATATTTATCTATTTAAGTTATCAATGTTTAAGACCACACTAAGACTTTGGAGGCACCTTATGCATGTTCAAGTCCTGGATTTCTTTTAGATAGTTCAGTTGGCTGTTGGAACCATGAGCCTTCCTATTTAGAAATTCCAGGACCAAAAGGAACTCTGGACAAATAAAATGCAAGTACAGAAAGGAACAGAGTTCTCTACAGTAAGGCCATGTAGGAGGAACTTTTAGATAAAGGGGAAGGCTAAAAATCATTTACAACAACAAAACAAAAATGTTTGCTGTTAAGAAAGCAAGCAGATGAACAAAAACGAACCCCTTTGAGTCACCTAGACCACAAGGTTTGAGCTACCTCTTAAAGAGCATTACTATTAACTTCTAAAGTGCTTTTAGAAATGCTAATTAATTATCATGGGAAATTATTCAAATTAATATGTGTAATTTTAAACGACCTACACGGAGCCATTTCTTTGTCTTAACCCAAAGAGCTTGAAACATCTCTTCTATCATAATTAAAGGACTAGCAGACTGATGAGGCTAAGGGATCGCCTTCCTAAAACCGAGTCTGCGGGATGAGTGGCCATTAGAATCAGGTCTTTCCAAAGACTTCTATCCATCTCCCTGCAAGAGCTAAAGTGCTAATGCGCCTCCACCCCCGGGGTTCGTTTTCAATGCTCTGAGTTAAACCCGGGCCCCCACTGGCTGAGATTACTTAGGCACTGAATGAGCCCCGCAGTAGGTAGCCGAGATGCCGATGTCCAGCTCCCGCCGGGCGCGCTCAATCACGCGCAGCATCTTGAGCTCGGTCTCCAGGTCGAGGCCATATCCACTCTTGCACTCCACCAGCGTGGTGCCAGCCCTCATCATGCACTGGAGCCGTTGCTGCAAGGAGCGGAACAGCTCCTCCTCTGTGGCTTGGCGCGTGCGCTCCACGGTAAAGTGGATCCCTCCTCCGGCCTGGTGAATTTCCATGTAGGTGGCTCCTGCCAACTGAACACACGCCTCACCTTTAGGCCAGCACATGCCAGGAAGTTGCAGGGAGGTCTGAAGAATCTACTTCCAGGGGCAATATTATATAATGATTAAGAAGCCATATGGCATGGGCACCAACCCATCAGATTAGAAAGGTGCTGGGATACACAGTCCTGGAAGCCCCTAGTCTGCCAGACACTGGATTGTGGGGAGCTCCGAAGGGGTCTTGGGAAGAGACTGGAGTGGTAGAGATGGGAGATGTGGTGGGTGGCCTGTTGGGATCTTAGGGCAGTGAGGCCTGGCGCGGTGGCTCACGCCTGTAATCCCAATACTTTGGGAGGCCTAGGTGGGCAGATCACGAGGTCAGGAGTTCAAGAACAGCCTGACCAATATGGTGAAACCCCATCTCTACTAAAAATACAAAAATTAGCGGGGGCATGGTGGCACACGCCTGTAGCCCCAGCTACTCTGGAGGCTGAGACAGGAGAATCACTTGAACCCGGGAGGCGGAGGTTGCAGGGAGCTGAGATCGCACCACTGCACTCCAGCCTGGGTGACAGAGCGAGACTCTATCTCAAAAAACAAACAAACAAACAAAACAAAACAAAACTGGCACAGGAGTATTGCAATATTTTAACAAGTCAATCAACCCGCAATGTGTACTTGCTAAGTATCAGCCCTCCCTCCATCCCTCAGCTTGTTTGAGAAAACAAAGCTTAGGCAATTCAGGAGTTGCAGGGAACCCCATTGCAATTATTCAGATCTCCACTAAAGCGGCCCCAGGAAGTTTCCTTGTCTCAATATTTGGCCATCCGAGTTTGGAGCTTGATCTTTGTCACTCAAAGAGGCTCTTTCTAGGGTCCCACTGGGCTCCAGTTACTCTGGGCAGCAAGGAGTGTGGTGCAGAGAAAGGATGCAGGCCTGGGGTCTCCTGGCCGGAGTTTTCATCTGGGTTCTGCCATCCTCCAGCTGGTGACGCTAGTCAACACTCTTCCCTTCTCTAGACCCAGCTTTCTCCATCTACATAATGAGAGGATTGGACTGTAAATCTCTTTCTCCGTCTATACAATGAGAGGATTGGACTGCTTTTGGCTCTGAAATTCTGTGATTTAATAAAACAATCTTAAAAACAGCTCTAGTTTGTTGAAGCAGGTACATGATAGCTGAAGAAAAGAATTTTTTTTTTCTTTTCCTGAAATAAGCCAGTTTAGCTGCTAGGAGGCACATCTTTTTTTTTCTTTTTTAAAAAACACATGTGAAAATCTCTCCAACCAGGGATTTAGGAGTTGGTTACAGCTAATATAGGACTAACACAGCTTACATTTTGTGATTCTTAATAAGTCTCAGTTTATAACAGAAAAATTAAGGTATTTTATTTTTGTGATTAGTAACATATTTTTCCAAGCTTTACTCCAATGAATGGCAATTTTCAAACTATTCCTTGGAGCCCTTTCAAAAGCTACTAGAGATAGCGATTTGGAATGGGAATGTGGGGAAGGAAAGAGAGGGAGACATTAGTGGGCAGGAATAGCCCTGTGTATAATACAATGATTTGGGGCAGTTATAAATAAGTTTTGTTGTCATTTGTTTCCCATACCCAAGCAAGTAAAAATATCCATTAAAAAATATGTTGACATATGTTGCAAAGCTTGATAGCCTACTAACTCTTCAGCAAAAGACTTCATATTTGTGCTTTATTTTGATTTGCCATGATTTGTTGCAGTTACCTTCATTGCAAATTCGTGAACTCTTTCACCAGCCCATACTGGATGTGTGTGTGCATCCACCAAACCTATAATCAATAAATCAAGTTATCTTACAATTAAGAAATAGAGAGCACTTAGACAGCAGGCAAACAGCAGCACTATACCCTGCTGCTCTGGGGAAAGTGTGATGGTGGCCATCCATTTTGGAGGAGCATGAAAGGAAGAATTTGTCTGTCTGGTTCCCTTGATAGAGAGAAAAGAAGACTGCCCTGTTGTATGGTTGGTCTAGAAAGCTCTAATGAAGGAGGTGATGCAACATGATGAAAATATCCCTTACAGAAATACAGCTCCTTTTGCTCAGTAAGTCCATGCTCACCAAATAAGCTTTTATTTTATTTTATTTTATTTTATTTTATTTTATTTATTTTTGAGAAAGGTTCTCACTCTGTCGCCCAGGCTGGAGTGCAGTGGCACACTCACAGCTCCCTACAGCCTTGACCTCCCAGGCTCAAGCAATCCTCCCACCTCAGCCTCCCTAGTAGCTGGGACTATAGTCATGCACCACCACACAAGCTAAAATTTGCCATGTTGCCCAGGTTGGTCTTGAACTCCTGGGCTTAAACGATCTGCCTGCCTCAGCCTCCAATGATCTGCCTGACTCAGCCTCCCAAAGTGCTGGGATTACAAGCATCAGCCACTACTCCTGGCCCAAATAAGCTTTGAAATTAGGTTGTCAAGCCCCCTAGTTGGCAAAACCATGAACCTTATCACAAGGAATAATCTGGATATGAAAACAATACTACAATCCCCTCCCCCTGCAACTCTGAGAAGGGAAAATGTGAAATCAGAAAGATTAATCTATTTTCAAGAAAGAAATGTATTTTAATTAAGGAGAAACTGTAAAGCAATCACTTGAAACTTTTGTTTATCCAGGTACAATTCAGTAAAGTGTGTCTTTCCAAAATGTTTTAGATACCTTATGGATTAAATGACTCATTATTGGCTCTGATTGGACTAAAATCAAAAGCGCCTACTCAGATTGCTTTCTGCTATATTCCTCTTTTTCATAACATTTCACCCTGACTTTGTCTCCTGACTCTCAAGAATCATAAGGAAGGCCGGGCGTGGTGGCTCATGCCTATAATACCAGCACTTTGGGAGACCGAGATCAGCAGATCGCTTGAGATCAGGAGTTTGAGACCAGCCTGACCAACATGGTGAAACCCTGTTGCTACTAAAAATACAAAAATTAGCCAGGCATGATGGTGCATGCCTGTAATCCAGCTACTTAGGAGACTGAGGCAAAAGAATTGCTTGAACCTGGGAGGTGGAGGTTGCAGTGAGCCAAGATCACACCACTGCCCTCCAGCCTTGGTGACACAGTGAGACTGTCTCAAAATAAACAAACAAATGAAAACCCATCAGTTAGAAGCTCTGTCAGATGTGTACAATAAATATTTAAAAGTATAAAAATTTTATATAAAAAAATATAAATATGAAGCCCTTTTGTTTGTGTAGAACTGAAAGTTTGTGAAACTTGTTTTGGATGATTATATGAAGCCATACAACATAATGTAGGAGATGATGGTTAATAAACTGATTCTGTTGTCAATCATCAAAGATACAAGTGAACTGCAGTGAAAGCTCTAGGATTTTTGTTTTTCTTTTTCTGCCCAGAGCTGGATCCTTTGTTTCACATCCTATACAAATTTAGAGTATTTCTAGTATTAGAGACAGCAGCTGCCTTGTTAGCCTCTCCTATGCCATGGATTAATAAAGTTCTTTTGACTGTTTTTGAACCTAAACACAACACAGCTGGTTTCTATTCAGCATGTGAGTGGGAAGAAGTGGAGTCGAATGAATGGGCTTGATTCCTAGGTTGTCTGTTTCCTGTTTAGGAACCTTGGGTAACATATTTCACCCTTAGCTTCAATTTTCTAATCTGTAAAGTATAGATAATGATACCTCCCACACAGGGCAGTTATAAGGATTCAAGGTGAAACCATGTTTGAAAGCAGCTATACATTCAATAATAGAAATTCAATACATGGAACGATGATTTTTTTTAAATATTATTTTGAGACTTTAAAATAAGCTGTTACTCTTCCTCTTTACATTTCAGGAGCAACTGTTAAAGCTACTTGTAGACCTTTACTGAAAAAGAGGTAAATACCTGGTAGAATACATTTCCCAGAGCAGTCAATTATTTCTTCAAAAGTTTCTCCAGAAAACTGTCTTTGAATAACATCAGCAGGACCAATAGCTTTTATAAATCCATCTCTGAAGAAAAATCAAGAAATAGTTATTAAATTTGGGGAAATCTTGTGAGAAATCTGATGAGTGACTTAAAATATGTTTTCAGATTCTTTGGTGTTAATTAGTCAACATTTACTGTGCTTCTATCTTGAACCTGAGTCTGGAAAAGCGTCTCTAGCCACATTCGAGGCAACCATAAAAGACCCAGATTAGCCAAAGCCTCCTCAGCAAAATGAACAAAACTGGAGGAATCACATTACCTGACTTCAAATTATACTACAGAACTATAGTAACCAAAAGAGCATGGTACTGGCATAAAAAACAGACACATAGACCAGTGGAACAGAATAGTGAACCCAGAAATAAGTCCATACATCTACAGTGAACTCATTTTCAGCAAAGATGCCAAGAACGTACATTGGGGAAAAGACAGTCTCTTCAATAAATGGTGCTAGGGAAACTGGCTATCCATATGCAAAAGAATGAAATCAAATCTAAATGGGTTAAAGACTGAAATCTAAGAACTTAAACTATGAAACTACTCAAAGAAGACCTTGGGAAAACTCTCTAGGACATTGGTTCAGGCAACAATTTCTTGAGGGATACCCCACAAGAACAGGCAACCAAGCCAAAAATGGACAAATGGGATCACTTCAAGGTAAAAGCCTTCTGTACAGCAAAGAAAATAATCAACAATGTGAAGAAACAACCCACAGAATGGGAGAAAATAATTTGCACACTATCTAATTGACAAGGGATTAAAAACCAGAATATATAAGGAGCTCAAACAGCTCAATAGGAAAAAACCTAATAATCTGATTAAGAAATGGACAAAAGATCTGAATAGACATTTTTCAAAAGAAGAGATACAAATGGCAAACAGGTATATGAAAAGGTGCTCAACATCAATGATCTTCAGAGAAATGCAAACAAAACCACAATGAGAGATCATCTTACCCCAGTTAAAATGGCTTTTATCCAAAAGACAGGCAATAAAAAATGCTGGCAAGAATGTGGAGAAAGAGGAACCCTTGTACACTGTTAGAAATGTAAATCAGTACAGCCACTATGGAGAGTATGAAAGTTCCTCAAAAACTAAAAATAGAGCTACCATATGATCCAGCAATCCCACTGGTAGATCTATATGCAAAAGAAAGGAAGTCAGTATATTAAAGAGATGTCTGCATCCCATGTTAATTGCAGCACTATTCACAATAGCCAAGATTTGGAAGTACACTAAGTGCCCACCCACAAATGAATGGATAAAGAAAATGTAATACATACACACAATGGAGTACTATTCAGCCATAAAAAAGAGTGAGATTCTGTCAATTGCAACAACATGGATAGAACTGGAGGACATTATGTTAAGTGAAATAAGCCAGGCACAGAAAGACAAACTTGGCATATTCTCATTCATTTGTGGGAGCTAAAAATGAAAACAATTGAGCTCATGGAGATAGAGAGTAAAATGATGGTTACCAGAGGCTGGGAAGAATAGAAGGGGAGAGGAGAAAAATGGGGATTGTTAATGGCTAGAAAAATATGGTTAGATACAGTGAATAAGACCCAGTATTTGATATCACAACAGGGTGACTACAATCAGCAATAATATGTTGCACATTTTAGAATAACTGAGGGAGTACGATTGGAATGTTTGTAACACCAGGAAATGATGAATGCTTGAGATGATGGAAACCCCATTTACCCTGATATAATTATTACACATTGTACGACTGTTTAAAATAACTCATGTACCCCATATATATGTACCCATGAAAATTTACAATTAAAAAAACTTTAAACGTCAAATATATGTAGCAGACAATTGCCATTTGTTCCCCAAGATCAATGTTCCCTTTTTTACACTAGTAGAGCCCTAAATTTTAGCTGGACACATGATGACCCAAAATACAGACTACATTTCCCCACCTCCCACTAGCCAGGTGTGGCTATGAGACTAAGGTCTAGCCGGTAAGATTGTCTTCTCTTCCTATTCTTACTGGCTGGAATGCAGACACCACAACTAGAGATGGGGTGGCCATCTTGGGTCATGGAGTGAGTGTAAGAAAGTGGGCCATGCATGGGAGAGCAAGGCAGCAGGGGCCTGGCTCCTAAGGACCCCATGGAGTATTGCAATCAACTAGCCCTGCATTCGTATGTCTGGATTTTCACATAGGAGAGAAATATACTTCCATCTTGTTTCAGCCACTATTAATTTAGGTCTTGGTCACTTACAACAAATTCGTATTTCCAACATGGAGATTGAGGGCTATAAACCTGAGAGCTGGAATGTGTTGTGAAAAGCAATTAGGATAAGGGATTCCGAACTGGGACAGAAGTGGTTGGGGTAACCTAACAAAATGTAAGAGTGGAAGAGCAGAAGAAACTGGATGGAAAGAGAAGATGTTATGATAGGAAAAGAAATAATGATTGTGGGAGATTTGGGGAGGATAAACTTAGGGTGGAATAAGAAATTAAGTCTTGAAATAGAATTTAGTATCCTGATTAAGACAATTCTTCATCACTAACAGCTTTTATCTGGCCCAGTTAGATAATCTACCCAGTGTGCAGTGAATCTGGTGGTGGAAAGGACCGGCAGGATTAGAAATTGACCCTTGAATGGGAAAGAACAAAGAGAATGCTCTTATGCAAAGAGTTAATGACTGACACTGCTTTAAGAGAGGTTGTTTTAACAAAGTCAAACCTAAGAAATAAATCTCTAACATTCTCCGTCTGTGCAGGAGGTGAATTTTGAGGGCACTGGGTCCTCTTCCTGACCCCACTAATCCCATGCTTATCTACCTTTCAACAGTGTGGTTCTCTCATTCATCTGTGGATGTACCTATGTTTGAACAAAGGCTTATGTTCCTTTGTTGAGGACATAATGAGGGCAGTTATTGAAGGAAACCAACAAAAAGCATTCCCCCAAAAGTGTTTTTTTAAGGTAGTCATTAAAATTACAAAGATACATATTACTGCTATGGTGAGATTTTCACTATTTATGACTAAGTGAAAAAACCCGAATACAAAACAATATGCATAGCTTCCTTTTCTAAAGCATGCATTTTTATGTGATTCTATTTGCATAGGAAAACATCTGAAAGCAGAAGCACTAAATGTTGGTATTAGTTCACCTAATGATGGGGTTTGAGTGACTTTTTCCTTTTTGTTCATCTGTATTTTCTTTTCCTACAATGAACGTATATCACATATACTTTTTTAGGGGATACAAATAATAGGCACATGTGGTTTTATTTACTTTGTATTCTGAGAAATTTAGGAAGAAAAATTCTGCAGAGTCTTCTGAAAGTAAAGCAAATTAGCAAGCAAGACCCTACTTTAGGAGCTAAAGTATAATTATAATGAAAACAGTAATGATGATGATTTAAGGAGGATGATGCTTCTTTGAGTGGCTCTCAGGGTGCTTTGTGAAAATTTAGAATTGGCACATACACTGTCTCAGTTTCTAAAACCTAAAAATTGGTCTTGTTTTATAGTAGATAAATCTGACACCTCTCCCGATCCTCCCATTGGTTCAGGCACCCCTCTGTGCAGTCTCTTTTTTTTTTTTTTTTTTCTTTTTTTTTTTTTTTTTTTAATTTATTTTTTTATTGATAATTCTTGGGTGTTTCTCACAGAGGGGGATTTGGCAGGGTCATGGGACAATAGTGGAGGGAAGGTCAGCAGATAAACAAGTGAACAAAGGTCTCTGGTTTTCCTAGGCAGAGGACCCTGCGGCCTTCCGCAGTGTTTGTGTCCCTGATTACTTGAGATTAGGGATTGGTGATGACTCTTAACGAGCATGCTGCCTTCAAGCATCTGTTTAACAAAGCACATCTTGCACCGCCCTTAATCCATTTAACCCTGAGTGGACACAGCACATGTTTCAGAGAGCACAGGGTTGGGGGTAAGGTCACAGATCAACAGGATCCCAAGACAGAGGAATTTTTCTTAGTGCAGAACAAAATGAAAAGTCTCCCATGTCTACTTCTTTCCACACAGACACGGCAACCATCCGATTTCTCAATCTTTTCCCCGCCTTTCCCGCCTTTCTATTCCACAAAGCCGCCATTGTCATCCTGGCCCGTTCTCAATGAGCTGTTGGGCACACCTCCCAGACGGGGTGGTGGCTGGGCAGAGGCGCCCCTCACCTCCCGGACGGGTCGGCTGGCTGGGCGGTGGGGGCTGACCCCCCCCCCACCTCCCTCCCGGACGGGGCAGCTGGCCGGGCGGGGGGCTGACACCCCCACCTCCCTCCCGGACGGGGCGGCTGGCCGGGCAGAGGGGCTCCTCACTTCCCAGTAGGGGCGGCCGGGCAGAGGCGCCCCTCACCTCCCGGACGGGGCCACTGGCCGGGCAGGGGGGCTGACCCCCCCCCACCTCCCTCCCAGACGGGGCGGCTGGCCGGGTGGGGGGCTGACCCCCCCACCTCCCTCCCGGACGAGGCGGCTGGCCGGGCGTGGGGCTGACACCCCCACCTCCCTCCTGGACAGGGCGGCTGGCCGGGCGGGGGGCTGACCCCCCCACCTCCCTCCCGGATGGGGCGGCTGGCCGGGCGGGGGGCCGACCCCCCCACCTCCCTCCCGGACGGGGCGGCTGGCCGGGCAGAGGGGCTCCTCACTTCCCAGTAGGGGCGGCCGGGCAGAGGCGCCCCTCAACTCCCAGACGGGGCGGCTGGCCGGGCGGAGGGCTGACCCCCCCACCTCCCTCCCGGACAGGGCGGCTGGCCGGGCGGGGGGCTGACCCCCCCACCTCCCTCCCGGACAGGGCGGCTGGCCGGGCGGGGGGCTGACCCCCCCACCTCCCTCCCGGATGGGGCGGCTGGCCGGGCAGAGGGGCTCCTCACTTCCCAGTAGGGGCGGCCGGGCAGAGGCGCCCCTCACCTCCCAGACGGGGCGGCTGGCCGGGCGGGGCGCTGACCCCCCCACCTCCCTCCCGGACGGGGCGGCTGGCCAGGCGGGGGGCTGACCCCCCCACCTCCCTCCCGGACGGGGCGGCTGGCCGGGTGGGGGGGCTGACCCCCCCATCTCCCTCCCGGACGGGGTGGCTGGCCGGGCAGAGGCGCCCCTCACCTCCCGGACGGGGCGGCTGGCCGGGCGGGGGGCTGACCCCCCCACCTCCCTCCTGGACGGCACGGCTGTCCGGGCGGGGGGGCTGACCCCCCACCTCCCTCCCGGATGGGGCGGCTGGCCGGGCAGGGGGCTGACCCCCCCCACCTCCCTCCCGGACGGGGTGGCTGCCGGTCGGAGACGCTCCTCACTTCCCAGATGGGGTGGCTGCCGGGCGGAGAGGCTCCTCACTTCTCAGACGGGGCAGCTGCCGGGCGGAGGGGCTCCTCACTTCTCAGACGGGGTGGTTGCCAGGCAGAGGGTCTCCTCACTTCTCAGACGGGGCGGCCGGGCAGAGACGCTCCTCACCTCCCAGACGGGGTCTCGGCCGGGCAGAGGCGCTCCTCACATCCCAGATGGGGCGGCGGGGCAGAGGCGCTCCCCACATCTCAGACGATGGGCGGCCGGGCAGAGAGGCTCTTCACTTCCTAGATGTGATGGCGGCTGGGAAGAGGCGCTCCTCACTTCCTAGATGGGATGGCGGCCGGGCAGAGACGCTCCTCACTTTCCAGACTGGGCAGCCAGGCAGAGGGGCTCCTCACATCCCAGACGATGGGCGGCCAGGCAGAGACACTCCTCACTTCCCAGACGGGGTGGCGGCCGGGCAGAGGCTGCAATCTCGGCACTTTGGGAGGCCAAGGCAGGCGGCTGGGAGGTGTAGGTTGTAGTGAGCCGAGATCACGCCACTGCACTCCAGCCTGGGCACCATTGAGCACTGAGTGAACGAGACTCCGTCTGCAATCCCGGCACCTCGGGAGGCCGAGGTTGGCGGATCACTCGCGGTTAGGGGCTGGAGACCGGCCCGGCCAACACAGCGAAACCCCGTCTCCACCAAAACCAGTCAGGCGTGGCGGCGCGTGCCTGCAATCACAGGCATTCGGCAGACTGAGGCAGGAGAATCAGGCAGGGAGGTTGCAGTGAGCCGAGATGGCAGCAGTACAGTCCAGCTTCGGCTCCGCATGAGAGGGAGACCGTGGGGAGAGGGAGAGGGAGGGGGAGGGGGAGGGGGAGGGGGAGGGGGAGGGGGAGGGGGAGGGGGAGGGGGAGGGGGAGCAGTCTCTTATAATAAGCCTGCATGCACACATCTCTCTACCTTTGTGCTTACCATATTGTATTATAATTATCTTTTCATGTGTCTTGTTTCCCAGTAGACTTTGAGCTCTTTGAGGTCTGAACCAGTCTTAGTCATTTTTGCATCCTCTACGCTGAGCACAATCTAACTACTCAGCACATATTTGTGAATGAATGAAAATGTCCTATTTTAGGTTCATTGTCCACCTGACAGTTTAATTGGCTTCTAGGAAGGAAAATATAACACCCACCAATTTTTCCTTCAACATTTTCCATTTTTGCCCCTCCTCTGAAGTGCTAAAACAAATGGTCCTTGTGTATGAATCTATATTTTAATTCCTGTTTGTTTTGTTCATTTAGACATTTTCATCTAGGTTTTAGCCTTTGGATGGGACAATTGTCAACTGGATGACAGTTTGTGCTTCTTTTCCACACCTGGGAGCCTCTTCAAGATTAACTGCAATCTACACACACACACACACACACACACACACACAGAGAGAAAGAGAGAGAGAACTTAATTTAAGAATGAGATACCTTTAGAGACCTAAATGAATGAACACAATGGTGGAATTTACACCCTATGGCAGACAATCACTGAGATATTTATTTTTAGGAAGGGGGAGTTTCTGGTGTCCCTCAAACCATATTCTTTTCCAGGACTCATTTTATATATCTATAGCATATAGGGGATTAACTATTAGTTGATCTTACTGAGATTCATTCTAATCAGGACACACCATGGTATGTATATACTTGTTGGGAAAAAAAAAAACACACACTGTTAAAATCCATCCAATTCTGGGCTTTGAAATGGAACTTTCTTCCACTTCTCTGTGCTTTTAATCAGTACCCCTCTCCCTATACACACTCACACTCACAGCCTGTGTTCTTCTTGTCTACCAAAAGAAGAGCAGGATTAAGTTGTCCTTGAACACACAGGTTCTGCATAAGGGAAGTGATGTGAAAATTTAAGACAATCACCTAAATAATTCACCCTGAAAACACTTTTACCTTAAAACATTCAGATAATGAGGTGGGAGATATATTTCAAAGCATCTCAAATAACCAGATAATTATTCCAATTCTATACTTGATTTTTGCACCAACCTAATATATAAGACAGTGATGATAGTAAGTGAAAATAAAAACAACACCATCCTGTACCGAGCTAATCATATTTGAATGGCAAAGTTCTCAATATTCTTGTAAATTTATTTCATTGTAATAAATCCAACAAACTGTGAGAACAATGTAGCAGACTCAAATGAAAAAGCCCCATCTTCCAGACCACAAGTCAGCTCCCTCCTTTTCCTTTCCCTACTTTTTGTGGTTTTGATGTGAACATAGAACATGTCTTGGAACCCAGGACTTCATGTTGGTGCATTAGTATCATTTTATTTATGTATTTATTTATTTATTTTTGAGACAGAGTCTCGCTCTGTCACCCAGGCTGGAGTGCAGTGGCGAGATCTCAGCTCACTGCAACCTCCGCCTCCCGGGTTCAAGCGATTCTCCTGCCTCAGCCTCCCGAGTAGCTGGGATTACAGACGTGCGCCGCCATGCCCGGCTAATGTTTGTATTTTTAGTAGAGATGGGGTTTCATCATGTTGGCCAGGCTGATCTCGAGCTCCCAACCTCAGGTGATCCACCTGCCTCAGCTTCCCAAAGTGCTGGGATTGCAGGCGTGAGTCACTGTGCCTGGTCGCATTGATATAATTTTTATAAGATACTCCAGTCCCAACCCAGGTACATATTTTTCAACTTTCTAAGCAAAATTTTAAATAATATTTTCATAGTAAATTGGGAATGTTTTCATCCCTTAATTAAAAATAAACCAGTCAAGCTGGGCGTGGTGGTTCACGCCTGTAATCTCAGCACTGGGAGGCCAAACCAGGTGGATGGCTTGAGCCCAGGAGTTCAAGACCAGCCTGGGCAACACAGTGAGACATTGTCTCTACAAAAAATACAAAAATTAGCCTGGCGTGGTGGCGTGCACCTGTAGTCCCAGCTGCTTGTCAAGCTGAGGTGGGAGGATGGCTTGAGCCTGGGAGGTGGAGATCGCAGTTGAGCCTGGGAGGTGGAGCCAAGATCATGCCACTGCACTCCAACCTGGGCAACAGAGCTAGACCCTGTCTCAAAAAAACAAAAAATAGGCTGGGCGCAGTGGCTCATGCGTCTCAAAAATAAATAAATAAATAAATAAATAAATAAATAAATAAATAAATAAAATTAAACCAACCCACAGTCCCTTAAAAGCTGGGCTCTTGCACAACCCTAAACTGCCTCAGATAAGCCGTGGTCAGTTTGTGAGACTCATTGATCGTGTGCAATTGTGGTCCCATGGCACGCTTTGGATTCAAATTCTCATCCAACTTCCCTTGCTACCCCAGGTCGCCCTCAAACTTTGTTCTTTTATTCATATCTGGCAGGAAGCTCAGATGAGTAAGAGAAATATCTTGTTTTCTGATGGTCAAATCTTGATTTATTATCACTCAGGGCCATTATCGTCTAAATGTTCTCCGTGGTTCTAAAGCTTTAGTGTACGAGATCACGAGGATGTGAAAGGTACTTTTGAAAAATTCAGGTCTCAGAACTCCAGCCCCAGTGATGCTGATTCTAAAATTCTAGGGATAGGGAGTGGGGGACGCAGGTGGAATCAGAAATCTGCCGTAAGAATAAAATAACCACAGGCCACCCTGACAAAGGTGGTCTTCTGGCCTCCCTTTAAGAAGCACTGGGGAGGACCTCAACCCCTTCTGATGGTTGGACAGTGATATTTTACCAGCAGAGGCAGGACCCTGATGCGTTCCAATGGGGTGTTCCTCTCTGAGCTCTTTGGACGGAATGACAACCCCAAGCAGCAGAGCGTGTTAGCAACAGGTACCCCAAAGGCTGGCTTGCCCGTGTATCTCTGTGCAGGGACGCTTTCACGGCGTTGTTTCCCTCCAGAGTGCACAGTGAGAGGAAGAGCGGCCAGCTCCGCCCGTGGCGGTCCCCACCCTGCGCGCCCGGCCACTTACTTGCCCACCACCAGGCTGGCGCCTTCCAGCACCGCCAGGCTGCGCAGCGCATCCCGCGCCAGGAAGCGCTCGCCGCGGGCGCACACCAGCACCACTTGCTGCGCGTTCTCCAGCAGGAGGCTGTGGCCGCTTGCCATGTCGCCTCGCGCCGAGGGTCGCCGGGAGGCCACCGGGCTCGGGCCACCGGCAGGACTCAGTGGAGGACGAAAAGCCGCAGCCTGCGCTGTCCGGGGCTGGGAGGGTGGGGCGGGGGCGGGCGCTCGCAGCCGCTGCCCTTTGCTCGCCTCCCCCAACCACAGCAACGGGGGCGGTAATCATTGCAAGAATGGCAACGAGTAATAAACCTGATGAGGAATCCTCTCTTTTTTGGTCGTCTTGTCCCATCCCGAGTAAACGAGATGGAGACTAGTGTCCCTACTTTTCAGATAAGGAAACTTAAGCTTGGTCACCCCGAGAGATCAAAGTGAGCTGTGTGGATCACGTGGTATGTGGAAGCGCGTCAAGGGTTGGCTGGGTGAGGGCACCCGGAGTGTTCGGGAGTGAGGGACCGGAACCTGGGGTAGAGCCCCGGAAGGGGGGCCATGGGGGAAACCTCTGCCCGGGGGGTTGGGGTGGGAGCCTGGAGATAGCGCTCCTGGAGAGGGCAGAGTAGGGGAAAGCTGTGCCCAGGGGCAGGGACGGGAGCTTGGAGGTAGAGCCCCGGGAGAGGACAGAGTGGGGGAAACCTCTGCCTAGGGTGCTGGGACGCGAGCCTGGAGGCAGAGCCCCGGGAGGGTACTGCGTGGAGGAAACATCTGCCCACAGGTTCTGGGGCGGGAGCCCGGGACGCGGAGGGCCGCGAGCCGAGGGAACCTGGGGGTGGGGAGGAGGGGGATGCGGTAGGGGAGGTGCTCCTGGGTCCGCGCGGGTGGCGGGTGCCCCGCACTTATCCGTTGGCCAGCTGCGTTCCGGGATCAGCTACCAGACGGTCCCTGAGATGACCGGGAACCGGGCTGGGGGAGGATAGAGCCGAGACTGGAGGATCGATTGGCACCTCCGCCCACTTTTCCCACAACGCCTTCCCGAACGATAGGTTGGAAAGGCTCCTGGATCCAAACTCGCTGAGGTAAAATAGGTTTCAGCTCAGTGTCCGCCCCTCCGCATGCCCCCTCCCACCCCTCAGCTGTGTCTGGTGGGCCTACAAGCAACTTGCGACCAAAATTGGAGACAGAATCAAGTTTATGGAAGATGGTCTGTGATTCTCAGCCTCGTCGCTTCCTGCTACCAATTGCTATGGAAACACTGCCAGGCCCAGGCTTTTGAGTCCTTAATTACTTGATTTCGTTTATTCATGTTTATCACAAGCTCTGTGTTAAGTCTTGTGGAACATACAAAGATAGGAAAGGCGCTTTCCCTGCCCAGTAAAGACTTTACAATAAAAGTGATAGATGTGGACACAAATAATATACTATAAAAGCAGACTAAGCCTGCAAACCCACAAAATATAAAAGTTAATTTAGTCTCATTAAAAAAACCTGGAACAGAAAGCAAACACTCCTTTAGATGACCACGATAAATAAGAATATAATTTAGCTTCATATTATGGCCTATAAAAGAGAGATCAGTTAGGAAAGAGAAAGATAAAAATTGGAAAATATATAGACAATGTGAGTGAAAGAGACCCTAAGGGTGGGGGGGAGGGGGCATCAGAAGATTATTCACAGCTCATATACACAATCACAAACAGGTTGTTTGTGTGTGTGTGTGCATAGCTTTTAAAAAGTTTATACATACATATATTTCTATGTCTTTAAAAAGAGAAGTAGAAATAGTGGGGAATAGAAACACATAAAGTCACTAATTCACAGAGAAATATTAAAATTTTCTATTATAAAATTTCTGCTGAAGACTTTAATCAGTTACATTTTGCAATTTTAGGCATATTTGCAGAACTATGCAATTGTATGTATAAAGGATGGGTTAAAATTATAGAAAAATAGGGTTCAATAAACTTGTCTTAGTCTGAGTTCTGTTTCCTATAAGCTGTTTGACCTTGGGGAATTTCTTTACAGTAATTTCTCGAAGCCTCGTTTTCTCATCCTCATCATAGGGAGAGCTGTTTCTACTTTATGGGCTTGTCTGAGTTTTAAATAAAATAAAACATAAATCACTTAGCCCAGTGCCCAGCTCTAAACAAGTAATAGGTATTATTACTATTATTCGTGTGTTTTAATCCTGCTATTTGTCTTCCTGGCCAATTAAGTTAAAGATTAGATTTCAGCCAATAGTATAGTTCCTCTCCTGACTTCACAGACCATGTACTTAAAGCTTGCAAGTTCTGGGTGAGTCTAAAAGAAATTATATTTCTTTTTCATAGGTATTTATGTTTGTGGGTGAACTGTGCATCTGATTCACAGTCCAGACAGACAACATTACCTGATAAGCTCCTGCAAACAGGAGGTTTGCAAAAGCAGAAAGGATGAGTGAATTTCTTTCCTTAGTTACTGTTCAGTAGTTATAGATGGATAAGGATGACACATTTTTCCTTGGTAATAACCAACATCCCGATAGCAGCTCTTATAAAATACTTTTCACATTATCTGACTTGTATATGCTGACTCCTTAACCCATCCTTCCTTCCTCTTGACCTCCAGTTTTTTTTTTTGTTTGTTTGTTTGTTTTTTTTCACTTCGCAAAAGGGGCAGTCAGAAATGTCAACAGAAGCGTCCATACTAAATAGCCTGACGCCAGCAGTGCCTTAAAGGTCAAGGTGAAAGTAATTTCCTCATCATTGTGCTGTGCTCTGACCTAGTCAGAAGCGGCAGCGTGCATCTAAGCAGGCCAAGGACCCAGTGGCTCCTGGCTTTTAGGTAAACAAAAAATTGCTAACTGTGATCTCCCCACACCATCCAAGGACACAGTTCACAGCCCCTTTTCCTAGTATTTGTCCAAGGTAGGCGGAGAGGAGGTGGGAAAAAAAAATGGAAGGGCATTGGGTCTGAGAGAACCAGTCTAAATCCTCATATGCATGTGAAGATAAACATTGCTTTTTATCTCACATTGAGATCATCTGGAAATTCGTTTTCATTGGGTTTTAGAGGGGGTTGTTGCAAAAAAACAAATAAACTGATTCGAATAATATCTGGTAGACAGTGTTATTATTCATTTTATTTAGAGTTGGTTTAGAAACTTAGGACTGGGCCTTATCAAATCCCACTCCTCTTTCCCCACTTCCCCTGGAGCTCAGAATGTTAAGACTCTACATGAAGCTGATTCAGGTCCCCCAGATTTGCACTGATATTGCTGGTAGACTCCTCTCCAATGACCAGGTTTCAAGAACTTTGATTGGGAGTTTCTTACAAAAAGTAGTTGTCAGTTATGCTCCCATTTCAAATGGCGGCAGTTGACAGAGTGGGCCAGAAAGAGGAAGGATCTGGACAATATCTAGTTTGAAAAAAGTATAAGGGATCACTTCTTCACAAGCCTACTATGAGCAGGCACTTTGCATATATTATCTGTGTTTGAAAATTGCACCAGGCCTGTAAGGAAGGTGTTATTATTCATACTTGATAGAAGATTCTACAGTGCATTAAGCATAATTCTCTAGACCCAAGAGAAAGAGTGGATAAGAGTCAGAGGCAGGAGTTAAACCTACCTGCCCCCAAAGGCCAGGGGTCTTTCCATAGTGCCATTCCTACTACCCTTGCAATGACACTTGTCAAGAGACCTGACTCAGAGACCACATATAATTGTACAGCTATTAAAGGAACACAACAATTAATTAAATCAACCAGCATGGGGTTCACTTGAAAGAACAGTATACATTACACCCATGTCCCTTTAGATATCTAATATATATCTCAAATTTCACATGTTCCAAAATGAGCCTCTGATCTTCCCAAGTGCCCCTTCCCCCACTGCCTTCTCTGTCTCCATTTATGGCAACTCCATCCTTTCTGCAATCAGTTCTTTATCTCATACTCCACATCCAAACCATCAGCCAATCCTGTAGACTCTACTGTCAAAACACATCTAGAATCGGACCACCTCTCACCACTTCCACTGCTATCCCAAGGAAGGGATAGCATTATCTCTTGCCTCCCAGTGGCTGTAGTCTCCTAGTAGATCTCCCTGTGTGACCCTTTTCCCTTTCTACAGTCTCTTCTCAGCTCAGCATCAGAGTGATTCATTGAATGGTTCCATTTCACTGAGAAAATGGCCTCCAGGGCCCTCGTGATCTTGGACTTCTTGTCTCTCTGGCTTCATCTGGGGTGCTGTCCCCTTTGTTCACTGTGTTTAAGGCCCACTGGTGTCCTTACTGTTCCTGAAACACACCAGGCACATTCCTCCCTCAGAGTGCACCTCTCCATGTGCTTACACTCCCATAGCACATACTATGCAACTGAGGCCATCCAAAGGCTGGACGTGGTAACTTACCTAACAATCCCACAAGGTAGATACTATTTGCATCATTCCTCTTGAAAGATGGGGAAATTGAAGTGTGAGGATTAAGGGACATAGAGAGAGTCTATGTTCTTAATCATTTAGCTTATGCGACCTCTAAAATGGATGGCTGGCAGTTATACACCACCATTTTACATTCCTGATATTTCTGAGCTTTTGATCTTTTTCATCTATTGGAAGTTGGATGTGAACGTGTATTTAAGATGTGAACTTTCAGGCATTTGCTATGCAATCCAATAACATTTTCCCTCTCTTTTGGTACAGAGCCTTTGTTTAGCCATCATGCTATTTTTATTTCGCACAACAAAGACATCCACTGACTTCAACATTTTTTCTGATTGGAAAGGGGACTTTATAATCCCTTCCTAACAATAACTGGTTCTGTTCCTCTCCCTCCCTTTTGTTCACCAACCTTTCATTCATCAATACAGGAATTCATGCATATGGAAGTATAGAAGTATAACAACATCTGGAGACTGCTGATTGCATTTACATGTTATATGAACTATATAATAGAGACAGAATAAGAGCAGATATCTGCTCTTAGCAATTGGTTTAAAGGAACAGAACTTCCAGTTTTTCTGTGAGTGAAAAAGTCCTTGAACCCATGGATAAAGATGCTCATTGCAAAAAGACTTTAAGGATAAAGGGAATGAGAGTGGGAAGGAGAGTGAATTTAGATAGATAGAAGGACCAAAGGAGTGAAAATGTGACAAGAAAGAGGTGATCAGAATCCTAAGAGTGGAGATGAGTACAGAGTGTAAAATTGAGAAAATCTACAAATCTTTAGTATTAGCCATCCAAATTCCAAATACTCATCAACCACAGGTTGTCACCAATTTTTCACCGATCTTTCTTTTCCCCCGTGAGAATGAATTTAATGCCTGTGAAAAAATGTTCAGTCATTTGAAAAAGTATAATGTCAATGTTATAGTTTTTATTCATTTTTTTCTCTTTTATAAGCTTTGACATAATTTTTTAAATATTTGTTTTTATAACCACTGGAACTAAAATCAGATGCTAATTAGTAAATATTAGCACATAATAGTTCCCACTTACTGAGCTGGTCTGTAAGCCAGGCACCCCACTTGGTTAAATCCATTGCCCACTGAATCCTCAAGAAAGCCTTAAGAGGTGTGTCCACTTTATGAAACAGGAAGCAGAGGCTCAGAGATGCTGAGTAATTAAGATGTAGGCTCCATGAAGACAATAGTTTTTGTTCTTTTTTGTCTTTTTAAAAATTGCCCTGTCCCCCACACGTAGAACAGTGCCTGACACATAGTAGGTACTCAATAAATGTTTTTTGAATGATACATGAACTTGCTCACACATAAGTAAATACCAAACCAAGATTCAAAAATCAGGCTTGTCCAAAGTCTGTGTTCTTAATCATCTGCTGCTCTGCTTCCGGGATATTTAGCTCTTATATATGGCTCTTTGAGATTCCTGAGGCACATATTTAAATGAGTAGCCCAAAATAGAATGTGTTGTCCATTGTTTCTGCTGCGGGCACATTTTTAAATATAAACTCCTGGGTGTCCTTTATCCCCAAAATGAATATATCTTTATTATTTTTCTCATTGTAACAGTTACACCAGCTCACTGAGAAATTTGAATGATACTCAAAGTATAGAAATCAGAACAAGGATTAGGGTAAGGCCAGTGAAGCTCTAGCTTCATGCATAAAATTTAAGGGGAAAGCAAAAACTCAGTAATCAAAATAAGCAATATTTTAATTCACTATTTTAAATATATAAATTAATGTAAAAAATTCATGATAAATGAAATAACAGAATTTTAAATAGAGACAAGTTCTGTGGGCCAGGATTTGGGTGAGTAGAGTGAGGCACTGGCTCTCAGGGTCACACAAGTACAGGGTCAGAGACTGTCCGTATTTACAATTTTGATATTTTGTTCATTATAGAATTTCCTGCATTTATTTGGAATTTTATAAAAATATATTGCATTAACATTTAATTTATCATAATAACTGAAAGTTGATTTTTTTGTTTTGTTTTTGTTTGTTTATTTTGGCAATCCTTAAGCTTTGCAGCTAAGATTGAGTGCCTCAATCACCTAACCCTAATCCCAAACCTGGTAAAAATGAGAGACTGCACCAAATCACATGTAATCAAGATTCATGTTTGATGAATGGCATTTCAAACACCTCTCAGATTTTTGCATGCATTTTTTAATCCACACTATCCCTACTCTTTTGAAATGTTTTGTTTTTTAACCAATACCATGGAGAGAGGTAAATAGTGACTACAGCATCATTTTAAGGGCCAACTGGAATTTATTTTATGGATATACCATAGTTATTTGGTCAACTCTGTATTTATGAAATGACATTGAACAAACATTATTGCACATGCTTTTTTGGCTGCTTGTCTGATTATTTTCTTGACATAAGATACCAGAATTGAAATTGCTGGGTCAAAGAGTATGTGTGTGCTCACTGCTTTTAAAAGCCATAAGGACTGTTAAGGAGTCATTGGCAGTTGAATTTAGCCCTTTTATATGATGTTCATAGAATTTTTAAAAAACGTATTTTTTTTTCTTTCAACAGGGCCAGGCAAGAAAATGTCCTCAAATTTATTGCCAACACTGAATTCTGGAGGTAAAAAGAAATCAATCAATATATTCTTGTTTGGGCCTGGCAGTGTTAGGCTCCATAACAGATTGTGAGCATAAGAAAAGGAGAATGTTACACCATAAATATAAAATGTAATGAGTTTATAAACTACCTGCAGAGAAGATTCTGTTCTACTTTTTAATTCAAAAAAAAAATCTTCAAATCAGAGGGTGCATTAAATTGTCATATTTAGCCAGATTGCCCCAGTCTCTCATGACAGAAAACAAGTAACTCAATTATTTGTCATAGTCAAGGACATACCTAACTAAACTTTATGAAAATCTGCCCTCTTCTTTCCTTTCCCACCCTTTCTCATCTTATCCTTCTGCCTATTTTTTATTTTTATTTATTTTATTTTATTTAATTAATTACTTTTTTTGAGATGGAATTTCGTTCTTGTTGCCCAAGCTGGAGTGCATTGGCGCAATCTTGGTTCACTGCAAACTCCGCCTCCTGGGTTCAAGTGATTCTCCTTCCTCAGCCTCCCAAGTAGCTGGGATTAGAGGCATGCACCACCACGCCCAGCTAATTTTGTGTTTTTAGTAGAGACAAGGTTTCACCATGTTGGCCAGGCTGGTCTCAAACTCCTGACCTCAGGTGATCCACCCACCTCGGCCTCCCAAAGACCTGGGATTACAGGCATGAGCTATCATGCCCAGCCTCCTTCTGCTTATTTATGAGCATACAAGGAATTAGTATTTATTGGTATATAAGGAATTACAATTTTCTCTTACAAATCTGACAAAAATTTAACATTTGGATAACACTAAGAGTTTGTAATAGGTAACAGGCACTCAGGCTCTCTATAGGCATTCTCTTTAAAGGAACATTTGACACTATTTGTATTTACAATGTAAAAGTTTGGCTGCAAGAGACAGAAAATATAAAACAACTGTGGCTTAAACATGATAGACGTTTGTTCTCTCTCAGGTTAAGTCTGGATACAAGCATTCCATATGGAGGTTCACATCAGGGGCCCAACTCCTTCTGGCCTGTTCCTGGGCTATGTTCTTGGTCCAAGACGGCTGCTTCCACACCAGTGATTACATCCATATTCCTGCCAGCCAGGAGAAAAGGGGAAGGGGGGACATGCCCTGAAGTTGCATTCACCACTTCCGCTGACCTGCCTCCAAGGGAGGCTGAGAAACATAGCCTCTACTCTGAGTGTTCATTTAGGGTTCTATTCCTATAGAAGAAGGAAGAATGGATATTGGGGGTTCACTAGTAGTATCTGCTCCACTACCATTTTTTTTAAAAAAGCATTTAAAAGGAGCCATGTTTGGAATTTATTCTACAGATATGTATGCACAAGTGATTAAAGATGTGTGTACAGGAATATTTATTGCAGCATTGTTTACAATAGCAAAAGACTGGAATCAATCATAATGTCCATTGGAAAGGGTTGGTTATGTAAACTATAATACAACCAGGGAATGGGATAATGGGATACTAGACAGACAGCTTCTCTGTCACCCAAGCTGAAGTGCAGTGGCACCATCTCGGCTCACTGCAACCTCCGCCTCCTGGGGGTTCAAGCAATTCTCGTGCCTCAGCCTTCCGGGTAGCTGGAATTACAGGTGCCCACCACGCCTGGCTAATTTTTGTATTTTTAGTAGAGACGGGTTTTCCCCATGCTGGCCAGGCTAGTCTCCAACTCCTGACCTCAGGTGATCCGCCCGCCTCGGTCTCCCAAAGTGCTGGGACTACAGGTGTGAGCCACCACACCCAGCCTAGTTATTTAGTTTTTTTTTTTTTTTTGATGTCGTGAATATATATTTGCTGATATAAAAGGAACTCCTAGGTATATTGCTAACCAAAAAAAACAAAATGCAGAATATTAGACTAGTATGGATTGGATGATGCCTTTTTTAATTAAAGGATTTATATTACTTTGTCAAGAACTGTGACAGGGCTAAGATTTTCCTCTACTTGCAAACTCATAAGTTAGCTTGCTACAGTTTCCTGGATGTTGACAAGAGATACAAAACTCTTGGGTCAGAGACAAACGACTTTATTACTCACAAAACAACAAGCAGCATGAGTTTTGACATATTTGGTACCAGTTCCCTAAGACCCATAGCCTTCTTTTAAGATTAATACAATTATATATTAATAACATAATATGAACCTTTGAACCCATCAGAACCCAAAGACGAGGATCTTCACAAGAAATTACAACCTGACAATAACTACATACCCTATCCCTTGGCTTTCAACACCTAAGCCAGGCACCATGTTGAAGTCTGTTTAGAATTTTTCTTCACTATTTTATTTGTATGTATAGTTTTATACTGTATATATGCAGTCTTAAAGAGCATATTTTTCATTTTAGTTTTAACTTTTAAAAAAGTATATCTTGTTGACTATCATATTTTAGAAATTTTTCAGTTAACATTATATATATACATACATATATATTTATTTTAATCTTTTAAAAACAATTGTTTTTATAGACAAGGTCTTGCCATGTTGCCCAGGCTGGTCTTGAATTCTCGGGTTCAAGCGATCCACTTCAGTGTCCCAAACTATTGGGATTACAGGAGTGAGCCACCATGCCCAGCCAACATTATATTTTAAGATTCATTCATACTGTTGTATGGTTTAGATCATTCATTTTCACTGCTGTATAATATCACAAAATGCAAATGTACCATAGTTTACAGTTGACACTTCTTTGGGTATTTGGGTTGTTTTCAGCTTATTGCTACTAAATGGTGCTGCTAATAAACATTCTTGTTCACATCTCCTGGTATACAAGAAAGTTTCTTTGCATGTATACCTAGGAATAGAATTGCTGAATCTGACGTTAGCTGAGTATTCAACTTCAGATAATAATGTCAAAGTGTTTTCCAAAGTAGTTGTGCCAATCATAACTCTACAAGAAATGTATTAGAGATCCTGTGGAATTATATCCTCTCCAAACACTTGGCATTGTCAAGTTTTTTAATGCTTTGCCAATCAAATGGGTGAAATTATGGTCTTTATTTGCATTTCCCTGATAACTAATGAAGTTGAACAACTCTTCATATGTTTATTGACCATAAATGTTTCTTCTTCTGTTAAATGCTTATTTAATACAGTCTTTTTTCTATTTTTCTTTAGGTTGTTAGTGCTCTTTATATTGATTTGCAGTTTTGTAGATGTGGTATATCCCAATTATGTCATCTCTATGGAGTACAAATATTTTCTCCCAGTTTTAATTTATCTTTCAATTTGTTTATGGCGTCTTTTGATGAACAAAGTCTTTAATCTTAATATAGCTGAATTTATCAATATTTTCTTGTATAGTTACTACTTTTTGTGTTTTTAAGAAATCTTTCCCTAGCAAAGGCCTAAATGATAAAACCTATATGTTCTACTGTTTGTTTTAAAGGTTTTTGGGGGACAATTTTATCCTTATTTCATCTGTAGTTAATGTTTGTATGGAGTGTGAGGTAAAGATCCAATTTCCTTTTATTCCATGAGAATAACCATTTTCTCCGACTCATTTTTTGAACAGTCTCTCCTTTCCCCATGTATGGATATGTTCCTGAGATTTCCATTCTAGTCCATTAGTGAATTTGTCTTTCCCTTTACTGTAGCTCCATAATGATACACAGCAGAGCAATCTCCCCATCCTGTTCCTCTTGGGAAGGGTTCTCACTATTCTTGTCTCTTGGTTTTCCTTACTAATTTTAGAATTTACTTATCAAGTTTATTTAGAGAAACTCGTATGGGACTATGTACTTATATTACTGTGAATCCATTGATCATTCGTGGAGAATTGGCATTTTTATGAAATCATGTCTCTCTATCCACAAACATGACTCATCTCTCTATTAATTTAGATCTACTTTAATGTATTTTAAGATTATGTTATGCAGTTATTTCAATTCTGCAGTTTTTTAGTGCCTTTTATATACTAACCTAGCTGCTCGGGGTTCAAATATGAATACATCAGTACGATTGGAGACAGTAAAAGCCATGATTTCTAAAAAGATACTTAATATTGGTATGTACTCCAAATATGATTTAAGAAAAAACAAAATCAAGTCCAGAAACAACACCAAAAAATGAAGAAACAAATGGAAGGAAGAAAGGAGGGAAAGAAGGAAGGAAAAATGAGTGCTTGAGGGAAAATACCTCATATGCAATCTATTAGGGAATTCTGTTGGTTCTCCCTTCAGAATGTACTCAGAACCCAACCACTTTTCACCATTTTACTCCTACCATGCTGGTCTGAGCCCATTACCTCTTACCTGAACTAGTCTGATCTCAATCCTTGACTCCCCCACTCCAAGTCTCTTCTTATCCAACTACAAAGTATTAAGTAGGTCAGACCACATTCCTTCTCTGTTCAAAGCCCTCCAATACTTCTCTGGTTTACTGAGGGTCATTGCCAAAGTCTTCAAGACTGCCTACAAGATACTAAGTAATTATCCTTGCTACTACAGTCCCCCGACCCCATTTATTTCACTCCAGCTACACTAGCCTTTCTTGAACACACACAAGAGATGATCCTGCCTCAGGACCTTTGCATTGGCTGTTGCCACAGCCAGTACCTCTCTTCCTCAGATATCCACTTGACTGGTTCTCTCAACTCCTTTAAATACCACTTGATCAATGAGACCCATTCTGATCACTCTACTTAAAATTGTTCACCCCAGCCCTCCTATATTCTGCTTTATTTTTCCCACAGAACTTTATTACTTTAAAACATAAAAGTTACTTTATTATATTAATGTTTATACTTTCTATTTCCAAACCTGCCACTTCACCTCAGTATAAGATCTTCAAGAGCAGCCATCTTTGTTTTGTTCACCAGTGTAACATCAGTGCCTAAAACACTACCTGGCACATAGTTGAGGCTTCATTGGTATTTGTTGAATGAATGAATGAGTGGATGAATGAATTAATGAATAAATAGAAGAATTAGGACAAGACAAATAGAGTGTCAGTAAGGAGCAAGTCTAGGAAAGGAGTGAGACTGTGTGAGACAGAATAATGGCCCCCCAAATGTGTCCACATTCTAATCCCTGGAACCTGTAAATACGTTACCTTACATGGCAAAAGGGACTTTGCAAATATGATTAAGTTAATTACCTTGATATGGGAAGGTTATCCTGGATTAGCCAATGGGCCTAATATAATCCAAGAGTCCTTTTATTCAAAGACCGAGAAGGTGATGTGACAATGGAAGTAGAGGCTAAAGTGATGCACTTTGAAGATGGAGGAAGAGACCACAAACCAAAGAATGCAGGCAGCCTCTAACAGCTGGAAAGAGAAAGGAAACTGATTCTCACCTGGAGCCTCCAGAAGGAACACAGCTCTATCAACATCCTGATTTTATGCTCAAAGGACTCATTTCAGACTTCTGGCCTCCAGAAGTGTAAGAAAATAAATTTGCATTGTTTTAAACCACTAGGTTTGTGGTAATTTGTTACAGCGGCAATAGGAAACTAATACAGTGAGGCAGAGAAGAGAAAGCCTTCTCTCAAGGTTGTTAATTAGTAATGTCAGGGATTTGCAAGGCAGCTTAGAGAAGAATATAATAGTAACAAAAGGAAGAGATCTAGAGTTTAGAGTTTAGAGTAGCCAGGATTCAGCTACTAGAATTTGATTTGTAGATCTAAGCAGACCCCTTATTGCTAAAATGGAGTATTGGAGAGAGGTTGAGCCTAGCGTCCAGTTTGCTAAAGAGCTGGTAGAATGAGACTCTGTGTTGAGGTAGAAGACATGATTAATGGTGGAATTTGATGTACATTGCAGGTATGGAGTGCTGTAAGGGGTTGAATTTAGACTCCAAAAGATATTTCCACCAAGAACCTGAAAATGTGACCTTGTTTGGAAAGGGGGATCTTTGCAAAAGTAATTAAAGTAAGGATCTCAAGATGAGATCTTCTTGGATTTAGGACAAGGGCTAAATCCAATTACTAGTGTCCTTATAAGAGAACAGAAAGGAAGATTTGCGATACAGACACACAGAGGGGAAGGTCATGTGAAGAATGGAGGAAGAGATTGGAGTGATGGATCTACAATCCAAGGAATCCCAGGAATTTCACTACCAGAAGCTAGGTTAAAGTCATGGAATAGATTCCCCCTCAGAGCCTCCAGAAGGAACCAACACTGCTAACATCTTGATTTTGAACTTGTGGCCTCCAGAACTGTGAGAGACTACATTTCTGTTGTTTTAAGCCACCCTGTTTGTGGTAATCTGCTACAGCAGCCCTAGTCCTATGTGACTAGGAAAGAAATACGGGGAGAAGTGTTGCCTAGGGACTAGTTCATGTGGTGAGTTTATAATATAGGAAATTTGGTGTAGCGGGTTGAATAGTGGCCCTCCACAAATGGTTGGCCTTCCTATTCTAACCTCTGGAAACTGGGAATGTGGCCTTATTTGGGAAAAGGATCTTTGCAAATGTAATTAAGATAAGGATCTCAAGATGAGACCACCCTGAATTTAGGGTGGGCCCTAAATTCAATGATAAGTGTCCTTATAAAAGAAAGAAAAGGAGAAGGCCATGTGAAGTTGGAGGCAGAGGTTGGAATTATCCAGCCAATGAATGTCTAGAGCCATCAGAAGCTAGAACTGTGGAAGGATTCTCCCCTAGAGGCTTCACCAAGAGAGCATGGCTCTGCCATCACCTTGATTTCAGATATCTGACCTCCAGAATGGAGAGAATACATTTCTGTTGTTTTAAACTACCAATTTTGTGATATCTTATTATGGAAACAAGAGGAAACTAATATACTTGGTGTTCAGAAATTTAGTTTTCTTCTATTTCTCTGTAAACTGAAATAAACTCAGCTTTGAACTTGGAGGGACAAAAATATCACCTTGTCAATTCCAAGACAGTTAACCTTGGTCAGTAGAGATTTTAACTCAGGCATTAAAGATTTTAAGACACTTGCAGGGGAGGAGCCAAGATGGCCGAATAGGAACAGCTCCCGTCTACAGCTCCCAGCGTGAGCAACGCAGAAGACAGGTGATTTCTGCATTTCCATCTGAGGTACCGGGTTCATCTCACTAGGGAGTGCCAGACAGTGGGCGCAGGTCAGTGGGTGCATGCACAGTGCATGAGCCGAAGCAGGGCAAGGCATTGCCTCACTCGGGAAGTGCAAGGGGTCAGGGAGTTCCCTTTCCTAGTCAAAGAAAGGGGTGACAGATGGCACCTCGAAAATCGGGTCACTCCCACCCGAATACTGCGCTTTTCCCATGGGCTTAAAAAACAGCGCACCAGGAGATTATATCCCGCACCTGGCTCAGAGGGTCCTACGCCCACAGAGTCTCGCTGATTGCTAGCACGGCAGTCTGAGATCAAACTGCAAGGTGGCAGTGAGGCTGGGGTAGGGGTGCCCGCCATTGCCCAGGCTTGCTTAGGTAAACAAAGCAGCCGGGAAGCTCGAACTGGGTGGAGCCCACCACAGCTCAAGGAGGCCTGCCTGCCTCTGTAGGCTCCACCTCTGGGGGCAGGGCACAGACAAACAAAAAGACAGCAGTAACCTCTGCAGACTTAAATGTCCCTGTCTGACAGCTTTGAAGAGAGCAGTGGTTCTCCCAGCAGGCAGCTGGAGATCTGAGAACGGGCAGACTGCCTCCTCGAGTGGGTCCCTGACCCCTGACCCCCGAGCAGCCTAACTGGGAGTCACCCCCTAGCAGGGGCACACTGACACCTCACACGGCCGGGTACTCCAACAGACCTGCAGCTGAGGGTCCTGTCTGTTAGAAGGAAAACTAACAAACAGAAAAGACATCCACAGCAAAAACCCATCTGTACATCACCATCATCAAAGACCAAAAGTAGATACAACCACAAAGATGGGGAAAAAACAGAACAGAAAAACTGGAAACTCTAAAAAGCAGAGCGCCTCTCCTCCTCCAAAGGAACGCAGTTCCTCACCAGCAACAGAACAAAGCTGGACGGATAATGACTTTGACGAGCTGAGAGAAGAAGGCTTCAGATGATCAAATTACTCCGAGCTACGGGAGGAAATTCAAACCAAAGGCAAAGAAGTTGAAAACTTTGAAAAAAGTTTAGAAGAATGTATAACTAGAATAACCAATACAGAGAAGTGCTTAAAGGAGCTGATGGAGTTGAAAACCAAGGCTCAAGAACTACGTGAAGAATGCAGAAGCCTCAGGAGCTGATGCGATCAACTGGAAGAAAGGGTATCAGCGATGGAAGATGAAGTGAATGAAATGAAGCGAGAAGGGAGGTTTAGAGAAAAAAGAACAAAAAGAAACGAGCAAAGCCTCCAAGAAATATGGGACTATGTGAAAAGACCAAATCTACGTCTGATTGGTGTACCTGAAAGTGATGCGGAGAATGGAACCAAGTTGGAAAACACTCTGCAGGATATTATCCAGGAGAACTTCCCCAATCTAGCAAGGCAGGCCAACATTCAGATTCAGGAAATACAGAGAACGCCACAAAGATACTCCTCGAGAAGAGCAACTCCAAGACACATAATTGTCAGATTCACCAAAGTTGAAATGAAGGAAAAAATGTTAAGGGCAGCCAGAGAGAAAGGTCGGGTTACCCACAAAGGGAAGCCCATCAGACTAACAGTGGATCTCTCGGCAGAAACCCTACAAGCCAGAAGAGAGTGGGGGCCAATATTCAACATTCTTAAAGAAAAGAATTTTCAACCCAGAATTTCATATCCAGCCAAACTAAGCTTCGTAAGTGAAGGAGAAATAAAATACTTTACAGACAAGCAAATGCTGAGCGATTTTGTCACCACCAGGCCTGCCCTACAAGAGCTCCTGAAGGAAGTGCTAAACATGGAAAGGAACAACCAATACCAGCCGCTGCAAAATCATGCCAAAATGTAAAGACCATCAAGACTAGGAAGAAACTGCATGAACTAACGAGCAAAATAACCAGCTAACATCATAATGACAGGATCAAATTCACACATAACAATATCAACCTCAAATGTAAGTGGACTAAATGCTTCAATTAAAAGGCACAGACTGGCAAATTGGATAAAGAGTCAAGACCCATCAGTGTGCTGTATTCAGGAAACCCATCTCATGTGCAGAGACACACATAGGCTCAAAATAAAAGGATGGAGGAAGATCTACCAAGCAAATGGAAAACAAAAAAAGGCAGGGGTTGCAATCCTAGTCTCTGATAAAACAGACTTTAAACCAACAAAGATCAAAAGAGACAAGGCCATTACATAATGGTAAAGGGATCAATTCAACAAGAAGAGCTAACTATCCTAAATATATATGCACCCAATACAGGAGCACCCAGATTCATAAAGCAAGTCCTGAGCGACCTAGAAAGAGACTTAGACTCCCACACATTAATAATGGGAGACTTTAACACCCCACTGTCAACATTAGACAGATCAATGAGACAGAAAGTCAACAAGCATACCCAGGAATTGAACTCAGCTCTGCACCAAGCAGACCTAATAGACATCTACAGAACTCTCCATCCCAAATCAACAGAATATACATTTTTTTCAGTACCACACCATACCTGTTCCAAAATTGACCACATACTTGGAAGTAAAGCTCTCCTCAGCAAATGTAAAAGAACAGAAATTATAACAAACTATCTCTCAGACCACAGTGCAATCAAACTAGAACTCAGGATTAAGAATCTCACTCAAAACCACTCAACTACATGGAAACTGAACAACCTGCTCCTGAATGACTACTGGGTACATAACCAAATGAAGGAAGAAATAAAGATGTTCTTTGAAACCAACGAGAACAAAGACACAACATACCAGAATCTCTGGGACGCATCCAAAGCAGTGTGTAGAGGGAAATTTATAGCACTAAATGCCCACAAGAGAAAGCAGGAAAGATCCAAAATTGACACCCTAACATCACAATTAAAAGAACTAGAAAAGCAAGAGCAAACACATTCATAAGCTAGCGGAAGGCAAGAAATAACTAAAATCAGAGCAGAACTGAAGGAAATAGAGACACAAAAAACCCTTCAAAAAATTAATAAATCCAGGAGCTGGTTTTTTGAAAGGATCAACAAAATTGATAGACCGCTAGCAAGACTAATAAAGAAGAAAAGAGAGAAGAATCAAATAGACACAATAAAAAATGATAAAGGGGATATCACCACCGATCCCACAGAAATACAAACTACCATCAGAGAATATTACAAACACCTCTACTCAAATAAACTAGAAAATCTAGAAGAAATGGATAAATTCCTTGACACATACACTCTCCCAAGACTAAACCAGGAAGAAGTTGAATCTCTGAATAGACCAATAACAGGAGCTGAAATTGTGGCAATAATCAATAGCTTACCAACCAAAAAGAGTCCAGGACCAGATGGATTCACAGCCGAATTCTACCAGAGGTACAAGGAGGAACTGGTACCATTCCTTCTGAAACTATTCCAATCAATAGAAAAAGAGGGAATCCTCCCTAACTCATTTTATGAGGCCAGCATCATCCTGATACCAAAGCCGGGCAGAGACACAACCAAAAAAGAGAATTTTAGACCAATATCCTTGATGAACATTGATGTAAAAATCCTCAATAAAATACTGGCAAACCGAATCCAGCAGCACATCAAAAAGCTTATCCACCGTGATCAAGTGGGCTTCATCCCTGGGATGCAAGCCTGGTTCAATATACGCAAATCAATAAATGTAATCCAGCATATAAACAGAACCAAAGACAAAAACCACATGATTATCTCAATAGATGCAGAAAAGACCTTTGACAAAATTCAACAACCCTTCAGGCTAAAAACTCTCAATAAATTAGGTATTGATGGGACGTATCTCAAAATAATAAGAGCTATCTATGACAAACCCACAGCCAATATTATACTGAATGGGCAAAAACTGGAAGCATTCCCTTTGAAAACTGGAACAAGACAGGGATGCCCTCTCTCACCACTACTATTCAACATCGTGTTGGAAGTTCTGGCCAGGGCAATCAGGCAGGAGAAGGAAATAAAGGGTATTCAATTAGGAAAAGAGGAAGTCAAATTGTCCCTGTTTGCAGATGACTTGATTGTATATCTAGAAAACCCCATCGTCTCAGCCCCAAATCTCCTTAAGCTGGTAAGCAACTTCAGCAAAGTCTCAGGATACAAAATCAATGTGCAAAAATCACAAGCATTCTTATACACCAATAAGAGACAAACAGAGGACCAAATCAGGAGTGAACTCTCATTCACAATTGCTTCAAAGAGAATAAAATACCTAGGAATCCAACTTACAAGGGATGTGAAGGACCTCTTCAAGGAGAACTACAAACCACTGCTCAAGGAAATAGAAGAGGATACAAACAAATGGAAGAACATTCCATGCTCATGGATAGGAAGAATCAATATCGTGAAAATGGCCATACTGCCCAAGGTAATTTACAGATTCAATGCCATCCCCATCAAGCTACCAGTGACTTTCTTCACAGAATTGGAAAAAACTACTTTAAAGTTCATATGGAACCAAAAAAGAGCCTGCATCGCCAAGTCAATCCTAAGCCAAAAGAACAAAGCTGGAGGCATCACACTACCTGACTTCAAACTATACTACAAGGCTACAGTAACCAAAACAGCATGGTACTGGTACCAAAACAGAGATATAGATCAATGGAACAGAACAGAGCCCTCAGAAATAATGCCGCATATCTACAACTATCTGATCTTTGACAAACCTGAGAAAAACAAGCAATGGGGAAAGGATTCCCTATTTAATAAATGGTGCTGGGAAAACTGGCTAGCCATATGTAGAAAGCTGAAACTGGATCCCTTCCTTACCCCTTATACAAAAATTAATTCAAGATGGATTAAAGACTTAAACGTTAGACCTAAAACCATAAAAACCCTAGAAGAAAACCTAGGCATTACCATTCAGGACATAGGCGTGGGCAAGGACTTCATGTCTAAAACACCAAAAGCAATGGCAACCAAAGCCAAAATTGACAAATGGGATCTAATTAAACTAAAGAGCTTCTGCACAGCAAAAGAAACTACCATCAGAGTGAACAGGCAACCTACAAAATGGGAGAAAATTTTCACAACCTACTCATCTGACAAAGGGCTAATATCCAGAATCTACAATGAACTCAACCAAATTTACAAGAAAAAAACAACCCCATCAAAAAGTGGGTGAAGGACATGAACAGACACTTCTCAAAAGAAGACATTTATGCAGCCAAAAAACACATGAAAAAATGCTCACCATCACTGGCCATCAGGGAAATGCAAATCAAAACCACAATGAGATACCATCTCACACCAGTTAGAATGGCAATCATTAAAAAGTCAGGAAACAACAGGTGCTGGAGAGGATGTGGAGAAATAGGAACACTTTTACACTGTTGGTGGGACTGTAAACTAGTTCAACCATTGTGGAAGTCAGTGTGGCGATTCCTCAGGGATCTAGAACTAGAAATACCATTTGACCCAGCCATCCCATTACTGGGTATATACCCAAAGGACTATAAATCATGCTGCTATAAAGACACATGCACACGTATGTTTATTGCAGCACTATTCACAATAGCAAAGACTTGGAACCAACCCAAATGTCCAACAATGATAGACTGGATTGAGAAAATGTGGCACATATACACCATGGAATACTATGCAGCCATAAAAAATGATGAGTTCATGTCCTTTGTAGGGACATGGATGAAATTGGAAATCATCATTCTCAGTAAACTATCGCAAGAACAAAAAACCAAACACCACATATTCTCACTCATAGGTGGGAATTGAACAATGAGAACACATGGACACAGGAAGGGGAACATCACACTCTGGGGACTGTTGTGGAGTGGGGGGAGTGGGGAGGGATAGCATTGGGAGATATACCTAATGCTAGATGACGAGTTAGTGGGTGCAGCACACCAGCATGGCACATGTATACATATGTAACTAACCTGCACATTGTGCACATGTACCCTAAAACTTAAAGTATAATAATAATAAATTAAAAAAAAAAAGACACTTGGGATAGGGCAGAATCTAAGTTTGTAGAGTTTCTCTTGGAAGAAGAGAAGGCTGATTGGGGAAGAGGTGTCCAGCCCACTAATTACTCATCCCCTGGAGGACAACAGTGGCTCCATATTGGGATGTCTGGGGTCCAGCCCTGGCCTGGGAGTGATGGTATATAAGGCATAGGTCCATGGACTCTGTAAACACCACTGTATTAGGCAGAACTCTCCAGAAAAACAGAACCAATAAGAAGGAGATTTACTATGAGTAATTGGCTCATATAATTATGGAGGCTGAGAAGTCCCATGATTTGCCATCTATACGCTGGAGACCCAGGAGAGCTGGTGATGTAATTCAGTCAGACTCAGAAAGCCTGAGAAGCAGGGGAACTGATGGTGTGAGTTCCAGTCTCAGCATAGGAGAAGATGAGATGAGATGTCCCAGTTCAAGCAGTGAGGCAGAAAAGAAGGGGTTACTTCCTAATTCCTCAGCCTTTTCTACTCAGACCCTCAAGAGATTGGACGAGACTCACCCACATGGATGAGGGCAGTCTACTTTACTGAGCCCACCAATTCAAATGCTAATCTCACCTGGAAATACCCTCACAGACACAACCAGAAATAACATTTAATCTGGGAACCCATGGCCCAGTCAAGTTGACGCACACAATTAACCATCACAGGCACCTGGCCCCAGGTCCTTTTGAGTCCTCAATCTCTGTGGCTACCTCCTGGTCTTCAGCCTGTTGGCTTTGCTCGTCTACACTTCTGCTGTCCCAGAGTCTAGCTGCCTGGACCCACCCTCAGCTGTTTCTACTTCATGTTTTTAAGGCCTAAAATTGTATGTGCTGCCTTGACATATTTCAGCCTCACAGGGCCCCAAAAGCCTAACCATAAATCCTCTTGCTCTTGCCAAATATGACGTCCACCTAGCAGGAAACTCTCCCGGCCTGGCTAGTTCCTCTATCAATTGGACCAGCTGCATTCCACCTGGTCTTCAACCTAATGGGTTTCACTGCACTGTCAGCCATGAAATTATTCAAACAAGTCAATCACATCCTCCTGTGGGGACCAGGGGACACCTCAGCCTTTTGTTACTACAAAGTTGCCTCCCACCACTGGTGATTCACTGTGCTCCTGAGTGCAATTCCCATGTGGCACTGCATTGCAGGCAGCATTCTCCTCCCCCAGGCTATGAGTATATATGACTTATAAACTGCTTTCAGTCTCATATGTCCAGTGTTGGGTATCATGTGTTCAGCTATCTCGTAGTATTTAGGATGGGGGATTCACTCCATCACCATCAGGGTGAATAGGAGATGATCAGAGTACTCTGTGTTGAACCCAAGACTTCCACTCTGCAATTTTCTTTCTCTCTAACTCATGACTTACAGAAAAATGTGTTTGGAGTTTCTATAATCCCAGCCACTCCCACTTTCTACACTGAATCTTTGGGCAAATGGCTGCTTCTCAGGTAGACTTTAAGCTCCAGTCCATTAATTCCTTAAACTTTGGTCCACTAGCTCTTAGTCCTGGATGTACATTACAGCCACCTGGGGGACTCTCAAAATATTCCAGTGCTGATGTTTCCTTGACAAATTAAGTCAGAATATCTGGAGGTGGGTGGAGCCAAAATGATTCTAGTGATTTGGGGCAAGAATCATTGAGTTTCTTCACAGGCCCTCTGCTTGCTGGGAGGATGTGGAGTCTTTTTGTAAGGTTGAGGTGGACATGGGATGTGGGGTAAGAGTTGGGGAATGTGTCTTCAGGAATCCTCTTCCTATCTTCCTATCTCTGATTTAAGGTGTCAACTCCAGGCTCCCAGTATTCTTGGTTATATGGTTTGGCTCTGTGTCCCTACCCAAATCTCATCTCAAATTATAAACCCCACATGTCAAAGGAGGGACCCGTAATCCCCATGTGTTGAGGGAGAGAGGTGATTGGATCATGGGGGCGTTTTCCCCCATGCTCTTGTGATAGTGAGTGAGATCTCACAAGATCTGATGGTTTTATACATGTTTGGAAGTTCCTCCTTCATGCTTCTCTCTCCTGCCACCTTGTGAAGAAGGTGCTTGCTTCCCCTTAGCCTTCTACCATGATTGTAAGTTTCCCGAGGTCTTCCCAGCTATGCAGAACTGTGAGTCAATTAAACCTCTTTCCTTTGTAAACTACCGAGTCTCAGAGAAGTTCTTTATAGCAGTGTGAAAATAGACAATTACACTTGACCTTGACTATTGGTTTTGAAAGCCAAGATTTCCATCCTGCCACATCCCAAGAGTTAGAAAGTAAGAAATAAAGAAATAAAGAGAGAGAAAGTTTTTTTGTCATATCAAATGTTATAAAGAAAAACAGGAAGTCCATGCAGAAATTCAACTGACTTTTCTTTTTCTTTTTCTTTTTCTTTTTTTTTTTTGAGATGGAGTTTCACTCTTGTTGCCCAGGCTGGAGTGCAATGGCATGATCTCGGCTCACCGCAACTTCTGCCTCCCATGTTCAAGTGATTCTCCTGACTTAGCCTCCCAAGGAGCTGGGATTACAGGCGTGAACCACCACACCCGGCTAATTTTGTATTCTTCGTAGAGATGGGGTTTCTCCACGTTGGTCACGCTGGTCTCGAACTCCCGACCTCAGGTTATCCACCCACCTCGGCCTCCGAAAGTGCTGGGATTATACGTGTGACCACTGCGCCCGGCCCTCTTTTGCTTTTTTAATGGCCAGCCTTCATTTTTTATTTAGTGTAGAACAATTATGTGCAACCATCACTACAGCCAATTTTAGAACATTTTCACTAATTCAAAAAGAAACCTGCACCCCTCAGCCATCAACCCCTAGGCCCCATCCACCCTCCAGCCCCAAGCAACTACTCACCTACTTTCTATCTCCATGAATATGCCTATTCTGGATATTTTATATAAATGGAATCATATAATGTGTGGTCCTTTGTTACTGGCTTCTTTTACTTAACATGTTTCCAATGTTCATCCATGTTGTAGCATATATTGTACTTCATTCCTTTCTCTGGGCAAATAAGAGTTCCTTGTATGGATATACTGCATTTTGTTTATCGTTAATCAGTTGATGGATATTGTATTAATCTGTTCTCATGCTGCTAATAAAGACATACCCAGGCTGGCTAATTTATAAATGAAAGAGATTTAATGGATTCACAGTTCCATATGGTTGGGGAGGCCTCATAATTATGGTGGAAAGTGAAAGAGGAGGAAAGTCACGTCTTATATGGTGGCAGGCAAGAGAGTGTGTGCAGGGGAACTCCCCTTTATAAAACCATCAGATCTCATGAGACTTATTCACTATCACGAGAACAGCACAAGAAAGAACCCCTCAACACGATTCAATTACTTTCCATTGAGTCCCTCCCATGACACATGGGAATTATAGGAGCTACAATTCAAGATGAGATTTGGATGAGGACACAGCCAATCCATATCAGATATCTAGGTTGTCTCTATTTTTTGGCTATTAAAAATAATACTGCTCTAAATATTCATGTACACGTTTTTTGTGAGCCCCTATGCTTTCATTTCTCTTTGGTATATCCTAGCAGTAGAATTTCTAGGTCATGTGGCAATTCTGTGTTCAACTTTTTAAGGAACTGCCAGATTGTTTTCCAAAGTGACTGCCCCACTTAAACATTCCTTCTAGGAGTGAATTTGGGTCCAATTTCTCCACATGCTCTCCAGCACTTTTTATTATCTTTGACTTTCTTTTTTAAGACTCTCTAATCTGGGCAGAGGCTCTCCCTAAGGGTAGTGGCTGTATCTGTTGCTGTTGAAATGGTGGTGTAAGGGTAATGGTGGTATATGTATAATGGTGAGAAGAAACATATTAATATCTCAAAATTTTATCCTACTATTTTGGTAAAGACCTCCTTATTTTATCAACTCATTCCTCATGAAGCAGTAAGAGCTATGTCGGTGCTGTGGGAAACAGACAGAGGAGCTGTGACTTCTACCCAGGAGATGTGGAGGCAAGGCTATCTGCATTCTACTGTTAAAGCAAACTAAACATGGCCTGAGAAGGACTCCATACTCCATACTTCTATATTTGAGTCCTTGTGAACGAACTGCAACCTAACTTAATAGGTAGACAAAATTAAAACCCTAACGTAGAAGTATGCCCTGTAACAATAGCTGAATCTTGGCCTAATCCCAGCAGCCGTACCTCAACCACTCATACACTGCTGAGTGCTCAAACTGTGTTCAAATAAGGCAAATGCCGAGCTGTAACCAATCCAGCTGTTTCTGTACCTCACCTGAGATTTCTGTACTTCACTTCCCTTTTTTGTCTATAAATTTGTTCTAACCATGAGATATCCCTGGAGTCTCTGACTCTGCTGTGATTCTGGGGGCTGCCCGATCCACAAATCATTCATTACTCAATTAAACTCCTTTAAATTTAATTCGGCCAAAGTTTTTCTTTTAACACTACCTTCTCAGAGATCCCTGCATCCCATTCATTCCACCCTAGCTGGTGGGAGACTTACTATTCTGGTCAGCAGAGGAAGGATGACAGAATTCATTCATTCATTCTTTCTTTTTTAACAGGTAAAGTAAAAGATGGCTCAACCAAAGAGGACAGGCCTTATAAGATCTTTTTCAGAGATCTCTTTCTTGTCAAAGAAAATGAAATGGCAGCAAAGGAAACGGTAAAGTTTAATTAAAATCACAACCCCAATTAATGTTAGAATCATATCCACTTACCTATTGCTCTTATGAACTTTGCTGGGCTGAGACATGGAGTCAACTAGACGCAGATGGTGTGTGCCCCACACCATGATGGGGAGACAGTGTGAACACAAACGACAGAAAAACATCCAGCTGACAGTAGGCAGCACAAAGATCGCCACCTAACGGAGGAAGAGAGATATACCACTGCAGTCCAGTAGGACACGTATGGTACACTGTCCTTCATTGATTCCAACACACACATCTCCACATTTTTTACATTTCTGAAATTGGTACCTAGCTTACATAGATGGGATGTCATACATCACTGGCCCTGCATAAAATAATAGCACATCTTACAATAAGTGGCATCTCAGAGTGGAGGAAATACAGTAACAGAGGCGTGCCAAAGAAATATAGAGAAAGGGGTGTTCATCTTTGTTGATGAGAAGATGGAAAAAAGGCTGTTAGTGGTGAGGAGATAAAAGGAGGTGGGTCTTCAAGAATCAGATATGGATAAGACAATGCATATGTGTGTGCTGGGGAAGGAAGAAGGGATGAAAGTAGAGGAGGGGGTGTTGTTTTCAAATTTTGTGGTATGAAGCTAGATCAATGATAAGGCTGATTTTCCCACTGTGCCTTGCAGAGTTAATCTCACCACTGCTGTGGTCATCACACCTACATCGCCTGGTTCACATTTCAGTAGATTTACTTTCTTTCTTTCCAGAGGTAAAAGTTGATTACAGGACTTTGTCTACCCTAATTAAGATAAGGAAATTATCTAGAAATGCTCAACAACAGATTCATCTGTATGCGATGGTTCCTCAGCAAGTGTTGTATGGTTTTGTGGAACATACTTAAAATTAAATTGAGAGAAGATGAATGAAATCACAAGCCTAATTTTTAAATATCTACTGGGGAGATCCCTTTCCTCTCAAGTTTTAATTCCACAGAACCAACACTTAGAATTTCCTTTTTTTTTTTTTTTTTGACAGTCTTGCTCTGTCACCCAGGCTGGAGTGCGGTGGTGTGATCTCGGCTCACTGCCACCTTTACCACCAGGTTCAAGTGATTCTTGTGCCTCAGCCTCCTGAGTAGCTGTGACTACAGGCACCCGTCACCACGCCCGGCTAATTTTTGTATTTTTAGTAGAGAGGGGTTTCTCCATCTTGATCAGGCTGGTCTTGAACTCCTGACCTCAGGTGATCTGCCCGCCTTGGACTCCCAAAGCACCAGGATTACAGACATGAGCTACCGCACCCAGCCCGGAATTTCCAAATTTTAACTGCATTTTGAGCAAGACTAAATTGTGAAAATGAAGCTGAGAGGACATTTTCCAGTCTTGTATTTGTGATGTACATATTTAATAAAAGTTAAATGATCTCAGCTTCATATGAGAAGGAAACTAAAACAACACACATTCCTTCAAAGAGAAGAACCTGGGGTTGTTTTTTTAATGTTAAGATTTTTGTTGCAAATGTTATTTTTATATATAATCACTAATTTTAAGATAACATACTTTGGTATATTAAAAATTCTTTTCAACTTTTCCACTTGGGCAGGAAAAATTTATGAACCGTAACATGAAAGTCTACCAGAAAACTACTTTTTCATCCAGAATGAAGAGTCATTCATACCTGAGCCAACTAGCTTTCTACCCTAAAAGGAGTGGTAGGTCATTTGAAAAGTTTGGGCCAGGTCCTGCTCCGATTCCTAGATTAATAGAAGGTGAGTCTAAATTACTCTTTAAGAACATCATTTTGAATATTTACTATTAATGTCAGGTTTGGGAGCTTTGTTGGAGGGTGATTAAAACAGACAGTATGCTCTCTTATAATGGTAGGGAGTCTTAGTACATGGGGATTGAGAGTTAGGAGAAATTCTATGTTAAATAAGAAAACATACTTTTCCAAGATGACTGTTACTCATTTTCATAACCGTCCTCCCAGGAGGACAGTTACTGCCAAAAGAATGTAGTATTAAAGTTTGCAAAAGCGGATAAAATGTAAAGGTAATAGCTCTGGCCATTCATACTCAGTTCTAGATGTCAAACTTAGAAGTTTCTAAAGATAAAAAAGCCTTGATATCCAAGCCAAAGAACTCATGCATCCAGAATGAGGAAGCTAATAAAATTAAATGAGCTTACCTAATGTTGCAAATACCTAATCTGGTTTTAGTGACCTTTGGAGGCAACATATTAAAATACTATAAGATGATCATTACTACTCAACAAAAGAAGGCAATCTGATTATCAAAAATGACAAGTAGGGGGTATCCTACTTGTCAAACCAAGTAGTGCCTATAGATGAGATAGAAAGTACTTTGAAGTTAATGAAAATAAAGTGATTAATGCTAGGATGATGGAGTCTAAAATCTTCCCCCAAAATGAATGTTTTCCAAATTGTTAAATTAAAAAGTTTAAAATAAGAAGGGAAAAAAGGAAGGAAGGAAGGAAGGAAGGAAGGAAGGAAGGAAGGCAGGCAGGCAACTTAAAAAAATTTTCTCTGGATCCCAAAGCCCATGCACTTTCTCAAACTGTAAAAAAATTTTTCAGAGAACAAGCAAACCACTTAGGGAAGGGCTTTGGAGTCAATAATTAATGTAGGAAAAGGAAGCCATGTTAACTTATTCAGAAGAGCTTCCAAGTGCATATATAATTGTATGTAAAAGCAGCAAATGATAGGCAGCAAGGTGATGCCAGGGACTGTACCACAAGTTCTAGGGCATATCTACGTTCAATCACATGCCTCATAGTTCGCCTCCGTAGAGTGGTAAACCTTAGGTCATCAAGAGCATTTACAATTACATGTGATATGTTTTAGAAAGAGTTCTACACCAAGTGGCTGGTTTAAAATACCCAGGACACTCCAGCAGTTCTTAAATAACTCAGAAGTATGGCTTTGCAGATGACCCCATTCAACAGCATTGCTATTTAACAGAGAAGTTACCGGTCTCTTAAAAGTAGGTGTCTTGGATGAATTTTGGGTACAAAGGAAAAACAAAGTAAATGGCATAGGGTCAACTCTTCAAAAGGAAACAGTAAAATTGTTTGGCATTATCCAAGGCAATTTGGGCTCTGTCAGCAATGGAAACCAGATTGTCAGTTTCTGCCAATTGCACAGATAAGCAATTTGGACATTTTAACTTAAAATATAGAAGTCACCCTCAGACTGTATTTCCAATCAGGAGCTGATTTGAGTGAAAACCTTACTCCTCAAACTTGCATCCCCTGCCTGAATCCTGATTGAAAACAAACCTACATGAAAGCAAAATGAGCAAGCAACCACACGCTGGGAGGTTAGGTGACTTTAATTTTTTGTGTATGCAGTAAGTGGCAAACTGCTCGGTGCCCATCAAAGAAATCACATGCACAACTAAGTGTCAGAGACAGATCAGTCTGCCTACATGAGAGAAGTGCCATTTCCATCTTCGCACAGCGAGCAGCCTGACTCTGGTTTTGCTCTCAAAGCACAACACCTGGGATAGTTGCAGGACTCTCTGTTGCAGTATTCTATGTCCTCAGATCTCTCAAGCTGGTCTTTACATCCCCAGAGAGTGGTGGAGGTGCCCTCAGGTCTAGGAATGTTAATGCTTTGGGAGGGCTTTATTAATTCATGGCCTCTTGGTTCAAAGATCTGCCTGATAGCTAGAATAGCCAAAATGGGAAACTCACTATAACGAGTCTACTTAGAGTTGAAGAATAAAATTCTATCAACTCAGCCAGAGAGTACCATGTCAAAGTAAGCTGAAATGGTGAATATGGCTCTAAGATTTAGTAAGTTGACAGCACAGGATTTTTTTGGATATTGAAGTTTATTTTCAATTTGGCTGACCCATCAGAAATGATCAAATGAAAGCTACAGTAAGCACTTTCATTCTTTTCTTCTATTAAAAATGTTTGAGTAAATTGAACCTGAATCTAATCAAATAAATATGAGGATTGAAGACCATGTTAGATAACACCATGAGGATACAATATGTCAGATCCATTATATGGGAAATTCTACAGAGAAATTGACCTCGTTTCTTGAACAAATGAATGGCTTGGGAAAAAAAAAAGTGTGTGTAGGGTATAGGGTGTGAGGAGCGGGGGTGGCTATTATAGATTTAAAAGAGACTTTAGGATCCTTACCATAAAATATTTAGATTTTAATTTTTAAAATTCCAAAAAGGTATTTTTAAGACAACTGGGAAGATTTGAATGCAGACTGTGTGTAAAACGACACTAAGGAATAGTTCATTTTGTTAGGGGTGATGGTGGTTTTATGGTTATGATTTAAAACTTTTTATCTGCTAGAGTTTCATATTAAAGTATTTATGGGTGAAATGATACAAAGGCTTGAATTTGTTTTGAAATACTCCAGTGACGGAGACATTAAGGAGGGTGGCAATAAATGAGACAAGATTGGTAAAATGTTGATAATGTTGAAGTAGGTGACAGGTACACAGGGAACATTATATGGCTCTTTACTTTTATGAATGTCAGTGATTCCCATAATATAAAGTATTTCTGTTTTGTTTTGTTTTGTTTTTGAGACGGAGTCTTTCTCTGTCACCTGGGCTGGAGTGCAGTGGCGCAGTCTTGGCTTACTGCAAAATCTGTCTCCAAGGTTTAAGCAATTCTCGTGCCCCAGCCTCCGAGTAGCTGGGACTACAAGCACATGCCACTATACCTGGCTAATTTTTTGTATTTTTAGTAGAGACGAGGTTTTGCCATGTTGGCCAGGGTGGTCTCGAACTCCTGTCCTGAAGTAATCCACCTGCCTCGGTCTCCCAAAGTGCTGGGATTACAGGCATGGGCCACCACTCCCAGCCTAAAGTTTTAAAATCTATTAAAAAGACAGCTGTGTGATAAATGCTGACTGATTTCATATGTATTTTATTTAATCATCAACAAAACATTGTTAAATATTTTTGCCTCCTCGTTGTGTCTGATGAACGTGGCTCACGGAGTCTGTCACTTATTCGAAGTTCTCGGTGGGTGCAGAATTCAAGCCAAGGCCTGTCTGATTCCAAAGCTTGCTTTCTTTTACCTCCCAATTAACATTTATTAATGATTATAATAATCATTGTTGCCATTATTAACCTTGAGAAATTAAATAATTACTCATCCCAATTGTATTGTTTAAATAATAGCCAGTAACAATTATTAAGAAGTTACTATGTGTTTTTGTAATATATTGCATCATTTTCCTCTCACAACACCATTACAAAGTAAAGTAGTGTATCTACCCGGGCTTACTTATGCTTTGGTAATAAATCACTCCTAAATTTCAGTGGCTTCCAATAACAGAGGTTTAATTATCCTTCACTTTCCAATGTGGGTGCTTTTCTCTGGGTCTTCTGCTGAAAGAATATTTCCTGTCTAGGATGTTGCTGGAGTTATAGCAAAGGGAGAAAGGAGAGAAACAGGTAGTGGTTCTCGAAGCTTCTTCCTGGAGGCAACATAAATCCCATCCGATCCCATTCCCATTCCCTGGGCTGAATCTGTCAATAGGCAAGTTTGACATCAACTTAGTGGGGAAAGAGAATCCTCTCACAGAGAGGGGCAGCAAATATTTGGGAACAATAACATAATCTGCCACAGGCAATATCCTCATTTCACAAATGAGGAAGCTGAGGCATGGAGAGAGGGTAATTTACTCATATTCCCACAGCTAGTAAGAGGTGAAGGTCAAAAGTGACCCAGGAAGATGTGGGCCTCCTAGGCAGCACAGGCTCACAGGTTACTTGGAAATATTGTTTCCTTTCTATTTCTATTTGCATTTTTTTTGCTTTTATTATTAACTTTTGAGACAGGGTCTCACTTTGTCACCCAGGCTGGAATGCATTGGTGTGATCATGACTCACTACAGCCTCGACCTCCTGGCTCAAGGGATCCTCCCACCTCAGCCTCCCCTCCCAAGTAGCTGGGACTACAGGCACACACGACCACGCCTGGCTAATTTTTGTATATTTTTGTAGAGACAAGCCTTCGCCATGTTGTCCAGGTTGGTCTCAAACTCCTGAGCTGAAGCGATCCACCTACCTCAGCCTCCCAAAGTGTTGGGATTACAGTCATGAGCCACTGCTGCTGGCCCTGCTTTTATTACTATTTTTAATTGACCCCATAATAATCATACATATTGATAGGGTATGGTGTGATGTTTCAATACATGTATACAATGTGCCATAATCAAATCGGAGTAATGAGCATATTCATCACCTCAAACATTTATCATTTATTTGTGTTGGGAACATTCAAAATCCATTCTTCTAGCTATTTGAAAATATGTAACAAACTATTGCTAACTATAGTCACCTTACAGCGCTACAGCACACTCAAACTTTTTCCTGCTGTCTAGCTGTACTTGTGTGTCTGTTAACCAACCTCTTCCTATCCCCCCACCCCCATCCTTCCCTGCTTCTAGTGACCACTATTCTACTCTCTACTTCTATGAGGTCAACTTTTTTAGCTTCCACGTAGGGATGAGTATTTAAATTCTTAAATTTTAGATTCAGGGGATACATGTGCAGGTTTGTTATGAGGGTATGTTGAATGATGCTGAGCTTTGGGCTTCTATTGATTGCATCACCAAAATAGTGAACATGGTACCCAATAGGAAGTTTTTCAACCCTTGCTCCTCTCCCTCCCTCCCTGCTTTAGGAGGCCTCAGTGTCTATTATTCCCATCTTTCTGTCCATGTGTACTCAATGTTTAGCTCCCACTTATAAGTGAGAACATGCAGTATTTGCTTTTCTGTTTCTGTGTTAATTCACTTAGGAGAATGACTTCCAGCTCTATCCATGTTGCTGCAAAGGACATTATTTTATTCTTTTTATGGCTGCATAGTATTCCATGGTATACATGCACCACATTTTCTTTAGCCAGTCCACTGTTGATGGGCATCTAGGTTGAGTCTCTGTATTTGCTGTGGTTAACATTGCTGTGATGAACATACAAGTGCATGTGTCTTTTTGACAGAACAATTTATTTTTGGGGAGGTAGGTACCCAGTAATGGGATTGCTGGGTTGGATGATAGTTCTATTTTTAGTTCTTTGAAAAACCTCCAAACTGCTTTCCACATGGGGCTGAATTAACAGTGTATTCCCATCAACAATGTATAAGCATTCCATTTTTCTCTGCAACCTAGTCATCTGTTATTTTTTGACTTTTTAATAATAGCCATTCTGACTGGTGTGAGACGGCATCTCATTGTGATTTTGATTTGCATTTCTCTGATGATTGGCAATGTCGGGCATTCTTTCCAGTTTATCGGATGTCACTTGTATGCCTTCTTTTGCCTACTTTTCAATGTGTTTTTTTCTTGTTAATTTGTTTAAGTTTCTTGTAGATTCTGGATATTAGGCCTTTGTCTTTGACAAAGGTTGCGAATATACATAGCTTGCAAATATTTTCTCCTATGCTATAGGTTGTCTGTTTAGTCTGTTGATAGTGTTTTTTGCTGCGCAGAAGCTCTTTAGTTAAATTAGGTGTGAATTGCCAATTTTTATTTTTGTTGCATTTGGTTTTGAGAACTTTTCCTAGGCCAATGTCTGGAAGAGTATGTCCCAGATTTTCTTTTGGGATTTCTTTTTATAGATGGAGGTCTTACATTTAAATCTTGAATCCCTCTTGAGTTAATTTTTGTATATGGTAAGATGAAGGGATCTAGTTTCATTCTTCTGCATATGGCTAGCCAGTTTTCCCTGCACCATTTATTGAAAAGGGGATCCTCTCCCCATTTTTTATTTTTGTCATCTTTGTTGACAATCAGTTGGTTGTATGTGTGCAGCTTTATTTCTCTGTTTTCTATTTTGTTCCATTGGTCTGTCTATTTTTGTACCAGTACCATGCTGTTTTTGTTACGGTAGCCTTGTAGTATAGTTTGAAATCAGGTAATATGATGAGTCCAACTTCGTTCTTTTTGCGTAGGATTGCTTTGGCTATTTGGGCTCTATTTTGGCTTCATGTAATTTTTATTTTATTTTTATGAATTATTTATTCATTTAGAGACAGTGTCTTACTCTGTCCCCCAGGCTGAAGTGCAGTAGCATGATCATAGCTCACTGTAACCTTGAACTTCTAAACTCAAGCAATCCTCCTGGCTTAGTCCTGTGAGAGGCTAGGACTATAGGCACGCACAACCATGCTCAACTAATTTTTTAATTTTTTTGTAAAGATGGGTTTCTTGCTGTGTTGCTCAGTCTGGTCTTGAACTCCTGGCCTCAAGCAATCCTCCCACCTTGGCCTTTCCAAGTTTTGGGATTACAGGCATGAGCCACCATGCCCAGCCTGAATTCTAGAATAGTTTTTTTCTAATTCTGTGAAAAGTGACATTGGTAGTTTGATAGGAATAGCATTGAATCTGTAAATTGCTTTCATAAGTGTGGACATTTTTAATGACATTGATTGTTCCAATCCATGAGCCTGGAATGTTTTTCAATTTGTTTGTGTCATCTATGAATTCTTTCAGCAGTGTTTTGTAATTCTCATTGTAGAGTTCTTACACCTCTTTGTTTACAAATATCCATAGGTATTTTGTGTGTGTGTGTGTGTGTGTGTGTGTGTGTAATGTAAATGGGATTGCATTCTTGATTTGGCTCTCAGCTCAAATGTTATTGATGTATACAAATGCTGTTGATTTTTGTACATTGATTTTGTATCCTGAAACTTTGCTGAAGTTGTTTGTCAGATCTAAGCCTCTTTTGGTGGAGTCTTTGGGGTTTTTTAGGTATCGAACCATATCATCAGTGAAGACAGATAATTTGACTTCCTCTTTTCCTATTTGGATGCTTTTGTTTCTTTCTCTTGCTGGATTGCCCTGGTTAAGACTTCCAGTATTATGTTGACTAGGAATGCTGAGAGTGCAAATCCTTGTCTTGTTCCAGTTCTTAGGGGAAATGCTTCTAACTTTTACCTGTTCCGTATGATGTTGGCTGTGAGTTTGTCATAGATGGCTGTTAGTATTTTGAGGTATGTTCCTTCGATGCCTAGTTTGTTGAGTGTATTTATCATAAGGGGATGTTGGATTTTATTGAATGCTTTTTCTGGGTCTATCAAGATGATCCTATGGTTTTGGGGTTTAATTCTGTTTATGTGGTGAATCACATTTATTGATTTGTGTATATTGAACAAACCTTGTATTCTAGGAGTAAAGCCCACTTGATTGTGGTGAATTAGCTTTTTGATGTGTTGTTGGATTCAGTTTGCTAGTGTTTTTTTGAGGATTTTCATGTCTATGTTCATCAAGGATAGTGGCCTGTAGTTTTCTTTTTTGTTGTGTCTTTGCCAGATTTTGATATCAGGATGATACCAAATTCATAGGATGAGTTAGGGAGGAATCCCTTCTCTTAGATTTTTTTGTAATAACTTCAGTAGGATTGGTACTAGCCTTTCTTTGTACCTCTGGTAGGAGTCGGCTGTGAATCCATCTGGTCCAGGGCTTTATTTGGTTTGGTAGGTTTTTTATTACTGATTCAATTTCAGAACTCATTATTAGTCTGTTCAGGGTTACAATTTCTTCCTGATTCAATCTTGGGAGATTGTGTGTTTCCAGGAATTTATCTATTTCCTCTAGATTTTCCAGTTTGTTTTCATAGAGGTGTTCATAATAGTCTCTGTGGATCTTTTGTATTTCTGTGGGATTGGCTATAATGTTACCTTTGTCATTTCTGAGTGTGCTTATTTGGATCTTCTCTCTTTTTTCTTTGTTAATCTAGCTAGTGGTCTGTCAATCTTGTTTTTCTTTCAAAGAACCAACTTTTTGTTTCATTGATTCTTTGTATGATTTTATTTTTTTGTCTCAATTTCATTTAGTTCTGCTCTGATTTTAGTTATTTCTTTTCTTCTGCTAGCTACAGTTACATTCTTATCAAGAGATTTTATTTTATGCCACATTCTGTTGGTTTTTATGAAGCAAACATTATTGAAATGTAGCATATGTATAAATTTCCAGAATGAAAAAAGCTTGAAAAGAAACATTTGGTATTTTCTATTGCTAGATGGTAAAACTAGTTGTCATCATTTCCTTTCCTGACAGAAGTTTGGTTTATGAGCCAAAAAAGATTTTGCCTAAGAGCTTTGGTATGTGTAGATTGGCCAAACATTAAGATTTAAAATACTTCAGTCTTACTTGGTACAGCACAAGCTTAGGTTAGTTGTGTGACCTTGGATAAGAATTTTGACAGCCCCCTCTCCCTCTCCCTCTCCCTCTCCTCCCTCTCCCTCTCCCTCTCCTCCCTCTCCCTCTCCCTCTCCCTCTCCCTCTCCCTCTCCCTCTCCCTCTCCCTCTCCCTCTCCCTCTCCCTCTCCCTCTCCCTCTCCCTCTCCCTCTCCCTCTCCCTCTCCCTCTCCCTCTCCCTCTCCCTCTCCCTCTCCCTCTCCCTCTCCCTCTCCCTCTCCCTCTCCCTCTCCCTCTCCCTCTCCCTCTTTCCACGGTCTCCCTCTGAAGCTGGACTGTACTGCTGCCATCTCAGCTCACTGCAACCTCCCTGCCTGATTCTCCTGCCTCAGCCTGCCGAGTGCCTGCGATTGCAGGCGCGCGCCGCCACGCCTGACTGGTTTTCCTATTTTTTGGGTGGAGACGGGGTTTCGCTGTGTTGGCCGGGCTGGTCTCCAGCTCCTAACCGCGAGTGATCCGCCAGCCTCGGCCTCCCGAGGTGCCGGGATTGCAGACGGAGTCTCCTTCACTCAGTGCTCAATGGTGCCCAGGCTGGAGTGCAGTGGCGTGATCTCGGCTCCCTACAACATCCACCTCCCGGCAGCCTGCCTTGGCCTCCCAAAGTGCCGAGATTGCAGCCTCTGCCCAGCCGCCACCCCATCTGGGAAGGCCGCCACCCCGTCTGGGAAGTGAGGAGCGTCTCTGCCTGGCCGCCCATCGTCTGGGATGTGAGGAGCCCCTCTGCCTGGCTGCCCAGTCTGGAAAGTGAGGAGCATCTCTGCCCAGCCGCCATCCCATCTAGGAAGTGAGAAGCGCCTCTTCCCGGCCGCCATCCCATCTAGGAAGTGAGGAGCGTCTCTGCCCGGCCACCCATCGTCTGAGATGTGGGGAGCGCCTCTGCCCTGTCGCCCCGTCCGGGATGTGAGGAGCGTCTCTGCCTGGCCACCTCGTCTGAGAAGTGAGGAGACCCTCTGCCTGGCAACCGCCCTGTCTGAGAAGTGAGGAGCCCCTCCGCCCAGCAGCCGCCCCGTCTGAGAAGTGAGGAGCCCCTCTGCCCGGCAGCCACCCCGTCTGGGAAGTGAGGAGCGTCTCCGCCCGGCAGCCACCCGTCCGGGAGGGAGGTGGGGGTGTCAGTCCCCCGCCTGGCCAGCCGCCTCGTCCGGGAGGTGAGGGGCGCCTCTGCCCGGCCGCCCCTACTGGGAAGTGAGGAGCCCCTCTGCCCGGCCAGCCGCCCCATCCGGGAGGGAGGTGGGGGGGTCAGCCCCCTGCCCGGCCAGCCGCCCCGTCCGGGAGGTGAGGGGCGCCTCTGCCCGGCCGCCCCTACTGGGAAGTGAGGAGCCCCTCTGCCCGGCCACCACCCCGTCTGGGAGGTGTACCCAACAGCTCATTGAGAACGGGCCATGATGACAATGGCAGTTTTGTGGAATAGAAAGGGGGGAAAGGTGGGGAAAAGATTGAGAAATCGGATGGTTGCCGTGTCTGTGTAGAAAGAGGTAGACATGGGAGACTTTTCATTTTGTTCTGTACTAAGAAAAATTCTTCTGCCTTGGGATCCTGTTGATCTGTGACCTTACCCCCAACCCTGTGCTCTCTGAAACATGTGCTGTGTCCACTCAGGGTTAAATGGATTAAGGACGGTGCAAGATGTGCTTTGTTAAACAGACGCTTGAAGGCAGCATGCTCGTTAAGAGTCATCACCACTCCCTAATCTCAAGTACCCAGGGACACAAACGCTGCGGAAGGCCGCAGGGTCCTCTGCCTAGGAAAACCAGAGACCTTTGTTCACTTGTTTATCTGCTGACCTTCCCTCCACTATTGTCCTGTGACCCTGCCAAATCCCCCTCTGCGAGAAACACCCAAGAATGATCAATAAAAAACAAACAAATAAATAAATAAATAAATAAATAAATAAAAAGAAATCTTGATTGGAAAAAAAAAAAAAAGAATTTTGACAGCTCTACACTTCAGGACCTCATAGACAGGATGGGGATAGTAGTAAGTACCTTATTCAGGTTGTTGTTAGGATTAAATGATGTGCTTAAAGTGGCTAATGAGGTTTCTGGAATATGATAGACATAAAATAAATTGTAATTACTATTACTAAATTAGTTTGAGTGGCTAGGAAAAGGTTTATTTCAAGATATAGTATTTTTAAAAGATCAGATACATACTGTAGAATAATTTAATTATATGGCTTTTATTTTATACAGCATTTTTAAGGATGATGAACTAAACTTAAGTCTATTTCAACTTTCTTCACAGGTTCCGACACAAAAAGGACTGTCCATGAATTTATTAATGACCAGAGAGACAGGTTTCTGCTCGAGGTAGTAAAAATAACTTTTCTCCCCTAGCCAAGTGGAAGACTTCTTTCATAGTGTTTTCAAATATTTACCTTGACATTTTGCTTGTCTATTACATGTCCCAAATCTATTGGTTGAACAGGTTGGTTTTTTCACGTGTTCATTAATTTGAAAAATACTTACGGAGAGTTTACTATGTGCCAAGCAGTAAACAAAGCAAAGACCTGCCTCTCAAAGGATTTACATTCTAATATCCCAGACAAGGTTTTATACTTCCTGGAACCTATCAGAAAAATTATTCTAGAAAATGTCTGGTTCTAGTTTGTCCCTTTTTCTCCAATTATCTCTTCTATGACCAGGATAGTGCCTGAGATGCCCTATTTAATGCAGCTTCTCCTGATGCTTTGGCTGAAGATGGTGGGAATCCAAGCACTCTGGAAATTCAGACAATTCTAGAATCCCTCCAGCTTCCTTGATACCTATTCATGTCAGAACAGTGTGCCAGGTCCCTTATGGAGTCTTTTATAAAAAATAATAGAGGCTTTTTTTCCTGCCATCAAAAACTTTAGCTAGATGCCAGGCATATAACTGAAAACATGATTATTTGCTATGTCTATATGCATATTCATTTGCCATAGATAAAGCAGAGATGCCAAGCACTTAATGGGAAAATAATTACAAAATGAATGAATTGAACATTTTTATACCTTTATTGTCAAGTATCTAATAATCTAAAGATGTTGATGTGTCTCAATTAAACTCTTTGATGCTAATGAGTAAATAACAATGTACTTGACTTTTCCTAATTTCACATCACACATTTTGGGGCATAAATTTAGTTAGTTAGTACTTCCATACGCTGCCAGCTGCAATCAACATAAAATATCTCACTTAAAGTAACTGATAAAGTTATAAATAGAACCTGATGGCTTTGTTTGTTAAAAAGCATTTCCTGGGTGTGAGTTTGATCTTTATTATAAAGTCCTACTGACATAACTGATGTCCTAGGTAGTTTAAGGTGGTGCTTGACAGATACACTAGGATTTCAGGACATTTATATTAAATATACCTCATTTCCTTTCTTTACTATATCCCTCCCTCCCTCAACCAGTTTGGTGAAGTGTCCACTTATCAAAAAGACTTGTACAGTCTACCCTCTGTATCCACAGGTTCAGCATCTGAGAATTTAACAAACTGCAGATCAAAAATATTCAGAAAAAATGATAAAAAATAACAACAAAATAATACAAATTTTGAAAAATTATAAAGTATAACAACTATTTATATATAGCATTTACATTGGTATTAGGTACTATAATTAATCTACAGATTATTTAAAGTATATGGGAGAATGTACATGGTTATATGCAAATACTATTCCATTTTACATAAGCGACTTGAGCATCCACAAAGTTTGGTGTCCTTGGGGATCCTGGAGCCAATCTCCTGTTGATGCCAAGGAACAACTATTTGTAGTAAAAAATCTGGCCTTGTCCAGAAAGAGTCTGGCCTTTGCTCTTGACTTCCGGGTGGTAATCTATATCATACTTAATCAGGCTGTCTTTCTTTAATATAGAACTGGTCACATCTGACAGTCTTAGGGTGGAGGCTGCCCATCCCAGAAATATTAACAATGGGACTTAGAGGTGGGGCTTTGGGTCACACTCAGAGGGTCTGGAGACTGGAGACAGATCAACCACATGGTCAATCAATTAATCATGCCTAGTTAATGAAGCCCCAGTGAAAACTCTAGACACTGAAGCTCATTTCTGCTTCCCTTGTTGACAATATTCTCTGTGCGTTGTCACATGTAGATGCAGGGAGGATAACACCTCCTAGTTCCATGGGGAGGGAACACTGGAAGCTTTGCATTTAGAACTTACTCAGGCTCTGCCTTATGGGTCTCTTCCTTTGGATGATTTCAATGCATATTCTTTCCTTTTAATAAACTATACCCATGAGTATAATAGCTTTCAGTGAGTTTGTGAGTCCTTCCAGAAAATTATCAAAACTGACGGTATTTGGGGGAACCCCTCAAACTTGCGGTCAGTGTCAGAAGTGAGAGCAGTCTTGGGGACTATGATATGAAATTTTCAATTTGGCTAACTCTGGGTAACTTGTAATAGTTTTCAAAAACTGAAGTGGCTTCATGGCATCTTTATTTTTTTATTTATAGCAGAGTTGGGACATGAAATACCCATTTAAAAATTATTAACATTGACATATTATGAATTTAATATTATAAACACTTTATGCCAATAAATTTGACAACTTAGATGAAATAGATTCCTTGAAAGATGCAAACTACCAAAGCCTACCCAAGAAGAAAGAAATAAATGGTAGCTTTATGTCTCTTAAAGAAATTGAACTTACAGGTAAAAAACTTCTCACAAAGAAAAACCCAGATTTATTGGTTAATTCTGCCAAATATTTAAAGAAGAAATAAATTTAATTTTATACACACTGTTCCAAAAAAATGAGTAAGAAGAGGGAATACCTCACAACTCATGCTGTGAAGCCAGCATTACCCTCATATCAAAACTAGATAAAATGATTAGAAGACAAGAAAGCTAAAGACCAAGATCTCTCGTAAGCAAATATGCAAACATTCTGAACAAAATGTAACAAACCAAATCCAATAATACTAAAAAGATAATACATTATGACAAATTAGGGTTTAATCTAAGAATACAAAAGTAATTTAACATTTAAAAATAAATCAATGTAATACACATTAACAAATTAAAAATGAAAACCCATATGATTATCCCAATTGATGCAGAAAAACCACTCAACAATATCCAAAATTCATTCTTGATGGAGACTCTCAGCAAAGTAGGAACAGAAGAGAAGTTCCTCAACTTTATAAAAGGACATCTACTAGAAACTTATCACTAACATTACATATCTAATGGTAAAAGACTGAATGCTTTCCCCCTAAGATTAGGAACAAGGCAAGGATTTCCACTGCACCACTTCTTTTTGTCAGTGTTCTGGAGGTCCTAGCTAGTGCAATAAGACAAGAAAAAAAAATGAAAGACATTTAGATTGGAAATGAAGAATTAAAGCTGTCTTTATTTACAGACAACACGATCCTCTCTGCAGAAAATCTGAAGAAATCTATTTTAAAACTACCATAACCTATGAGTTTAGCAAGGTTGTAGCAAGGTCAATTTACAGAAATCAATTGTATTTTTATAAACTTGTAATGAAGAATTAAGAAACTAAAATTTAAAAAGCAATGCCATGTCCAACAGCATCAAAATATGAAATAATTCTAGATATGTTTGTAAAATATGTACAATAGATGTACACTGAAAACTACAAGACATTGCAGAGAAAAATTAAAGACCTAAATAAATGGAGAGTGATACCATGTTCATTGATCCAAAGACTCAATATTGCTGAGATGCCAAATCTTTCCAGATTGGTTTATAGATTAAATAATTTATTTAATCTATAAATGCAATCTCAGTACAAATCCCAGGCGTCTTTCTTGTAGAAATTGAAAGGCTGATTCTAAATTTTTTATGGAAATGCAAAGGACCTAGTTTCAAGAGCTATGAAGGATCTAAAATGCTATCCTACTTGCAAGCTAAGAAGTTAGTCTGCTGCAGTTTCATAGTTTCAATAGAAGACACCAGACTCCTGGGTCAGAAATAAAGAACAGTTTCTTATTTATAGCCATTCCACTCCTGGGAATTTATCCAAGAAAAATAAAAGCATATGTGCTCATAGCAACCTTATTTGAAGTAGCCCAATGTAGGAAACAAGCAAAATGTCCATGAACAGGTAAATGGGTAACCAAACTGGGGTATATCAACATAACTGATTACTACTCAGCAATAAAAAGGAATTAGTTATGGATATTCTACCAACATGGATGACTCTTAAAATAGTTGTACTAAGTTTATAAATCCAGACAGAAAAATAGTTCATACTATAATTTCACTAGATAAAATTCTAGAAAATGCAAGTTCGTCTATAGTGACAGAAGACAGGTCAGTAATTGCCTGGGAAAGGAGGTGGGGAGGAGGGAAGAAGGGATGGATTACAAAGGGCTTGAGTAGACTTTTTGAGGTGATGAATATGTTCATTGTTTTGATTGTGGTGATGATTTCCCAAGTATATACATATGTCAAAACTTAACAGATTGTATACTTTAAAAATGTGGAGTTTATTGGATAGTTATACCTCAATTAAACTAGAAAAAAATTATGAAAATGATTCTACAATTACTGATCTTTTCTAATTATTATTTTTCCCTCTCTGCTGGATTATTGCCACCAACATACAAACATCCTATTATTTACCCCATCTTTTAAAACAACCCCACCCCAAAAACCCTCTTTAGATATCAGTTTGGCTAACTCTGGGTAACTTGTAATAGTTTTCAAAAACTGAAGTGGTTTCATGGCATCTTTATTTTTTTATTTATAGCAGAGTTGGGACCCTCTTTAGATATCACATTACATACCATCTTCTGCCCCAATTTTCTGCTCTCCTTTATAGCAAAATTTTTCAAAAGCATTATACTTATTTCCTGCCTCCACTTCTTCTCTCCCTATTCTCTGCTAAATCCACTTCCATCAGGGTTTTGTCCTTATCATTCACCAAAACGACTTTTGTCAAAGTTACCAGAGACTTCTCTGTTGCTAAATCAAATTGTCACAGTATTCCTTTTATTTAACACTTGGCCTTTCAGCAGCAATTGGTCTATTCACACCTTTTTTGAAATACTATCTTCTGTGGGTTTCTGGGAGCCACTCTCTCGACTCTTCCACCTTGCTAACTGCTGCTGCTTCTCAGTTTTATGTGCTTGTTCTCCTCTTCTCCCTGATCTTCAAGTGTTGGAATGTCCAGGGCCCATTCCTTACCCTTTGCTCTGTCTACCCTCCTTCAGGCTCATGTCTTCGAATTCCACCTCCATATTAACAACTTCCAAATTTATTTCTCTAGCTTGATCTTCTTCCCTGAACTCCAGGCTCACAGATGCAACTGTAATTCTTAACATTTCCCATCGAGATGTTCAATAACCATTTCAGACTTCATGTTTCCTAAACTCCGCCCCTAATATACTCTTTCCTACCCCTGCAAGTCTGTATCTCATACCATAGTCCCTGGCTCACTAAATAGCAATTCCATTTTTCCACTTGCTTAGACCAAAAATATTGGGGTTATCCTTGACTCCTTTTTACAATCCACATCCAAACAGATCTTCAAAAATATTCTTTTTCAAAATATATCCATAATCAGACTACTGTTCATGACCTCCACAGCTACTACTGCAGTCCAAGCCACCAACATCTCTAGCATGTATTAGGGTTATAACTTCTAAACCTGGGTCTCCTGCTTCTACTGTTGCTCCCCTGCAGTCTGTCTGTTCTCCATACAGTGATAGGATCATGCCCTTCCTCTGCCAAAGGCCTCTAGCGACTTGATCTGGTCCCCAGCTTACTCTCTGACCTCACTCCTATCACTCTTTCTCTTGTCCCAAAAGACAACGATCCAAAATGCCATAATCCCAAACACTGAAATCCTGAAAGATCAAAATCTCAAAAATATAGTTCTGGAAAATGTAAACTTAAAACATTTTTAAAAGATATTTATTTATTTATTTACATTTTTAAAGGGGGATTTTTTTGAGAACATATAACAACATGACAGACCACCTGTTAAGCCACTTTGCACAATGAAGTAGGCAATAACAGCAACATATGTATTTTTGCCAGTACAAATACTCAGGCATTCTAATGACAATTGCACAGGTGTAACCATTATGAGCAGACTAACTATATGCAGAAAGAAATAGATCCAAAAGCAAAATGTATAAATGAATATTGCTATGGTTGGTAATTTGTGCACCCAGCTTTACAACTGCAGTCATCAAATAAACTTTATCAATAACACGTTGAAATTTTTTTAGAAGTCTTTGATCACCCCTAATTCCAAATCTGTCATTATGTCAACATATTGTTTGGAGACTCAACTGAAATCCGTTTTCGTCTGAATAAAGACGATAACAAGGTAATAGTTTTGTCTAACATGATGCCACTATCCTGTGATTTTGATTTTCAGGATTTTAGACATTAGGGATTTTAGAATTTTGATCTTTCGGGATTTTGACATTTGGGATTATGGCATTCAGTATTGTGTATTAGGGATTATGATTCAAACCCTTTCTCTTGCTCACTCTGCTCCAGCCTTGGTGGTCTCTTTGCTGTTCCTGGGACACACCAATCACTCTCTTGTCTCCAGGCTGATGCACTGGAGGCTCTTCCTTATATTAGGCTGGTGCAAAAACAACTGTGGTTTTTGCTATTTCAATGGCAAAAACCACAATTACTTTTTCACCAACCTAATAGGAGGAACATTCCTCCCTCAGAAATCCTCATGATTGGTTTCCTACTTCCTTCCAGTCTCTGTTTAATTCTCACCACATCAGGGAGACTTTCCTTGGCTGTTCTATACATGATAGCAACCCCCTGCCCTTGTCCACAGCACCCCATCCCGCTTTCATCAGCTTCCTTCCTCTTCTAGAATGGACACTCCATACAAGCATTTATGTTTCTTTGGTTCATCACTCTATTTACACCCCTTAAAACAGTCCTGGCACACAGTAGGCACTCAGTAAGTACTTGCGGAATAAAGTAATGAATGAAGCATTTTTTGCTATAAACTTGGAGGGTCTAATTATTGGTTGTTATCTCTTTAAAATCATCTCATTTCCATATTTTCAATTCATTTATATTATGTATGTGGCCTTATTTATGATTTAATTTTTTCCTGCATGGTATTAAAAACCCAAATAGGTCTGGGTGTGGTGGCTCACGCCTGTAATCCCAGCACTTTGGGAGGCCAAGGCAGGTGGATTGCTTGAGCTCAGGAGTTTGAGACCAGCCTGGCTGACATGGCAAAAACCATCTCTACTAAAAATACAAAAATGAGCTGGGCATGGTGGTGTGCACCTATATAGTCCCAGCTACTTGAGTGGCTGAGGTGGGAAGATTGCTTGAGCCTGGGTGGTCAAAGCTGCAGTGAGCCAAGATCACCCCACTGCACTCCAGCCTGGGTGACAGAGCAAGACCTTGTCTCAAAAACAAAACAAAACAAAAATCACCACATGGACTTTTATATTCTGTACTAAAAAAATAGAAGGAACTAGAAGGCAGATGTCAAAGTTGTGTTTGGGGATCTAAACAGGCCTCTTTGATTACAGTTAGATGTGGTACCCTTGGGCTGGCTCCCAGGAATGCATCACTGGCATGGCAGAGTTGAAACTGCTTTCTCCCATGGTCTTCCTATTGGAGGAGAAGCTGGTAGCTTTTGTGACTGCAGACAACCCAGTTTCCCAATTCCCAGAAAGTACTGGAGGGTAATACACTGTAGGTAATACCAGATGCACCTGCTCTTTGGAGGAATATGCAGCTATTTTTTATTTGTAGGGCAGAGCCCTTTTGGAACAACACTGACCCTCTTCATAGAAGTAAGGGAGGGAAATTAGTCTCCCCTCTAATTATCCCTGAAAATAAAACTCCTTCAAGAAATAAAGTCCATTGCTCCAAGATTTAGGCGTACTATTATTTCTAATACAAATGTTCACTTGCTGTGTATAAGACTGTTGAAATTACTAAAAATGTGGAATCATGTTTTTACACCTCTGTCTTCAATGCCCCTAGTATGCTTTGTCAACCAAAAGAAACACAATCAAAAAGTTTGAAAAAGACATAGCAATGAGGGAACGGCAACTAAAAAAAGCAGAGAAAAAGCTCCAAGATGATGCACTGGCCTTTGAAGAGTTCCTTCGAGAAAATGACCAGAGATCTGTAGACGCTCTGAAAATGTTTGTTTCATCACTCTGGCCAAATCCTTCCCACCTCTTTTGTTTGTTTGTTTGTTTGTTTGTTTCTAAGAAGCAAATTAACAGATCTTCATTGCTTTTCAGGGCAGCACAGGAAACAATAAACAAACTCCAAATGACAGCAGAGCTGAAGAAAGCAAGCATGGAGGTACAAGCAGTGAAAAGGTGAGGGTGGGCACAATCTTCTCGTGGCCAAATTTCCACGACCCATTAAAACCTATTCATGCCAGGTAAGACCTAATAATCCTGATCATCCTTATCAGTTGATGATGTCATAAGTATGAACGAATTTTAAAAAATAAGTAACCTGTCCATCAAGATTTGTTCCTGCCTGGGTATCAGGACAGTATGTGGCTTCCGGTTGGAAAGTCTCTCTAACTTGTAGATACAGAAGCAAAGAAGTTAGATGAAGCAAAACAATTAGGAATAAACAATAAATTATTATCTAAGTGCCCTTCCTCATTCATTCATTTTTTTCTTTTTATATTTTTAGTTTAGTCTGGTTGCACTTTTGCATTCATTCTGAGACATTTTTTCCCCCACATTTTAACATCTCTGAAATTGGGACTCATTCTACGATCATCTTACAGTCATCATGGGCAGTATTTTTTATATTTACGCTTACATAGTGGAAACTAGTATTGCTATTAAAAACTAAGATCTGCTGGGCACACTGCTTGCCTCTCAGCTCCTTTGGAAGCTGAGGCGGGAGGATCGCTTGAGCCCAGGAGTTCAAGTGAAGTCTTAGCAACACAGTGGGACCCCATCTTTAGTAAAAATAAATAAAAATAAAAAACTAAGATCTATAAAGAGAAAAAAGCATTGGAGCAGGAGTTGGGATAAAATTGTACCATCTGCCACTCTTTTTCAAACTTGGATGTTTCCTTCTATGGTCAAGGAAACTCACTTGAACTAATTTTTTTTTTTTTTTTTTTTTTTGAGAGGGAGTTTCACTTTTGTTGCCCAAGCTGGAGTGCAATGGCATGATCTCGGCTCACTGAAACCTCCACCTCCTAGGTTCAAGCGATTCTCCTGCCTCAGCCACTTGAGTAGCTGGGATTACAGGTGCCCACCTCCACGCTTGGCTCATTTTTTGTATTTTTGGTAGAAATGGGGTTTCACCACGTTAGCCAAGCTAGTCTCAAACTCCTGACCTCAGACAATCCACCCACCTCAGCCTCCCAAAGTGCTGGGATTACAGGCGTGAGTCACCGCGCCCGGCCTAACTAATTTTAAGTAGCTAAAGAAGCTTCCTTCTGTCATCATTTTTGGACAGTAATTTCATGATTCAGAATACACTGTAGTGTTGGTATCAGGTCAATGCTAAAACTTACTTTTCCTTTTTGAGAACTTGATGCTTACCTCCCCTCTAGAACTAGGTCCTAGGCTTCTTACATCCTTCAGACAAGCGAGTCTGAAATAAAGCAGAGTTGGTTTCTCTGAAACCAACTGCACTAACAGAATGTGCATTTCATATTCTGGCTACAGCAGGCTCTTCTATTTTAGGAGCCTAAAGCTGAAGCTGCTCCAAGATGGAGAATTTCCTTCTCTCTTTCACCCCCGATGCAATTAGAAGTTTCTATCCATTTATAGATTATTTCTAGAGCTAGAGTAGCAGCCTCTATTTTTGTGCAAAGTATTGCATTTATGCACAATAGCCGCCGAGTTGAGCCCTCCAAATGGTCTTGCTGAAGATAACTTGATCGTTGATGTATCACATCATCTAGAAAGGTGCAGGAGATCATGAAAAACAAGCCTGTAGTGGAGCAAGGGCAGCAGGTGCTCTTCTCTCTTTATGGCTCGAGATGGCCCCAGGAGGCCTCCTCTACGGGTAGGGCTGGAAAGGGAAGGGGGCATCTTCTGAAGCTTTTGCTTGGAAACTGTATCTTTCCAGCCAATTGTCACCTCGTGTTCTTTGTAGCATATCTGGGAGGATTTCAATCTAAAACGGAGGCAGCAGTAGAATGAAGGTCTCCCATCAATCTTCCAACTGGTGATACGTGAAGCAGCCATTTACTGACCCTTGAATATCACTCTTGCACCAGGGCTGAAGGAAGGCTCTGACAGATAGAAGTATTAAAGCTGAAAACATTGATACAAAGTAATATTGATATCTTTCAGATAAAGGTTTGGAAGCTCCCTTTCAAGTGGGCCTTCTTTTGTTATTTTAACATCCCTCTTTGTCCACTTTGTAATGTAATTACTATAACGCAATGTGAAGCTGGGCAAAAGCTTTTGGTCCAAGTCACTCAATATTGGCAAGAGCTTGGGCATCTGAGTCAGATGGACCTAGGTTTGAGTGCTGGCTCTACCATTTACATCTCCTTTCCAAGATAAGAATAATAGTACCTATTTTAAAGTGCTGTCCTGAGGATCAGCCTATGTCTGTAGTGTGTCCTGCCTGTAGTAATAGGTCCTCATTAAGTGTTAGTTTCTTTCTTTTCCTTACAAATGTACCATCTTTTGCTACTTTCTTTTTTTTTTTTTTTTTTTTGAGACAGAGTCTTGTTCTGTCGCCCAGGCTGGAGTGCAGTGACGTGATCTCAGCTCACTGCAACCTCTACCTCCCAGGTTCAAGTGATTCTCCTGCCTCAGCCTCTTGAGTAGCTGGGATTACAGGCATGCGCCACCACGCCTGGCTAATTTTTGTATTCTTAGTAGAGACAGGGTTTCACCATGTTGGCCAAGCTGGTCTTGAACCCTTGACCTCATGATCTGCCCTCCTTGGCCTCCCAAAGTCCTGGGATTACAGGGGTGAGCCACCATGCCCGGCTTTTTTTTTTTTTTTTTTTTTTCGAGACAGAGTTTTGCTCTTGTTGCCCAGGCTAGAGTGCAATGGCACGATCTCGGCCCACTGCAACCTCTGCCATCCGGGTTCAAGCGATTCTCCTGCCTCAGCCTCCCAAGTAGCTGGGATTACAGGCGCCCACCACCATACCTGGCTAGTTTTTTCTATTTTTAGTAAAGACGGGTTTTCTCCATGTTGGCCAGGCTGGTCTTGAACTCCTGACCTCAGGTGATCTGCCTGCCTTGGCCTCCCAAAGTGCTGGGATTACACGTGTGAGCCACTGCACCCGGCCCTTTTGCTACCTTCTAATTTCTCCCTATATCTAAAACTTAATACAGTGTTTCCTACAGAATAATAAACAAGTCGAGTAAAACTATCATGTCTATTCTATGTGTGCATATCCTTGGACATGTTTTATTTAAACAGCATTCCTAGAGTTTTCCTTCATCTCATTTCATATTCACTGAAGCCCATATTTTTATGGCCATATTTATCCTTTTTGATAATTAAATTATTAATTCAGTACATAAGAGAAACAATTTTATAAAAATTTTTTTCTAATGAATGTGCTTTCACACTGATATACCTAATCATATCTTTGTTTCTTTTGAGTAGTGAAATAGCAAAAACAGAATTCCTCCTCAGGGAGTATATGAAATATGGTTTTTTTCTGCTGCAAATGTCTCCAAAACATTGGCAAATCCAGCAAGCACTAAAAAGAGCACAGGCATCAAAAAGTAAAGCAAATATCATCCTTCCAAAAATATTAGCAAGTAAGTTACTTATACTCAACTTTCATGAACTAAATATCCCTAACTCTAAAATCATCTGCTTCAATGTTTTTTATCTAAATAGATATTTTTTTAAGCAGGATCTAAACTAAGATTTTCACTATCTCTGTTATTGTATATCATTAATTTGGAAACTTGAGCTAATTTCAGATATAAAGTGTCTTTGCCTATTTATGTTGCTGTAGAGGAATACTTAAGGCTGGGCAATTTATAAAGAAAAGAGGTTTATTTGGCTCACAGTTCTGCTGGCTGCACAAGAAGTGTGGTGCCAGTGTTTATTTCTGGTGGGGGCTTCAGGCTGCTTCCACTCATGGCAGAAGGGAAACATGTGTACAGAGACCACATGGTGCAAGGAGAAGCAACGGGGAGGGGAAGCAGGTGCCAGGCTCTTTTCAACAAGGAGCTCTTGTGGAAACTAAGAGAGTAAGAACTCACTCATTCCTATGAGGATTGCAACAAGCCATTCATAAGGAGTCTACCCCCATGACCTAAGCATCTTTCACTAAGCCCCACCTCTGACATTGGGGACCAAATTCCAACATGAGATTTGGAGTGTAGCATAAAGCAATAAAAATATATGCATGGGGAAAGAGAAAATATATTATTTGCAACTGATATGGTAGCCATACCTAGAAATCCCCTCTAAAAACCTGAGAGACTGTTTGATTTTATTAAAGGATTCTGTAAACAGACACAAAGTCATTCATTTTTATTTTTATTTTTTGTTTTGTTTGGTTTTGTTGTTGTTTTTGAGATGGAGTCTCTGTCTGTCACCCAGAGCTGGAGTCCAATGGCACAATCTCAGCTCACTGCAACCTCCGCCTCCCAGGTTTAAGATATTCTCCTGCCTCAGCCTCCTGAGTAGCTGGGACTACAGCCACGCACCACCATGCCCAGCTAATTTTTGTATTTTTAGTAGAGACGGGGTTTCACCATGTTGGCCAGGATGGTCCTGATCTCTTGACCTTGTGATCTGCCCGCCTCGGCCGTCATGTTTTATTAACCTAACAAATTAACCTAAGTTTTATGTTTTATTAACCTAACATGTTATGTTTTATTTATATATTAACATATTTTTATGTATGCTATATATATATGTTATTTACTTATATATTAACATATTTATGTTTTATTAACCTAACATATTAACCTAAGTAAACTAACTTTATTAATTAGAAAATACACAAGAAGGTGGGACATGGTGGCTCATGTCTGTAATCCCAGCATTTTGGGAGGCCAAGGCAGTCAGATCAGTTGAGCCCAGGAGTTTGGGACCAGCCTGGACAACATGGCAAATCCCCTTCTCTACAAAAAACAAAATATTAGCTGGGCGTGGTGATGCACACCTCCCAGCTACTCAGGAGGCTGAGGTGGGAGGATCACCTGAAACCCCGGAAGTTGAGGTTGTAGTGAGTTATGAGCATGCCACTGCACTCCAGCCTGGGTGATGGGAGTGAGACCCTGTCTCAAAAAAGAGAGAAAGAAAGAGAGAGAGAGAGAAAGAGAGAGAGGGAAAGAAGGAAGGAAGGGAGGGAGGGAGGGAGGGAGGGAGGGAGGGAGGGAAGGAAGATAAGTTAAATCTAAGAAAACCTGTCTCAAAAAAGAAGGAAGGGAATGGAATGGAAGGGAAGGGAAGGGAAGGGCAAAGGAAGGGAAAAGGAAGGAAAGAAGGAAGAAAAGAAAGAAAATATATGAGGAAATTAAGTCTAAGAAAACAACAATAACCTTAATGTGTGTGAGCTGGAGTTTTGAGAAATAGAAAGCTACGTCATGTTTTCAGATAGAAAGATTGATATTGTAAAGTTGCCAAATATTCTAAAACTAATGTATAAGTTTTATGGAATTATAATTAAAATGTTACCAAAAATGTATCAGAGAATTGGGTCTTGGTTGGGGAGAACTTTGCACAATGATCCAAAGGTTCATCTAGAAAGATAAACAAATACTTTTGAATTCGGAAGGTAATGGGAGGAGGATTACAAATGCTTTAAAATTTTATATATTATCATGGAGTCTCAGTAATTGAAACAGTCATGTACTGGCATTGGGTCAGCTCAACGGACCAGATATGGGTCCCACTACATATATATATAAGAATTTAAGTCCGGGTGTGGTGGCTCATGCCTGTAATCCCAGCATTTTGGGAGGCCAAGGTGGGTGGATCACAAGGTCAGGAGTTCGAGACCAGCCTGACCAACATGGTGAAACCCCGTCTCTACTAAAAAATACAAAAATTAGCCAGGCATGGTGGCGCATGCCTGTAATCCCAACTACTCAGAAGGCTGAGGCAGGAGAATCGCTTGAACCTGGGAGGCGGAGGTTGCAGTGAGCTGAGATCACACCACTGCACTCCAGGCAGACCCTGTCTCAAAAAAAAAAAAAAAAAAGAATTTAAGCCAGGTACAGTGGCTCACATCTGTAATCCCAGCACTTTGGGAGGCTAAGGAGGGAGGATTGCTTGAGCCAGGAGACCAGCTTGGGCAACATAGTGAGACATAGTCTCTACAAAAAATTTAAAAATTAGCTGAGCATGGTGGCATGCAACTGTAGTTCTACCACTAGGGAGGCTGAGGTGGGAGGATTGCTTGAGCCCAGGAGGAGGAAGTTGCAGTGAGCCATGATCATGCCACTGCGCTCCAGCCTGGGCAACAGAACGAGACCCTGTCTCCAAAAAAAAAAAAAAAAAAAAAAAGATTGTAATAAGTGAAAGCGGGGTCACAAATCAAAGGGGATGATTTGCACTTTCAACTAACATTGGGGTAACCAGGACCAGACTTAGCCTCTTGCCTGAAAAACTGGATAAATACATGAAACAGGAATTTTCAGACATTGGACATCAAACAGTAAAGCAGAGTGAGACTCCGTCTCAAAAAAAAAAAAAAAAAAAAAGCAGAGTGATCCCTTGGAGAGGGGAAACCAGGGAGGTGAGCCCTAGGATTGCCTCAGCTTACTACCTGGAGAGAGAGTTTCCAGGATGCAGTGCAGGGATGGGAGCCAGGGGCAGCCCAGCTGAGAACTGATGCCACTACTCCAGGATAGGAGCATTTACAACACAGAAATTGGCGAACTACAAATCAGGGGGAATTTGCTTTCTAGAGAGTTGGTTGTTAAACCTTTACCAACACACCACTAATGGTTTCCCTGCTGAGTTCCCTAGGTCTCTCACTGTGCCAAGTGTGATTAAATTAGGTCATATGTGTAAAGTGTTGAGCACATGAAAAAATTTGGTTAAAGCTAAATGGTGTTGCACAAGAGGGAAAACAAGTGGGAAAAAAAAAACAAGAAGTATTTGCATTCAACAATTTAAAATTCAGTCCTTCTGGGGCCAGGTGCGGTGGCTCCATCTTGTAATCCCAACAATTTGGGAGGCCAAGGCAGGCGGGGTGCTTGAGCCGAGGAGTTGGAGACCAGCCTGGGCAACATGGTGAAACCCCATCTCTACAAAAAAAATACAAAAATTAGCCAGGCATACTGGTGGACACCTGTAGTCCCAGCTACTCTGGAGGCTGAGGTGGGAGGATGGATTGAGCCCAGGAGGTCAAGGCTGCAGTGAGCTGTGATGGTGCCACTGAACTCCAGCCTGGGTAACAGAACAAGACCCTGTCCCCAAAAAAATAAAATAAAATAAAAAATTTCATCTCGGTTCATGATCCAAATAGAGAATGTTCAGAAACTAGTTAAGTCTGTCAGTCCAGAGGCTTGAAAGCTAACATTTGGGATTTAAGGAGTTACGACAGATGGATGTTGAAAATGGAGATGTCCTAGTGCCCTACCAGTCAGTTCTCACACATTCTCTTAACCCAGGGACCAGCCCTTACTATCTGCATATTGTGTTTGCATATTACCATCTGCATATTATGTTTGCATATTACTATCTGCATATCACGTTTGCTGGTTGATAATGTCTCCAACTTATATTTCTGTCCCTGGAAGTTTTGACAATAACTCTATCTTCACCCTGAGACAAAGCTCTCTTTCTCAGCAGTGTTTTTTTCCCCCCATCTTTCTCTGTCTCTCTCCTCTTCATTTGCCATTTCTAGAATTATCATTACATTCAAGTAACAAGGAAGGCATCCTTGAGGAGTCCGGGAGGACAGCTGTCCTTTCAGAAGATGCTTCTCAGGGAAGAGACAGCCAAGGTAAAGGTAGATTTGGGACTCATGAAAGTAAAACCTGCGAATGTGTCCATCTCAAAGTGGAGACAGAGGACTACAAGCCAACCTGGAAAATGGAGGGCTGTGTCCACCCCACCCTCAATCCTAGCAGCCAGGGGCTCTGGTTCTCTCTCTCACGTTATCACAAAATGCCAAGAGGTGCACGAGTGGATAGAATAGGCAGAGAATCAGAGGAAGAGGGCCCCTGAGACATACCCTGGCTGGCCAGCACATGTCCTGAAGTCCTTCCAAGCTGAGGCCCCTCGTTTCTCTGGCGCGGACCTGCCTTCTGCCGTTGGCAGGCCCACTCCCAGGGTCCAGAAAACCAGGCCATTTGCAACGAGGTGACTGACTTTGGCCAGTGATTCAGAGAATTTACCCTTGGGAAAAGGATTAATTTAGAGCAGAGGTAGCTCTAACCTACCCACCATCAACTCCAAGAAGTCCTTCACTATCACCATCTCTCCCAGGTGGAATGACCCTCCTCCTCCCACTCTGCATCACAAGTTCAGACCGGAGATTTGGCCCACTGGGCTGCGCTATCTGGCCCCAGTGTTTTGGTGTTGTTTGGCTTGGTGGCCAATGTTTAAAAATCAGCACATGTAGGCCAGGCATGGTGGCTCACACCTTTAATCCCAGCACTTTGGGAGGCTGAGGCAGGTGGATCACTTGAGCCCAGGAATTCAAGACAAGCCTGGGCAGCATGGAAAAAACCCATATCTGCCAAAAATACAAAAATTAGCTGGGCATGGTGGTATACGCCTATAGTCCCAGCTGCTGAGGAGGTTGAGGTAGGAGGATCGCTTGAGCCCAGCAAATCGAGGCCATGGTGAGCAGTGATGGTGCTGCACCACTGCACTCCAGCCCGGGTAACGGAGTGAGACCCTATGTCAAATAAATAAATAAATAAATAAATAAAGTAAAATAAGCATATGTCATGAAAAAAATCTGTATTTCTATCTTCTCTTGAAAACCACAAGATCTGAAGTCTGGGATCAAGTTGGGAACTTTCTTGTGGGAGGGGTCTGATCTCTCCAGTTGCTTTGTTCTTACTGGGTCCACTCCACTCCTTTACCTGCCCTTCCCTGTATCCATCTGAGTTTGCAGCCCCCAATTCAGGCTGACTCCTGGGGACTCCTTTTCTCCTGTATCCTGCTATCAAACTTGGGATGTATTTAGTATTGGGATAAAGGTCAGGAATACAAGTTGCCTGCCCAGAAATGACCCTGGTATAAGCCTGAAGCCTTGTGCATCTGGCCAGCTGATTGAAAAGTAAATTCTTTTGTGTTGTGAGGCCACTTTGGCTCACTTTAAGACATACTACTTTGCCTGTTGGAAGATCTTGAGTAGGGTGTGGGGGCAGGGGTGGGGTAGAGGGAGTGGGAGGTGGTGTCAATGTTCCCTTCTCTTTGAAATTTTGAATATAGAAGTTTCTCAGTTTAAATAACACCTCTTAACAATACTTTTTAGTAGTACATGTTAGGGTACCAGCTTAAAAGCTGAGACAGACCGGGTGCGGGGGCTCACGCCTGTAATCCTAGCACTTTGGGAGGCTGAGGTGGGTGGATCTCCTGAGGTCAGGAGTTCGACATCAGCCTGGCCACCATGGTGAAACCCCGTCTCTAGTAAAAATACCTGTAATCCCAGCTACTCGGGAGGCTGAGGCAGGAGAATCGCTTGAACCTGGGAGACAGAGGTTGCAATGAGCCGAGATCATGCCATTGCACTCCAGCCTGGGCGACGAGAGTGAAACTCCATCTCAAAAAAAAAAAAAAAAAAAAAAGCTGAGACAATAATAATAATAAGATGGTGATGGGACCCATCTGATTGGTTCTTCTTCATCCATTTTTTTTCCCCTTCTTTCCTTTACTCACCGTGTATTTATTGGAGACATAAATGTTTCAGGTGCTCTTCAAGACCCCACGTACACAAAGACAAACAGTACATAGTTCTGCATCCCAGAACTACACACTACAATGGGGCGAATGATATATAGTTATAGACAGTGAGGGCTCTGGAGGGAAAAGCCAAAAGTGTGATCTCTGCCTGAGGCATTTAGAAGAGTCTGTGCCTTTCATTTTATTCTTACGCATGCAACTCAGTTTCAATAGAATAAAAGACCTCCATTTTCTATGCAATTATCATTCCAATAATAAAATAATTTTTTAAAAAAAGAAAGAAGTAATGGGCATGTCTGTGCAGAAAAATGAATACCTTGCACCAAGTGCACGGGCTCATTTCTAATTCCATGTTATTTCTTTTCACTCCACCATCACCAACGGCATGGCCTCACCTGGACATTTTGAACAGGAAAGCCAAGCAGAAGCCTGACTCGCACTCCAGAGAAAAAGAAATCAAAGTACAGTATATACTTGACTAACTCCCTTGGAAACTGGGAATGGTTTTCAGCAAATAACTTTTAAAGCCTTTTCTCAACATATATGTCATGTACCCATAACTGTTGTAAGAGATCCTGGAAGTAGTGGTGCCATTTCTGTGCACTCCTGAGATCTCACAGGCCTCTCTCCAATCTTTGTTAAGTACCTACAGCTATTATTTGCAGAAGCTATCTGCCCCGCCCCCTGCATCTTGGGTCTTTGCTTCTCAGAACCCACTGCCCTATTTTTTATTAAGCTATTCTGCTAGCCTGTGTGTTTGCAATTTCACCATGTGATTCAAAATTCCTGCAATTAGGATCATAAAGTATTTTTTTGTTGTTGTTTTCCCCCTCACTTAATTGTTCACTCATTTGTACTCATTATTTCAGAAGTCACTCGTTCTCAACCCTTACTACCCCAAGAGAGCTTCTTTAAGAAAATATGTTGATGCCTGGGATGGGTACACCAGCCCAGAGGAAGGGATCTGGGCCAGCATCACAGTATCATGACAATCACTGAGAGAAACGGAAACATTTTGCTGTGAATTCTAGGCACCCTCTGAATTCTAGACACCCACTTCTGTGGCATTTGGCACAGATTTTTTTGTAATTAAATGTTCATTTTGAGATCGTTTTAGATTCACGTACAATTGTAAGAAATAGTACAGAGAGACTCCATATACCTTTTACTCAGTTTCCTCCAATGGCATCATCTTGCAAAACTGTAGCACAAATACCATAACCAGGATATTGACATGGATGCCATCAAATACAGAACGTCAGCGCAGGGTTCTTCATGTTGCCCTTTCAGAGCCACACCCACTTCCCTCTCCCACCTCCCCTTAAACCCTGGCAACCGCCAATGCGTTCTGCATTTCTATGATTGTGTTATTCCAAGAATGTTCTATAAGTGGAATCCTACAGTATGTAATCTTTTGGGATTGGGTTATTTTACTAAGCATAATTCTCTGGAGATTCACTTAAGTTGTTTGGTCTATCAGTAGTTGGATCCTTTTTATTGATGAGTAGTATACTATGGTATGGACGTGCTACAGTTTAACTATTTGCTCATTGAAGGCCATCTGGATTATTTTTAGTTTGGGGATATAGTGAATAAAGTTGCTACAAATATCTTTGTTCAACCTTTTGTGTGAACATAATTTTCACTTCTCTGGAATAATTATAATGTAATGCCTGATTGGATGGTAGATGTGTGTTCAGTGGTTTTTTTTTGTTGTTTGTTTGTTTCCTTTTTGAAATGGAGTCTCGCTCTGTCACCCAGGCTGGAGTGCAATGGCACAGTCTCTGCTCACTGCAACCTCCACCTCCCAGGTTCAAGCAATTCTCTTGTCTCAGCTTCCTGAATAACTGGGATTACAGGTGCCTGCCACTACGCCCAGCTAATTTTTGTTATTTTTAGTAGAGATGGGGTTTCACCATGTTGGTCAGGCTGGTCTCGAACTTCTGACTTCAGGTGATCCACATGACTTGGCCTTCAAAGTGCTGGGATTACAGGCGTGAGCCACCACGCCCGGCCGCATGTTCAGTTTTTAAAGAGATTGATAAGTTGTTTCTCAGAGTGGCTATGTCACTTTACATTCCCACTAGCATTGTATGTGGGGTCCAGTTTCTTCATATCCTCAACAGCATTTGGTGTTTTCACTGTCTTTTATTTTAACTATTCTGGTAGGTATTAATTGATTTTCCTAGTAGCTAATGATGTTGCGCATCTTGTCGTGTGCTTGTTTGCATCTTTATATCCTCTGATGAAATATCTATTCATGTCTTTTGCTCACTTTCTAACTGAATTGCCTTTTATTAAAACTGTTGCATTTTGAAAATTCTGTATATATTAGATACTAGTCCTTTGGGGATATGTGGTTTGCAAAGAATTTCTCTGAGTGTATAGATTGTCTTTTTTATCCTCTTAATAGGGTCTTTTGCAGAGTGAAAGTTTTAATTTTGATGAATTTCGGGTTATGAATTTTTTCTTTTATAGTTCATGCTTTTGGTGTCAATTCTAAAACGTTTTCCCTAGCCTTAGACTCAAAGATTTTTTTCCATATTTTTTCTTAGGTGTTTTATAGTTTTACATGTAAGTTTGTGATCCATTTTCCATTTTGAGTTAATTTTTGTATAAGGGGTGAGGTTTAGATTGTGGTGATGGTGCTTTTTTGCCTGTGTATGTCAATTGCTCCTGCACCATTTGTTGAAATGGCTTCTTTCATTGAATTGCTTTTGCACCTTTGTCAAAAATCACTTAGGCATATTTGTTGGGGGCTATTTCTGGATTCTCTATTCTGTTCCATTGATCTTTGTGGCTGTCCTGCCACATGATCTTGACTACTGTAGCTATTAGTTTTTTGTTTGTTTGTTTGTTTTTAGTATAGGCAAGCTTTATTATGTATGGCCTTGATTTCACAAAGTTAGAATAGCAATTACACTTAAAATTAACTCATTAAAAGGTGTAAATATCACAGTATAGATATGTTATCCAAAACTCCAAAGGTAGTGAAACTGGTAACATACTGCTACTTATCTTTGGACAGATACAACCATAGTATTAATGGAACTGGTTCTCAGACAAGTATGTACTACTTGCTCCCGTGCCTTAGGGAGGATAGGATGTTATAACATAGGCATTATTGATGCAGTGACTCGTGGATAGTTGCTCCTAATTAACACTGCTAAAATTAGGTTCACATGTTTTACTTTGTGTGGGAGCTGATGACTCTTGTTCTTCTATGTTTTGAGTGATATCTTTCAAGGTGTTGACATCAAATCCACTCATTCCAAAATGCATCACAGATGGGAACTTAAGCCTCTTTACAAAGCAAACCACTGGAAATTTATAGGTAGTATGCAGCACTGGTCTGTAACTGATCTCTGATAATATAGCAACATCATTTCTTTGGAACATAATTTTCTTGATCCCACAAGAAGTGACAGGATAAGAAAACTCATAGTTAAATGGCAACAGTCTTGTTACAGGACAGTTATCTCCCAGGTGTATGTCACCAGTTTTAATTTCTGAGTTGTTATCAAAGGGCCTTATTTTCATTCTAACAACCAATCATCAGAACACATTGAAACTATTGCAAGTCAGACAGTGACCTAAGCCATCAGCAGTCAACTCAGTCATTGCTGCAGTCCAAACAGTGTCTTCTTTATCCACTGAAGATCTGTGTCTTAGGACTGGGTCGAGTCCAGAAGAATTCCAAAACAATAGAGAAAACAGGAAGGACCCGCCTAAGGGCACAGAGGTCTTCATTGCTCCAGATTCCAACACACAACACAGGGAACAGGAAATGGCCTGTAGCTATTAGTCTCGAGGTCAGGGAGACTTCTTATGTAATTCCTGTTTTTCAAAACTGTGTTGGCTATTCTAGCTCCTTTTTCTTTTTATATAAATTTTAAAATAACCTTATCTATATCTACAAAAAAACTTTCTGGAATTATGATGGGAATTGTGTTAAGCCTTTTTATGGGTTGAATTATGTCCCCCACAAAGATATGTAGAAGTCCTAACCCATGGTACTATGTACATGACCTTATCTGGAAAAAATATATATATTTTTATTACACCTTTGCAGACTTAATCAAAGTAAGATGAAGTCATTAGGGTAGACCCTTAATTCAGTATGACTGGTGTCCTTACAAAAGAAGAGACACTGAGACACAGGGAGAATGCCATGTGATGACAGAGACAGAGATTGAAGTGATGTGGCTGCAAGCCAAGGACTGCTGGCAATAGGAGCAGCTAAGAGAAAGGTATTAATAGATTCTTCCCTGGAGCTCTCAGAGAGAACATGGCCTGTTGACACCTTGATTTCTGACTTCTAGCCTCCAGAACTGTGAGAGAATAAGTTACTGTTGCTTTAAGCTGTTGTTTGTTACATCAACCCTAGGAAACTAACACAAACCTGTATATCAATTTGGGGATAATTGATTTCTTTACTATGTTACATTTTCCAATCCATAAACACAGTCTGACTCTCCATTTGTTTAGATCTTCTTTGATTTCTTCAGCCTTCTGTAGTTTTCAGCTTACAAATCCTATACATGTTTTGTTAGATTTATAGCAAAATATTTTTGTCTTTTCTTTTTGAACAATTGTAAATGGTATTGTACTTTGTATTTTGGTGTCCATGCAGTCATTGCTAATATAGAGAAATACAATTGATTGTATACCCTGACCGTACTGAACTCACTTATTAGTTCAAGAATTTTGTTTTGTTTTTAAAGATTCCTGTGGACTTTCTAAGTAGACCATTATGTCATTTGCACATAGCGACAGCTTTATTTCTTCCTTTCTGATCTTTATGCCTTTTATCTCTTTTTCTTGCTTTATTGCAATGGGTAGAACTTTTGATGTTGAATAAGAGTAGAGGGAGCAGATATCTTTGTCTTGTTCCCAGTCTTGAAAGGATTCAGTTTTTCACCATTAAATATAACGTTAGCTGGAGGATTTTTGTAGATGTGCATACTCTATCAAGTTAAGAAAGTTCTTCTCTGTTCCAGTTTTCCTGAGAGTTTTTATCAAAATGAGTGTTGAATCCTGCCAAATGCCTTTTCTGCATCTAGATGCTCACAGTAACATGCAGACACCACATTCGCTCCCTCAGAAAGCTCACCACTCTCCTAGTCTCATCCATTCATTCAACAAATACTTATTGAGTGCCCCAACAATAAACAAAAGATAATCTCTGCCCTCAAGGGCCTTACCATTTAGGGAGGAAGACAGCCAAGTTGATTGCAATACAATGTGATAATGTTATTAGAAGGATAAGCCCAGAGTGCCACAGGCATGCAAAGGTAGGACTCAACCCAGAGGAGAGGTGAGGGCATGGGAGGGCAAGGGCAGGATCAGTGAATGTGCTTCAGAACAGGATGCCTCTAAGCTGAGTCTATAAGAGGAGGAAGAGTTAGTGAGGACAAGCTCTGGAAGAGGGAGTGCTTTCTGGTACAGAGATGACAGAGCTTGGCTCTGTTCAGAATGGCAGGTTTATCATTCTGGGTAAAAGGGGGAGAGGCTCAAGGAGTACATGGGCACTGCACCATGAGCAGGGAAGTGGTGATGCTATCTACCTAAGCAGCCTGTGCTTTGTCCCAAGGGCCCTGGGGAGACACTGTATGTTTTAAACAAGAGTGTGACAGAGACCCAATCCTATTTGCACTTTAGAAAGATGGATGTGGCAGTATTTTAGAGAATGAAATGGTGGAGGACAAAACTAGAGGTACAGTGGCCAGTTAGGAGTCTATTGTCACAATTCAGGTGAGAGAGATTGGACTGCCTAAACCAGATAATGGCATCGGAAACAAAGAAAGAAAGGCTGTGAGAGACATAGGGAAGTGGCACTGACAGGACTTTGAACGGCTTATGTAAAGATTGAGGGAAGTGTCGGGAAAAGAGAGTGGTTACAGATAACGCCCAGATTTCTAGCATGGCAACTGGGTGCATGGTCTTGCCATCCAATAATATTGGGAACCCAGTAAGAGGAGCAGGCCTGCCTGAGGAGAAGAGAAGGAGTGTGATTTTGGATGTTCATTTTAGCTCCCTGTGGGACAGCCATGTGGGTAATGATGTCCAGTTGAAGGTTGGACATTGAAATCTAAAGCTCAAGAAAGAGATAGAGATGTGAGAGTCATTAGTGTATTAGCAGTGGTTGAATCCATGAGATGGATGAGGTCTCCCCAAAAGAATGGGTAGAAGGAGAAGGGAAGAAGACTGAGGAGGAGCCCCAAAAGACCACAAGAGTATCAGAGAGGTGGGAAGAGAGTGATTAGAAAGTGATGTTGCTCAACCCAAGAGCAGAGAAGGGTGGACTGTAATGTCAAATGCTTTCTCAGGGTATGTTTCCCTAAAATTCATCTATGTCCCTGGTCCTTTCTGTTTTCCCACACTTTCTCTCCAGCTGCTCAATAGGCAGCTCCAGGTGTGTATTTTGTCCCCTCAAACTCAACATGAATAAAGCAAATATTAATCTTTTCCTTATCCCATCTGTAAGCTGTTTTCCTTCCTGTGAGTGCTACCTCCATTTTTCCAGGCTCCAGACCACAAATGTTGGAGTCATCTTTGTCTCTTCTCTCATGGCCCCAAGAGCCCTTTCTATTTTTGGTTCCCATGATTTCATTCTTCCATATATCTCTAAATTCTCCTCCCTCCCCACACACTTACTCATCGTTGCCATCATCACTGCCCTCTATCTGAAAGTGTTAATGACCTAGATCACAACAACAGCCAACTTACTCTCTCCCTATCCCTGCTTCTTTAATATTGCAATCAGTTTCCACTGATCTTTCTTACAGGATTTTTCCAGAGCCACTTTCCAAGCCACATGATTATGCTTTAAGGAGGTATCTCACTGTCCATCACCCCAACCAACATTTTGTCAGCCTGATTGGAAGATATTTTGAGAAGTAAAATCTGCTCTTAAAGAGAGAAGCATTGCCTTACTTGGGGACAGTCAGAAGGCTGTGATACAGCTTTCATTTTGAGAAGTAGAGCACATTCAGATTCTCAAGAAGAATGCATTAAAAGGACAAAAGGATGAGGCAACATAGGCTGTCATGTGTTTCTTTAAAAATAAAGTTACCTTACTTTATAGATGCACCTCAAATAATTGGTACCATATGGTATGGCCCTCCCATGTGGTCTCATTGTTTGTGTATGTCAGCTGTGTCTGGGACAGAATCCAATTTTCTTTTGTATATTCATGGAATCCATTGATTTCTGCAATCAGCAGTTCCCTAAAAGGCTAAACCTGCTATTGAAAATAATTATGTTACAGTTGGGTTCCAACGACAATTTAGAGAGGAATGCAAACCTGTTGACAGAAAATGGCTCACAAATCAGACATTTTCTTTTTCTTTTTTCTTTTACAGCCTGGCTGAAAGTTTCGGTTCAGAAGACAGTTTGGAATTCCTTTTAGATGATGAAATGGACGTTGATTTGGTAACCAGATTATATTTGCTAGTTTAAATATTGGGTTTGGTGAAAAATACTGATGATCATTTATTCTTTTGAAATTAAAATATTTTATTCAAAATATTGCACAAACCTTCCAGAAAGAAATATAATTTTGATACTATTCTCCAATTGGATATATAATCTATCTTTGTCATAAGACATTTTATAACAAATAAGTATCTAGAAGAAGGTAATGATTTAGGATATATATATTTTATATATATATAAAAATATATATAAAATCTACAATCTTCTTGTAAAAATAGCCACTTGCTGATTGCATTTTATTGGGACTTGAGATGTGTTGGGTAGCTGAACCATAAAATAAATAGGCCTTCAACAAAACAACCCTTTATTGCTGCAAGATTGACTTTGAGCTAACCCCACCCGAAATGCAACCACAGAAACTCAAAAGGGATAACAAATACCATTCATTGTTGTATATTACACACCTTATCCAAGTCATCTTTTTAAAAAATTGTGACAAATAAACATGTAAAAAATTTACCATTTTAGCCATTTTAAGTGTGCATTACAGTAGTGTCAACTGTAAGCAATAGATCTCTAGAACTTTCTGATTTTGCAAAATAGAAACTCTATACTCATTAAACAACTCCTCTTTTCTCCCTCCCATAGCCCCTGGCAACTGCCATTCTACATTCTGTTTCTAAAAGTTTTACTATTTTAGATACCTCATGTAAGTGGAATCACTCAGTATTTGTCTTTTTGTGCCTGGCTTATTTCACTTAGCATACTGTATCCAAGGTTCATCTATGTTATAGCATATGACAGGATTTGTTTCCTTTTTTTTTTTTTGAAATGGAGTTTCACTCTTGTTGCCCAGGCTGAAGTGCAGTGGCACGATCTCAGCTCACTGAAACCTCCGCCTCCTGAGTTCAAGCAATTCTCTGCCTCAGCCTCCCAAGTAGCTGGGATTACAGGCACCGACCACCATGACTGGCTAATTTTTGTATTTCTAGTAGAGTCGGGGTTTCACCCTCTTGCTCAGGCTGGTCTTGAACTCCTGACCTCATGATCCACCCACCTCGGCCTCCCAAAGTGCTGGGATTACAGGTGTGAGCCACCGCACCCGGTCAATTTCTTTCCTTTTGAAGCTGAATAATATTCCATAGTATGTGTATACTACATTGACTTAATCCATTTATCCATTGATGGACATTCTTGCTTCCATGTCTTGGCTATCGTGAATAATGAGGAACATGGGTGTGCAAATGCCCAAGTAATTTTTTAAAAAAATGTTTAAGGTAACACATACTTTATCTTAAAAATGTAGGAAATATAAAATAATTAAAATGTGGGGAGAAAATGACTTTCACTCAGCCTCCTGTCATCTTTCTTCTATTCCTTCTCCCTTTCCCTTTTTCCCGCACTTGCCTCCTCTTCTGCTCTGTCTCCTTTTCCTCACCCTCTTCTTCCTTTTTTCTTCCCCATCCCTTTTTTAATACCCTCATCTCCCCACAACACTGCAAATGTGCTCTTTCTGAAAGCCAGCTCTCACTTGGAAATAGGCGAGTTTCCCATACAAGTTCCTACCTGTGTCTCCCTCATCCTTAGAACTGTCTTCCTTTACCCCACTGTATTTTCTAGATAAGTCACATGTGCATAGGTAGCATATTTTTAAGTAAATTATATTCTTCATTATTGATTAATTAGGAGCCAGCACTTTATTTCAAGGAACCAGAGGAGTTACTTCAAGTCCTCAGAGAGCTGGAAGAGCAGAATCTTACTTTGTTTCAATATTCCCAAGATGTAGATGAAAATCTTGAAGAGGTAAACAAAAGAGAAAAAGTTATACAGGATAAAACGTAAGTCATTATAAACAAGTAGATTTATTCCATTAAGCAATTTCTAACCAGAGCCTGGGTCCAACTCACTCACATGTGGCTCTTCCTCGTGGTCTCTGTGAATGTAGGCTGGGGTTTTTAATAGTTTACATTGTGGAGTGCAAAACGTAGACGTCGTATTTACACAGAATAGACTGGCTTTAATTTTGTCCCTACTTCCTTTCACTTGTCAACGTATTTTCCTACTAGTAATAATAAAAGATACTTTGAAAAATGACTAAAAAGAATTAAAATGGTACCTACTGCCTTAACTTTTGTCCGGTATAGTTTTCGCCCTATCACTTGGCTAGCTGTCATTTACTTTACCAAATCATGCTGTGGATGATAATGCTAACAAATGTATTTTCATTGGCTGTGACTCTCAGAAAAATAATTTTTGTGATTAAATATTATATCATTTTATAAAGTTCCTGTCAATATCTCAGGGCGAATATAGAAAGGATTTCTGTCAGGGGAAAGCAGCTGGATTTGATCCCTCACAAAATTCCTTCCTCATCTAAAAATATATAGTATTACAAACTTGAAAAAGAATTGAATTACAGAGAATAAATCTTTGTATCTACTCATTGCAAAAATGTGTAGAACCTTTTCTCAGAACAGTTTTCTGGGCCAGAAGATGGCAATCTTTTTAAACAATAGGTCAAACTACATTTAACTTCAAAACAAATTAATTTGTTCAGAAGAATCTAAATAAAAATCATTATCTCACAGCTACCCATTACCATTTCTGAGACTTTTTAATCCTTGTATCTTTTCCAATCTTCACAGTGTCTAATGGCCCTCCACCCACCTCCACAATAAGATTTTCTGGGACAGGGTGGGTGCAGGTAGGCAGGAAAGGGGGATATATAGAATCTATCTCTAGAGGATCTTATCAGAATCTTTAGGTGAGGGAATTAGGAGTCTATATTTTCCCTCTCGGCTCCCCACATATTCTGATTATCAGCCACGTTTGAGAACACTGGGTTCCTGATGCCTCAGCTCTGCTGCTATTTGGGGGAATTCGAATGGAACCACAAAAGTAGGGGAGGGGAAGAAAATGCCTTCTGATGGAAGTTAAAAACAGCATTTGTGCATGTATTTTTCTCATTTTAACTTGAAAAGTTGCATGTACTTTGGCAATGTCTTCAAATACAGACTTGTATTTGGCTCACTACATGGATTTTGACACATGATCTAGAGTGTTAAAGCTCCTGACTGATGGTTATTTCACTAACCACAAATTTCAGATGAGGGTCTCTTTCTTCTTTTGTAATAGAAATAGCAACATAGAGTTTCTTTTGGAGCAAGAAAAAATGCTTAAAGCTAACTGTGTGAGAGAAGAAGAGAAAGCAGCAGAATTGCAATTAAAGTCCAAGCTCTTTAGCTTTGGAGAATTTAATTCAGATGCTCAGGTAAATCACTCTTTGCCTATGGTGATTTCATTTTGGCTCATGATTATAATTTTTATTCCCTGTGTCCTAAGTATGTGAATAGGAGAGTTAAAGCAAATCACAAGTCCTAGATTGATGACAGAAGTGGAAAGCCAGCTTGGAATTTATCTTGCCATTATGTAATAGCCAATTTACATAGGCAGAAAGCATTCAAATTGGCATTGGGGTTCTCTTAAAACGTTGCTCTTTTGCAATGCATGATATTGACCATAGTTTCCCCTCGAAATACATTTCTTCAGAGCCTAGACATATGTAGTAGTTCACTGTGTGTTATCATTTTGGTGGTAATTCCAGGAGTAATTAACAGAGGAAGCCATGAATCAACACAATTAACAGTGACTCAGCACTGACTAGAAAATTTTCCCAACACTGAGCCTGTACTAGATTTTTGCCTCTTCAGGCCTGCATAGACTCATTATCAAAACAGCTGTGATATGTGCTAGTACACTTATTTATTGACAAGTTCATCTCTCAGCTAGATGCAAACCCCCTTGAGTGCAGGGATTGACTTATTATTCTTCATTCAGTTGAGGGTCCCTTTAAAGTTGGTGCTCAATAAATGTTTGTTGAATGAATGATGAGGTTAGCTTTTAGACCCACAACCAGCTCCATCTAACATTGATTACCTTATAAAAACCTCAAATGAAATAAAAATTCAAAGCTAATATATAAGGCTAACATTGTTTCGGGACCAAACTGAGGGTTGGGCTGCTATTTCTCGTGGCCCAATAACGAGATGCAGATGAACTGGGGAGGAAGACAGTTTTTATTTCTGTAACTGGTTATAGGGAGAAGGCCTGGAAATTATTGCCAGACCAACTCAAAACTACAAAGTTTTCCAGAGCTTATATACCTTCTAAGCTATATGTCTGTGTGTAAGTGTGCACTCATCTAAAGACATGAGTGATTAACTTCTTTTGATCTATAACGAAGGTCTGAGTCCTGAAGACCTTCCTCTGGAGCCTCAGTAAATTTACTTAATCTAAATGGGTCCAGATGTTGGGGTGATTACCCTTATCTTGTCTCCTGCTAAATCAGGGAGGTTTGGGTAGTTCCTTCAGATCCCCAATAAACTTGTCTGTGGAGGCCTGGAGAGTTTCTTCATCCCCAATAAAACTTGTTTAATCTTAACTGAGTCCTGTTGAGAATTCCTTCATTATTTTGTCATTCTTTAAGACCCTGGAAAGGTCTAGGCAAAACTCTTGGTGGGCTTTTGTTACATTCCAGCCTTTGTATAAGGGCACTGGCTTTTAATATTTAACTTAACCACTCAGTCAGTACTGAAAACAGTTGTTAAGGAGGCTTGCGTTAGTGAGACCTGGCCTGCCACAACATCACATTTATGGATATGAACTTGATTTTCAAACAGAAGTAGAACTGGGAGAACTGCATCAGAAGAAGACTGTCCTCCCCTACCCACAGGTGAACAGGGTTACAAAAAGCACAAGCTGGTTATGGCTCCTCCAGACACACACACATTTCCTAGGGAGTTATAGTGCCCTGAGTTAGTAGGGGATGGGGTTGTGCATTGCCGGGGCCAAGAGGTGTGATGATAGCCACCTTTCAATTCAGTGCTGTTTTTTTCTAACCATTTTTTTTAAAACTGTGGTACAATATACATAACCAAATTTACCTGTTAGCTATTTTAAGCGTGTCATTCAATGGCATTAAGTACATTCTCAATGTTGTGGAACCATCACCACTATTTCCACAACTTTTTCATCATCTTTTCAACATAAAAATGTAACATCTTAACCATTTTTAAATGTACGGGTCAGTAGTGTTAAGTACATTCATGTTGTTTTGCAATCTCCAAAACTCTTCATCTTGCAAAGCTGAAATTCTATACCCATTAAACAATAACTTTCCATCCCTCCCTCTCCTAGCCCTTGGCAACCACCATTTTACTTCGTCTCTCTGAATTTGACTATTCTAGGTACGTCACAAAAGAAGAATCATACAATATTGGTCCTTTTGTGTCTGGCTTATTTCATTTAGCATAATGTTTTCAAAGTTCATCCATGTTGCAGCTTGTATCAGGACTGCATTATTTTTACAGCTAGATAATATTCCATTGTATGTTTATACCATATATTGTTTATTCATTCATCTGTTGATGGACACTTGAGTGGTTTCCACACTTCAACTGTTTAAAATAATTCTGAAACCAATTGACATGCAAAATGTCTGATAAATATCTGTGATATCTCCCCTCCTCCCTGCCCCATCCCAACCAAGCCCCTTTCATCCAAGTTTGGGGCAACTATTAAAAAATAAAAGCGGCATTTTTGATACTCTTTAACATTGAGGCAACCAGATACCTAAAGAAAGAAAGTAGAATTGACGTAAAATTCCTTTTTAAATGGCTATCCATGAAATTTTGATCACAAGTGTAAATTTGGCATTCATGTATTGCACTCTGCGGAAATGGGACTAATAATCCATAGTGTCTTCTAGAGATGTGAAATGTGGGGTGGGGAAGGGGAGGTGAAGCAGGAAAATTGGGAGGGAAACGTATTCTTAGGATTTTTTCCTTCTCTACCTCCATTTTTTCAGCTCTCAGAATATACAAAACATAATCCTTTGAGTAAATTTAGCTGCAGCTCATTTTTTAAAAGATTCTTTTCCAGCGTTATTGAGGTATAATTGACATATTTGATTGTGATATTCATAAATTATGTTACTCTGGAGCTATCAGTATGAAATGAATTTTAGTCTTTCAAAACTTCCACTCTTAATGATACTTAATCCCCTAAAAATTTTGCCCTTGATCCAGTATTTCACTTTTAAAATAACATTTTAAGTTCAAGTATAATGTAATGTTGAGAAGTGCACAAATCACAAGTGTACCTCTCAAGAAATTTTCTCAAAGCAAACACACCCGTGTGCTACCCCCCAGATCAGGGAATACACCATTATCAGCCCCTGCAAACCTCCCTCACACCTGCTTCCAGGCTTTACCAGCCCTCTTTCCCACTGTCCTGACGTCTCATGCCATCAATCAGCTTTCCTGTTTTCGAACTCTGTTGGAATGGAATCATGTAACATGTCTGGCTTCTTTCCCTCAATACTGTGTTTGTGAGACTCATCCATGTTGTTTAGTGTAGCAGTTGTTACTTCTTCATTGAACATGAAATGGAACATAAACTGCTCCACTGTTCAATGTGAGGAATGTGTTTATCTCTGGTTTTATTGTTTTCTTTGCACAAGGAGAAGATCAGCTGCAATTGAGAGAACTGTGTACAGTCAACACACAGCAGAATGTCACATGGATTAGAATGACAGAACCCTTGAGTTTGAAAAGACTTTCAATGACATCTAGATATCCACCCCGGCAACCTTTCCCCTCTCCCGTTTTGATACAATGATTCCTCCTAAAACACTGCTCTGGTCATATCACTTCCCGTTCACTGTTGAAAGGCACCTGAAGTTCTCTGATCAGTCTTCCATAATTCCTGTCCCATTCACCTGGGCAGACTCCCTTGGCAGCTCCTCCTCCGAGGTACTGTGGGCTGGGCCTGCCATCTGGGGGCAGTTCCAGGGATGGGGCTGAAACTTCCCTTCCCTGTCATCAATTGGCCTGTGCCTTGTGCTCCCTTTTGACTTTTTGCTTTGTCAGGCCAGGCTCTCAATCCCTTTTTCATATGTGAATTACCTTCATTCATCTCATTCTTCTCTATCTCTTGTTCTTACCTTGTTATATTAAGAAAATATCTCTTCTCGCCATTTTCTCTCCTCTCAGAAGAGGGAATTTAAGAAAAAAAGGGGGAGGGGGTGGTGGTGTAGAAAAGACATCGTAAAAAGCCACTGCCCTGCTCATCCATCTCTAAAGCCATCTAAGTGTTCAAGAGGTCTCCTTCAGAAATTTCCATCAACTAGCAACCACTCTCATCTTAAAGTTGTTTTTCCTCAAAACCTGTGGTGAATATATTTTTAAAGTATTTTTCTGTGCTTTATTTAGTGACTCACATTGCAGCAGTGTTGTTTTCATATGCAATTTACAATATTTCAATCCGATGGGTTACTTTTATTTTCTTTTATATTTTTCTGTGTCTCCAAGGTTTAGAAAAAGAATGTGTTGTTACATAAATAGGAAACACAGTAAGTGTTATTTTAGAGAGAGGGGAAAAGGGAAATTTATGGCCAATATAGGACTTTTGCTGTTTTCTTTTATATTATTATGTATTTCTCCAAGTTTTCTAAAAGGATCATGTCATTCATGTAAATAGGAAATATAATAAGTGTTACCTTATGAAGGTAAAAAGGAGCTTTATGCTAAACAGGACCATCAGAAAGCTTTTTAAGCTAGGAGGTGGAAGAGAAAAGCTGTTGGAAGTACTCTTGGTATCAGATCTTGGCTTGTAATTGTGTTGGTGGCTCTGTAAGGTGTTTGTGGTTCCAGGAGGGGCTTCCCATGGCTCCAGGAGCCACCTCTCTCTTGAGTGTTATTTGTCGCTGGCTTTATGGTGATTCTCATCTTCTTGAGTGGAAGCAGGAAATGGGGCAGAATGCTACCTGAAGAGTGATTCACATTGCCCAGCAGTTTGTTGAGCTCTTCTTAATTGCAAACACCGGGTTCACAATGGAGACAGAGGATGACAATTTTCTTACGGTCCTGAGACAAGTTACCTACCACCTCAAGAATCTCCACCAACAGTTAAACGGCACAGTGTCGAGGTACAGGGATCAGCAAGGTTTGGCCTAAGCTTTTGTTTAGACTAGAATACTGCAATGGCTTCCCAACGAAAACAGTGAAAATGATACTTCTAAAAAGGCTTTGGTAGGCCAGCCTGGGTACCTGTTTGCTTGCAACTTTTTTTTCTGAGAATGCATTTAGTCATTTATTCAGCAAACATTTATTCAGTGCGTAGTTATGTGCAAAGCACTGTTTTAGTTGTAAGTTTAAGCATAAGATGTAGCTCCTGCTCTCCTGGACTATAAGGATAAGGCAGAGAACTATTACATAGGATGATTATAGTTTCGCAATTATAACAGAGTAATACATGCAAAAAAGGAGGGGGGCTGGGTTACATATTGTGCCAAAAGGAAATGCATCCGAGTGGCAAAAAAACGATTTAAAATGTTTGTTGCCTGTATTTGAATTCTTAGGGAGTCAGATATACAAAAACATTCAAGCAAAAAATATTCCACCCATTATAATTACTTTTCATATCTAGAGTTCAGTATATTTTAAGAAAATAATCCAAGGTGTTCTATAGTAATGCTCTGACTATAAATTATAATATAGGTTAAATATCACTGCTGCATTTTCTCAATGATTTATTAAAACTTCTCATTTTAAAAAGTAAACATTAGGCCAGGCACAGTGGCTGATGCCTGTGGCCGAGGCAGCTCGATCACCTGAGGTCCGGAATTCAAGACCAGCCTGGCCAACACGGTGAAGCCCCAGCTCCACTAAAAATACAAAAATTAGCTGCGCGTGGTGGCGCATGCCTGTAGTCCCAGCTACTTGGGTGGCTGAGGCACAAGAATCGCTTGAACCTGGGAGGCGGAGGTTGCAGTGAGATGAGATTGCACCACTGCACTCCAGCCTGGGTGACAGAGTGAGACTCCGTCTCAAAAAAAATAATAAAAATAAAAATGTAAACATTTAATAGCATATACATGGGATTTTACTGTAATATAGTAAAATGGTATATTTATTGAATGTGGAATGTGATGTTAATGTTTTCTGCTCTTCTCAATCTCAGGAAATACTGATAGACTCACTTAGTAAAAAGATTACTCAAGTATACAAAGTCTGCATTGGAGATGCTGAGGATGACGGCCTCAACCCAATTCAAAAGCTGGTAAAAGTAGAATCTCGCCTGGTAGAACTGTGTGACCTCATCGAATCCATTCCCAAAGAAAATGTGGAGGCAATTGAGAGGATGAAACAGAAAGAATGGCGGCAAAAGTACAGTCAATAAGGATAAGAATGACTTAATGAGTAGCTGGTTTTGCTCAGATTCCACAAACACATTAGCAAGTCTCTTGTGTAATGTCATATTATAGGGACACAGTGAGGAGGAATGAAATCCAGCCCTGCTCTCCTCATATAGCTATTATTTAGCATGGGAGATCATTCATCAAATACTCTTAGGAAATAAATGTGTCATTACCAATGGTAATGAGCACCACGAAGGAAGGAACTGGGTGAACAGAGTTCACCAGGGGCAACTGACCTAGTTTGGGATGGACAAACTAGCCTGGAAAAGCAAATCTTTGTAATTATATGAAATTTATGAATAAGTAATTACATGAAAATTTTTGAATAGCTATCATGGGGAAGGAGAATTGCACTGGTGGTGAAGGACCCAAGATATAGAATTAGGAGCCTGTCATGGGAAAACTTCAAGCAGACTCAATCTACCTGTGGTTCTCCCATGAAGGGCTCCAAATTCCTAATGAAGGAATTGTTTGAAAGTCTGAGCAACACAATGAGGGTTTTCCGCAGTGTATAACTGCCAACATGTACACAACATTCACTCATTTATTCCTCAAGACAACCTCATGAGGATTATCATCCCTGGAGCCCCAACCCATCCCCCACATGCTTACATAGCTTGGTGCCCTTCAAAGGAGATCTGTGCATTGAGGGCGGTATGGCCTGACCGGGGCCTTTCAGAATGCGTTCACTTACAAATTTCCATACCAAGTTAAATAAGAACTTTTAAGTACAAACAGTTGTCCCTTGGTATCTGTAGGGGATTGGTTCCAGGACCTCCCAAGGATACCAAAATCTGCAGATGCTCATGTCTCATATAAGACGGCATATTTGCATATAACCTACGTACATCCTCCTGTATACTTTAAATCATTTCTCAACTACTTATACCTAATATAGTGTAAATGCTAGAGTTGTCATACTGTATTTCTTAAAATTTGTATTATTTTTATTGTTGGGGCTTTTCTCCAAATATTTTCAATCTGCAGTTGGTTGAATGCCCAGATGTGGAACTGTGAATATGGAGGGCCTACTGTCCTAGTTTGAGGCAATGATTATTGTAAATATGACCCCTAGCTTACTGTGGCATGTAGGGAATGTTTACAAGTGGGATAATGTTCACGTAATGGCAAAAAACATGTTGAGAGGCAGACTAGTACTCAGGCTACCAGCCTGGGGATTAGACCATGCTGAGTGAGTTCAGTTCAACTATTTATGACTTTGTGACCTTAGGCAACATAAGCACTCTAGTCGGTTTCTTTATCCGTAAAACGGGAGTAATACTGATAAATACAGGTTGTTGTGAGGATTAAATTAGATGATCCAAGTAAATTATGAGAGCATGCTTGGCGCATAGTAAGTACTCAAATATTAGCCAGTAGTGTTAGATATTTTGTTATTGCCTACTACTTTATGGATGTAGGGTGGATATGCTTACCCACAGTAAAAATGATGTCCAGACTATATCATGGTGATCCTGATGGGATCTTATTGAACATAAAGCAAGCTTTAAAAAAAACTATAAATGAAAAGTTACTCCTTCCCTAAGATGACCTCATTATGACTACACTAACAGCACTTCCATCTTTTTTACACTAGCAAATATATTTGCACCAAAGTGTAATTACAACTCATTTTTAGCAGTGATACATGAATGTAATTCCAATTACTTACATTCTTCTTAAAAAGAATTTTAGCTGATTTTCCCCATGGTTTGGGGCACCTAACACGGCACCTAATTTTGCAATAAAAATGCTCAGTACATGTTATTTCCATTCCCTAGTATATAACCTTACACTTAGAATATCATTAAATAGGTCCATAAAATAGCTATCACATATTTAGTGCCTATTGCTCACCACCTTGTACTTGATAAGTTGCACAGATTACTTAATTTTTCCCTCAAAACAACCCTAAAGAGAGTATGACAAATAGCATTTCTTGCTCACAATTTGAGGATATTATTCAAAAAGATTAACTGGAAGGTACACTTTTGTGGCAGCTCACTAAGCTATGCATTTATTTGTGTACTCTTCTGTATGTATGTGACATTTCAATTAAAAGTTTTAAAAAGAGGAACAAGTAGCTGAAAGTTAATTCAAGTAGCTATTATACAAACTATCTGTAAAGTGCTGAAATGTTTAGGAGGTCAAGGTGGGCAGATCACGAGGTCAGGAGTTCGAGACCGGCCTGGGAAACATGGTGACACCCCGTCTCTACTAAAAATACAAAAATTAGCCGGGTGTGGTGGCATGCACCTGTAATCCCAGCTACTTGGGAGGCTGAGGCAGGAGAACTGCTTGAACCCAGGAGGTAGAGGTTGCAGTGAGCCAAGATCATGCCACTGCACTCCAGCCTAGGCAACAGACTGAGACTCTGTCTCTGAGGAAAAAAAAAAAAAAATAGACCAAGATCTGGGTATATTTTATATTTTCCAAAATGATGAAATTTCTTCCCATTTCAAAATAGTATTTGTTGTCGAGATTTACCTGAATATTCAAAAGCCACGGTTATGAGTAAAGATGAAGTGTCATTTTCATTTACCTTTAAAGGAGGTCTTCTAGTCACATGGCTCATTAACAAATAGTAATGTACTTTTCTTACTCAATGTGATTTATAGTTACAAGAATGTTTCTCCCTTCTTGTGACAGGTTTCGTGATGAGAAAATGAAAGAAAAACAAAGACACCAACAGGAAAGGCTAAAAGCTGCTCTGGAAAAAGCAGTAGCACAACCAAAGAAAAAGGTTTGTTTTGCTATTAATAGATCCAGCCATATCAATATGTGATACAAAATACAAAAACAAAATACTTTATTCGTCTAACTTATCCAGGTTGAACTTCAGAAAGATAATCTTTCTTGCTCACAGCTACAATTGGTCTCTGGTTCCTTGTTACTTTTAGAATAATTCAAATTAGTGGCTCTCCAGTTCTCAATTAGACACACATTTTAGTAAAAGAAGCCTCTTCTCTCCTCTTTTTAGACCTAGGTTCATTAAAATCAGATAATTTTTTTCTTGTTTTTTGGAATAGATTAAAAGCATATTGTTCAAAGTTCAAAAGATACAAGAGTATTCAGTATAAAGTCAGTCTTCCTCAGTTCCCCTTCCTGAAGGCAACCACTGTTAACAGGTTCATTTGCATCCCTCTGGAAATATACATACACAAATATGTATTTATGTACATATTCTTTTTCTTACTAATGATAACTAGGAACTTGGCTTCTTTCACTCAGTAATGTTTTGGAGATGTGAACCCAGAGAATCGCATGTAACTGTGGGGACTGTGTATAATCCCCACATTGTAAAGACAATGAGATTGACAGTTGGAGTTAAGATGATTTGCCCAGAGTCACTTTGACTTAGCAGCACAATCAGGACCAGAAGCCAAAGTTCTTTATTTTGCAAGACTACCTGTCCAATCAGAAGTTTGGGATTAGGTAGTCAGGTACATGTGGTCCATCAATTCTACACAGGGTAAGGAGTTTGTTTCTATATGACACTCTTTCCCTCCTCTGGGATAGCATCTGAAATATGTTCCAGAAAGACAATTTCATGGTTATCTGCAAAGCTATTGCGGATGCTGATTCTTACCACAGTGATAGCTAACACATAACGAATGCTTACTGTGTGCCTTACAACTAACCTCAAGAGGTAAGAACTTGAAAACAATTCTGAAGTATGGGAATTAATATGTGCCATGACAAAAAAACGATTACTTCAAAATATTTTATTGAAATAAATACTTCATCTTAAAAAAGGTATTTATCTAGTTCAATTCTTTCCATGAAGACTTTCCTCACCTGTCCTCTCCTCCCAAGAATTAACCATTCATCACCCTTCCACATGGACTACTTAGCAAACCCACCAAATTGAAATTATTATTTTTTAATATATTCACCTTTCCTTCTAGACCATGAGTTTTATGACGTTTGTATTCCTAATACCTGGCACATCATGGATACTTGATGTGTAGTGAATTAACAGACTAAAAATGAGCATAAAAACTAAAACTGGAAAAAATTGGGGGAAAAAATGGTTATCTGATAAATCAACAACACACAAAGACCTCTGATAGAAGCTGACCCAGTTAGGACACTTCATCATTGCTAATTTTCTCAGACACTATTAATAACAAATGTTACCAAAGATCTTTGACAGTTAAAAATTCCGATATTGCAGAAGGAATTCAAAAATTCTAGTCCCCCAAGGATATTTTTGTTGTTACAATGATGGGGAAAAGTGCTATTGTTATTCAGGTTCTCTCAGGCCTGCAATGCAGGGGACAATCTCACATAAGAATTGTCCTACAATGTCAATAGTGCCTTTTGAACACAGTGGCAATGTCCCATCAAATCTCATAGAATTATGGTAGTTTCCCCACTTATACATTTAATGTATACAAATTCAGCTATAAAAGCAAAACAAAATAAAAAGTGGAGGAGGGAATCCCAAAAGTAAAGAGAAAAATAAGTAGTAATATATTTGAGTATATATGACCCAGAGAGAATGAATAGGTATGAACTCGGGGTTTCCCAAAGCCTCTTCTGTTGGGAACACCTCCAGAAGCCAACCAGTATTCAAGATGGTACATGGTTTTCTGGACTTTTTATTTAACAAGATTTCTAAATGCTAGTCAGGTGCTCAACAGGAGAAAGCCATCTCTTCCAACCATGGACGAAAAACTGGCTATGGCACTTACTGAGAAATAAAATGGTGGCCTTCAACATGGTGCTTTTCTAGGCTGACCACATTTGAACCATATACTATTTGATGACTTTACCTAAGTTTTCCCACTTCCCAATAAAACCTAACTGCTGTTCCTTCTGCATAGTTATTGGTGTCCAGTTTGCTACTCAACTTTGCCTAGCATGTTAGACATCCGTTAGGTTATAAGTCCCTTTTAACTGTGATTAGTTAATGTTACAAACCATATTATTCCTTGTAAAAATCAAGTTAATATTGGTATTTCACAAATTTCAATAGAAAATGGCTATGCTCAAAAAATATTAAGTATTTTGTTTTTCTTTTGTTTCAGTTGGGAAGACGACTTGTCTTTCATTCAAAACCTCCATCTGGTAACAAACAGCAGCTACCTTTAGTCAATGAAACAAAAACAAAATCACAAGAGGAAGAATATTTTTTTACTTGAATAAAAGCAGTAAGACATTTTATTACCAGAATGTCTTAGGTGTATTTTGTAAATTTTAAGTCTTTAAGTATTCATATCATAAGTATTATTCCATATAGCTAAACACTTTCTTCTATACTTTGAGTTGTCCCACTTGGGGATACACAAAGATAGTTTACTGATAAAACTATGGTAAATGAACACTGAAGTGTAATAATGGCCATTCTCTTACAACATGAGAATGTAAATGATGTATTTTCTCAACCCATCTGTAGGGAAGTTCATAGCATACTGTTATTACTATGGACTATACATTTTAACAATGTACAACCCTAAAATACCTGAAGGGTTTTGAGGGGCTTAAAACTCAACCTCGAGGTTATGTCTCAGAACATAATGGGGAGACTGGTTTTTATTTGACATTACATTTTGTTCAGAGAACTTTTTTCTCTTCAGTGAACAAACCGTATGCCTTCAGCCTGAATGTCAGTTCCCAATTTCTGTTGTGCCCTGTCTGTACAATCATTTTAATTTTTAGAAGATGCTTCAATTTTAGCTGCAATATGTGCATTTAGCTTATATTGACACAGAATTAACATGTAATTTATTGACTACTAAGTAAAATAAGACAGTATATTATTAATACCAAGAAAATGTTTAATTTTATACGTTAAAAGTAGCTCAAAAATAACTTTAAAAGAAAAAGTTGCATTTAAAAGGTCTCAGCTAATAGATAATTTTACAAGAAAAGGTCTGAAATTCACCTTCATAAAAATATCTAAAGCATATAAATAATTATCCTTTATGGGAAAAAAAAGAATATTGGGCTTACAAAAGAAAAGCAACTTAAATGAAATTCAGTGGCTTTTAAAGCATTAGTTCAGTGAGTAATCTTTCCCAATTGGTTCATCATTTCAGCTTTGCTTGTAAATATCTGAATACAAATAGTTCACAAGTCAAGTTGAAAAACAAACAAATCTTTATTGTCTAGAAATATATATAAAAAAAATCCCCCACAAAAGATGCTATTCTCTCATTTCCCCATCTTCTTCCTCTTCTTCCACACCTCTGATATAAAGGACATTATTACACCTGTAAATAGAAAAAGTCGATTTTGTTGTTCCAACCAGAAACCATGTATGATATGAATTACTATATTTTTATTATGAAAATACTGAATACTATATTTATAATATTCTTGTCTTTAAAAAAATTTTTTAAATATATTCATTTTAAAAAAAAGTTTCACATAGATTTGTTGAAAAGCACATGGCACTTATTTTCCACCATATGGTTGTTATAAAATGACATCTTTATGATTTTCCAAAGGAAATAATTACCAGAATTTGGAGCTTTGAAGCTAGTACAGAAAATCAATATAACAAAACAGCCAGACCCAACTAAAATTCAAAACTAAGTTCCCGCAACAAAGGCCACTGCAAAAGGTTGCCACTGCAAAAGATTATAGCTAAGAGCTAGAAAATTAAACATCAACACTAGAAAAATCTTTTGGCCAGTTCCAAAACATTTGAAAACTTACCTTTGACAAGTTTAACAATTTCAAAGACTTCTGAAGTCTAACTGTAAAGTATTATAATAGTGATTTTTTAAAAAAAAGTAATTCCAAAATTGAGGCACTAATATATTTAGAACAGGTATTCCTAATGCTCACCAGTAACTCCTTACATATACTACTGCTGTTTGTTACCTTATTAAAACTTCACCCAGATGTCCAGACAAAGCTCCATCTATGTATTCTTCTGTATTTGCAAGCTTTCAATAAAAAGAAATATATTAGTATAATCACACAGGAGGAAAATATTACAATACAGCTAATATTGGTGAGAGAACTCATTAACTGAGACCTTTCTATACCAACAACTCAAATTTATCTATAATTAATAAACAGAAGATGAGCTTTCTATTACTATTGTAGTACTTTTGGTTTCATATAAACCTTCAACGAAATTAATATTCAAAGCTTGTTTCAACATAAGTTTCTGAATCTCCCAGGTTATGTAATATTTCTTTCTATTAGATATTAAAACAGTGTGTGGAAGAAGGCAGTCTCTAACTCATATTGAGGTGTCCAAATAGGTATACGAAAGCTATGGCTAACATGCCAAATACTTTTATATTAGTCAACAACCAAAGCAAATAATTGAGTAAGAATTTTCTTCTTTTCCTGTCTTTTAAGAAACAGGGTCTCCCTCTGTTGCCCAGGCTGGAATGCAGTGGCACAATCATAGCTGACCAAAACCTTGAACACCTGGGCTCCTCCTGCCTCAATCTCCTGAGCAGCTAGGACTAAAGGCATGTGCCACAAAGCCTGGCTACTTCGAAACAATTTTTTCTGTAGAGATGAGATCTTGCTATATTGCCCAAGCTGGTCTTGAATTTCTGCCTTCAAGTGATCCTCCTGCCTTGGCCTCCCAAAGTGCTGGGATTACAGGCATAAGCTATCACATCTGGGCCTGAATAAGAATTTTTAATTATGTACTAATAAACAGGGAAAAACAAGTTCTTAAGAGAAAGGTAAATAGTTAACAGTGACCTTTACAGCTATTTTGGTGAACTACAGCAAAGTAGTGTGTTTCCCTTATGGTATTATTATGAATCGAATGTCTGAGCTCTTCTTACTTTACCTACAGTTATTTTGGTGAATTATTTCTAATTTTATATCAAAATGTTTAGCTTTCCTTCTACATATAGGTAACAAGCTCTACTTGTAATTAAAAGAAAAATCACAATCAATGCCACTTGGGACTCAGAGAAGGAACTAAGGAGTGATGGGAGAGAGGGAGGTTTCCTTCACAATTAGGCACGTGGAAAAGGAAAAGAAAAATAGGGCTTAACAATAAGGATTAAAATAGGATGTTTCATAAGGCATGAAAAACATGGTAATGAACACTACTACTGGATGTTACTCCCTTTCTTATAGACAACAAAAAGTAATCTCCATTATCCAGATGATATAGTTTTGTCTGAAATATACGAGGTTGTTGAGACAGTTTGTATGTAACAGCTATAAGAAATAATGTATTAAGAGCAACTAATTTTTTGTAAAAAGTAATTACAACATTTAACATTTCTAAATTACACAATAATGTTCCAAATACTTTCTATCATGTTCTTCACCATCACTTAACAGGCTCTCTATGGCCGCCATTTTAACCTAACTTTCTGTCATTCGTCCCTTAACTCAATCTGCTCTGGCCTTTTTGCTGTGCCTTGAACACACCAAGCATGCTTCTGCCACAGGGCCTTTGTACTTGCTGTTCCCTCAAACTGGGATGCTTTTCCCCAGATACTCAACTGAGTTGTACACTAATTCTGGTATCTTCCAGAATTCGCCTCCTCAGAGAGGCTACTCTATATAATATTGCACATACTGTCTTCCCCCTTTTCTTCATGGATGGCATCTATCATGCCTATTATCACATTATATTACCACCTCCCACCACTAAACCATAAACTGTTGAGGGCAGGGACTTTGTTTTGTTCAATGCTATATTCACAGTGCCAGGCACATAATGGAATTCAATAAATATTTGCTGAGTGAACAAATTCAAACACTGGTATCAATATGGTTGACTACTCAAAGTGGTTGGTTACTCAGACATTTTGCAACTCTAGCAGGGTCACTAGCAAGCTATATTAATTCTAAAACAAATATTAAGTGGTAATTCTTTTATTATTGAGATGTTAATTTCCATAGCATAAAATTCACCCTTTTAAAGTGTACAATTCAGTGGTTTTCAGTATATTCAAAAACCTGTGCAACTATCACCACTACTTCCAGAATATTTTCATCACAATTCATATACTTCCCAGATTTTTCTATGGTCTTGGTAAATGACTCCTGTTTAAGGAATTTTCCACACTCAAACTATGCTTTGGGGGCCTTAATGTCATGTGCTCAGGTGGTAATTGCCTAAGTTAAGGAAAATCATAGCTCTCTGCCTACTTAAGTACTCCTTTTAGTACTCTGCTTACAAGTATGGAATCCTTGGATTCATGATTGGATTGACCACCTGTCTTGATAGCCTTTAAAAACCTGCCTGGAAACTACTACCATTAAAAAAACAACAAAAAATCCCAAACTAATTTTTTAAATGTGCAAAAGACATGAACAGGCATTTCTCCAAAGATAAACAAATGGCCAATAAACACATGAAAAGGTGCTCAACATCATTAGCCAAATGCAAATCAAAACCACAATAAGATACCACTTCACACCCATTAGAATAACTATTTTATAAACACCCATAGAAAATAACAAGTGTTGGTGAGGATGTGGAGAAACTGGAACCGTTGTGCATTGCTGGTGGGTATGTAAAACCACGTAGCTGCTGTGGAAAATAGTGTGACAGTTACTCAAAAGAAAAAAAAAAATTTCTCTGTCATCCAGGCTAGAGTGCAGTGATCACAGCTCACTGCAGCTTCAACCTCCCCAGGCTCAGGTAATCCTCCCAACTCAGCTTCCTGAGTAGCTGGGAATATAGCTGCCCACACCATCATGCCTAGCTAGTTTTTGTATTTTTTTTGTAGAGATGCAGTTTCACTATGTTGCCCAGGCTGGTCTCAAACTCCTGGGCTCAAGCAATCTGCTGCCTCAGCCTCCCAAAGTGCTGGGATTACAGGCATGAGCCACCACGCTTGGCCTCCTTAAAAAATTAAACATAGAATTACCAGTAATCCAGTAATTCCACTTCTGGGTATATACCCCAAAGAGCTGAAAGCAGTGACTGGAACAGACATTCGTATACCCATGTTCACAGCAGCATTATTTACTACAGTCCAAAGAGGGAAGCAACCCAGTGTCCACCAAGAGGCAAATGGATTAGAATGTGGTATATCCATATAATGGAATATTATTCAGTCATAAAAAGGAAATTCTGACACATGCTACAACATGGATGAACCTTGAATAATACACTACGTTAAGTCAAACAAGCCAGACACAAAAGGATAATACACAATTCCACTTACATGAGGTATTATGCACGGTCAAATTCATAGACATGTAGACTAGTGGTTACCAGGGGTTAGTTAGGTGGAGGAAGGAATGGAAAATTATTGTTTAATGTTTAATTGTAAAATTATTGTTTAATGGAAAATTATTGTTTAATGGGCAAAAAATTTCACTTTTGGATGGTAAACAAGTTCCAGAAATGGACAACGGTGATGGCTGCAGAACAATGTGAAGGTACTTAATGCCACTGAATTATACACTTAAAAATGGTTAGAGTGGCAAAATTGTAATGTATATTTTACCACAATAAAAAGATAATTAATTACAAAAAAACCCACCAAAACACATGGCTGAATCATTTACAGAAACTCGTTTGACAGACATACAGTCAGTTCAATTCCTTTGGCAGATCTGTCTTTCCCCTGAAGGAATGAATTTCCTCAATAGCTTTGGTGTTGTGCCTTTAGCATTCATTAAAAGACTCAATAATTTCACTTGAAAACTTTCTTTCAGGGCTAAATGATGAGAAATGTTTTGTTTTCTCCAGCAAAGTAGTGTGTTTCCCTTATGGTATTATTATGAATCAAGTGTCTGAGCTCTTCCTACTTTAACTACTAGGAATAAAATCTGTAGCTGAATTCTGGTTTAAGTCCATGTCTTGTACCTAGTATATCACAGTATCCCTCCTGGCTTTGACTTTATTTTTGAATTTTGCCGTATATTTGTCAATTTAATTGTATGTATTCTTATTAGTCAGACTAAACCTTTGAGAAATAAGGTGAAGCAAAATAAATGCAATGTTATGACCTTTACAGCTCTTTAGCTTACCTGCATGTTCATGTAGCCATCTACAGATACCAGATAGCCCTTGTACTCCATTCCCCACTTAAGTTTCACCATCACTGGCTTTCCTGTTAGTCCATTGAGGAAAGGTTTGGGATTGAGGGGTAAACTCTGCACAAAGAACAAAAAAGGATCTAATTAATTATTTTTCCTCCCACCACCAACTCTCTTCTACCGAATCACCAATATTTTGTGGTATGCAAATGAAGAAAACTTTTGACTCCTTATTATTTTAGTACATAATTTTCACTTTTATTTGTTGAGAGTACCAGGGAAATTTAAATATCCAGTTAGCCAATTTCACCTTTAACCCATCAAAACAAAACACTGACTATTCACTTAAGATACACTGACTACCTACATCACTCACTGTTCTGAGCTCTAAAGAAACAAAGATAAAGGCACTAAAAAAAAAAAAAAAAAAAAGCGGGCCAGGTAGGGTGGCTCGTATCTGTAATTCCAGTAATCTGGAAGGCCAAGGCCGGGGGATCACTTGAGGTCACGAGTTCAAGACCAGCCCAGGCAACATAGTGAGACCCCCATCTCTACCAAAAATAGTCAGGTGTGGTGGTGCACACCTGTAGTCCCAGCTACTAGGGAGGATGAGGTGGGAGGACTGCTTGAACCCAGGAGCTCGAGGCTGCAGTGAGCTATGATTAGGCCACTGCACTCCAGCCTGGGCAACAGAGCAAGACCTTGTCTCTTATAAATAAATAAATAAATGAGTCCCTGTCAAGAAGTTGGAGATGGGGAGGGGAACTCCTCACATACAAATAATTATATTGCATGCTGCACTGTAGTAAAAGGAGATATACTAGGCACAAGGGTACCAAAGCAATCCAGGGGAAAAAGGAAAGGTTGCCTGAAATAAGTAATACCTCAGTTTTAAAGGATAAGAGTTTATTTCCAGAGCGGGAAAAAATGCTGTTCCAGGCAAGGCTAGCTACTTATGTAAAAGGAGGGAAGAGTGATGCAACAAGGTGGTTTTGGGGACATACAATTCAGCATTGTCAGTCAAAGCCCCAAATATAAAACTACAGAAGGAAGCAGAGGGCAGATCACGCTTGACAGTATTTAACTGGGGAAGCTAGGGCTAGGTCCTATCTGACTTTGTCAGTAGCACCGCCTCTTACTTACAGCAATTACTTAATGTCTATTTATTCAGCAAACCATTAACATCTCCAGTGATTTCGGTTTTTGCCCTCTTCTGCTCACTCACCAGTCAAACAAAGAAGAGAACTAAGAAACTTGGCTACTAACCCCCTCTAACATGAGCATATTCGGAGTGATCTTGATATGGCGATTACTCCAATAACCTAATGGGTCTCCAGTTTTCATTCTCCAATTTGTTATCCACCACAGTAACTATGATTTTTTAAAGTGCACATCAGATTGTCATATTTCTGCTTAAAATGATCCAATGGCTTCCAACCGAATCATTTTAAATTGATTTGGAGTACAATCAAAACCTCCCAATACAGCCTAAGAGGTCCTGCCCAACGCCTGCTCCTCCGATACCATCTCTTAACCACTATTCGCGCAAGTGGCTATACCTTTCTGTCAATTTCTCCAAATGACCAAGCTTTCTTTCCGGCCGCAGGTCTTATGCTCCTATTCCCTGTGCTCGGTACACTCCTCCTCCTGCTCTTTAAAGGGTCGTATTTCATGACACTTAGGCTTCGAGTTAAATTCCACCTCCTAGGGAGGCCATCTCTGACTAAGCCTCTAATGTCTAACGCGCACCCTCACAGCCTCCTGTCTGCATTGTTCTTAGCACTTATTATTTGCAATTACATACTTGTTATTTTTTGACTAATGTCTGTCTTCCCCACCCAAGTGAGTTAATCTAGAGCATGGCCGTATCATTACTTTCACGGAATGAAAGTGAATTCTGGAGTGTGGTTAAGTGGGAAGTGCAAATTCTCTTTGACTTTTACCCCGACCCTATAGCCCCAACTAAGAATACCCCAGGCCCGGATTCAAACAAAGAGAAGAAGGCACGGGCACTCCTAGGAAAAGAAAGGCATCGGGAGGAGCACGCGCCTCAGAAACCTAAAAGCAGAGTGAAAGGAGCTGGCGACAGGGTGCGCGGCGCCTCACGCGGATGAATGGGAAACGCGCGAAGGAACCAGCAGGCCCCGCGAGGCTGGTCTCCCTCCTTCTCTTTCTCCCCGCTTCTCCCGCCGTTCTCTTTCTCCTTACCATCGTAACCACGGCCGAATGTTGCAGGCTACTCTCTGCCGACCAGGCCGCCGCCCGTCCCTCGTGACTACAGCAGGTACCGCAGGTCCCGAGCCGCAGTTTCAAGAGAAATGGCCGCCAAACAGGACTATGACCTTTCACCTCCCACCACGGCCCTTCCTGCCTCTGTGATTGGACGCAAAGAGGTGCGTGCTGATTGGAGGAGATGGCTGGCCCAGTATCTCCTAGCAACCAGCAGCGGCTTGGGTTTGCGCCTTGCAGGCGGCGCGCGGACCTTGGGAAACCGGCTCTGAGCATCGCTGTGAGGCAGCCAAGGACTGGAGGCAGGCCGGTGTTTTTAAATGTGGTGTCCTTCCTAGAGGGCGGTCTGGGAGAGGCTGTGTAACGGATGTGACTTCTCCCCAACTTGGCTAATGGGGATTTACTTTGTCTTTTTACACCCGTGAGAATGTTCGGGGTCCCAGAGTTCCTTCCTCACTCTTCCAACAGGTTCCATGATTTGGGGGCGCCTCTGCCGCAGGCCCTTTCTACCTGAGTGTTCTCTCTTCTGCAACACCCGTTTTAACCCCTTTTAAAGGAATTGGGGGCTAGCCAGACTAGACTAGGGGCGGCGAAACGCACTGAAGAGAGTTGGATACAGAATTTCTTGCAAACGAGGTCGAGTTGCGTCTGGGATACGGTGTCATGCCCCACCCCCGCCCCACGACCCTGCCGGCCCCACCTTTCTTTTGCTTCGCCTGCAGAAACCCGCACGGCCTTCATACGTGCATTTGAAATTACCTAAGGGCGTAAGCAATATTTCCTCTGTCACGGATTAAAACTTTCGATGTAACGGTGTTATCTGAATCTCACTAGTTTTTGTCGTAATCCTATTGAGTTCGGGTCACTCTGATCTGAAATGCTAAATGCAGTTCTTGGAGAACACGCCCTTTGGGAAGTAACGCTTTTTTGCGGCCCTGAAGAGATGGATTTGGAGTTGAGGATGAAATGTTGGGTGTTGAGGCATTGTGGAGCAGTGGGCAAGACTTTGGAGGGGGCCTGCATTCGGAACCTGCGTCTATCAGGCGCGGCCGGTGTTGGGCAGTGTCTTAACCCCGAGGGCCATTGTTTCCTCGGCAGGAACGCGGCTTTAAAAACGGAACCATCCTCAGGGTGGTTGCGAGAATTTAACGTAAAACGGGGCTTGGCCTTGTAAAAGCTCAGTGTTTCACGTAAATGTTGAACACTGACCAGACAATGATTGTCAGTGTAGTTTTTACCAAACAGTTATTAGATTTATTCACCCTAAACTTCAGTGGATTTCTCCGTTTGTCTATTGTTTTATGAACTTTAAGTCTTTGTATAGACTTTGAGTTCCTACTATGTGTCAGGCTTTTTCAACAATCGTGGAAATCTTACCTTACTGTCTGATTCGGGGTGACAGCCCCGTTTAAGAGATGAGGAAGTAGGCCCAGCAGGTAACTGTTACCAGTTGAGGGTAGCTGTCCGAGTTCTTGGCGTTTTCAACAAAGAATTGGACAAAACGCACAAACAAAGCAGGGCAGCGAAAGCAGAGATTTATTTTAAATGAAAGTACACTCTACAGGGTGGGCACCGCCTGGTGCAAGCGGCTCAAGAGCATTGGTTATAGAATTTTCTGGGCTTTAAATACCCTCTAGAGGTTGCCCATTGGCCCACAACCAGTCTGATTGGTTGCGGGAGGGGACCAATAAGAGGTACTTTCATTTTTCAACTGCCACGCAGAAAAAGGAGGGGTTGAAATGGGAGTAGCCTCTGATACCCAGTCAGCATGGATGGGCCCTAGGTTCCCTGCTTCCAGCCGCTATTCTTCTGCCTCATAGCTTGCTCAGGACCACATACCTGGGTTTCAAAACTCTGCTTTTTCTACTTCATGAAGCTACCTTTCAAAGACTCAATATGTGTTTTAGAAGCCTGACTCTTTAGCTGTTTTCTCAGTGAAGTGAAACGAAATACTACAGTAAACACATTCTGTAAAGATAGTGTATTTAAGGTTGGTTTTTCTTTTCATGTTAAATTTTTTTTTTAATTTGAGACAGGGTCTCATTCTGTCACCCAGGCTGGATTGTAGAGGTGAGATCTTGGCTTACTGCAGCCTTGACCTCTTGGGCTCAAGAGATCCTCCCACTTCAGCCTCCCGAGTAGCTGGGACCACAGGCATGTGCCACCACACCCAGCTAATTTTTTAATTTTTTTTGTAGAGATAGGGTCTCGCTGTGTTGTCCAGGCTGGTCTCAAACTCTTGGGCTCCAGCTGTGTACCCACCTTGGCCTCCCAAAGTGCTGGGATTACAGGCGTGAACCACCATTCCTGGTCCATATTAAATTTTAATCTTAAATACCTTATTAAAATTAAGTGGGCATAAGTCACTGATATTTGTCTAATTATAAATATTATACAAAATTTTGGAAAATGTAGAAAGTTCTAAACAATAAACCTAAAATCACTAGTAATCCCACCAATCAAAGAGAACAACAATTAACTTTTACTGTAACATATGCACTTTTTTTTTTACAAGATATCTACAGTTTTTTGTTGCTGTTGTTTGTTTTTTCTTTTTTGTTGTTGTTTTGGAGACAGAGTGTCACTCCGTCACCCAGGCTGGAGTTAAGTGGTGCGATCTCAGCTCACTGCACCCTCCGCTTCCCAGATTCAAGCAATTCTCATGTCTCAGCCTCCTGAGTAGCTGGGCTTACAGGCATGCAGCATCACGTCCAGCTAATCTTTTGCTAATTTTTTTTTAATTTTTAGTAGGGATGGGGTCTTACCACTTTGCCCAGGCTGATCTTGAACTGCTGAGCTCAGGCAGTCTGCCCACCTCAGCCTACCAAAGTGCTAGGATTACAGGTGTGAGCCACCACACCCAGCCTACACACAGTTTTGTAACTTGTTTTCTTCACTTTATATTGAGCAAATTCTCATATGACTGAATATACTCTTCTAAAATGTGGCTTAATGTCTTCATTATACTTTGTATTTTGCATCTGTGATAATGTATTATTCTATTATTTTCATTTTTTCTCCTGTTATAAACAGTCTGCACTGAACATACTTTTACATGAATCTTCAAGTGTATTTTTGATTCTTTACCATAAATTCTTACAAATATAATTCCTAGGTTAAAAGGCATTACTATTTTAAAGGCAAATATATATATTGCCATGTTGGCATATGGCTCCACAGAATATTCATCAGAATAATTGCTTCAAATATAGGGGAAATAACAGACTTTGTATTTTTTCGAAGATGAGATAGAATACATTTTGAGCACATATGAAGAAAACGACCCCTAATTGTTAATTAGGATGAACAGTTTGGTGAGTTCTACCATTATTTATCCTATAACCCAAAAATTCCAGTTGTATACAACCATCTAAAAAGGAATTTATGAAATGATTTAGAAATATTTACTGAGGTGAGTAAAATGAATGTATGATGTCTGCCCTTGTGGAATTTTAAAACCTCTTTGAGAAGAAGGGGACCAATACATATTGAATGCCTTTCATGTTATGCTAGGATATTTTATTATGTAATTTGTCTAATTTAAATCCTCACAGTACTTCAAGGTAGATATTATTATCATCCCCATTTTAGAGATGAGGAGACAGCTTCAGAGAGATTATGTATTTTTGTCAAAAGCCATGTGGAAGGTAAAATGGCTCCAAAGCCTAAGATTTTTCCTTTATACGATGCTGCCGCTCCCAAAAATGTGGTTAAGTAGAGTACAAATAAACAAATATATAGAAATACAAATATTAATGCAGTCAATGAAGAGGGATAGCATTTAGGAAGTTACTTTTGAAATTGATGAGCTCTTCTTTTTATTTTGTTTATTCTCATAATTCCAACATCTTATTTTTTTCTGATTATGGCCAGAATCAGCTACAGGTATGATCGGAATAGGTTTAAAGGAGGAAAAATCCAAGATTTGAATGCTGTCAGGTGGAAGCTTTTTATATATTTTTTGTCAAACCTGAGAGATATGGTATTCTGTCTACCGAAGAAGTTAAGATTAAAAAATATATAAGCTTCTTTGGATCATACAAACACTGAACCTAGATTAGAATTCAAATCTTTTTGGTGGTTCAAAGCCCATTGTACCATTATAGAGAGACAATCATACCTCAAAGGTGTAGGAGCATAAGAACCTCCTCTCTCACCTCTTGAGGTTTGATATTTGAGTCTGAGAAATAAATAGACAATAGACCAATTGGTCTATCTATCCAAAACAAGGAGAAAAAGCACAGCGTAATTGATTTATGCGCATGGGAGCATCACAGGAAGGCGAATGCCCAATTCTAGTAGTGCTAGACCCAATAAGGTCTAGAAGTTTATATACCCTTATGCATAGGGGAGAGGGGAATGCAGGATGTAGGCAATTTTAGAAGAGTAATAAGTGATTTTTACAAGAGATGAATGGGTCCATGGAACAGACAATAGTCTGGGACAAAGTTCATCTGGGCTGTGGGTATGGTGTTTGATTTTCAGTCTTTTCCTCTGTGATATGAGTTTAATTTTCCTTGGTTAATGAAATTTCAGTAAGAAGATTGAAGACAATTGTTTTCCTCTTCAGTGGATTGGATCTTTAGGTAGATAAGGAAACTTCAGAGAAAAGTCTCTTCCTGTGCTTCAGGAGAGGAGGAGGGGCAAGAGATGGGGGGTGGGAGAAGGTCAGAGAGAAGGTCAGACCTTGGTTCTGAGGCTGCTGCTTTAGTGCAAAGTAGCAGTATGCTTCGGGGTATCATTTTCTGAGCCCCAACAAAGGAAACCTGGTATTGTGGGTAGGAGCCAATACTGTCTGAGTTCAAATCCTGACTCTGCCATGTGCAGCTTATCTCTGCTTCAATCTCCTCATCAATAAAGAGGATGATCATGATAGTACCTATCTTAAAAAAATTTTTTTTTAGTGAGGTGGGCTGTAACTATGTTGCCCAGGCTGGTCTCAAACTCCTGGGCTCAAGCAATCCTCCTGTCTCAGTCTCCCAAGTGGCTGGGATTATGGGTGTATACCACCATGCCCAGTTCAATACCCATCTTATAAGGCTGCTATTAGGATACAATATTTGTGGTGTTTATCCACCTCCTGATACTGAATAGTTTCTGTAGCGAGGTACGTAGGCACGTGAGTAGGTCAATGTGACCTACAATAACTAATGCTAATAACTAATATTGGACTACTTGTTTGCTGTTTGCTAAACTGCTGCTTGCTCAAAAAGTTCTGGGCTGTTGGCTTTGATTCTTCAGCTGTGCTGGAATCCACTGTGCACATCTATCTGTCTGGGTCTATCACTTCACCTCTTGGGACCTGGGGGGCAAGGGAGGCTGACATGGCTAAGACAATGCTTCTGTTTGCTGTGTGTAGTAAACTGTCTTGTTCTGATCCACATAGTCTCATTGTCTCCTTTCAGCACCTGTGGAGAGACAGCAGGTTTACTCCTTGCTACCTGAAGTTGGGGTTCTCTCCTGACTCTCACAGGGTTAACATTAAATGAAGAACATTAAATGAGATAATATATGCAACGCAGTACAATATCTGGTCAGTTCGATAAATATTTGTTCTCCTACATTTATATTCAATCAAAATCTAATTATCCCCAAAAGCTTGGTTTAAGTAATGTAAAACCAATGTAAAAGTAGCACCTTATATATTTATGGGGAGACCAATCCCTTTATGGACCAGAAAATTAGTTTGCCTAATAACTCAAGATATAAGAGATTAGTCTAGACCCAAAACCACATTTATTAGCCATTAAGTGCAGAGGGAGCTGGAGGGAGCTAGCAATCAAGGACCTGGGAAACAGATGAGACAGAAAATGAGTGGATGCATACAATTTGTTCATATATATTGAGTTATATTAAAAAAGCAGTATAGGCCAGGCAGTGTGGTGCATGCCTGTAATCCCAGCACTTTGGGAGGCCGAGGTGGGTGGATCACTTGAGGCCAGGATTTCAAGACCAGCCTGGCCAACATGGTGAAACCCCATCTCTACTAAACCTCGTCTCTACTAAAAGTACAAAAATTAACCAAGCATGGTAGTGCATGCCTGTAAGCCCAGCTACTCAGGAGGCTGAGACACAAGGATCACTTGAACGCAGGAGGCAGAGGCTGCAGTCAGCCGAGATGGCACCACTGCACTCCAGCCTGGGCGACAGAATGGGACTCTGTCTCAAAAAAAGAAGGCAGTATATACGGCAGCAGAAGATAATAAAAACAGTATATTTAATAGCACATTATATGATTGTTTTATATGATTGACAACATAATGGTTGATAATGCTGGTTCTAGAGGCCAGGTTCGAATCTGAGTTTGAATCCTGCCCCCAACACTTACTAGTGGGAACTTGTGTAAGTTACCCGCCCTCACTAAGCTTATTTTCCCATGACATAGGGATAATTGTTTCTTTCTCCCAGTGTGGTAGTGGATGTTAGGAGTTAGTACAAGGTTGTTCCTCTATCCTTCCTGAAGATGTGGTTTTAAAACCATTAGATGGAGTAAGCAAAGTATGCACCTGTGCTGGGGTATGGGGGTAGTCACAGTGGTCTGAATGGAGTGAGGAGAACATCCACATAAGAGAGCAGCCAGTGTGGGGTGTCAGAGCCTGAGCAGGAGGAGGAAGGTATCTACATAGGAGGGCAGGCAAACATGGGAAGTTGGTGCCTGAGGAGGTGAGGATGGTGATCACGCATGGCGAGGGGCAGCCCAGCACCAGCCATTGGAGCCCAAGTAGGATGAAGCATCCCCAGAGGGTGGCCTGACAGGGAGTGTTGGAGCCTGAGTGGGGTTAAGAGGGTGTCCACACTGCGGGGAAGAGGGTGGCCTGCTGTGGAGTGTCAGAGCCTAAAGGAAGCAAGGAGGATGTCCATGCAGAATGACCTGGCACACGGTGTCAGAACCTGAATGGAATGAAGAAGAAATGCAGGGGAGGGGACAATGGCAGGAAGGGAAATTTGTTACAAGGGCACTAATCAAAGGAATCAACCTATAATAATGAGCATACTTAATGCTCAGGTTTTAGTTTCTAGAAACTGCTTCCCACTAAAGGAATCAGGATCCCTTCGAACATTGGCTATTTTCAGTCTTCTTCACTATAGTAACTGGTAGACACCATCTTATTACAATCCAGTGATCAAACAACTATCGTTAGCAACTGGAAAATCAAAATCAGGTGCCACATGATAAGATGCAAAGAAAAGATGCATTCTGTGATATTCTTACCAAAGCCACATAACCTGAATCTAGTAATCAGGAAATATCAGACAAACCACATTGAGGAACAAAGTGGCCTGCAATGTTCAAGAGTGTCAAGGCCACAGAAAGATCTCCATGATAAATTGCTGAGAAAGACAAGGCACCGAATAATTTGCAAAATATGCTGCCTCTGTATAAAAAGAGAAAGAAGGGGATAACAAGCTATCCATTTCTGTGTATGTGCATAAGTATACTGGAGGGCTCCTAAGATACTAAGAACACGGGTTGCCTATGGGTGTAGTGGGAACTACACTGAGGGCAGACAATGATGAGATGTTTCACTATGCATTTTTTAAAAACTTTTAATTATGAAATTCACATATTAACCATTTCAAAGTATACAATTGAGTGGCATATAGTACATTCACAATGTTATTGCAACCACCACCTCTATATAATTCCAAAACATTTTTGCAAGTTCATTTATTTGTTTGTTTGTTTTGGGATGGAGTCTCGCCCTGTCACCCAGTTTGGAGTGCAGTGGTGCAGCCTCGGCTCACTGCTAACCTCCGTCTCCTGGGTTCAAGCGATTCTCCTGGTTCAGCCTCCTGAGTAGCTGGGATTATAGGCACATGCCACTACACCCAGCTAATTTTTGTATTTTTAGTACAGACGGGGTTTCACCATGTTGGCCAGGCTGGTCTTGAACTCCCGACCCCAAGTGATCTGCCTGCCTCGGCCTCCCAGAGTGCTGGGATTTCAGGCATGAGCCACTGTGCCCAGCCCATTTTCACAACTTTAAAAGAAAACTCTGTAGTCATTAAGCAGTTCCTCCCTATCTTCCTTCTCTCCTAGCCCATGGCAACCCTCAGTCTGCTTTCTATCTCTATAAATTTACCTGTTTTGGATATTTCATATAAATAGAAACAACATGTGACCTTTTATATCTGGCTTTCACTAAGTGTAATGTCTCTGAGCTTCACCCACATTGTAGCTTGTTGTAGTAGTAGTACTTCATTCCTTTTAATGTATGAGTATGATTCCACTGTATGTATATACCACATTTTGTTTATCCCTGCACCTGTTAATGGACATTTGGGTTGTTTCCACCTTTTGGCTACTGTGAATTTTGCTGCTATGAGCATTTGTGTACAAGTATTTGTTTGAATACCTGTTTTCAATTTCTTTGGACATATACCTAGGGGTGTGGAATTGCTGGGTCATATCATAATTTTACACAGAACTTTTTTTGAGGAACTGCCAAACTTTTCCACAGCAGCTGCGCCATTTTATATTCCCACCGGCAATGTATGAAGGTTCCAATTTCTCCACGTTCTCACCAACAATTTGTTATTTTCCGTTTTTGTTGTTGTTTTAATTATAGCCATGCTAGTGGCTATAAAGCAGTATCTCATTGTGGTTTTGATTTGCATTTTCCTAATGACTAATGATGCTGAGAATCTTTTCATTTGCTCATTGGCCATTTGTATATCTTCTTTGGAGAAATATCTGTTCAAATCCTACATACCCTTTTAATGTTCTATTTTTGGAACTTTTGAATGTATTGCCTACTAAAATAAAAGAAAAAGTCATTTAATTGTCTTGGATCTTATTTTCTTCCTTTATACACTGTAGGGATTGGGCTAGATCAGAGTTTTCAACCTTGATATTATTGACATTTTGGACCAAATAATTCTTTTTTCTTTATTTTTCTTTTTTTCTTTTTTTGAGACCCCGTTTTTTTGAGACGGGGTCTCTCTCTCACCTAGGCTGAAATGCAATGGCTCAATCTTGGCTCACTGCAACCTCCACCTCCCGGGCTCTAGTGATCCCCCCATCTCTGCCTCCCAAGTAGCTGGAACCACAGGTGTGCACCACCATGCCCAGCTAATTGTTTGTATTTTTGGTAGAGACAGGTTTTCGCCATGTTGTCCAGGCTGGTCTTGAACTCCTGAGCTCAAGCAATCTGCCTGCCTCGGCTTCCCAAAGTGCTGGGATTACAGGAGTGACCCACCGCAACCAGCCACAAATAATTCTTATTTTGTGACTTGTCCTGTGCATAATAGGTTGCTTAGCAGCATCCTTGGCCTCTACCCATTAAATGCCAGTAGTCCCTCCCCCACCCAGGTTTGACAACCAAAAATGTCTCCAGGCATTGCCAAATGTCCCCTGGGGAGCACAGTTGCCCCTGGTTGAGGACCACTGGAGATCAATGGCCCCACAGGCCCCTGAACCTGGATCAGTTTGCAGGTAGTGTTGTGGCTTTGCAAACTATTTTCAAAAACAAAGAAAAATAACCAACAAATTGTACATTTATTTTAATAAAGACACTATAGACTAAGACCTCATGTGTCTTTGCTTTTGCTTGGAATGAAGTCACCTTAAAATACGAATACTGGTGGATCATCATGGGTCAGAAGCTCTGACTGGCATTTATTTATGTATCTGATTATTAAAATGGGAAACAAATTTTAAATAAGTAATGTCTTTGAGTTTTGTAAATCATAGATTCAATCTGTGGGGGCGAGTAGATAATAAAAGAAGTCTGTGGATGAAATGGCTGGAAACCACTCAAGTAGATGATCAGTGTTCAATACTGACTTTAAACACTTTTCTGTTTTTTGCCATGGTTCCAGCGGGTGGCAGTGGTGAATTTGGAATAAGAGTTCTGTTTGCCACATAAGCACTTCAAAGTTAATCAGTACAAATAGGACTTCACTGTTCTCAAAACACTAAAGGAAACAAAACAAAACCTCATGGAATTTTCCCCATAGTATCCTGTGCCATACAGTCTCCCCCCACCTCCTTCACCCCTCAAATGTCTCCATTGAATCCAATTTTAAAAAATAAAGCTTATTCTACTTCCTCATCTATTACCCTGTTGCCAGAGGTATCTGACCTCCTTTCCTTCAAAACAAACCGAAGACCTGGACATTTTAGTTGGATATGGGTAACCTTTGTTGGTTACCCATGACTAGCAGCCTAAAACAAACTCCTTCATCTCTTTCCCTTCTGTCCCATGAACCGCAAAGCTGGCCCTTGCACCGCCGGCCATGCTTTTTCTCACAACTCCACGTACTTACACAGGACGTTCTTACCACCTAGAAATCCCTCCCCATTTGCTTTGCCTGAAAAATGCCTCCTCATCTAATCTCCATGGCCCCACTCAAATGGGCACTTCATATCTGAAGCTTTCTCTGACTTCCCTAGGTAACTAATTGTTCTGTCACATGGGCTCTACCCCACCTGTTTTAGCACTAACTACACTCTCTTTTAGAGAAAAAGGTATTTTATTCATTAACCCTTTGTTGCTATTACTAGTCATTTACTAGCACATAATTAGTTCCCTGGCACATAATGGCAAATTTCTGGAATGAATAAATTAATGAATAACTGACTTGAGAGACTTGGACTTTAAAAATTTGCACCAATTCAAACATATATATATATATGCCAAAAAAAAGGGGGGTGGAATCAGGGTGTCCACCCTTCTTACTCAAAAGAATGGAATATACTGAACAGTAGAGCATTCTCCTGCATCAGCCTCCCGAGTAGCTGGGACTACAGGCGCCCGCCACTGCGCCCGGCTAACTTTTTTTGTATTTTTAGTAGAGACGGGGTTTCACCGTGTTCGCCAGGATGGGCTCGATCTCCTGACCTTGTGATCCACCCGCCTCGGCTTCCCAAAGTGCTGGGATTACAGGCATGAGCCACCGCGCCCGGCCCTAGATAGCCTATATATTCTATTGGCTCCATTACTTGTGCTATTAGCCTTAACTTCTTGATTAGGGAACTATCTGCCAGGTTTCTTCATTGCAAAGTTACCTTTTAAAATTGTATTATTAAGAAGTATTTTGTGAAGGTACTTTGAGGCTATGTAGTTATCTCATTCCTCCTCAAACTTTCACCTACTGCATATTAGCATCCACTGTATTTCTGAGCTAAATCAGTTACTTATGCTGGCTGCCAAATGGTGATTTTCTGACTCCATCATTTCTTCTCCATGCATCAGTTGGCATTCCACTGTAAGAAAAGCTTTCTCCTTTTCCCACTTATTTATATCAGTATGGACTCATAGATTCTATTTTATTTAGTGGGTTAATCATGTCATGATTACTTATTTTGATGCTCTTTATTTTAAGGACTCATGAATTTCTATTTTATTACATGAATTTATAATCTGTTACTATTGTTATTTCTCTGCCTTAATTGTCACATATTTGGACAGGGGGATCCCCCATTAAGCTGTCTTCTGTGTTCTTTTGACATGTCATCCTCATTCTTTGAGCATTTCCTTATTTTCTGTCCCAATAAGATGTTCCCTGTCCCAAACCTGGAATCAGTCAATTCTCCAAAAAACACTGCTTCGTTTTAGTGGAGAATGGCATTTAGGAAACTAAAGATTGGTCTAGACAATAGGCACGCTCCTTGGTAGGGGGGTGTTGGTGCTTCCAGTCCCTCTCACTGGACAAAACTAGAGAACGTATGCATGTGTATACATACATACATGCATGCATATATGACCATATCCATACTTGTTTCAATATCGCTATTGAAAATTCCAGTTCAACACCACATGGCTTATTTTAGTTTTTTCAGTTTCCATATTTGTAGTCCCTTCCCCAACAGTTAGAAAACTGTCTCCCTTCATCCTCAATTTGTTTACTTATCTGATCAATCCCCTCCATGTAACCAAACTTCCATCACCACTACCATCCCCCCTCCCACCCAACCCAGCAAGACAGCCTTGCCTGACTCTAACAGCATGAACTGGGCCACCACTCCAGAGCGCGCTGACCTCCCCATTCCCACTTTGCTCAGCCCCACCTCATACTTTTAGACAGGATTATTCAGAAATGAAGGATAGACAGAAGCAAACTATAAATCCCCTTTAAACTGATGTTTATAATAAAAACTAATACAAAAGAAAAAATATAGAGGGAAAGAATTTTAATTTTTTCTGGACACCCTCCAATTGTTTCAGTATACCAGTATTCCAAGTAAATAAAAAAAAAATTTAGTCAAGCTTTATTATGTGATACTATTTTAATGTGAAAATTGTGAGGAAGGGCTATTCTTCTTATTCTTTTCCAGTTTCCTTTTCTCTTTCCATTTCTTTTTTTTTTTTTTTTTTTGAGACAGAGTCTTGCTCTGTTGCCCAGGCTGGACTGCAATGGTGCGATTTCAGCTCACTGCAAACTTTGCCTCCTGGGTTCAAGAGATTCTCCTGCCTCAGCCTCCCAGGTAGCTGGGATTACAGTCATGCATCACCACACCTGGCTAATTTTTGTATTTTTAGTTGAGACAGGGTTTCAACATGTTGGCTAGGCTGGTCTCGAACTCCTGACCTCAGATGATCCGCCTGCCTTGGCTTCCAAAGTGCTAGGATTACAAGCATGAGCCACCATGCCTAGCCTTCCATTTCTATTCTATCTCTTCTATTTCATGGGTGGCCGAAATAAGAGCAAAGGAATTATATCACAAATTGATCTAATAAAATACACAATGCTAGAAAAATCATTTGAGAAGTGTGTGACTGAAGGTAAAAAAAAATCTCTTATAAAAAATCATATAGTCAATATTTTAAGAGAAGTTCATAAATATGGTGATTAACTCTTAGGAAAGAACCTATTATTTATCAGTATATTAAAGTCTTACTGAAGTAAAGTAAACAGGATAGACTGGTAGATTTTAAGGCAAATTAAAGCAAAAAGATTAAGGATGAGAGAGGGAGCTGTTATTTATGGAAGGAGACTTAGTTAGGATTGAGGAAAGGAACTATAATTTATAGAGGGTAATTAGGTTGGGATTATGCTCAGCTATGATTAACAAAGACCCAAATTAAGGATGATTTAAACCAGTTGAATCATACAGTTTGGATATATGTCCCCCTAAATCTTATGCTGAAATGTAATCCCCAAAGTTGGAGATGGGGCTTAGTGAGAGGTGTTTGGGTCACGAGGGCAGATCCTTTATGGCTTGATGCTGTCCTCATGATATTGAGTGAGTTCCTGCGAGATCTGGTTGTTTAAAAGTGTGTGGCACCTCCAGGTCCTCTCTCTCTTGCTCCCCTTCCTGCCATGTGAGACGCCGCCATTCCCTCTTTGCCTTTTGCCATGGTTGGAAGCTTCCTGAGGCCTCCCCAGAAGCTGATGCCGGCGCTATGCTTTTTGTACAGCCTGCAGAACTGTGAGCCAATTAAACATCTTTTCTTATAAATTACCCAGCCTCAGATATATCTCTGTAGTAACACAAGAAGTGCCTAACAAAAAGAAAGTTTATTGACCTCTTTTGTAAAGGTGAATAGTTCAATACTGGGGTGACGCTTTGCTGCTTGAAATCTTCAGAGACCCTGACTGCCCCTAGCTTTTGATCTGCCCTCTTAGGCTATGACCCTCATCTTCATCATCCCAGATGGAGCTCTAACTACCACATACGTAGTCGAAGGGTTAAATGGAGGAAGGAGGGAAAAAAGGGCAAGCACCAGCTATCTTTAAAGGAAATTTTCTGGAAGTGGCTGCACAATTCTTTTCCTCATAGCATGTTGACCAGAACCTGGTCACACGGCCACACTGGCTGCAAGGGAGGATGGAAAAGGATTCTTACAGTCCCAGTGGCCCTATGCCCTGCTGAGAATCAGGGGTTCTAACACCAGTAGGCTGTTTGGGGTAGGCAACCATTGATCTCTATTGCCAGAGGGTCTACTGGATGTTGTCTATTTCCTTATCATAAAATGGGTTAAATTGGCCTGGTGCATGGCACATGCCTGTAATCCCAACACTTTGGGAGGCTGAGGCAGGCAGATGACTTGAGGTCACGAGTTTGAGACCAGCCTGGACAACATGGTGAAACCCCATCTCTACAAAAATACAAAAATTAGCCAGGTGTGGTGGCACATGCCTGTAATCCCAGCTCCTTGGGAGGCTGAGGAAGAAGAACTGCTTGAACCCGGGAGGCAGAGGTTGTGAGCCGAGATCACGCCACTGTACTCCAGCCTGGGTGACAGAGTGAGTCACATAGAGTGAGACTCTATCTCAAAAATAAATAAATAAATAAATAATTTTTAAAATGGGTTAAATATTATTAACAGGGTTAAACAAGGTAACAACAGCTAATACTTATACTTCTTATATTCCAGGGATTTCAGGTGAAAAACCTGTTTATAATTATCTTATACTTTTTAACATAATTTTTTTTGCTCTTAACACTGCATTTTTCAAAAATACAATTATCATGTAAATTCAGAGAAGACTATGCTTGCTTTTGTTTAGAGTTTTACTAACAGTTTTCACTATTTCAGAAAAGTATTGACAATGCTGCAAGCTGCACTTGAATCACCAAGATAACATCCATGGCTCTGTTTACAGGTTCAAACAGTTGACTACTTTGTGAGGTTTTCTAGTGTAAAAGTACTTGAGCGTTTGCATATTTTTATGATCAATTATTTTACATTTATCTCTGCTTGATGCTACAGTTTAGGCATTATATTTATTTTAAAATTACATGTGTACGTAGGTTGTATTCTGTATGAATTTCACTTGATAGTACAGAACAGAACTGCTGCTAGCATATAAGGTGCCTCTGTACAAATAAGAGGCCCCCTCTGAGTGGAGGAATTAGGAAAAGGCACCCCTTCTTTGGGGTTGATGTAGCCCCCTGTCAGGGTGCATGACTAGGCAACAAAGTGCACCTAGAATTTGCCCCCCATCTACCACCTGTGTAACTGTAGATGGCAAGCCCCTTTAAAGGCAGCATGAAAAAAAATACTTTTTTTTGAGACAGAGTCTTGCTTTGTTGCCCAGGCTGGAGTGCAATGGCATGATCTTGGCTCACTGCAACCTCCGCCTCCCCAGTTCAAGCAATTCTCCTGCCTCAGTCTCCCTAGTAGCTGGGACTACAGGTGTATGCTACCACGCCTGGCTAATTTTTGTATTGAAAAAATACTTCTTGTAGAAGATAGGCATTGGGTCTGATGGGGCTGATGATTACTAATTTAAAAAGATAGTCAAGGATTGAACCTGGAAATACTTCCATGTTTAGAGGTGTAGTAAGTGGACCCAACAGTTAGGAAGAAACCAAGAGAGTAGTGTACTAGAAACCAAGTGAAGACAGTACTGTAAGAAGAGAAAGTGATCCATTGCATCAAAGGCTGCTGTTAACCAGTGCTTTGGGAGGCCAAGGTGGGCGGATCACTTGAGGTCAGGATTTCAAGACCAGCCTGGGAAACATGGCGAAACCATCTCTACTAAAAATACAAAAATTAGCTGGGCGTGGTGGCACACGCCTGTAATCCTAGCTACTTGGGAGGCTGAGGTGCGAGAATTGCCTGGGAAGCGGAGGTTGCAGTGAGCCAAGACCATGCCACTGCACTCCAGCCTGGGAGACAGAACGAGACCCTGACTCAAAAAAAAAAAAAAAATCAAGACAGATGAAAACTCATTCTGTCCACTAGAGTAGGCCATGTGGGGGTCACTGATGATCTTTACAAGAGCACCCAGTGAGGTAGTAGGATTGAAAGCTTGATTGACATGGATTTAGGTGGAAACATAGGGAGAAGTGAAGAAGGTAAGTATAGACAACTCTGGCGCTAGAGACTAAGGAGCTGAGGGTCTGTGCAAGGGAGTGTTGATACATAAGTCAATGAATAACAAAAATAATATTAGGTAGTGATTTACACTTTGAAGAAAAATATGTAAAATAGCACCCAAGGGACTGGGGCTCTAGTATTCATTCAGTCATTAGACTCTTTGAGTCCTTGAACAGGTCACCTTTACCTCATTGGGTCTCAGTTTCCTCAACTGAAAAAAATACAAAGGTTGAACTTGGTGACTTCTTTTATCTTTAGCATCTGTTATTCTATATATTGAAAAATAGCTTCCAAACAAACGAGTTCACGCTTTACCATCTTGTACAAGGTATTTAGCCTCCCTATATCTTCATTTCTTCTAGTATTTTATTTTATTTTACACTTGATCTTAGCCAAAAAGCCAAGAAGCAATATTTTATTTTATTTTGAGACAGAGCCTCACTCTGTCACCCAGGCTGGATTGCAGTGCACTATCACGGCTCACTCCAGCCTCAAACTCCCAGGCTCAGGTGATCCTTCTACCTCAGCGTTCCAAGTAACTGAAACTACAGGCACAGCCACCACACCCAGCTAATTTTTGTATTTTTTGTAGAGACGGAGTTTTGCCATGTTGGCCAGGTTGGTCCCGGACTACTAGGCTCACGTGATCTGCTTGCCTCAGAGTCCCAAAGTGCTGGGATTGCAGGCACAAGTCACCGCATCTGGCCAGTTTCTTCTATTTTAAAACTGTGGATCAGCTCTCCCGTCTCCCTCTCCCTCTCCCGTCTCCCTCTCCCTCTCCCGTCTCCCTCTCCCTCTCCCGTCTCCCTCTCCCTCTCCCGTCTCCCTCTCCCTCTCCCGTCTCCCTCTCCCTCTCCCGTCTCCCTCTCCCTCTCCCGTCTCCCTCTCCCTCTCCCGTCTCCCTCTCCCTTTCCCGTCTCCCTCTCCCTCTCATGCCGAGCCAAAGCTGGACGGTACTGCTGCCATCTCGGCTCACTGCAACCTCCCTGCCTGATTCTCCTGCCTCAGCCTGCCGAGTGCCTGCGATTGCAGGCGCGCGCCGCCACGCCTGACTGGTTTTCGTTTTTTTTTGGTGGAGATGGGGTTTCGCTGTGTTGGCCGGGCTGGTCTCCAGCTCCTAACCGCGAGTGATCCGCCAGCCTCGGCCTCCCGAGGTGCCGGGATTGCAGATGGAGTCTCGTTCACTCAGTGCTCAATGGTGCCCAGGCTGGAGTGCAGTGGCGTGATCTCGGCTCGCTACAACCACCTCCCAGCCGCCTGCCTTGGCCTCCCAAAGAGCCGAGATTGCAGCCTCTGCCCGGCCGCCACCCCGTCTGGGAAGTGAGGAGCGTCTCTGCTTGGCCACCCATCGTCTGGGATATGAGGAGCCCCTCTGCCTGGCTGCCCAGTGTGGAAAGTGAGGAGCGTCTCTGCCCGGCCGCCATCCCATCTAGGAAGCGAGAAGCGCCTCTTCCCCGCCGCCATCCCATCTAGGAAGTGAGGAGCGTCTCTGCCCGGCCGCCCATCGTCTGAGATGTGGGGAGCACCTCTGCCCCACCGCCCTGTCTGGGATGTGAGGAGCGCCTCTGCTGGGCCGCAACCCTGTCTGGGAGGTGAGGAGTGTCTCTGCCCGGCCGCTCCGTCTGAGAAGTGAGGAAACCCTCTGCCTGGCAACCGCCCCGTCTGAGAAGTGAGGAGCCCCTCCGTCTGGCAACCACCCCGTCTGGGAAGTGAGGAGCGTCTCCGCCCGGCAGCCACCCCGTCCGGGAGGGAGGTGGGGGGGGTCAGCCCCCCGCCCGGCCAGCCGCCCCGTCCGGGAGGTGAGGGGCTCCTCTGCCCGGCCGCCCCTACTGGGAAGTGAGGAGCCCCTCTGCCCGGCCAGCCGCCCCGTCCGGGAGGGAGGCGGGGGGGGGGGGGTCGGCCAGCCGCCCCGGCCGGGAGGTGAGGGGCTCCTCTGCCCGGCCGCCCCTACTGGGAAGTGAGGAGCCCCTCTGCCCGGCCAGTCGCCCCGTCCAGGAGGGAGGTGGGGGGGTCAACCCCCCGCCCGGCCAGCCGCCCAGTCCGGGAGGGAGGTGGGGGGTCAGCCCCCCGCCTGGCCAGCCGCCCCGTCCGGGAGGTGAGGGGCGCCTCTGCCCGGCCGCCCCTACTGGGAAGTGAGGAGCCCCTCTGCCCGGCCAGCCGCCCCGCCCAGGAGGGAGGTCGGGGGGTCAGCCCCCCGCCTGGCCAGCCGCCCCATCCGGGAGGGAGGTGGGGGGGTCAGCCCCCCGCCCGGCCAGCCGCCCCGTCCGGGAGGGGGGGGGGGGTCAGCCCCCTGCCCGGCCAGCCGCCCCGTCCGGGAGGGAGGTGGGGGGGGTCAGCCCCCCGCCCGGCCAGCCGCCCCGTCCGGGAGGGAGGTGGGGGGATCAGCCCCCTGCCTGGCCAGCCGCCCCGTCCGGGAGGTGAGGGGCGCCTCTGCCCGGCCGCCCCTACTGGGAAGTGAGGACCCCTCTGCCCGGCCAGCCGCCCCGTCCGGGAGGGAGGTGGGGGGGGTCAGCCCCCCGCCCGGCCAGCCGCCCCGTCCGGGAGGGAGGTGGGGGGATCAGCCCCCTGCCTGGCCAGCCGCCCCGTCCGGGAGGTGAGGGGCGCCTCGGCCCGGCCGCCCCTACTGGGAAGTGAGGACCCCTCTGCCCGGCCAGCCGCCCCGTCCGGGAGGGAGGTGGGGGGAACAGCCCCCCGCCCGGCCAGCCGCCCTATCCAGGAGGTGAGGGGCGCCTCTGCCCGGCCGCCCCTACTGGGAAGTGAGGAGCCCCTCTGCCTGGCCAGCCGCCCCGTCCGGGAGGGCGGTGGGGGGGTCAGCCCCCCTCCCGGCCAGCCGCCCCATCTGGGAGGTGAGGGGCACTTCTGCCGGGCCGCCCCTACTGGGAAGTGAGGAGCCCCTCTGCCCGGCCACGACCCCGTCTGGGAGGTGTGCCCAGCGGCTCATTGGGGATGGGCCATGATGACAATGGCGGTTTTGTGGAATAGAAAGGCGGGAAGGGTGGGGAAAAAATTGAGAAATCGGATGGTTGCGGGGTCTGTGTGGATAGAAGTAGACATGGGAGACTTTTCATTTTGTTCTGTACTAAGAAAAATTCTTCTGCCTTGGGATCCTGTTGATCTGTGACCTTATCCCCAACCCTGTGCTCTCTGAAACATGTGCTGTGTCCACTCAGGGTTAAATGGATTAAGGGCGGTGCAAGATGTGCTTTGTTAAACAGATGCTTGAAGGCAGCATGCTCGTTAAGAGTCATCACCACTCCCTAATCTTAAGTACCCAGGGACACAAACACTGCGGAAGGCCGCAGGGTCCTCTGCCTAGGAAAACCAGAGACCTTTGTTCACTTGTTTATCTGCTGACCTTCCCTCCACTATTGTCCTATGACCCTGCCAAATCCCCCTCTGCGAGAAACACCCAAGAATGATCAATAAAAATAAAAAATAAAAAATAAAAAAAAAAAAAAAAAAAAAAAAAAAACTGTGGACATGTATAAAGACGTTCATGGTCAATACTAGTGAAGTGGCTAAATAATACTTCAATTGGCAACAATATTTTCATATGATAAAATTTAATACAGGCTGGGCACCATGGCTCACACCTGTAATCCCAGCACTTTGGGAGGCTGAGGTGAGTGGATCACCTGTGGCCAGGAGTTCAAGACTAGCCTGGCCAACATGATGAAACCCTGTCTCTACTAAAAGTACAAAAAAATTAGCTGGGCATGGTGGTGGGCACCTGTAATCCCAGCTACTCAGGAGGCTGAGGCAGGAGAATCTCTTGAACCTGAGAGGCAGAGGTTGCAGTGAGCCTAGATCACACAATTTTACTCCAGCCTGGGCAACAAGAGCGAAACTCCACCTCAAAAAAAAAAAAAAAAAGTAATGCCATAATTTAAAATAATATTTACAAAGATTCTAATGACATGGGAAAATATAAGACATCAAAATATGTAAATAAATATTAATAATGTCAAAATATGGACATTTGAATATATGTGTCTAGAAAAACAGACTAAAAATAAACACCAAAATGTTATTAGTTGTTATGTTTAGGTTATGGGATTTGGGATGGTTAAATTTTCTTTATAATTTCCCGGGTTTTTCATTTTAAAAAATTTTGCCATTAGAAAGTGTGCCCTTGATAATAGAGAGATTATTTTTTAACTCAGTTAGCGTTAGGTCTTTAACATTTATGAATGCTTATGCCCATAACTATTCGTTCACAATTATGTTCCATACGATGGATTTACAGAATATGGTCACCATGACCCTGAAGTCACTTGCATACACACTAATTTAAACATGTAAATGTTCATTCAAGAATATATTCATCTGGCCAGGTGCAGTGGCTCACACCTGTAATCCCAACACTTTGGGAGGCCGAGGCAGGCGGATAACGAGGTCAGGAGTTTGAGACCAGCCTGGCCAACATGGTGAAACCCCATCTCTACTAAAAATACAAAAATTAGCTGGGCATGGTGATGCATGCCTATAATCCCAGCTACTGGGGAGGCTGAGGCAGGAGAATGGCTTGAACCCAGGAGGCAGAGTTTGCAGTGAGCCATGATCGTGCCACTGCACTCCAGCCTGGGTGATAGAGCAAGACTCCATCTCAAAAAAAAAAAAAAAAAAAAAAAAAGAATATATTTATCTGAGGAGATTAGCCAGTGAATCTTTCCTTTAAGAGGTGGTGGAAATGTATTCATTTTTAAAGTTAGCATTGGTAATATTAGAATAATAATAATCTAAACAATATCTTGTGCTATAGTCAGGTGTGAGCAGGGAAGGAGAGGGCTCCCCCACTACTCACACACCAGGTGTGTCGGGAGGCCATCCTGTGAGGTCAGGCGGTTGTTAACTGTTTCTCTACAGTAATAATTGGTCACAGCTGGCACTAGGGAAAGACAGTCTCGTACCAGATAGAAAACAGCTGAAACTGGTGATCAGCAGCTTCCGGATCAGATCTCAGCGTTGGATGAGCAGGAGAAGCAACGCAAGACCTCGGAAGCCTGCCAAGGTATAAAACCCCAAGTCAAAAGTTCAAACCGTGCTGGTCTTTCAAATCGCCCGCTTGGCCCTCTTTCAAGTGTACTTTCCTTCCTTTCCTTCCTGCTCTAAAGCTTTTGAATAAACTTTCACGCCTGCTCTAAAACTTGTCTTGGTCTCTCCTTCTGCCCCTCAGTCAAATTGTTTCTTCTGAGGAGGCAAGAATTGAGGTTGCTGCAGACCCAGATGGATATGGATTCTCCACCGCTAACAGGGCTATATACACAATTAATATTAATCATTCTGTTATAATCAAAATCATCCAGCAGAATTTCAGAATCTTGCAAAAGTTGACCATAATGTATCATATGGTCTTTTCCTCAAACCTCCTCCCCCCTCACCGCCGCCCTTTGTTTTAAGACAGTGTCCCACTCTGTCGCACAGGCTAGAGAGCAGGGGTGTGATCACAGCTTACTGCAGCCTCAAGCTCCCGGGCGCAAGTGATCCTCCCATCTCAGTCTCCCAAGTAGCTGGAACTACACCCATCACACACATTTTAAAATGTTTTATTAAGACAGGGTCTCATTACATTGCCTAGGCTGGTCTTGAACTCCTTGGCTTAAGGAATCCTCTTGCCTCAACCTCCCAAAGTGCTGGGATTACAAGCCTGAGCCACTGAACCTCTCCCTCTCTCCCTCTCTCCTCCCTCATCTCTCTCTCCCTCTCTCCCTCTCTCCTCCCTCTCACATCTCTCCCTTTCTCCTCCCTCCCTCTCTCCTCCCTCCCTCTCTCCATCTCTCTTCCCTCCCTCTCTCATCCCTCTCTCTCTCCTCCCTCTCTCCACCTTCTCTCCTCCCTCTCCGCCCTCTCTCCCTCTCCGCCCTCTCTCCCTCTCCTCCCTCTCTCCATCTTTCCCTCTCTCGTTTCTCTCTCCTGCTCTCATCCCTCTCTCCCTCTTTCTCTCTCTCCTCCCTCTCTCCACCCTCTCTCCTCCCTCTCTCCTCCCTCTCTCCCTCTCTCCCTCCTCCCTCTCTCCCTCTCCGTTTCTTCCTCTTTCCCTCTCTCCTTGTCTCTCTCCTCCCTCTCTCCCTCTCTCTCTCCTGCATCTATCCCTCTTTCCCTCTCTCCTCCCTCTCTCCCTCCCTCATCCCTCTCTCCCTCCCTCACCCTTCTCTCCCTCTTTCTCTCTCTCCTCCCTCTCTCCACCCTCCCCCTCTCTCTCCTCCCTCTCTCCCCGTCTCCTCCCTCTCTCCCTCTTTCCCTCTCTCCTCCCTCTCTCCCTCTTTCCCTCTCTCCTCCCTCTCTCCCTCTTTCCCTCTCTCCTCCCTCTCCTCTCCATCTCCTCCCTCTCTGCTCTCTCTCTTTCATTCTCAGGTTGCACACACTTACACTCCAAAGACTTATCTTTTAAGCACACTTCACCAGTAAACAAGGAAGCTGGCATTAACTCAAGCCAACACATTCCCTGCTTTCTGGACATTATAACATCTTGAGCCACAGTCCCTTCTGCATCTGAGTAAGTTTCCAGTATTTACCCACATTTCTGGCTGAGTTAACTCTCTCCTGCTGGGCAAGAAGATGAAAGTGAGATGAGATGGGGAGAGGAAATGTATAGAATGTGGATTTTAAACCAAGTATCTTCACCTATCCAAATAGGAACAGGACAGATATTTAGCCTTCCCTGAGCAGACGGGATGAAATAGGTAGTGAAGATCCTCTTTTTATTTGGACATAACGTTTGAAGTAGTTTCAGAGTGAAGAATTCAAGATTGTTTCCCTACTGCTGTTCAAAGTCTGTTTGCTACTTAATTACATTCACGAATGCTCATTCATAAATCGTTTGAAGAGATTAACTGGAATGATGCCCAAGGCAGCATATGCCTTTTCCAGGCAAGAATAAGGATACACTCAAGTATGTGAATATGGACAATAGGCAAGCCAGCATAATGACACACTTGTTTCATGAGTCATTTTAATTAAATAATACATGAGCAAATACTGAGTAAGGCCTTACTCCATGACAAATAATAGGAATTTGTATGAGATCAAAGAAGATCATGTTTTCATAGATAATTTGATATATTTGTGGTCCATTTGTGGGGAAAAGAGGATATTCTGTTCTTAATCATTTCATTCTGGATTATAATAAATCTGCATTCATATAAACTTGACTAATTTGGACTTTATGGGAATTCCATTAGAGCTGAATTTATCATTGTTCTCTGAAAAGAAAATCTTGCTAAGAAAGTTACTTGTGTAAACAAGAATGCACTGCACATGTATCCCAGAACTTAAAGTAAAAAATTTAAAAATCCCAGAAAAATAGAATGCAGAAGAAATCATTAGGAATTTGCAAAGAATATTTTCTGACTTTTAAAAGGCATCCTTGATATCATCAAAATGTATAGTTGCAATAGAAACAAAAGCCTGCGAGTTCTAGTTATATCACCTGATACTCATCATTGCCACTCTTTACTCTTCTTCTCACTTAGCAATATATCATGAACATTTTCACATGTCAATATATATTATTTTACAACAAGATTTTTAATAGCTGCATGATATTGCATCTCATGTTCTACCATCATTTATTTAACCCATTGTTGGACGCTCAACCTGGTTATGACTTTTTTGTAATTGTAATGGCGCCGTGAACATCCTTATCAGTATTTATTTGTGTGTACCTCTTTGATTGTGTTCTTAGGGTAAAGTCTTAAAAATAAGATTGTTTGATCATAGGATATGTTTAATTAAGGCTTTTAAGGTATTCCCAAATTAAAGGGCTGGAAGTCAGAGGGCAAGGGATTCCACTGATAGAGTCCATAGATTAACCTCCTGTGACAGAGCAAGGCAGAGAAGGACAAAGAATGCATCTCGAGAGGCTATCACAAGTCATTCAGCATCCTCCTTCCCCAAACTAGAGCCTCCTTGCTGCATTTTTTCTGTAAAGCTTATTTCCTATTCATGTATCCTATAATATATTTATTTATTATAATAATTATTATTTTTTGAGACGGAGTCTCTCTGTCACCCAGGCTGGAGTGCAGTGGCACCATCTCGCCTCACTGCAACCTCCACCTCCAGGGTTCAAGCAATTCTCCTGCCTCAGCCTCTGGAGTAGCTGGGATTACAGGTGTGCACCACCACACCTGGCTAATATTTTTTGTATTTTTAGTACAGATGGGGTTTCACCATGTTGACCAGGCCATTCTCAAATTCCTGACCTCAGGTGATCCACCCACCTTGGACTTCCAAAGTGCTGGGATTACAGGCATGAGCCACAGCACCTGGCCAATTTATTATTTATTTTAATTATTATCTGTTTGCCTTCACTAAACTGTTAGGTCTACCAGGTCAGGAATTGGCTTTTTAATTCATTGCTGAATATCCAGTGCCTAAGCAAATGCCATGTACATCATAAACAATAATTCTGTTTTTAATGAATAAGTAAAACAAAGGGATTGGTAGTCCTGCTAGATTATGTACCAGTCAGATCACCTTTGAAGTATTCCGGTCAGGCCAGGCCCTACCTGGAGAGGAATATTGACACACTGACAAGTGGTCTTTAAGTGTGTCCTGGGCAGAATGATTGAAGAAACTCTAATTGTTTGGTTTGGAAAAGAGAAGGGAGTTAGGGATAGGAAAGCTTGTCTATCTTAAAATATTCAACTCTCTTAAAACATTAAAAAGCCTTTCATATGAAAAATATTTGGGCTTATAACCTGTGCCAAAGGATGGAAATTGTTGACTTTTGCTCAGCCTAAGAAAGAGCTTGTTCGCATTTAGAGGTGCATAAGAATTGAATAGGCTTCCTCTCTCTCTCTCTATATATATATACACACACATACATATGTATGTATATATGTATATGTGTGTGTGTGTGTGTGTGTGTGTGTGTGTGTGTGTATATATATATATATATATATATATATATTCCTCCATTTCTCTTCCTTGATATGTATGAAAGAATTGGCTTTTTAATTCACTGCTGGATATCCAGTGCCTAAACAAATGCCATGTACATCATATGCAATAATTCTATTTTTAATGAATAAGTAAAAAAAGGGATTGGTAATCCTACTAGATTGTGTACCAGTCAGATTACCTTTGAAGTATTTTGGTCAGGCCAGGTCCTACTTAGAGAGGAATATATCCTTGATAAATATGAACAGTATATATATAGAGGAATATATATATATATTCCCTTGACCATTTTAAGGAGAAAACACTTATTGGGATGTAGAGGTGATGCAAGTGTCTGATGGGTAAAAAGATTCTGAAGGTTTCTTTCAATCTGGAGGTCTTATGATTCAGTAAATATATTAACATGGTTTTTATGGTTTTTATTTTGATAATTTTCCTACTGGTTCATCACCAGAGAAGGGGCCAACATAGGGACAAAGAAGAATATCGTGATCTAATATAAAATAATACACATTTTGAGGGTAGCCAAAAGTTTTGCTTACCAGAAATGGTATCTTCCATTCATTTCCTAGAAAGCTAGAAAATTTACCATTCAAAATTAATTGCTTTAGGTTGAAATTGACAGTAAACCTTCTATTTATTCAGGGCAATGCTCAATAGAAAAAAATATAAATATAGGGTAACATCAAGTAAGAAAACAATCTAATTTTAGAAAAAAAAACTTAGAGAAACTATCCTAAATCAATATAGCTTAATATTATTGAGTTCATGGAACATAAATAAAATAAATGTTAAGGAATATATTAATAACCTGGTATGATCAGTAAGCTCCTTCCTTTCTCCCATCTTTTATCTTACTGTTTCTTCTTTCTATTTCTATCGCTTCTCTCCTCTTTCTTTTCCATTCTTCAGTAAGTACCCATTTATCACTGGCTACTATAAGCTCTGGGAATACAATGATTAACAAATAGAGACATGGTTCCTTTATACTTGGACCTAGCAGGAGCCAGTTAACAAAAGGAAGAAAAAAAGACTTTCAAGACCAAGAAAGGAAGGGGGAGTAGAAAAGCAATGAACAGAAGGAAAATGGGCAACATCGTTTGCTTATTTTTTTTCTACCTTCATCCCACTCCATTCCTTGTATAGTTTTTCTTGCTGGGTGCCATCTTCTTTCAACTTCTGATAAAACCCACTGTAAGGCAATACTCATCCAAGTGTTCTTCTGATTGGATAGCAAGTTCATTTATTTAATTATTTTCAATAAATTATTTTTAAATATGATCTTTTTCCCCAGGAAAAGAGGAAGACAGTAACTTGACAGTGGAGAAACCTGGAAGCCATTGCCTTAACCGAGTCATGAAGGTTAGTGTTATCGGTGATGTCCTCAGGGTATCATGTCATCTGCCAGATTTCTATTCTTTCCCTGGGCAGTTAATGATGAGCTAACTATCTTAGAAGTCAAAGGAAATTTTTGTTTATGAAGAGACTTTGAGAAGTCTTGGGGCTCTCTTGAGTGCTACTCGCTTTCCCCTGAAATCCATTCCTATCCCATCCCTGCCCTCTGCTGGGTCTGCTCTCCGTCACTTCGACCTTATTTAGGGTTTGGCTTACTGGTTGGGGCCACTTCCATCACCACCATGTTTAACACAAGTTGCTTGATTGCTTTCATTTAAATTATGGAGTATTTCAAACTGCACAAAAATGCCAAAAATAGTATGACAATGTAAAACATACTCCATCCCTGATTTAAAACGCTGTAACATTTTGCCGTATTTGCTTTGCCCCCTTACCCTCAACTTTTAAAAAAGATATAGAAGTCCCACATCTACATCCCATTTCTCACCTGTCTCTTTGAGGACTACAGGCTATATACCTGGAGTTGAAATTGACTATACCCATCTTCAACTTTTCTAGATATTGCTGAATTGTTCTTTAAAGTTAGTTTATATTAATTGGGGTTCTCCAGAGAAACAGAATCAAGAGGATAGAGATATAGAGATATGGGTATGGATATGTATATAGATGTAAATCAGATATAGATTTATTTTATAGAATTGGCTAACATGATTGTGGGCATGGTGGGGTGGGCCAGCAGGCTGGAGATTCAGGTAAGAGTTGTTGTTGTAGTCTTGAGTTTGAAACCTGCAGGGCGGTCCAGCAAATGGGAAACTCAGGCAGAGCTTTGATGTTGGAGTCTTGAGGCAAAATTATTCTTTATTGAGTCTTTTCTCCTAAGCCCTTCAACTGATTGGAAGAGGCCCACCCACATTATGGAGGGTAATTGACTTTACTCAATATCTATTGATTTAAATGTTAATCACATCTAAAAAAATACATTTGCAATAACATTTAGACTCATATTTGACCAAACAACTGGGCACCTCAGCCTAACGAAGCCGACACATAAAATTACCTATAATGGCTGGCACAATGGCTCATGCCTGTAATCCCAGCATTTTGGGAGGCTGAGGCGAGTGGATCTCTTGAGGTCAGGAGTTTGAGACCAGCCTTGCTGACATGGCAAAAACTCATCTCTACCAAAATTCCAAAAATTAGCCAGGTGTAGTGGTGGGCACCTATAATCCCAGCTTCTCGGGAGGTTGAGGCAGGAGAATCACTTGAACCTGGGAGGCGGGGGTTGCAGTGAACCGATATCATGCCACTGCACTCCAGCCTGGGTGACAGAGCGAGACTCCATCTCAAAAAAAAAATTAACTGTCATAGGGTTGTACCAGTTTATACTCCCACCAGCACCTTTGAGAGTTCTTGTTGTTTGATACCCTTACCAGTCCTTGGTACTTACAAATGTTTTAATTTTGCCAATCTGCTTAGTGTGAATTGGTATCTTGTTGTAATTTGGATTTTTTTATTTTCCTGACTACTAGAAAATTGAGTATTGTTGTGTTTGTTTATCGGTCTGAGTTTTCTCTTCAGTTGATTGCCTATTCAAATATTGCTCATTTTTATATTGGGTTCTTTGAATTTTTCTCATTGACCTATAAGACTTTATAATTCTGGATAAAAATACCTTGTAGATTATTATAACTTTCTTTTCCTAGACTAATGGTTCTCAACATTGGCTGTACATTGGACTCACTTGGGGAGCTTTTAAAACTCTAGGTACCTTGGCTGTACCTTCAACCAATTAAAACCAGAATTTGGGGAGGTGTAACCTAGGATCAGTACTTTTCAAAGCTCCTCAGGTGCTACCTGTGTGCTTCTGAGAAACACTGTCCCAGACTAAGGCAGTAGGGTCTCTGCCATACAGAAAGTTTTAATTTTAATGTTTTTGATGCCTTAATTTTCTTTTATAGTTTCTACTTTTTGTTTTCTTTAAATTTTTCTATACCTGATGTCATTAAAATATTTTACTATATATTCTTCTCCCTATCTCTTTTGTGTATTAAAATTCTTACAGTGTTGTGACAAGGATTTTTCTACACAGATGACTAAAAACTCTTGTTTTGACAGATTGACAACCTCCTTTTTTTTTCAATTTGTCATTGCAGAACTAAGAAAAGGTAATTTTAGTAAAAGTTGTGCAAAATACTTATTTTTATGATGTGGCTATAAGTGAGAAGGAACCGTTGATTTTAATCATTGCATTCCAATTTTAGAGCTTCATTTTCTTTTGTATTAATATCCAAACTTTTGAAGGGTGGTGGTTGGATGATGTGCTCTAATTCAGCTTCAGTAAGAGTTATTAATCATATGTGTGGTTCCAGTGGAAGTATTTTAATTACCATTGACTAAACTGAGGATGAAAAGCTACTGACAAAAACAGAAAGTTAAACTACTTCAGTGAAGTGACTAATTATTGCTGGCTCTAACTGTGGACACAAGTAGGATTATTGTAAAGTAGGGAGATGGTGGATCTGAAGAAGCCTAGGATGAGGTAGCACTAGATAGATCTTATTTGTGGAGCATTGTTGAGTGTGCACTTGCATCTTTCTTTGTGACTAGAACCAGAAAAAGTAAATACATCTGTGATGGTTAATATCGAGTGTCAACTTGATTGGATTGAAGGATGCAAACTATTGTTCCTGGGTGTGTCTGTGAGGGTGTTGCCAAAGGAGATTAACTTTTGAGTTATTGGACTGGGAAAGGCAGACCCACCCTCAATCTGGGTGGGCTCCATCTATCAGCAGCCAGTGCAGCCAGAGAAACATGGAAAGACTAGATCTAGCTTAGTCCTCCAGCCTGCATCTTTCTCCCATGCTGGATGCTTCCTGCCCTCAAACATTGTCTTCAGCTTTGGGACTCGGACTGGCTTCCTTGCTCCTCAGCTTGCAGACGGCCTATTGTGGGACCTCACCTTGTGATTGTGTGAGTTCATACTCCTTAATAAACTCCCCTTTAAATATACATCTATCCTATTAGTTCTGTCCTTTTAGAGAACCCTGACTAATACAATGTCTTTCCTGCCCTCTTCAGTGTTATTAGGAGCACATTGCTTCTTACTGTTTTGTTCTTTCCTTTCCGTTGCAACCCATGTGAGTTTTAAGTTTTCTTATTTTCTGTGAAACAAAATTTGTTTGTCCACATTTCTTTGCTGCTGCTTCTACTTGTCAAGAGTTTTGGTTGTATATAACAGAAACCTAAGTCAAACTAGCTTCAGCCAAAGAAAAAAGACCCTAATTATAGTTTTTGTTTTCATTTATGTATGCATTCAGGGAAGGAAACTATTGTTTAGGATCATTGACTAGTGCCTGAAAGAAATTTGGAAGCCAGTCAAGGAAAACAAAATGTGATTTACAAGAAAAAAGTAAAGTTGTTTGCTTTATGAATGGCATTTTACCAGGTACAGAGTACATTTTGGTTTCCCTAGCAGTACTGAAATACTTTCATTACACAAGAACTCTCAATGGTTTAAAGCTCACAATCTCAGCACTATTGATTTTTTTATTGTGGTAAAAATATACATAATATAAACTTACCATTTTAATCATTTTAAGTATACAGTTCAGTAACATTAATTAGTGACATTATTGTGCAACCATCACCACCATCTGCCTCCAGAACTTTTTAACTATTGACATTTTGGACTGAATAATTCTTCTTGTTGGAGTGGTGGTAGGGTCTGTCCTGTGCACTGTAGGGTGTTTAGCAGCATCCTTGGCCTCTACTCCTTAGACGCCAATAGCATCTCCACCTTCTCCCACCCCCACCCCATCCTGAAAATCAAAAATGTCTCTGGACATTGCCAAATGTCCCCTGGGAGGCGAAGTCATCCACAGTTGAGAACCATTGATTTCAAGGGGAAGAATTTCTATTGTAAGTTGTGCCATTTTAACTTTGAAGAAATAACTTGGGAAAAATGCATTATGGGCATTCATTAATATCAGACACAGAACTATTTGTAACTTAACTATGTACCAGATCAATTGTGCTTTCAGTAGTAAACAAATAGAGCATTTAATTGCCAGAACAGTGATAACATAATTACTTTGATTGGCATTGCTGCAGAAGAGCTAAGACTAATCAGAAATAGTCTAGATTGGAAATGACAGCTTTACATGCATGACTGAATGTGTATGGCTAAAAAATTGCTGAAGTATAAGGTTAAGAAGTTTATTTTAGTGTTTATCGTAATTACTGCATGTTTTATAGAGTGACATCAACTGACTTGCAGAAAAATAGCAATTCTGTGTTACTCTCATACAGAAAGAGTATCTTCTGTTAAGAATTATTATTTTCTTTCATCTTGTTGTACCAGTATATGCTGTAGTTACAGTGAACAAGACAATATAGGCAAATATTTGAGAGATATATTAATTGCATGCAAGGTAACATGAGATTTCCCAAAGCCAGATATGATTCCGCATCCAATTCTATCCAATGCCCAAAATGAAGAATCCTGAGTAGTACTTTAGCTTTCAAGGCACTAGAGAACATTTTTTCATGCATTATAGAATAATGTGATCCATTATTATCTTAAGAAATGAGGCACTTAATGTTATTCATAACGTCATTCACCATGTTCCAAATAGCTGATATTTGTCCTTAGATGTGACAACCAATTAAGATAGAAAAAGTCAGGTTTATTCCATGCAAAATTACTTCCATTATTTATTTCTAGCAATTATAAGGATATATTAGGTATGGCTGCTGCAATAGAGAAGACAAAAATTTTAAAATATTAAACTTGGTTCCATTGATATTTGCATAAGTCCCTTGACCTATCCAGGCCTTAGTTTTGCATTAGTCAAATTCAGGGATTGAGAGATAATCTTAGGGATCTTTCCAACTTTAAGATAGTATTATTTCCTTCCTTCCTTCCTTCCTTCCTTCCTTCCTTCCTTCCGTCCTTCCTTCCTTCCTTCCTTCCTTCCTTCCTCTCTTTCTCTCTTTCTCTTTTTGACAGAGTCTTACTCTGTCACCCAGGCTGGAGTGCAGTGGTGTGATCTCGGCTCACTGCAACCTCCGCCTCCTGGGTTCCAGTGATTCTCGTGCCTCAGCCTCTCTAGTAGCTGGATAACAGGCACCCACCACCATGCCTGGCTAATTTTTGTATTTTTAGTAGAGACGGGGTTTCACCATGTTGACCAGGTTGGTCTCGAACTCCTGACCTCAAGTGATCCACCCATCTTGGCCTCCCAAAGTGCTGGGATTACAGGCGTGAGCCACTGCGCCTGGCCAAGATGGTATTATTTTCTTATAGTTTAAATTAATAACTAGAAAGAATGAAGATTAAAATAAAGAATATCCTTTGATTCGTGACTATGCTTTCAATTATACAAATAGTTTATATAAATAGTCAAAATAAAGGGCAGGCTAGCTTTTCAGTTTAAGTAACAATGAAGTCTTTTTGTAGGTAAAGCTTTCAGCAGTTTCCCACATATGTTGAGGATGTGAGATGGTGCAATATAATTATTTTAAAACCATACACTGTAAAATGAGGTTTTGCAAGCATGCTAATACTTATACCTTGATTTCAAAGTAGAGTAGAGCAAGTAGAAGTGTGATAGATTAAGAAGATGAACAAAAACTGGTTCCGCTTTCTGCCTGATGACCTGATTATAGAAAGCAGGCTAGATTATTATGGATAGTACAGAAGATAAAATATGCTGGTATAAAATATTTTACTTATTATTCATTTATCCATAATTATTTATATTTAATAAAAGTTTTCATCTCCCTATAGGTACATATTCTGTTCTGGAGAAAGTCTAGACTGCTCTTGGATATACAGAAAAGTAATATTCATCATGATGATTGCCATTTATTGAGCACTTCTGTGCCAATGCTTTACATTCATTATCTCATTTAATCCTTACAGCCACTCCGTAAAACAGGTATTATTAGCTAGAATTCCTAAGTAACTTGCTCAAGGTTTCACAAAGAATAAGTCACAGAGCCAGGATCTGTCTGCTTCCAAACTTTACTCCTTAGCTCTTCTAACCCAAACTGTAAGAACTTCAGGAAGAAACAAACAACAAAACAAAACAAACACCTCAATTCTTAATGCTACATATAGTTCATAGCCTCAGTAAGACAGTGAAATTCATAAGTTGCAGCCTGAGTGGGAATTATTTTGATATCTGTGACTGTCAACTTAATTACCCATACACATGACCTTCTGGATAGTATCAGATTCATCTGTTGATCTCTGAATTAAGTTTTGTTGAGTTGTCAAAATTAAGATCATTCTGATGGTAGAAAGTCTGCTAGGCTTTATTTCATTCCCTGTCTATAAGGAGAGGGCCTGCAGAGACTCCTGGAAGTTTACATTAGAGGAAGACTTTCTTAGCCTCTTACAAACCTCACCCCCTCTTTTGAATTGTAGTCCTTCAGAGGCATGCTTAAAGAATAGACATTTTCCCACAGTCCCCTGCTGATTCTGAATGAACAGATTCTCAACCCCCTGCTGACTGGTGAATATATTGCATATCCCCATCTTTACCCTTTACTGACAGCCTTCATAAAAAACTAGCTTAGAAGACAAATGGCACTACAGAACCTCTGACAACTCATTAAGGAAGCATACAGTAGGTTTCTGCCAAAGATTGCTACTATTTTAATGTGACCTAACAGCAGTTTTGTCATGATGGAAGAACGAAAGGATGCTGCCAAGAATGACTGCCTTTGGTCAAATGCAGCATAATGTCCCTTTGCACTGTTTTTAAAGAGAGAAGTAGTGAAGAAGTCAACGAACGTATAGATTATCTATGGCATGTGGCTTTCACACATGCTGCTTCCTCTGCATGGAATACCTTTCTCTCCCTTCCCCACCTGCCCTTCGAGAGCTGGCCCAAATCCTACCTTCAATACGAACTCTTCTCTGTCACCCATGGCATAACTTCTTCCTCTGAGTTCTGACAACACTTGTTTCTACCTGTTGTAACCATTCACATGTTGCTGTATAGTTTGTAGAATTATTTGTCTTGTCTTGACTCAACTAGAAGCTCCTTGAACACAGGAACTATACCTTATTCACCACTGCATTTCTTTTCTTTTCTTTTCTTTTCTTTTTTTTTTGAGACAGAGTCTCGCTCTGTCGCCCAGGCTGGAGTGCAGTGGTGTGATCTCGGCTCACTGCAACCTCCACCTCCCGGGTTCAAGCAATTCTCTGCCTCAGCCTCCCGAGTAGCTGGGATTACAGATGCCCACCACTACACCTGGTTAATTTTTGTATTTTTAATAGAGACGGGTTTCACCATCTTGGCCAGGCTGGCCTTGAATTCCTGACCTTGTGATCCACCTGCCTCAGCCTCCCAAAGTGCTGGGATTACAGGCGTGAGCCACCGCGCCCGTCAGGTGGCATGAGCTTTTAGAAGGTCTGCAAATCTGCAAAAATTGCATGTAACAATTTTATATGTTTTTATATGTTTAAAAAAAATTTTTTTTTGAGACAGGGTCTCACTCTGTCACCCAGGCTGGGGTGCAGTGGTGTGATCTCGGTTCACTGCAACCTCCGCCTCCCGGGTTCAAGCGATTCTCCTGCCTCAGCCTCCTGAGTAGCTGGCATTATAGGCAAGTGCCATTATGCCTGGCTAATTTTTGTATTTTTAATGGAGACGAGGTTTCACCATGTTGGTGAGGCTGGTCTCGAACTCCTGACTTCGTGATCCGCCTGCCTCGGCCTCCCAAAGTGCTGGGATTACAAGGATAAGCCACCACACCCAGCCCACCATTGCATTTTTTGTACCCAGAAGAGCACCTAGCACAGAGTAGGTCCTGGGTTACTGATTGTTAAATGACTTCCCTATTGTCGTATGAGCTTATTCTTGTTGGAGGCCAGATCTACTTAGAGAGAATGGTGATTATGATCATGAAATGACTGATAAGTCCTGCCTCTGCCAGTGACTTGATATGTAGCCTTTCAAGTTTCCCCATTCTGTAAAAGGGGAATTGCAATGATACCTACCTCATGGAAGAAAATTTCTGCAAACGATTTCAGGGTTTTTTTTTCATAATTATAGATATATTCAGGTTTCCTGCTGTTTATTCTTGATCCAGTTATGGTAATTTATATTTCCCTCAAAATCATTCATATCTTGTTGTAATTTATTTTTTAAAGTAATAATAAGTATTCTACTTGCTGATTTCATCTGTACATCTGGTTATAGCCCATTCCTAATTTGTATATATGTGTATTTTCCTGCCTTTCTCTTTTCCTCTTTCTAAAGAGAAATATGTCAAAATATTAATAATAGTTGTCTGTGGGTGATAAGATTATACATTACTTTTACTTTTATGTTTGTCTGTATTTTCCAAATATTCAGAAACCAGTCTATATTATTTATGTGTTCATGAAATGATACTTCATGCTTAATTTTCAAATAAGGAAACTGAAGCCAGGAGCATTTCATAGGTGGATCATGGCCTTATATTAGGACCAGAAAACCTGCCCTGGCCCAGCCACTGTTTAGCCAATAGGGTGAGAGTCAACCAGCATGACTCTTCCAGTTCTCACTGATCTGCAGAAACTGAGCCATTAAACCACTTCACTGTCTCTTGTTCTCATCTTACATAAAGGGTTGTTAGCGTAAGGTAAACTGTCACTGTGAATTGATCGTTGGGGTTTAATCCACCTTACATGGTAAGTTTTATTTTTTGGCATCTCAGCATATAGTTGGTAATAAAAGACAATTATTATAGTGATAAAAGATAACAGTTAATATGTGATGATAACACATATGGCAATGAGTGAAAACATCTGAATGTGTAATTGGAAGGTAGATGCTATATATTTGATATTTTAAAATTTCCTGTGATTCTGTAGTAGGATTGTTAAAGGAAAACTATTTTTTATTTTTATCTTACTTTACTTTTTTTTTTTTGAGACAGAGTTTGTCTCTGTTGCCCAGGCTGGAGTGCAGTGGTACAGTCTCGGCTCACTGCAACCTCCAACACCTGGGCTCAAGCGATACTCCCACCTCAGCCTCGTGAGTAGCTGAGACTACAGACATACACCACCACGGCCAGCTAATTTTTGTATTTTTTTTAGAGATGAGTCTCACTATGTTGTCCAGGCTGGTCTCAAACTCCTGAGTTCAAGTGATCCACCCATCTCGGCCTCCCAAAGTGCTGGGATTATAGCCATGAACCACTGCGCCCAGCACAAAACTTTTTTTTAACACTGTTAGGAAAAGGCTGCTTGTGGTTCCTAACTCATAGCAAATTAGAAAGGAAGACATGCAGTGCAATTTGATTCAACAAATCTTTCTGGATTGCCTACTTTAAATCTTTTACTAGACCATATATAGAAATGCTTTATCTTGTAAAAATATAAGCTACTTTCAAAGAGATTTTCTTTAGTAAGATTTTAACCATTAGATAAGGCATCTTATTTATCTTCAAACTCTTAAGTGACTTGCCTGGTGATCACCATATGAACACAATAATAATTGTGTCTTTTCCTATGAGGATATAAGCTTTATGAGGGCAAAATTTTATCCTTATTTCATTGTCCTAAGGTTGTTAACAAACCTTAGAACACTGTAACAAAATGGGGATGTTTAACAGGTTTTTAAATAATGATACTAATAGATGGCGTTTTTAATATGCCGAACAGGTATTATCCCTTAAATGAGTTATTGCATTAAATCCTCACAATAAACCTATAGGACACTGTGAACATTTTCATTTTATTGAGGTTTAGAGAGATTACAGAATTTCTTCGAGGTTACATAGCTTGAAAATGGTATGGCCAGGATTCCACCCAGGTCTGTCTGACTTCAGAGTTGAGACTCTACTGCTTTGATCTCCAAACTCAAAAAATATTTGGTGGCCAAATAAATGAATGAACTTCCATTTGCAGAAATTTGTAATTAATTCATCACTTTTCCTAGAAAAGAAAAGGATTTCTGAATTCACAAACATTTCCCTTAGAGAAAGAACAAGTACAAGTGCCTATGAGATTTATTTTACTCTATTTCAAAGATGCACCATTGTTCTATATACCAATTGTTTGTTGATTATAATTATAGATATCAGGTATGTATTAATATATGTATCAACTAAAATTATAGACACCATTGATTACTAGTAGTATCCCAAATTTAGAGACATTATAGTGTGTCCCTTAGAATGGGTAATAAATGTAATGTGTGAATATATAGGTTTTCTGTAATGCAATGCGAATTTTTTTCTGTAAGTTATGAGGCAGTACCATGCAGTGGTTAAGCACACAGACTATGGAGACAATCAGTGTGCCTGGTTTCAAGTCCCAGTTGTCTACTTATTAGCTTGTAGTCTAGAGAAAATCAGTCAGTTTCTCTGATTTTAGATACTTCATCTATTAAATGGGGATGAAAATAATATCTTCCTCTGGATCATTCAAGATATACTTCATTAGACCTAGTGAAGCATTTTTAGTTTAATTTCTAGAGCCTTTTGCAAAATATGGATCGGATCCATTGCTTAAAATACCTATCAGCTGTCAGAGGACATATTTCTGCTTGTATTTTTTTTTCAAGTTTGTCTTCTAGTTCAAAGATTTTTAACGGTTGTCAGGAAGTCTTCTTCAGTCCTATGATGCCCTAAAAACAGCCATCCTATCAGGTTATTGACCCTCACTGAGCTTATGGTAAGTTCGAACATGATGTTAATGAGACACGTTTCCATCCACTCACTTCCCACTATAAGCTAGTTAATTTTGCGTAAAGAAAACCTCCCATCCATAACTATAGCCTATAGTTCTCATTCCTTCCATCTAGGCAGGTTCTTGCTCCATATCTCTTTGCAATTGGAAGATATATATTCACTAATATTTTCTTGCTGTCTTGCTCTCTCTTCCACCTCATCAGTTAGTCTTTGCACAAATAAGCCTCTTAGCTCTATTCACAGAGCAAATGAACAGAATTCATCTTTGTTAGATGAGGTCTATGGCCCAGTGGATCTATTTGGAATATGCCAGACTATTTGTTAACTAGGGTGAGTTATAATGCATTTTTGGAGATGAAAAAAATGATGTCTTTTGCTCTCCTAGGAAATGTTTTTTAAGGTTAACTTTAGGAACTATAAGATGTGGGTTTTGTATGATTTTGTTGTTTGCAATTCTGACAGCTAAGAAAGAATAAAGATGCTAACAAAGGTTAACTTTGAACAGAGGATGTAAGAATGACCATTGTCTTTTTTGTACTCTTCTACATTTGAAACATTCTCCCTGGGAAAAGGATTCTAAATTCCTCCACCTGCTTGAAAAGGTCAGAAACCTCTTTCCAAAAATACTTTTTTATCCTCTTAATGCAATAGTCTCAACCCTGGCCACTCGTTAGAATCACCTGAAAACATGTTTTTAAAATCTCATGCCTGGAAGGATATGAACAGACACTTCTCAAAAGAAGACATTTATGCAGCCAACAGACACATGAAAAAATGCTCTTCATCACTGGCCATCAGAGAAATGCAAATCAAAACCACAATGAGATACCATCTCACACCAGTTAGAATGGCGATCATTAAAAAGTCAGGAAACAACAGGTGCTGGAGAGGATGTGAAGAAATAGGAACACTTTTACACTGTTGGTGGGAGTGTAAACTAGTCTGACCATTGTGGAAGACAGTGTGGTGATTCCTCAAAGATCTAGAACTAGAAATACCATTTGACCCAGCCATCCAATTACTGGGTATATATCCAAAGGATTATAAATCATGCTGCTATAAAGACACATGCACACGTATGTTCATTGCAGCACTATTCACAATAGCAAAGAGTTGGATCTAACCCAAATGTCCATCAATGATAGACTGGATTAAGAAAATGTGGCACATATACACCATGGAATACTATGCAGCCATAAAAATTGATGAGTTCATGTCCTTTGTAGGGACATGGATGAAGCTGGAAACCATCATTCTCAGCAAACTGTCACAAGGACAGAAAACCAAACACCGCATGTTCTCACTCATAGGTGGGAATTGAACAATGAGAACACTTGGACACAGAGTGGGGAACATCACACACCAGGGCCTGTCATGGGGTGGGGGAGGGGAGAGGGATAGCATTAGGAGAAATACCTAATGTAAATGACGAGTTAATGGGTGCAGCACACCAACATGGCACATGTATACATGTACCCTAGAACTTAAAAGTATAATTTAAAAAAAAATCTCATGCCTGGAACCAAACACAAAGATTCAAATTTAATGTTCTTAGGTGAGATTTGAGCATTATTATTGTTTAAAAGTGTCCCCCAGTGATTCTGATTTGCAGCCAATGAAATCCAATGAACTAATGTGTTGCCTTATCTAACTGTCTCTCTGATCTCTTAGTTCCTTGAGAAATGAACTAATGGTAATATTTCATTTTATTCCTTATGGAACACTCAACTAATATTTGTTGTTTGATTGAGACTAAGAGGATAAATAGAGACATGATCTGGACTTTACAATACAATGCATGCCATTGTAATCCATCAGAGATATGATTGGATTTTTTTTTGTATTATATCTCAGTGCCAATAATTTATTTTTTTATTAGCCTTGAGCTAAATTTTAATGCCTCTCTCTGTTACAGAAACTAGAAATTTTACATCCCTGACTGGAATAATAATATAACATGCTCCAGGTCCCTCATCAATCTGTTCAATGAATAGATGATTGGCTATATGCCAAGGGAATCTGCTGCCCTCTGGAGGGTATTGTGCTGTTAGAGATGAAAACACCGTTTCCCAGTGGATATTCCAAGGCACATGGGAAATTATGAAACAAAACCAATGCAACAAAAGAAAAAGGTGTCATGGTCATTTGGAAAATTCATAGCATTTGAAAAATGCCACACACTCTATCTCTCTGTAGGAAAGTCACACTGCAAATTAGCAAAACAGAGACTGAGAAGTTCTATAATAAGATATTTGTTTCCCAAACTAATTGGCCCACCTCCCATCCCACATACACACCTAATTTCTGTTAATATTTGGGAAACTAATATTCTACAAATAATATTTTGTATTCATAATCTACAAATTAATTAAATTAGGTATTTGGAGAAATTGAAGGAGAATAACTTAATGAAGGATTTCTTAAATAAACTACCAAAAAGGAAATATTGATGAAATGAATACATTAAAATGCAAAGATTCCGCATCCTATGCCATGACATATTAACTGGAGGGATGCAATCTGATGTGGCAGTGTGATGTGCCATGCTATTATATTCACGTTTATCTTTCTTCTTAGTGCTTATCCTAATGAAACATTTGAGATATTTATACCATTGCATAACAAATGGGCTTGTCATTTGTGCTTTGCAATAGAAGATGTTGACTTCAAGTACTATCATATTAGGTTAAAGATGTGTGAAGGATAGGCTGGGTGTGGTGGCTCACGCCTATAAATCTCAGCACTTTGGGAGGCTGAGGGGTGGATCACTTGAGCCTAGGAGTTTGAGACCAGCCTGGGCAATATGGCAAACCCCATCTCTACAAAAAATACAAAAATTAGCTGGGCATTGTGGCTTGTGCCTGTAGTTCCAGCAACTTGGGTGGTTGAGGTGGGAGGATAGTTTGAGCCTGGTGGATAGAGAGGGACAGAGGTTGCAGTGAGTTGAGATTGTGCCATTGCACTCCAGCCTGGGCGATAGATAGAACCAGACCTTGTCTCAAAAAAAAAAAAAAAAAAAAAGATGTATGAAGGACAGCAAGAGGCTAGGCAAGGCATAATGGAGTTCACCCTGAAGTTCAGTTAGTACAGAGTGGAGGCCCCAAGTATGCAACTCGGGCCGGAAAGATGACAAGTTTGGTGGAAATAAAAAATGTGTAGTCAGGAGGCTTGGGTTTCATTCTTTTGTGTCACTAATTTTGTGATCCTGGCTAACTACATAAAATCCTCCTCATCTGTAAAAGGAAATCATGCAGAGCTGTCTAACGGTTGAATGAGATACCACATATGAAAATGCTTCATACAGCCTCTGACATCATAGGCACTCAACGAATACAAGTTCAAGGTAAATATGATTTGTGAGCACAGAGAAAACACCAAACTAGACAGTCAAGAGGTCAACACAAGAGGAAGCAAAAACCACAGGATACATCTAAAGTGACCAACCATCCAGGCCAAGTTTGCCAGGGATGGTCACAGTTTTAGCACATAAAGTCTTGCATTTGGGGAAACCAGGTAGTTTGGTCCTGGGAAAACCAGGATGGTTGGCCATCCTAGCTCAGAACCTAGAATAGGAGCGCAAACAACAAGGATTGGACCCCAAGAAAAAACAAATGGCCAGAACGCAGGAATGGAGTATGGAAACACTAGGAATAATGGTCCTGATGCTGACCAATATTTCTCAGACAACAGATAGCAAAACAGGCTCAGCATGTGAGTAGGGATGAACCCATAGGTGGAAGTCAGTATACACACCTGACTTAACTGAGGGAACCTCAGGAGCCAGGTAGTGCTATGCAAGACAAATCTTACAAAGTTATTATTTTTTTCTTTTTTAAAGATCTGTCACTCAGGCTTGAGTGCAGTGGTGCCATCAAAGCTCACTGCGGCCTAAAACTCCTGGGCTCAAGCAATCCTCCTGCCTCAGCCTCCCAAATAATGCAATGGCAGACACATCACTGTGCTGGGCTAATTTTAGAAAAGTTTTTGTAGAGATGGGAGTCTCACTTTGTTTTCGAGGCTAGTCTCGAACTCCTGGCCTCAAGCAATCCTCCTGCCTTGACCTCCAAAAGTATTGGAATTACAGGTGTGAACACTGTGCCTGGCCCCAAATTAATTTCATAAGTGACTTTGGTGATGAGCTAAAATGAACAATGAGGAAAGGATGGTTTCTTCAATAAATAATGCTAGGACAGTCATTATCCATGATACAAAAGGAATCGAATTTTCTACCTCACACAATACAGAAAAGTTTATAATTTAGAAACCTAAATAAGGAAAAAAAAACTTTAAACATTTTAAGAGAAAATAAAGGAGAAAAGCTTAATAAAGATTTTAAGGCCAGGCACAGTGTCTCAAGCCTGTAATCCCAGCACTTTGGGAGGCCGAAGCAGGCAGATCACTTGAGGTCAGGAGTTCGAGACCAACCTGGCCAACATTGTGAAACACCATCTCTACTAAAAATACAAAAATTAGCTGGGCATCGTGATAGACGCCTGTAATCCCAGCTACTTAGGAGGCTGAGGTAGGAGAATCACTTGAACCCCAAAGGCAGAGGTTACAGTGAGCCAAGATCGTGCCACTGCACTCCAGCCTGGGCAACAGAGCAAGACACCGCCTCAAAAAAAAGGAAAAAGATTTTAAAATAAGCAATAAAAAGGGAAAGATTCATAAAGTTGATTATTTTTTGTTTATTTATTTATTTATTTTTTTGAGACAAAGTCTTGCTCTGTCGCCCAGGCTGGAGTGCAGTGGCACAATCTCGGCTCACTGCAGCCTCTGCCTCCTGGGTTCCAAGTGATCCTCCTGCCTCAGCCTCCTGGGTAGCTGGGATTACAGGCACACACCACCACGCCTGGCTAATTTTTGTATTTTTAGTAGAGACAGATTTCACCAGGTTGGCCAGGCTGGTCTCAAACTCCTGACCTCGGGTGATCCACCTGCCTTGACCTCCCAAATTGCTGGGATTACAGGCATGAGCCACCGCGCCCAGCCAAAGTCGATTGCTTTAAAATGAAAAGATGCCATGAACACAGTGAACAGCCAAGCCATAAACTGAGAAACAATATTTGCAATATATCAAGCCTACAAAGTACTTATATCAGCAAGTACTTAAAGGAAAATGCCAGCAATCCAGTAGGCATAGAATAGGAATAGGCAATTCACGGAAGAAACTTCAGTAGTAAAAACATATTTTTAAAAAGCTCGGCCGGGTGCGGTGGCTCACACCTGTAATCCCAGCACTTTGGGAGGCCGAGGCGGGTGGATCACAAGGTCAGGAGATCGAGACCATCCTGGCTAACACGGTGAAACCCCGTCTCTACTAAAAATACAAAAAATTAGCTCGGCGTGGTGGCAGGCGTCTGTAGTCCCAGCTACTCGGGAGGCTGAGGCAGGAGAATGGCGTGAGCCTGGGAGGCGGAGCTTGCAGTGAGCCGAGATCGCGCCACTGCATTCCAGCCTGGGCGACAGAGCGAGACTGTCTCAAAATAAATGAATAAATAAATAAATAAGTAACTCAGTTTTACTACTTGTCAGAGAAATGCAAATTGAAACCACAATGAGATAAGATTTTACATCAAGCAGATTGTCAGAAATTAAAAAGCCTGGCAATACCAAGTGCTGGCGAGAATGTGAAGCCACAGAAGTTTTCTTACACTTCTACTAGGGTGTAAATTGGTACAACCATCTTGGAGAGCAAATGCTCAATAGCTAGAGATGTTTTGAAAGTATACACTTGTGCAATACCTCCTCGTTGTGCAGTCTAGAGAAACTCGCAAATGTGTGCACAATGGGTCACGTATAAGAGTGTTCACTGTAGCATGGTTTGTAAGAGCAAGAGACTGAAAACACTCTGAATGTCCATCAGCTGTAAATTAAATAAATTGTTGTACAATTCATTCAATGGAATGCTAACATACAGCAGTTACAGTAAATGACTGAAGTTAGATGACCAATATCACGAAATCTCCAAAGCATAATATTAAACTAGAAAAAGTAAGTTGCAGAAATATTTGTACCATATGGTATCCCTTATATCAGCTATAAAATATGTGCAATATTATAAATTTTATGTGTACACAAATATGTAATAAAAATACAAAAAGTCACAGAGATAATAAACCAAATATTGATTACTTCTAAAGAGAACAAGATGGACATGAAATCAGAAATAGTTAATAAGGCATCAAATGTGTCTATTACATTTTATGTTTAAAATATCTGATGTAAGTAAAGCAAAACGTTAAGATTTGACAGAGTTGGGTGGTAGATACGTAACTGTTATTTCATTCTCTAGACTTTTCTGTAGGCGTTAAGCATTTTATTTTGAAAAAATAAAAACAATGTTATTAGCATTTAAATTCAGATTATTTCAGAATTACTCTAAAATATTTTTAAAAGCAAAACTATGCTTTCCGGAGTTGGCAACTTAACAAAGCCAAGTTTAACAGTCTGTTCAAAGAAAGTTAAAGTATGCCTTGTCCTGACACATATTTCACTGCCACTTAACCAACACTAGATGTCACTTTACTTCATGCATTTCATTTGAGAGTTTCTGGTTGAAATTAGATAAACTTGGGTATGTTTTATCATTTTCTTTCTCCAGTAGATACAGAGAATTATGAAAAATGAAAATGTTCTCTGCTATATATCCATCCAGAAAGACAAAGGACACGTGTATTTGGGTTTATCCTTTTATCCTTGGCACATACTGCTTATAATAGGGTTGCAAAAGTATTGTTAACCAAATAAACAAAGGATACAAGAAACTTTCGCAGAAGAAATGTTTAATATCCCCAATATGTATATAATTACATTTGGAACAGTTTTTCCTTCAAACGGCAGCGAGCTGTTGAAAGCACACCTTCCAGGGATTTGCAAGGGAAAGGTTACGACTCTAATTTCAAAGCCCGGCTTGTGGTCAGTGGAGAGAAGACACCATTTCAGATCTTTCAACCCAAAATTGTATCTCAGTTCATTGGAGCATTGGATCTCCAATAAGGACTGACAAATAAGAACTCCTTAAATCAATAATTGAACCTTTTTAGAAGGAGAGTGACCTTTGATAATCATGAAAATCGTGAACTCTCTGGAAATTTTCATCTAAACATATAAAAATCAGCCAGGTGCAGTGCCTCACACCTGTAATCCCAGCACTTTGGGGGCCACGGTTGGCGGATCACTTGAGGACAGGAGCTTGAGACCAGACAGGCCAACACAGTGAAACTTTGTTGCTACCAAAAAAATACAAAAATTAGCTGGGCTTGATGGCACGTTCTTGTAGTCCCATCTACTCGGGAGGCTAAGGCAGGAGAATCGCTTGAACCTGAGAGGTAGAGGTTGCAGTGAGCTGAGATCACACCACTGTACCCCAGCCTGGGTGACAGAGTGAGACCCTGCCTCAAAAAATTTTTTTATGAAAACATACAATTGTTACATGCAGGTTTTGCAGATTTGCAGACCTCCTAAAAGCTCATGCATGGACTCCAGATCAGGACCCCTTGACCAGAATGGATAAAAGCACTTGCCCAGGTTCCTTTCCCAAGCTTTCTTAAACTCTGCCAATAACTAGAATTTCAGCTGAGGCTGGCACGTATCATGTGAACTAAACAACGTGACTACGCAAATGAATGGAATGGAAACCAACCCTGTAAATTCAGGTAATTAACCAAACGTGGGCAGTGTCTACTTTGGAAATATTTGACTTATGGATAACAGTCAAAGTGTTTATATGTACATTTTTTCTAAGAATAATTAAGAAAAGAAAAAAGTAATAGATTTGTTTGCTGAAATATTTATTTGGAAGCTTGTTTTTCCGTGGGGAGCAAACCAAATCCTAGGAGTTGCTCCACATAATGTTTTCTAGTGCCTGAATAATTGTCCAACTGTTTTCATTTTACACCTTCTAACCGGAAAGAACTAGTTTATAATTTTGTTACTGACTTTCTTGCATCATAAATATTACAGAATAGCCCAAACTAGGTGAAATTAGTTCATTGTATGAATACAAATTAATGAAATTTCACTACATTATGTAAAGATACTCTAAATCAAATAAGCTTGAACTGCAGAGTCTTTCCCTCCAAATCAAATAAGCTTGAAACTCCTTTATATTCTTTGTTCTAGAGTCTTTCCTTATTAAAAAGACTTCTTAGGCTGGGCACGATGGCTCAAACCTGTAATCCCAGCACTTTTGGAGGCCAGAAGTTTGAGACCAGCCTGGGCAACATAGTGAGACCCTGCCTCTACAAAAAAGTTTTAGAAAATTAGCCAGGTGTGGTGGCACTGCCTATGGTCCCATCTACTTGGGAGGCTGAGGTGGGAGGATTGCTTGAGCCTGGGAGGTTGAGGCTGCGGTGAGCCATGATTGCACCACTGTACTCCAGCCTGGGCAACAGAGTCAGACTGTCTCAAAAGAAAAAAAGACCTCTTTCCAGGGACACTCTGTTCTGTTAGCCACATATCAAGTTTTCAAAAACAGGTGTTGAATGACAAAGAGGGTTCTTCTTCTTCTTCTTCTTCTTCTTCTTCTTCTTCTTCTTCTTCTTCTTTTTTTTTTTTTTAGTGAAACGGAGTTTCATTCTGTTGCCCAGAATAGAGGGTAGTGGTGTGATCGTGGCTCACTGCAGCCTTGACCTCCTGGGCTCAAGTGATCCTGTTACTTCAGGCTCTGAAGTAGGAAGGACTATAAGAAGGTGTCACCATGCTCAGCTAATTTTTTTTTTTTTTTTTTTGAGACAGAGTCTCACTCTGTTGCCCAAGCTGGAGTACAGTGGCATGATCTTGGCTCACTGCAACTTACGCCTCCTGGGTTCAAGCAATTCTCCTCCCTCAGCCTCCCGAATAGCTGGGACTACAGATGCCGCCACCACACCCAGCTAATTTTTGTATTTTTAGTAGAGATGGGGTTTCACCATGTTGGCCAGGCTGGTCTCGAACTCCTGACCTCAGGTGATCCACCCGCCTTGGCCTCCAAAAGTGCTGGGATTACAGGCATGAGCCACCACGCCCAACTGCTCAGCCAATTTTTAAAATTTTTTGTATTGATGGTGTCTTGCTACGTTGCCAAGGCTGTTCTCAAACTCCTGGGTTTAAGCAATCCTCCTGCCTCAGTCCCCCAAAGTGTTGGGATTACAGGTGTGGGCCACCACACCTGGTCAGCATTCTTCTTTATCATGATCACCCTGTTACTGAAAGTACGTTATAGGCTATAGTTACAATAGATAAATTGGGCCAATTTTTAAGAAGTATCATTTTACTCACTGGAGATTATGTTAACGCCATGAGAATGGTAAAACCAGGGTTTGTTTTTCTTCTGTTATGCAACTTTGCTATATGTACTAGGCATATAAAGTAAAACAGTAGTATATTAGAGTCCTGATTTGGTGCAGTGATCATTTATAGGCTTAGCTGGTCATAGCACCCATTGTGAAATTACATGCGGAAAATGGATCCTGTTTTAAGAGAACAGAATCTAACTTGGATTCTAATTCTTCAACCACCAAAAACTTCCACACCTCTTTCTAGGAGATACAGAAAAATATATGCCCTTTATTGGAGTCATAAAGAGCTCTACATTCAGAGTTCTGTTTCCTTAAGGCAAAGAACCTGAATGCTAACCCTTCTTTGTTTGTAATTGACAAAAACCGTAGGATGTTTTCTTAAAGAAAATTATCATTATATATATATTTTTCTCCAGAGTTAAAATGTTGATACTGATAATTTTCTTTAAGAAAATATCTTAGGGATATTGTCAATTACAAACAAAGGAGGGTCAGTACTCAGGCATTTTAACTCTGGAGAAAAGTTTATATTTTCACAACTAAATACTTCACCATTTATCCAATAAAATCTGTAAATTTTCAGTTATTGATTTAACTATTTCTCTCTGACTTTAGAACTTGATATCATTTGACTGTTATCACAAGTACTTGATTTAATGGCCATGTTTTTCTCTAGACGATATCATCCTACATGAGTCATGGTAGGCTTAGTCAACAGACTTGTATTTCTTTTTGTTTGTTTGTTTGTTTGTTTGTTTTTGAGACAGAGTCTCACTCTGTCACCAGGCTGGAGTGCAGTGGCGCGATCTCACCTCACTGCCACCCCTGCCTCCCAGGTTCAAGCAATTCTCCTGCCGCAGCCTCCCAAGTAGCTGGGACTACAGGCATGCACCACCACGCCCAGCTAATTTTTGTATTTTTAGTAGAGATGGTGTTTCACTATTGGCCAGGATGGTCTCGATCTCTTGAACTCATGATTTGCCCACCTCGGCCTCCCAAAGTGTTGGGATTACAGACATGAGCCACTGCTCCTGACCTTGTATTTCTATTTCTATAGCCATGATTCTATAATCTTATTTGATCATTCCATCAATTTATGGTTCTGTAGTAAAATATTTTGTTTGTATATGTTCATATCATGTACCAAATGTAAGTGTTCATTTTACCATAATTTCTTGACACTTTAAAAATTGTTAGCATTTTCTAAAGTTTAGAATTATTCAGCTTGGGGGGAAGTTCAGTGAGGACTGCTGGTGGTGGATAGCATGAGACCTGGGTAATACTGAAAACAGCTCTGTGTCTAAGCTGCTCCTTGGATCAATAGACTTTCTTTCTGGGCCAAATTATAGCTCCTTTTCATTGACAGGTGAACATCTCAATATCTTGTAGCCTTTTCTCCTTCTTAGAAAACATGATAGAAATAAATGGGTGAATCCAAAGCAGTATAATTTTAGCAAACAGAAAAGATATTACACTCCTTCTGGAGTGTAATGGCATGATCATAGTTTACTGTAGCCTCGGGGCTTGAGTGAGCCTCCCACTTCAGCCTCCTGAGTAGCTGGAACTATAGGTTTGTGCCACCATGCCTGGCTAATTTTTGTTATCTTTAGTAGAGACGAGGTCTCAGTATGTCACCCAGGCTGGTCTCCAACTCCTGAGCTTAAGCAATCCTCCCTCTTCTGTCTCCCAAAGTGCTAGGATTACAGGTGTGAGCCATCACGCCCAGCCCCTTATTAATTTTAAACTTTCATGTATTCCTTTGGAGAATGTCTTTCTTGCCCCTTTTTAGCATATCCAAACCTTATCATAGTCGCCATCCAGCTTTTTTTTTCTTTTTCTGGGTCTCCCAGTCTCTAGCATGTTTTATTGCCTTATAGTAGTTTCTCATTGCTTTATGTGCAAATTATTACATGCCAAATCAGATTGTATGCCTCTTGAGAACAATCTTGTGCTTTATTTACCAAGCTTGGTAAACGCTGAATATATAATCTACTTTCCTTGCATTTAATTATCACTAAAGAGTTGATTCCCAATTTACTTTATCCCCTACCATTTATGCATTTTGTTGGGAAATGTTTACTTATGTGCTGGGAAACATAAATAAAGCCCAAGATTGTTCTCAAGAGGCTTACAATCTGATACAAATTCATAAACTTTCTTAAAACATTATGAGATTTTTTTTTTGCTTTTTTCTTTTTCTTTTTCTTTTTTTTTTTTTAGCTCATCAGCTTTCTTTAGTGTTAGTGTATTTTATGTGTGGCGCAAGACACTTCTTCTTCTTCCAGTGTGGCTCAGGAAAGCCAAAAGACTGGACACCCCTGCATTAGACTATTAATAAGCAGTTCTTATTTCTGAAGAAGCTTTGGGTCATATTCTTCTCTCCTTTTTTTGGCCTGATCTACTGTAGGTGAACATTTGTAGATTAGCTGGTTCCCCTTCATTCCTTCTCTTCTGAAATGTGTGGTAAAGTAAAAATGCCTAAGGCAATAATTTGTGGATAAAAACGGCTGCACATGAAAAATAATTGATGTGGTTTAAAAATTACTCTGAGGTGGAAAATAAAATGCCTTTTCAACCTACACTCTAAAAAGAGTACTAAAGCTAATTCTTTATAAATCATGGAATGGAAGCAAAGAAAGACACATTTTTGGGTAGTCAATCAATTTTAAATAAGGAGAGTTTTTAAATTTTGTATAAAAAATTAAAAAATGTTCAGTTCCCTAAAAGGACATAGCTGAAGATGAAGAAAGTCTTAACTACACCCTTAGCAATGTGAGTTTAATGTTTTCTATAATTATAAATATGAAAGCTGATCACTTTGGTTTCTTTATAAGTTAATCATTTTAAACATCACACACCAGGGCCTGTTGGGGGCTTGGGGGCAAGGGGAGGGAGAGCATTAGGACAAATAACCTAATGCATGTGGGGCTTAAAACCTAGATGACAGGTTGATAGGTGCAGCAAACCACCATGGCACATACAAATGTATGTAACAAACCTGCATGTTCTGCACACGTATCGCAGAACTTAAAGTAAAATTTAAAAATAATAATAATAAGTTAACCTTTTTTAAAAAAATGCCTTTGTAGTTTTAGCTTTTTTCTATTATGTCTCTGCAACTTTCCTGGGAGTGACCCAAACGCAAACATTCTCTGCTTATGGTACTTCCCAAGGTGCTCTTGTCACTGTAGTGCTGCCCCAATGCCACCTACACCTGGCCTGCATGTGTGTTTACGATGCTAAACATTGGGATGGGACTAGAAGGTTCAACAAGATACATCAACGTGACACAGATACTATTTGATTGATTTTTTTTCTTCTTATGTAGATCTATATAGAGCCATCCTTTCTAAACTTATAAAAGTGCTTTTGTTTTAGTCACTTATTTCTTCATCTGAAATTCTTTGCTCTAGAACAGGGGTCCCCAACTCCTGGTCCGTGGCCTGTTAGGAACCAGCCTGCACAGCAGGAGGTGAGTGGCCGGCCAGCATTACCACAAGAGCTCCGCCTCCTGTCAGATTAGTGGCAGCAATAGATTCTCATAGGAATTCAAACCCTATTGTGAACTGCACATGCAAGGGAGCTAGGCTGCAGGCTCTCTATGAGAATCTAATGCCTGATGATCTGAGGTGGAACCGTTTTATCCCAAAACCATCCCCCCACCGACCCCGTCCATGGAAAAATTGTCTTCCGTGAAACCAGTCCCTGGTGCTAAAAAGATTGGAGACTGCTGCTCTAGAAGATGCACTTGTTAAGAGAATTCTAATTCCTTGGTTTTTTTTATTTAAAGAATGAGTAATATTTTTTAAAGTCCAATACTTTTCTTTAAAAGGAAATTAAGCAGGAAATAGGAAAGAGTTTAGTCATTATCCTTTAAATTGCTGTATCTCATAGCTAATTCACACCAGAAGCCTAAAAATTAAGCAGCATTAAAATGTGATCATTCACTAGCATTTTTCACTGCTTGATTTGAGGCTGTTGTTAATTTCAATACTCATAGTGGTAGCTAAGCATAAAAATTAAAAATATATACATGTATTTTAAAAAATCTTTAAGCTTTATGATTTATGATATTTAGCAGTGTCTGTATATAAAGATAAAAATAGTCTAAGTATGTATCATATTTGTTATAGCCTAATAGTTTACTTTGTTAGTGAGGGAATTTACTAGTCAATTATATAAACATTATAATTGAAGCCTATGCATGGATTTTGAGAAAAGAAATAGGCTGAGATAATGAAAGGCAGTGATCTTAACTAAACATCTAAAGATTAAAATAGAATTAAAGCAATAACTACAATATATTACAATTAGCAATAACTACAATATATTACAATTACAATATACTACAATATATTACAATTAAAGCAATAACTACAATATATTAAAATTAGGCTGACATAAAGCCTTTAATTTCAACCATGTAATATTCAGCCATGTAAAATAAGTATGTTAAATAAGTATTAAATATATTTTGGACATTTAGAGTAAGGAAATGTAAATGTTTCTCTATGAACATTTTACTAATAAACTTGTAAAAATCAACTGGCAAAATATATTTTCTTAACTATATGGAAAAAGTATAAAAGAAACAACTTATATAAGTACATACTATGTGCAAGACACTCTTCCTAGAACTTTATGTGCAATGATGACTCATTTAGTCCTTGATATGGTTTGACTCTGTGTCCCCACCCAAATCTCGTCTCGAATTGTGATCCCCACGTGTGTAGGGAGGGACCTGGTGTGAGAGGTGATTGGATCATGGGGGCGGATTCTCCCATGCTGTTCTCGTGATAGTGAGTGAGTTCTCAAGAGATCTGATGGTTTAAAAGTGTGTGGTGGTTCTCCCCGCTCTCTCTCTCTCCTGCTGCCCTGAGAAGAAGGTCCCTGTTCCCGTTTGCCTTCCACCATGATTGTGAGATTTCTGAGGCCTCCCAGTCATGCTTCCTGTTACGTCTGTGGAACTGAGTCAATTAAACCTCTTGTCTTCATAAATTACCCAGTCTCAGGTAGTTCTTTATAGCAGTGTGAGAACAGACTAATATAGTCCTCATAAGAAATCTCTGAGAGAAATACTCGTAGTATCCCAATTTACAGATGAGGAAACTGAGGCATAAAGAAGATAGATAATTTGCCCAAAATCACTCTGCTAGTGAGTGGGATTCTAACCTAGAGTTAGAACATGAGCGTCTAGGCTCCTAATCATTTCACCATTCTGCTTTTGCAGCATGATCAGTAATCTTTTAATTCACTTTGGTTAGAGCAATTAAAAATGTCTGGTTAAAATAACAAATTATGGTGAGTTAGTATTATTACATTATTACTATCACAACATGGAATTACCCAAATAAGTTGTATAGAATTTTTAAAAATATGAGTACATTGCTGGACGTCACATCCTTAGGCTTCAGGAACTGAAGACACATTGCAATTTACTCTAGGCTAATTAGCAAAAAAGAAAAAAAGCACCACTGCACCTGGTAGGAAAAAGATAAATAATAGTTAATTTTTATTAAATGCGTATGATGTGTCAAGCATTATTCTGAGTGCTTTAATTAATGTATTTAATCCTACCACAATCTTCTAAGATATGTGTTATTATTACTCCCATTTTATGAATGAGGCTTAGTGGGAGTAACATGTTCACCCTGCCCTCTCCCTCCTCTATTCTTCATTGTTGGAGAGTTCAGAATCTTGGTTGTTTTCTTGTTTTTTACTGGTGGGTGATTTTAAAATTTTTAGGTGGCTTTTGCTGGTAAAGAAAGTTGCAACCTTTGGTTAAAGACTGAGTTGAGGCTGAGCGCAGTGGCTCACGCCTGTAATCCCAGCACTTTGGGAGGCCGAGGCAGGCGGATCACAAGGTCCGGAGTTTAAGACCAGCCTGGTCAATGCATTGAAACCCCTTCTCTACTACAAAAATTAGCCGGGCGTGGTGGCATATGCCTGTAGTCCCAGCTATTCAGGAGGCTGAGGCAGAAGAATTGCTTGAACCCAGGAGGCAGAGGTTGCAGTGAGCCAAGATCATGCCACTGCTCTCCAGCCTGGGTGACAGAGTGGGACTCCGTCTCAAAAAAAAAAAAAAAAAAAAAAATGAGTTGAAGGATAATTGCTGCTTCATGACAGAATTTTAAGAAAATGGCTTTGAAGGCATTTTGCTTTCTGCCAGTAGTGTTACTACTGCATGATCTGGTTTAGTACAATAATAATGACCAGGAGCTCTGGCATCTAATTTTTCAAATCCTGGCTCTGCCTCTGTCTTAGAAGCAGAGGTTCCTGTTCCTGCTGCTATAACAAAATACCTTACACTAGGTAATTTATAAACAACAGAAATTTATTCTTCATAGTTCTGGAGGCTGAAAAGTCCACCATCAAGGCAGCAGCAGATTAGATGTCTGGTGAGGGTCCCCTCTCTGCTTCAAAAATCACACCTTCTCAAGAAATCCTCCCATGGCAGAAGGGTGTGAACAGGGCAAACAGGCTTTCTCCAGTACTAAGGGCACTAATCCCATTCATGAGGTGACTCAATCACCTTCCACCTCCTAATACCATCACCTTGGGGGTTAGGTTTCAACACATGAATTTTGGAGGAACACAAACATTCAGACTATAGCAGCCTCTTCTTAGGTGATCTTGTGCAATTTCTTGAATGGATTATACAGAAACATCCCTGCTCTGTTAGTGTTCCTGGGGTAAGGGTAGGAGAGGGTCATGGGTTGGGATAGGAGGAGAGCTGATTGAGAAAGGGAATGAAAGAGGCCGGAGGCTATAAAAGTATCTAAAATTGTTTCCTCCTAACCTCATTCGACATTTTCCCTTACTTACTTGATGTTTTCTGTTTGCTTAATGATGAAATCTGTTTGATTCCTGTCAGCTTTTTCTTAGTCATATGAGAACTTTCTAGAACTAATGGGGTTGCATGAGAACTGACTTCCAGGCCCACCCATGCTGTTACAGTGAGATCACTTTTTGTAGCACTAGTTCTCGTTCTGCTTGCCATCTTTCCTGATGTGTCACCAATATTGTCTGTGAACCACACCCACAAAAACAACTCAGAAACAGATTTTCTTGAACCACATGTGACGTTGGCAAAGTGTGGTATTTTTAAGTAGGCCACATAGCTATCTAACCGATCACTCTTCCTCCATTGTGAACAAATATATATTGAGAACTTACCCTGTGCCTGGCACCAGTGATAGAAAGACAAATATCCCTGGCTACTTCGTATTAGCAGCAAGCCTAGTATGCCTTATACACTGCCAGGGTAGATGGTTTTTATTTTTTTTAAGTTAAGTTGCTTTCCAACTCTTGACTGTGCATAACTTTTTCTTATAACCTGTGGTCTCTATTTTTGCCTTCTGTTTAGCTCTTTCACTAGTATCATTACTTGCAAATATGCCAGAGCATCTCAACTTTATTCTACCAGGATCACGATTGATTTATATTCTTCTTTTGGCTCCTTGCAGTGCTTTTTTCTGCTAGTGCAAGCTATTTACATGCACTTACTCTGCACTTTGCACACATTATTCCCCTTGTGGTATTACCCCCTGTGAGGTCTAGACCTGTGCTATCCAGTACTGAATGAATAAGATATTCCACAAATACATATACTATATATAGGTGTCTATCTATCTATCTATCTATCTATCTATCTATCTATCTATCTGTCTATCTATAGTCTCTCCATATTACCTATAATGTATATTATATATATGTAACTTAAAACTCTAGATATGCAGCTAAAAAATGAACTGGCTATAGTCTTTGCCCTTTTTAGTATTTAACTAAAGACCTGCCTTTCTAAAGAAAGCTTCTGGTTTCAATCGGATAAAATTAATTTTTGACCTTGCTTGTACATGGGATGAGAGTTTATAAAGTTATAATATAATTGGCAATCTTGTGTCACTGTAAGTTTGACATATATCATTTGTTAGTGAGAAAGCAGAAGCTATGCTATGAAATCCTCTCCCTCTCTGCTTTGAAGAAATTTTTATGGCAGAAACTAAACTATAATGCAGCTTAAACTTGGAACTAAGCCGAACAACTTGGATTCATGGGCATATCAGCATCATTATGATGGTGATGATCATGATGATCATTACTACCTTACCATTATCATCTCATCACAAGTATTATTATTACTACTAATGAGAGTTGTAATTATATTACTTTTATGTTGATTCTTTCTCCAAAATGAATTCCTCCCCTCTCTTCCCATTTTTTTACCTCGTCCTAATTGTGTTTATAGAAACAGAAGTGACAATTTACTTAATTACATAATACTAAACAAAAGAATATTGTATCAACACTGATTTGGCATGGAATGAGGTTGCCTATTAAAGCTGTATTATCATAACATATCTCCCAGACATGATATTTTTTCTGCTTGCAGCCAAAAGTAGAAATTTTTTTGAAACACATTTAGAGTTGTTTCTGGAGTTAGGCATTAGTAGATTATCACTAATTGCTTGAGAGACCCCACAGTCCTAATTAGACGGAAAAGTGAAATGCAGAGGCGGGGCTACCACAGTCAGCCTTGAAGATTGCGTGCTGCAGAATCCCAGGGCTTGCTACTCACATGATGTGAATGGCATTCCCAACATTGTGCAGCAGAGCAACCTGCACATTTGGAAGTACTGAGAATATTGTAGGAAAAAATAAAGAACATTTCATGAAAGCATTTGGTAGATCCATGGTCATCTCATTGTCTTTGAAGGTAAATTTTATTTTTAAATTTAATTCTTTCTAGAAGCCATGAATATTAAGAAGTATAATAATTTGAAAAGAGAAAAAAGTTCTTGGTAGGAGATTCTACAATCAATATTCAATTTCACAAAAGTACACCATTAGAAATGAGAAAAGCAAATGTAAAACTTGGACTTAGAGTGTGTAAAGGGCAAATCAACTAGTAGAGAAGGTAAACATAGGAGAAAAGAGTTAAGAAAAGAAATGACTCTAGCAATAGTGCAGATTACATAGCTTGAATTCTCTCGGTACAAAACATCTAGTTGCCAGCTAAAAAACAAACATTTTAAAGCATATTGTTTGCCTCACAAAGATAATAAAGGAAATCACCAGTCCTCCAATATTGTGACTATTCAAAATGTACTACATATTCTAGCCAGTGTAATTAGAAAGGAAAAACAAATAAAAATTGTAAAGATTGGAAAGAAGAAATAAATGGTCCCTAAATGTACACAATATGGTTGTTTATATGGAAACATGGAGTTAGGCATAAGAGACTACAAATTATTAGAATTAGGAATTTAGTAAGGTTGCTGGATATAAGATCAATAGACAAAAATCAATGACATCCCCATACAGCAAAGATTAAGAAATATTACTTTTAAAAATATATCATATATAAAAATAATCAAAAATATGTATAGTAATAAATCTAATAAATGATTGGCAAGATTTTTATGTAGAAAATTAGGCAACTTTGTTGAAATGTCTTTAAGAGGACCTAAATACATGGAGAATATATGATGTTCATAAAAATGTAAACTAAATTCCCTAAAGATGTAAATACTCCTTAAATTAACTATAAATGTAATACAATTCCAATTCAACCCAACCCAACAGATCTGAGTAGTGGAATAGAATTGAGTTGCTGGTATTTGAGGCGAATCTGGAATTCTTTTGAGAGCCTAGTATAATTAACGGTGCCTCTGATAGAAAAAATATTCCCTGTAAATTTTGTTATCAAAAGGATGAATACTCAGATATAGGTTGCAAATAGAAAATCTACCTTATTTACCAAGAACTTGAATATTTACCTCAACATAAGAAACTAAGGATATGATGATTTCTTGGCAAAGGAATTGCTGTGTCAGTTGCAAGATGGCATTTTTCATCCATGACTCAGAAGTCTGGAATACCTGCCCAGTGCCTCATATGGATATAGACTCTAGGCTTCCAGACCCAGAGAGGAGAATGTTTTAGCAAGTGCATACTGCCACACATGAGAGCATCCAAAGCATCCAAAGTTATCTGAACTACTATACCTCACCCAGAGGCTACCTGTTAAACTATAACAGGCATGCCACCTGTGCCTTCAGAGGCCAATAAGTGATCTTTGAACAGGGTTGGAGTTAAAAAGTAAACCTATCCTTCACGTTTCTGCACTGTTAAAACTAAAGTACTTATAACAACGGACTTGATATGACTCTGCGGTCAATGTTTGCTTCTAAGATTGGCTCATTGTTTACATTTTAAAGGAAGAACACATTTGTTATGAAAAAGTTTTTCCGAATAGTGTGATTGCTTTGGAAGCAGCTCTTAAAACTGTAACACTATGTAATTGGCCAAACTTTCTGTACTACAGTTACCCTTCCAACTCTATAACTGTGAGTTTTTGGTATTTTTCAGTGAAAAGAGAGCCAGTTCAAAACATAAGATTATATAGATGTCTTTTAAAAGAGTTATACTATCACTTTTGTGTTAAAAAACAAGAATTCCAAAGAACGCCAATAAAGATTAAAATCTTCATCAACAAGCATTTATTTTCTCAATAGGCATGAAAGCATTACATAAAATATGGAAAAAATCTCAGACTGGTGATGTGTTTGGTGTGTCCTTTCAACAACTTCTTCTGTGTTTCTGGCTCACCCTCTTACCCTGCTTTTCCTCTCTTACATCCTCTTCATTGTGGAAAGAGGTAATAGATACAAACCAAAAACTTCATGGAAAGCATGCATGGCAGTCTGTTTCCTACAATATACACTAAAAGTGTAATTAGTTTCCTATTTACTTTTCTCTTCTGTTGTTTACTAGTTGCTAACAGTGACTATCATTTGAAAAGGGTGAAAATAGTAAAGCTATAGATGATCTGAACAGATCAGTCAATTTGACCTAGTGAACGTTTATCAAATACTTCAATAACAGCTGAATTACACATTCTTTTCAAATTCACAAGAAATATACACCATGATAGGCCATATGCTGGGCCATTAAACATACTTTAACAAATTTAAAAGAATAGAAATTATACAAAATATGATCTCAGAAAAGTTAGCTGGAGAATCCCCAAATATCTGCAAATTAAACAATGTGTTTCTAAATAACTCATGAGCCAAAGAAGAAATCTCAGGAGAAAATTTTAAATATTTTGAATTAAATGTAAATAAAAGTACAACTTATCAAAATTCACAGGACACAGCAAAAGCAGTGCTTAGAGGGAAATTTGTAGCATTAAACGCATATATTAGAAATGGAGAAAGGTCTAACTTCCTTAGGAAATTGGAAATTCATTCCATCTTAGATAATTAGTAAAAAGGGTGAAATAAAACTGATTAGCAAGCAAAGAAAAAAATTCAATTTTACATATAATCTAATAAAAGAAATACTAATACAAATATCACTTTTCACATACTAAATTGGAAAATTTATACTTTTAAAGTATAATATTCAATGCTGGTATGGGTGAGGTGAAATAGGCACCATACCTTAGTGATAGTTGTACAGATGGATGCAGCATTTTTGGAGAGAAATTTGACAATGTGGCCTAAATGTAACTTTTCTTTGAGCTGATATTTTCATTTTAATGATGATAAGAAAATAAAAATTAAAAAAACTCAAATTAACAAAATGTTTAACAGAGATAGCTATAAAACTATTATGAATAATAGCAAAAATCTGAAAATAACACAAAAGTATAATAAGGTAGATCCACTCACTGGAACAGTATATGGCCATGAAAACTGATGTTTGTGTAGAATTTCTAATAACTTAATAATAAGTGAAGAAAGGCCGGGTGCAGTGGCTTACGTCTGTAATCCTAGCACTTTGGGAGGTCGAGGCAGGTGGATCACCTGAGGTCAGGAGTTTGAGATCAACCTGACCAACATGATGAAACCCCATCTCTACTAAAAATACAAAAAATTAGCCGGGCATGGTGCAGACACCTGTAATCCTAGCTACTCATGAGCCTGAGGCAGGAGAATCACTTGAACTTGGGAGGCGGAGGTTGCAGTGATCCGAGATCACGTCACTGCACTCCAGCCTGGGCAGCAAAAGCGAAACTCCATCTAAAAAAATTTAAAAAGTAAAGAAAACATGGAACAAAAATTGTATGGCTATATAGGCTAGATATAAGATTAGAAGGAGCCATACCAAAATGAAAGCTGGTTTTATTAACGGTAGAGGGTGTCCAGGTTCTTGGTGTCCTAAACAAAGAATTGGACAAAACATACAAACAAAGCAAGGAAGGAATGAAGGGTTTTATTGAAAATGAAAGTACGCTCCACAGTGTGGGAGTGGCCCTGAGCATAGAGGCTCAAAGGCCCAGTTACAGAATTTTTGGGAGTTTAAATACCTAGAGGATTCCATTGGTTACTTCAGGTACACCCTATGTAAATGGAAAGGATGAAGTAAAGTTACAAAGTCATTTACAGCCTATGCCCTATGGAGACGATATTTCCTGTTATAGCTGAAGTATGAGTCAGCCTTATGCTCCCTGCCTCCAGACCCTATTTTCCTGCCTCAGTTTCTTTGGAAGATGGGTTTGCCCTACTAACTGCTTTTCTGTTATTTCCCAAAGACCCATGATGAACACAGTGGTTTCACTCATGGGCTTTGGAATCCAGTGGTTGGGTTACAGTCTCAGCTCTATTATTTACTAGTTGGGTGAGTCTCAGTTCTCATTTGTAAAGCAAGGATGACAATTGACAGTCTCTCCCTAGGGTGACTAAGAAGTCTGAAGGTGATCTTGTATGTAGAGTGTTTAGCACAAGGCCTGCTGTATATTAAGTCCCCAATAAATGCTAGCTATTTGTTATTGGTTATAATGAGGAAAAAATTTCTATCAAAAGTAAGCACATTAGGGCCAAGTGCAGTAGCATATGCCTGTAATCCCAGCACTTTGGGAGGCCGAGACGGGCAGATCACCTGAGGTCAGGAGTTCAAGACCAGCCTGGCCAACATGGTGAAACCCCGTGTCTACTAAAAATACAAAAAAAATTAGCCGGATGTGGTGGTGCATGCCTGTAATCCCAGCTACTCAGGAGGCTGAGGCAGGAGAATCACTTGAACCTGGAAGGCAGAGGCTGCAGTGAGTCAAGATGGCGCCACCACACTCCAGCCTGGGTGACAGAGCAAGACTCCATCTCAAAAGAAAAAAAAAAAAGATAAGCACCTTAGGACAGGCTCACCCAGATTTGCACAGGGAAGTTTTCCTTTCTCTGTTGGACTCTATTGATGTATTTCTTTGAATGAGTTGCATTTTCAAGATATTTATTTACTGATTGCAGGATATCTGGAGTTTACAAATGGGGCACTTAAATTTCCTTTTGTATACCAAAAAACAGGACACACGGAGAAACAATAAGTATATTTGATTGTCTTTGTGTATTTAAAAGTGCTATATCCAAGACCGTACCAGTGAGACTGAGAAAGGAATTCAAAGCTACTGACTTTAGCTACTTATTACCTCAAGTCTGCAGGCTGTGATTTTTTAAATTTCAGAGTAAGAGATAATAATCTGTACCTCCTTCACCCTTCCTATAGGGTCATTAATAGACTGGGAACTCCCCTGCCACTTCAGGATTCTTTTCAATGTAAAATTTAATATTATTTTGAAAGTGTTACTATAGCTTTAAAGGATTTCATTACCAAAGAAAGAATTCTGTTCATGATAGAAATATCATGCATTTTAAGAAGAATTCATCTTTTTTAAAAAAAAAAGATTCCTTTTTCTCTGTTTGCAATAAATATTGTATTCATTCAAACATTTCTGAAGGAGGACAGATAGTGGGGAAATGATGTGCTTTTTCTTTACGATGAAGGAATCTTCAATAGTTATGTTAGAGAGACTTACTACATGCATAAAAAAGTGCTTGGGCTTCAGAGCAATTAATATTTTTGTATTAATTTGGCTTTAAAGTTTTAATTCCTTAAATTTAGTGAGGAATATTTCTGTGAGTAAATAGCATTTATAAGTAGAGAAGGTCTAAGGTAGAACATTTGAGGTGTTATTTTGTAGAGTGCAGAAACCTAAATGGACTTACATTTATTGTAACCTTGAGTGGCTATGGCTAATTGGCTTAAAATTCTTCTTCTTCTTCTTCTTCTTCTTCTTCTTCTTCTTCTTCTTCTTCTTCTTCTTCTTCTTCTTCTTCTTCTTCTTCTCCTTCTCCTTCTCCTTCTCCTCCTCCTCCTCCTCCTCCTCCTCCTTCTTCTTCTTCTTCTTGTTCTTCTTCTTCTTTTGAGATGGAGTTTCACTCTTGTTGCCCAGGCTGGAGTGCAATGGCATGATCTTGGCTCACTGCAATCTCTGCCTCCTGGGTTCAAGCAATTCTCCTGCCTCAGCCTCCAGAGTAGCTGGGACTACAGGTGCCCGCCACCATACCTGGCTAATTTTTTGTATTTTTAGTAGAGACGGGGTTTCACCATGTTGGCCAGGCAGGTCTCAAACTCCTGACGTCATGTAATCCACCCACCTCGGCCTTCCAAACCAATTTGCTTAAAATTCATTTACAGGTTTTCAAAATGTATTAACATCCTGAAACCATTAATTTGAGCTCTGAGATGGTACAGTTTTAATACTGGTTAATGAAGTTTTTCTAATGTTTCTGATAACTGAATGCCTCTTCTATGATGAGGTCAATTATACTGAATTTAGGGTTGAAGCAGATTGTGTCATAGATTTACCCTCTAAATTGCATTGTAATCTTGTAAGGCACAATTGTAATAAAAATATTCAGAAAGGCACTTGTGTTTGAAATTGCAGCACAGGTTTAGGATCGGAAAGTGTCCAGGGTAATTAGGAGCTATAGATAAAACCAAACCAGAAGCATATCTAGCTTAATTAACATCTTGAACATATTCTACTATATTACATATCTTGAAATCCCACCTATGGACAAGGGATGTTTTTAATCAAATTGCTGCTTCAGTAGATTGTGAGCTTTTTTAAGCTTGATTTTCTAATACTTAGACAATAGTACTTTCGTTGAACTAGACAAATTGAGTAGAATCTTTGTACTCTCAATTGCTTGCATAAGAGTACTAGGCAAAGAAAAGGCTAAATTTGCAAACCCAGCTTAGTCACCAAACCTAACTAGCTGTATAACCTTGACTAGGCTGGGGCCTGTGAAATAAAAAGTTTTAAATGGACTTCAGTTTTCTCGTGTCAGAAAAGGTTGGACTAATAACTTCCAAGGTCTTTTCCTATGCTAAGGTTTTATCAGTGTAATTATGAATTAGGTAAAGTTATAAATTTTATTGTCTGACTGTCCCACTAAGCTTTAAAGCCAGTTTAACCATCTGCTGGACATGACTGGTCTGCCATCCTCACTAAGTCAACCCGTTCCAAATAGAATCAGTCACCTCCCAAACCAACTACATCTCCTGATTTTCCTATTTCTGCAAAAGAGATTATTATTTTTTCAACTAACCAGATTCAGAGCCCCCAATCCAAGTCACTTTTTTGTCCCCCCTCATTCACCCCCCACCCACTCCTCGCCACAGTGTTCAAGTGATTCTCCTGCCTTAGCCTCCCGAGTAGCTGGAATTACAGGCATGCACCACCACACCTGCCTAATTTTTGTATTTTTAGTAGAAACGGGGTTTCGCCATGTTGACCAAGCTGGTTTCGAATTCCTGACCTCAAGTGATCTGCCTGCCTCAGCCTCCCAAAGTGCAGGAATTACAAGTGTGAGCCACCGCACTGGCCCAAGTCATTTTTAATTTCTTCCCAGTCTTCGGCCAATCCCATGGTCAGTTACAAAGTTCTATCAATTTCTTTTTGGTTCTTCTTCAATTCCTCCCAACCCCTGTCCATTATCCCTATCCTCATCTTGGTGTAGACCCAGGTATTCTCATAAAGTAGCCCTTAGCTCACCTTCCAAGTCTTCTTTTCCTAATCTATTATATGTCATTTCTAAATTATGACTCAGAGAACCTCCCAACACAAAGCAGCTTGACTTGCCAAAGCCTTTATTTGTTTGTCCCTCCTCTGCTTTTTCTTCCCCATTCCACGAATCCCTATGAATCTCCTTCTCCTAATAGACTCCACTCATTCTCTCAGAGGCACTCTGTTTATTCACACTGGAGCACTTAGGCGACCACCACTGGCATATTCATCCACACCATATTCATCCACACCTACACAATTGTTAGTGCCCAGGTTCAGTCCACATCCTCCATGTGGTTTTTTTTAACTTCCTCAGCCCACAAAGTTTCACCTGTGCTAATAGCCTACTTTATATGCCACTCTTGAGGCACTGCCAGGCACTGCTTTATCATATCCTGCCTTAAGTTGTTATATTTTGTAGAACAAAAAATGGAATTATAACAATCCTATGGTATTGCTGAAAGTTTAGAGGCCAGAGGAACAGTCATCTCTAATATTTTGATGTATTTCTTTCCAGACCTTTTTCATATGTATGTTTTCTGTTGTTATAATGAAAGTGGCTGGGCACTGTGACTCATGCCTGTAATCCCAGCACTTTAGGAGGCCAAGGCGGGTGGATTGCTTGAGCCCAGGAGTTCAAGACCGGCCTGTGCAACATGGCAAAACCCCATCACTAAACGAACAAACAAAAAAATTAGCTGGGCATGGTGGTGTGCACTTATAGACCCTGCCACTTGGAAGACTTGAAGCAGGAGGATCATCTGAGCCCAGAGGTCAAGGTTGCGGTGAGCTGAGATTGCACCACTGCATTCCAGCCTGGGCAATAGAGTGAGACCTGTTTGAAAACAAAACAGAAACCAAAAACAATAATGAAAGCATATATACAATTTTGCTTTTAATTTTCTTTCACCCAGTATATGAGAAAAAAAAGTATAACTGAGAATAATAAAGTGATACAGGGGGTGCCATGAGAGGACAGAGGGGAAACTAACCCTGTTGGAAGAGGAGCCTAAGAAGGAAAGGTGTCACAGCAGCTATTGTCAGAACTGAATTTCCAAGGACCTGCCAGAGGTAGCCAGAAGGAGGAGAGGGTGTGCAGAAGCGAGAGGCATGAAGCAGTATTGTCCATCTTCAAGAGTGCAGGTTGTTCACTGTGAGTGGCAAGGAACCGGGACATTATAGGTTTGGGTGCCAAGCCAAGCAACATGCATTTTATGTGCCAATGATGAGAAGCCACTGAATATGTTAATAGGTGCTTGGGCCAAACACATCAGTGAAATTGCTAACTTTGGATGACATATACTGCTCCTGTAGTTGTCTACTTGATATCCAACCTCCCCTTCTTTCCAGTAGAATCCTGATTTTGTTAAGGGTGTCAATGTGCCCAGTTAAAATGCTTAGCTCTCCAGACTTCCTCATGGTCTGAAGAGGCCATGTAACCCAGTTCTAGACAATTAGATATAAGCAGATGGGTGAGGTTACTGGGAAAGTGTTTTAAGGCCAGCTGGCATGTATCTTTTACCCTTTTCTCTTTTCTAGAATAACAACACCCGTCCTGGAGGCAGAAAAACCATCTTGTGCCCATGAGGGAGAACACCAAACAAATCTGGATGACTTCCTTGAGTAGCTGCATTTATATTGGACTGTCTACCTCCTGACTTCTTGTCTTGTAAGAAAAATCAATCTCAATTTGGTTAAGCTACTGAGTTGGATTTTCATCAATTTCAGAAATAGCAATAGGTACAGAAAGTTTTAGCTAAGAGCCATTTAGAAATGTGTGTCAATATAATGCTGTCAATGGTAGCTATATCTGTAATAACAACACAACTGTTCTTGGTTTTTGTTTTTGTTTTTTTAAAAAAATTTCTTGCCCTCATATAATTAATTTCAACATGAGAGAGCATGCGTGCTTTTTTTTTTTTTTTTTTAGAAAAGTATGGTTACCTTCCTGGAAGAGCATGTGTATTTTCAAAGCCTCTCACTCCCTCCCTTCCTAGGAATGAGCAGCTGAAGCCAGGAAGCACATGAAATAAGAAAGAGCGCCCATGGCAGGAGGCTTAAGTTAAAGCTTAAGGAAATTCCCAAGATGATGTTTTTAAAGGGCATTCAAAGGGCACAGTCCAGGTAGAAAACAAAATCTAGGATTATTTTAATGAAAACAATTCTCCATTTTATCTTCTCCCAGTAGTCTTCTAGTTCAAAGAGAGAGAAGATTGTATTCATGGAAAATTGATGGATAAGCAATGATTTTTTTTTTTTTATCTGAAAACCCAGGTCCTATCTTCAGTGTGTATTTATTGTATGATCTAAGTTTGGCACTTACATCTTTCATCTCACTTTCTCTTTGTATAAATGGGCACAACTATTCCTGTTCCCTCCCACACATTGATGCTGTGAGGATAAATAAGATCATGTTTATACTTCCATGGAGAAAAAACACTAGGTATACTAAAAATATCACTATTTTCAGAGTCTTTCTTTTTCTTGGAAATGTATAATAATGCCAGTTGCAAATGGTATTGTTGAAGAGTCAAATTTTCCATAAAAGTGATCACCTTTTCAGAAAATAGGTAATTAGTTCTTTGAAAACTAAAAGTTTCTTTTAAAATTTGTAACCATTTTTCAAACTTAGCAGCTTAAATTTGTTGATTTATTCTTCAAATTCATGTTTATTGAATGCTTACTACATGCAATGTATTTTAATGGAAATATTTCCCTCTGGTAAAACAAAATATATTTTACCTTTTATTGATGACTCTGTAAGATACCAATATATGAAAAAAGGATTTTAGCTGACTTCAAATATACCAGCCAACATCACATTAGGTTACAGAAATATAAGCCATAGAGCTAAGTTAAGGAAAATGTTAGTTCTATTCTATGTTGATCAGACAAACCTGGAGTTGAGTTCTACATGCACAGTGTAAGACAAGCTGGGGTATATCTGAAAAGAGGTGATTAAGATGGTGAAAAGTGTGGGAATCCTGTCATATGGGTGTTTAAACTAAAAGGATAGTTAAGATGAAAATTATTAAAACTTTACTTTAAATCATTGAATACCTACCAGAAGAGAAATTGGACTTATTCTGTATGGTTGCAGATGACTAACCTATAAACACAGAATTTTAAGAAGAGAAACATCCCACTTAAATAGAACAACAGTGCCAAAAATGAGCAGAATTGCCTTTGAGGCTCTTGTTTATGGAGATTTTTAGAACAGAAACTGGATGACCTTTGGACAGAGGCTTTGTGGAAAGGGGTTTTGATGGAGTGAGAAGTTGGGCTCAAGGGTCCCTCCTGATTCTGAATGTCTTACGCTCCACTAGGAACCTCACTTACTCTACTAAGTTACCGGAGAGTGATGCCTTTATAGCTTTTTCGTCCTTTGTTTCTGCACTAGAAGGCCTCAGACTGCTGTGGATGTTTTGGTTTTGTTTTTGTACTTATGGCTGCTTTTTAGAGTTTTCCCATCCTTCTCATTACTGGATTGCCTCAGTTTATCCCCTGTCTTTAATAACATCCTGCTCCATTCTAATCTGTTACTTCTAATAGGCTGTGATCTAGAAAGATGTCATAACCAAACTTAATAAAAATACATGAATGATTTAAGTGAGGTCCTGAAGGGCTCTCCTGTGAGTAAAGTCTTTGGTGCAAAGAGTTTTGCCATTTATTTTATTTTATTTATTTTGAGACAAGGTCTCACTCTGTTGCCCAGGCTGGAGTACAGTGGTGCCAACACAGCTCACTGCAGCCTCGACCTCCCAGGCTCAAGCTATCCTCCCACCTCAGCCTCCCAAGTAGCTGGGACCAGAGGCATATGCCACCACGCCTGGCTATGCCATTTATTTTACTTTTTAAAGACCCTTTTAACTTCCTTTCAAGTTCTCAGGAATATTCTAGATTTAACTTATCAATTTTGTGGTTTCTGGGAATTGTTATTGAAATTCTGTAAGTTTGCTAAGCTTCCTACTAATTCATAAAATTACAAAATATTCTGAATCCATGACTGATGTTTTCAAAAACAAAATCATAGGCAATAATATACTTATCCAAGATTTTTCTTATGTAGGTAACCTTTTCTTGGATAGCTTCTTCAAAATGAAAATATCCTTTGTAACTAAACTGGACTATATAAGCAAATGATGTTTATTAGAATGCTGACTATTTTTCTCTCCTGAGCTTTTCATATAGATAGTATTGGTGTCGAATGTGCAGATTCCTTTTGAATATGGGAAATCATTGTGATATAACTGGTTTTCTCCTTAGTCCTTAGTCTCCTTAGCCCCTTAGTATATAACAATAGTTTTAACACAACTCAGTCAAAAACATGTAATGAACACTTATTGTAGGTGTTCTTGGCTAAGAATAAGGAAAAATATCAGAAAAACATAGTAATGTTTTGTATAAACTGAATATTAAAGACTGTTCTACCATTAGAGAGCTTTCTGTCTTGTTAAAGGAAATAAGAGCCAGTTATTCAGCAAAGAAATATATTATCAATGCAGGATTCGTGCAGACAGTAAATGGCTTTGAAATTTGTAATGAGATATGGAGTAGTTCTGTGATTGCTTTGGCAGCACATATGCTAAAATTGGAACAATACAGAGAAGATTAGCATGGCCTCTGCATGAGAATGGCATACAAATTTGTGAAGCATTCTATATTTTTAGCAATATATTGTACTCTTGAAAAATGCTAAGACAGTGAGTGTATTCTTAAATGCATGTTAATATGCAAAAATGCATATGTTCATTGGCTAGATTTAGTCATTCCACGCTGTATACATATTTCAAAACATCATGTTGTACATGATAAATACATACAAGTTTATTTGTTAATTAAAAAACAGAAATGGATTAGTTCTGCCTAAATATACTAGACTCAGAAGTTAATAATAAATGTGCATCCACCCCTTTGTTTAATTTGCCTTGGCTATTAAGTTAACATTTATGCTAAGAACCTTTGGCTGTTATAGTTTCCTATCATTTATTTGGTAAAAAGATTAATTGGAGAGGTGTTTCAATGGCTCCATTAGGAGATATGAAGAAAGCCCCACCATTGCCAGTATTTGGGAACTCAAAGCGTTTATTTTCTAAAGCAGGTGATGCTACATGAATTGCTGTCCACACCTTCTGCTACTTTCCTCTGTTGGCCAGAAGAATAATTTTAATGTCGCCCAAATGGATTATGCTGACCTCAACCCAGATCCCCCTGGGAGATATAAACTTCTTATATGTTCCTGGCTGGGTCATTGTAAATAATATCTACATGTATCCCAAAGCTCTGAATTATCCTCATCTGTAACAGACACAACGACTAAATGGTATCTGGAACGTAGTTAATTTTCTGGAAAATATTCAAAGGAACAAAATGAGCACTGCAATACAAAATTGCTGTCGACTTAACTTTTGCCAGTTTCCCTGGATGTGTAAGTAGAATTATATTTTCACAGAACTTGCAAAAATCTCAGACTCGGCTGCTATTTAATCTCTTTCCAGAAGCACCAGCCCTGAGCAATCCTATCTGCAATTAGCTGCGTGTGGTTGCTACTAAATTGCTCCCCATAAGTTAGTTCCTAACACTGTTTCACAGCACGGCATACTCTATAAAGGGAGAACGCTTGGAAGGACCGAAGAGTTCCCTTTGTCGTGCCCTTGCCCTGCCTCTGGACAACGATGTTCTTACACTGCCGACTAGCTAATCCTGTGACCCTTTTCTTTCAGCACCTTGAGTTTGAGTTAGGCAATACCTCTTACACCAAAGTGGGCACACCTTCGGATCATGTAGGCAGCGATTGTTTAGCCGAGACATCCCCCTACCCCCGCAAAAGGCAGCAGAGAAGCGGCGAACGCCGCTTAGCAGTTGGCGCGCTCTCAGTGCGGGTGACGCGGGGCTGGGTTGGGGTGTTCCGTCCCCGGGTCGTGGGACTCCCCGAGAGGGGGTGGCTGGAGGAGGAGGGAGGGCTTGTTTCGCTGGGGGATGTGGGAAGTAGGCGCTAGCCTGTTTCGCGGTTTTTTAAGCCCCTTGGCATGCCCTGACCTGATCTAGAGGGAGTCTACTGCTCTTAGGAATGTTCCGGGAGAAGGTGGGAGATTGCTTCCCAGGGGAGGCCTGTGGGTGCTGCAGGGCACCAGGGGGGTCACTAGGGAGATGCAGGGCGCGGGCCAGGAGGGGCGCCAGGGCAGCCGGGGGCCAGGCTGAGGCGACCGGGACCAGCGGGCAGCCGGGCGTCGGGGGCGTCGGTCGGGGCGCGGGGGACCCCCCCCCCGGGCGGCAGCGGCAGCGGCGATCCGATCCCGCGGGCTGCGCCGCCCGGGCTGTCAAGCGCGGGGGGCGGGCGGGAGGAAGGGGTGGAGGTGCGAGGGGAGGAGGGCTGGCACCGGAGCGCCGCGGCGTCGGTGCAATAAAAATGCATCGCATGGAACTGCCCGTGGAGAAGGACGGGACGGAGCCGGGGCAGCCAGAAGAGGTGGGAAAAGCGGAGGAGGACGCCCAGGAGGAGGCGGCGGCGGCGGCCGGGAAGTGAAAGGTCTCGCAAAGTTCAGCGGCGGCTGCGGGCGCCGAGCCCCGGGCTAGCGGCAGACGAGCCCGCAGGGCCGCTCCGCGGGGCAGCGCAGCCAGGCCGGCTATGGTCCCGGGGCTCCCGCCGCCCCCCAGGTGCCCGGGACCCGCCAGGCCGGTGCGCGAGGGTCACCCCACCTCCCCGCGCGGTCCCGGCCCCTGGCTCCCAGCTGCCGGCGACCGCTGACCGAGCCCGGCGCCCCAGGAGGAGGAAGAAACCAGGGCCCCGTTCCCTCCCGAGGACGGCGGCGCTTCATCCCGCAGCCCAGAGGTCTCGGCTCCCTCCGGCACCCGCCCGGCCCGGCTGCTCCCGGCTCCTCCCGGCCATGGGGAGCTGCGCGCGGCTGCTGCTGCTCTGGGGCTGCACGGTGGTGGCCGCAGGTGGGTGGTGACGCGGCGGGGCCCCCACCCCTTCCCTCGCTGCTTCTCTAACCCATCTCGGGACTCGGGGGTGCAGGGGAGCCAGGGCTGCGAGCGCAGAGCGCTGCTCCCGAGGGTGAAATGAGTGGCCATGTTCCGCCTCCTTTCCCCGGGGCTCCGCAGTTTCAAATACTATTGATTTATTTTTACAACTGGGATACACATGCGCTTGGATAACCAGCTATCCTGGGTGCGCCCTGCCGGGGATACTGCGACCGGGGTTTCTTTCTTGGTTTGGCTTGTTAAAAAACTGCTTTTCCACTTGGTGAGGGAACAAAGGACCCAGCTCGCCATCCCCCGGCACTTCATGGCCTAAGGAATGATGAGGAGGGGTGGCCCAGCGACCCTGGGCGCGCGTGGGCTGGGGCCGGTCTCTGGTAGAAGCCCATCGCTGGTGTCCCTGACCTGGTGCTGGGTACTAGAGAACCAGGTAAGGACACCTGGGGCAGGGCTGAGCGCCCTCTCCCCGGAGCAGTGACTGGAACGCAGTGGGACTCCTGGCTTGGACGATAGGTGGTGATCACCCCGGGCTTGCATTGAGCTGGCTGGCCGCCCCTGGGGAATTGGTACCCTGGCAGAGACTCTGCGGGAGGTCGGAGGCGGGTCTGCTCCCTGGCTCGGTAACTGGACAACCGGCGTCGGCGTCGGCAGATGCCCTCTCCCTCCCACTCCCATCCTGGCTTTCTTGGGCTGCCCTAGGCCACCGGCTCCTGGCTCGTGGTTTCTGTATTCGGGAGCCCCTTCTGCTCCTCTCCCTCCCTCTTGCGGGTCACCTGGTTTCCAGTTAGGCGTAAGCGCAGCCCTGTAGGTGAGGGGGAGAGATGTGAGGGAGTCTGCAGACATCCAGTCTCTCGTGCGGATCTTGACTGCTTCAGAAAGGGGCGCCTGGGCTAGAGGGATGCGCTGGTGGCTACAGAACATTGTAGCACGCATCTCCTCCCTTGGGCTTCCACTCTTCCCTGAGGGCCGCTGGCACCCAGCAAAATCCAGGCTTTCCAGTCTGCATCCCAAACCAGTCCAAGTCACAGGAGCATCCTTAGTATCATTGAATAGTCCCTTGAGTGACTCCAAGTATTTTGCCCCATGGATTCTTTATCTGGCTCAAATCTTTTCTGGACTTAGGAGTTTAGGGGCATTTAAAATTATTGGATATTTTTCCCAGGGACCTATTAAAGGCCTAAGATTTTACTTTAATTCTTGCACTCTTAAAATATGAGCTTTAAAAAAAACCTTTTCCTTCTCAAACCATATTATGGCAAAAACATGCAAGCCATTGAAAGGTTGTAAATAAACATCACAAGGCAAGTGTTTCAAGTCAAAAATACTTGTACAGGCAGTATATGATTTTCCTTGAAATTTTTTACAGGTGAGTCATAGCACATTGTGTGTTTGTGTGCTTCTGGCCACAAGCAACTGTTGCCCCAGCTAATGAGAAAAGTGGCAAACAGAACCCAGGCATAATGCACACTTTAATTTGACATTTAAAAAATAATGCCTAAGGAAGCCCTTTAGTTGCAAGGCTTCGTGGGGTTGGCCATTGTCAGTGTGTGAAATGTCTCTGTTGCAGCCTAAGCTGTCATTTGGCCTCCTCCAATCCTTACTATGACAACAGTTCAGAGGTACTGCTTCTTAAGCAGCAGAAACATTCAATTAGCCAGAATTTAAGGGTTGATTTCCTTTTCCCTCTTTCCCCCTCTGTTTTAACCTTTAAAATAGATGATTTTTGCTTAAGGTATTCACAATTAAAATGACAAACGCAAATCAAAGGATTATAGTATGTACTCAGAATGTTAATAAGTGGATAATGTTTATCATTTTAAGTCATTTTAAAACATTAAAGTCTGTTGGACCTTTGGGAGGAAAAGTGTGTTTTTTAAAGAAGGTCTTGTAGTTCACAGATAATATTTAAAGGTGCTGTTAGTGGCTGCCAGACTGTAGACACTCTCCTGTTAAGCAAACAGTTAACTACTCTATAACCTGTCACAGGTAGAAACCCTGAAGAGACAGCATGTAAAATAAGCTTTTCTGCCATTTGGCAGTTCAGAGAGTTTTTTTCTTAGTTATGTTTATGTAATGTTAGAAACTGATAGTGCACATCTGAACTCCAAAGGTCTCTAGCTTTGCCTCCCTCTAAATGAGGACCCATTGTATATTTATTAAATATCTCATATTGCTTTTCCTAGGGAATTTATCCCTTCCCTGGCTTAAAAATATAAAGAAAATAGAATTCCACATTTCCTTCTAAATACATTCTCATAATAAACATGTTAAATCATGTGAAGGACTCACATTAAATTTGAAAGACTAACTTAGGTGGTCTTAAAAACATTATGGTTTTTCAATAGTCATGACTTCAAAAACACATCAATGTATTTGAAATACAGAAAACATTTATAAGGCAAAGTACTTGAAAAGTTTTAGGCCAATAATCTTCACCCTGGTGGTTCTATTTTCCCTCCTCTTGCCCTCTGCCTAAAGTGTTTGTTTCTGTGATGTGAATTTTACATCTGAACATGAAAAGCAAATACACACACACACGCACACACACACGCATACACGAATGCATTGTGAATGCAGAACAGTGTTCATGCTCAAACAGGAACATGGTGGAGCATGGTAGAATTTGCCATTTATCGAAAGTCTCAAGCGCTTTTGGGGAGATCCTTGACTGTTGTTGATGGACTAGGTGGCCAAAAGAGCTTTCCAGATGGGTTTGTCTTGCATCATGCATGCTTTCCCTTTCTTAGGACTGAGTGGAGTAGCTGGAGTGAGTTCCCGCTGTGAAAAAGCCTGCAACCCTCGGATGGGAAATTTGGCTTTGGGGCGAAAACTCTGGGCAGACACCACCTGCGGTCAGAATGCTACCGAACTGTACTGCTTCTACAGTGAGAACACGGATCTGACTTGTCGGCAGCCCAAATGTGACAAGTGCAATGCTGCCTATCCTCACCTGGCTCACCTGCCATCTGCCATGGCAGACTCATCCTTCCGGTTTCCTCGCACATGGTGGCAGTCTGCGGAGGATGTGCACAGAGAAAAGATCCAGTTAGACCTGGAAGCTGAATTCTACTTCACTCACCTAATTGTGATGTTCAAGTCCCCCAGGCCGGCTGCCATGGTGCTGGACCGCTCCCAGGACTTTGGGAAAACATGGAAGCCTTATAAGTACTTTGCGACTAACTGCTCCGCTACATTTGGCCTGGAAGATGATGTTGTCAAGAAGGGCGCTATTTGTACTTCTAAATACTCCAGTCCTTTTCCATGCACTGGAGGAGAGGTAAGGGCACCTGTTTAACTCTACACTGTAAGTAAGATAGAAAAATGTTACCAGCCCGCATTTTTTTTTAAAGCATGAAGCTATACTTGTAGCAACATGAATGAAATTAGAATTTTTCATGAGATTTATTTGTCATAAATTATTTCTTACCCTTACATATGAATGTGTAGTCATTTTCAAGCAGATTGCCCACTGGCTGGGTTTAAGTCAGTATTCTAAGATTCAAATTTTTCACATATAAAAAAGAGCAGACACAAATCATCACTCTAGAGGCTCCTCATTGCTTCAGTTCTCGGGACTACTTACTGTGCTTCTGAAGGGGGAAGAGTTACTGAGACAGTCTGTTCCTGGAGCCCACACGGGTATCTTCCTGATAGTGTTAATATAAATAGGAAGTAAATAAAAACAAAGCCAAGAAAGAAAAAAAAATCTGTTTGACAGAAGGATACTTTTGTATGACAGTAGCAAACAAATGAAAGTAGTTTCTTTTAACATACAAAGGTTCTTCTGGGCTCACAGACACATGAATTTCAGCTTAGGCCATCTTAAACTCATTCTGCAAAACAGCCTCATTAGCTACTGATCCAATTTCTATGTGGAATGTTTTCTCTTTAATATTCCTTTCTCCTAAGGGAGAAACAGGTCTCTTTTTAGCTCTTCTTAACTTATGTGGCAATACCTTGAAAGGCTCCCCCCAACCCTCAGGTGTATGAGAACAGAGAAAACTGAATAAAAGCAGATTAAGAGAATATAATACTTCAATAAGTAGATGAAGAAATACTGATTCAGGAAAAAGAGAGGAGAGTATAATCATTCTAATTCTGGTCCATGTCATGAATATACAGACTAGATAAGTGGCTTTCAACTAGGGGTGATTTTTGGCTCCTCTTCCCTGGGGACATTGGGACACTTGGAAATATCTGGAGACATTTTTGCTAGGGGGAGGAACACCACTGGCATCTAGTGGGTGGAGGCCAGAGATGATGCTAAACCTCAGACGATGCACAAAATAGCGTTCCCCACCCCATCCCCAACCAAAAATTATCTAGCTCAAAATGTCAATGTACCGAGGTTGAGACAGCCTGGACGATTAGGCATATATCCAATACATGGATCACCATGGCTACAGAAACTAGGGTAAGCACTCTTCTAGCATCCTTTATATAACTATTCTCAGACTTCCCAGGTAGTTGTGTATAATCAGCATGTATTGACCCCCTCAGGCACTGTATTCAACGCTACTAATTCTGCTTTTGGTGTGGTATGGGGAGGTGCTTGCCAGGGGCCTGATGAAAAGGTTGGTTTGGGGCCTCCTTTCCCCACTTCCATAGATACATGGAGACTTTTGCCATGTCATTCAGCCGCTTCTTCTGTGTGCACCTTGAAGAGACCAGCAAGAATAGTGCTGCTGGCACCAGAACCAAGTAGGACATGGTGCAAGCAGCACACTGACTGTTTTCCATTCTTCATGGTCCCCAAAGTTGGCTGAATATTGTAAGCCCATTTGCAACCTGTCATGATGGACATTTTTAAAGATACCACGACAGGAAAGAGACAGATAAGTTAGTCTCATTGTTTTGTTATGTGGAGAACACTTTGTGCTGAAAACAAATGAATGGCTTGAACTCTCAAATTGCTTTGGAATTGATCCTCAGGCTCATATTGGCTCCTTACATCTCAGTGCTACTGGGCCTTGTGTATCTATGAAGTTGAAAAAATACAGTTTTAGTAACCAGATGGCAGGCATGCTCATTTAGCAAATATCACATTGAATTTATTGCAAATTTATTGCCACAGTCCAGCAATTATTTAAAGATGACTATAGTAATCTCTACTGGGCCTTGTTTATCTATGAAATTGCAAAAATACAGTCTGAGTAACCAGATGGCAGGCATGCTCATTTAGCAAATATCACGTTGAATTTATTGCAAATTTATTGCAACAGTCCAGCAATTATTTGGAGATGACTACAGTAACTTTGAACTAACCTATATGGAAATACAGTCTTGTCTTTTTTAAAACCAACTATTTATTGTCATCAATGTTTATATCAAATTCCAAGCAGATAGAGACTAACATTTATGTAAGTTATTTCAGTGTACAGATACCTTCTAAACCTAGTTCATAAGTGTTTTTAATTGTAGTTGTTATTTTAGCAGACTTTTTTTTTTTGAGACTGAGTCCCGCTCTGTCACCCAGGCTGGAGTGCAGTGGCACAATCTTGGCTCACTGAAGCCTCCGCTTCCTAGATTCAAGCAATTCTCCTGCCTCAGCCTCCTGAGTACCTGGGATTACAGGTGCACACCACCACATCCAGCTTTTTTTTGTATTTTTAGTAGACATGGGGTTTCACTATTTTGGCCAGGCTGGTCTTGAACTCCTGACCTAGTGATCCGCCCTCCTCGGCCTGCCAAAGTGCTGGGATTACAGGTGTGAGTCACTGCGCCCGGCCTCAGCAGACATATTTTAATGGTGAGAAAAGCATCAAGTGTGACCTAGTTCCCTCTAGAGCATTATTTGCAAGTGTAAAGTGTAAAGAAGTCATTATAGAATTTCTTCTTTACAGAGGACAGGTTTGAGAACTAATCTTTCTCTCCTGAGTTAAAGAATGGAAGAGTCTTTCTCTAACTCAAGGACTACAGGAAGCCTCCCCAGAAGTGATTATTGCCTTCCTCTCCCCTGTCATGTTAGAATATATATAAATCAGTGCAGTACTACAAATTTATTTCGCAGTTTCAACTCCATGTCACCAATTTCCATCTTTGAAAATTGTGTGCTCAGAAAAAGAAGCTAGTCAATCTAGTTTAAAAATAAGAAGTCTCAAATTTCATTTATGGCTTATTTGCAATATTATAGACCTATATTTTCCTCCATTCTATATAAGGCTTAAGACTTCTCTAGGTATTATCCTATTAATTAGGCTAACATAAATATATGCCAGACTCAATTTGTTTCCAATGTTCATTCAGAAATACTGCTTTGGGTTTTGAGAGCCTGGAGCTTCATGTCTAAAGAGTCAGCCACCTCCATCAACAGAGTGGAAGGCACCAGTCATCTGAAAGAGGACTTCAAAAACATGGGCCCAAAAATTCACCCAGAAGAACACTTTTTAAATAGACATTAAACCTGCTATATAGAAACTTCCTAAACTGCCCAGCTCTTTCAAAGAATGGGGTATGGCTATCCTAAAACGTGTCTCCTTCCTGGGAGATGAGATTGAGGCTTGAGCTAAAATGATTTGCCCAACAACATACCATTAGTTACGTGACAGAGCTAGGACTAAGTCACAAGTCTTCTGACCTGAAGTCTAGTATTTGTTCCATAAAATCAAGTTCTCTCCCTCTATTTGTGACCCTCAAGAACTACTGGTGGGGAATATCTTATATCTCCCTCCTCTCTCACTCTCTTAAAGCCATTTGCTGCTATTCATTTGGAGATGACATGAAGGTAAAATGGAATTTGCCAAACAGTTTTCTCCTGAGCAGTAATGTCCTCTGAGATGGCAGTGGTATACTGAGAATAAAAGATAGCATTGTTAACTTAGGCTGGGAAACACTGACTTGGTTTAACAAATTGAAACATTTATAAATACATTAATATTCTCATTATGTACCCTGTATCCCCAAATGGGAGATTTAGGATGTGACATTCCTGCACTTACTTGGCTATGAAACCCTCTTTTTGCAGAATTCGTTACTATCTTTCAGGACCCTAATGATCCACAGAGCGCAGCGTGGGAAATGCTGGGGTGGAGGTTTAAGTGCTCCCAAAACTCTGGTGAAAGGCACAGACAGGCCTGGGGCTAGGCATCCCTGGATATCAGGACTCTGTCCATTGGGAGCTTAGCCTCCTATTAGTTGGAGCAGTCAATAATAATAACCTTGAGGCTAAAAATGATAGGTTAATTAGGCTTTTTCAGGATGTAAAAGAAGCACTCTCAGATTACCTCTGGATACAGCAAACACAAGGAAGTGGGGAGATGTAGCAAACCGTCTTAGATGCCACACAGTCAGGCCTCATGACACTGGAATTGCGATGATCACTGTTAGGAAACAGCATCTGTTCCAGTGTGGCCCAAAAGTAACTCTAAAGGGATGTAGTTACTGTCTCCTTAGAAGGGAGCACGACTTGCTCCCTGCTCTATTAACTCTCTATTAAAAGAACTCTATTCAAAATTGGATAGCAACCAACCAAAGCACACAGATTTTTAAAATTTTTCTCCAGGGCATTATGAAAATGTACCATTCAAAGGCAGGACTGTAAAGTCAGAGTCAGCAGTACAGAGAAGCCAAGAACAGAGGGAGTAGCTGGGTCTCAAAGTAATCTTTGAATAGAAAAGGATTATTAGGCTGGGTACAGTGGCTCACGCCTGTAATCCCAGCACTTTGGGAGGCAGGCAGATCACCTAAGGTCAGGAGTTCAAGACCAGCCTGGCCAACATGGTGAAACCCTGTCTCTGCTAAAAATACAAAAAAGTTAGCCAGGTGTGGTGGCACACACCTGTAATCCCAGCTACTCGGGAAGCTGAGGCACGAGAATTGCTTGAACCTGGGAGGCGGAGGTTGCAGTGACCCGAGATCACGCCCCTGCACCTCAGCCTGGGCGACAGAGTGAGACTCTGTCTCAAAAAAAAGAAAAAAAAAAAGTAAAGGATTATTAAAGAGGGTAAGGCTCATGTCAGTTTTATTTACCTGTATGTCCCTAGCATTTAGCACATTGCTTGGATCACAGTAGGCAGTCAATAAATCTGTAACTGAATAAATAAATGAGTGATATGACAAGCAGGGAGAAATGACAGGGGATAAATGAATAAGCCTTGGGCAGGGGATGAGGATCAGAAACCTTGGTTAACCTGGAGAAGCTGAGTTGGTAGTTCATATGAGATTAGTTATGGTATGGGAAGCACAACCAATAGAGGATCTTAAATGATGTTTATTCACCCATTTATTCAAATAATTTTCAAGCTACTATGTGTCAGATCCCATTCCAGGTGGCATAGACATGGCAGTGAACCAAACACATAAAAATCCCTGTATCCATGAAACTCAGATTCTAATGTGGGGATGGGGAGATAGAGAGCAAATAAGTAAAATCTGTGTTATGTCGGAGTGTGGTAAATACTAAGGAGAGAAAACAAAACAGGGGAGGGGATGGGGAATGCTGGCAGGGGAAGGTTTGCTATTTTTATTTTTCTATTTTTTTAAATTAATTATTACTTTTATTCAATTAAAGCAGAAAAAAGAAATGGGGAACATAAACAAATGGAGAAATAGAAATGACATGGTAAGATGAGAGAATCAAGCTTAACAACTTTTTTCTTCCAACTTTTAAGTGCAGGGGTACATGTGCAGCATGTGCAGGTTTGTTGCATAGGTAAATGTGTGCCATATTGGTTTGCTGCACAGATCATCCTATTGCCCAGGTATTAAGCCCAGCATCCATTAGCTATTCTTCCTGATGCTCGCCCTCCTCCCACCCAGGTTTGCTATTTTTAAAACAGATTGAAGGATTTGTGTTTGATAGAATGGACAGTGACAAGGACTATGAGTTCCTGGCAAGTTTTCATGAGTGAACAAAACCTATAATTAAGGGTCACATTTGCTTTATGGTAATGGTATGGTTTTTTAAATTTTTTTATTATACTTTAAGTTCTAGGGTACATGTGCACAACGTGCAGGTTTGTTACATATGTATACATGTGCCATGCTGGTGTGCTGCACCCATTAACTCGTCATTTACATAAGGTATATCTCTTAATGCTATCCCTCCCTGCTCCCCCAACCCCACAACAGGCCCCGGTGTGTGTGTGATGTTCCCCTTCCTGTGCCCAAGTGTTCTCATTGTTCAATTCCCACCTATAAGTGAGAACATGCAGTGTTTGTTTTTTTGTCCTTGCAATAGTTTGCTGAGAATGATGGTTTCCAGCTTCATCCATGTCCCTACAAAGGACATGAACTCATCAATTTTTATGGCTGCATAGTATTCCATGGTGTATATGTGCCACATTTTCTTAATCCAGTCTATCATTGATGGACATTTGGGTTGGTTCCAAGTCTTTGCTATTGTGAATAGTGCTGCAATAAACATGTGTGCATGTATCTTTATAGCAGCATGACTTACAATCCTTTGGGTATATACCCGGTAAAGGGATGGCTGGGTCAAATGGTATTTCTAGTTCTAGATCCCTGAGGAATCGCCACAGTGTCTTCCACAATGGTTGAACCAGTTTACAGTCCTACCAACAGTGTAAAAGTGTTCCTATTTCTCCACATCCTCTCCAGCACCTGTTGTTTCCTGGCTTTTTAATGATTACCATTCTAACTGGTGTGAGATGGTATCTCATTGCGGTTTTGATTTGCATTTCTCTGATGGCCAGTGATGATGAGCATTTTTTCATGTGTCTTTTGGCTGCATAAATGTCTTCTTTTGAGAAGTGTCTGTTCATATCCTTCGCCTACTTGTTGATGGGGTTGTTTGTTTTTTTCTGGTAAATTTGTTTGAGTTCTTTGTAGATTCTGGATATTAGCCCTTTGTCAGATGAGTAGGTTGCAAAAATTTTCTCTCATTCTGTAGATTGCCTGTTCACTCTGATGGTAGTTTCTTTTGCTGTGCAGAAGCTCTTTAGTTTCATTAGATGCCATTTGTCAATTTTGGCTTTTGTTGCCATTGCTTTTGGTGTTTTAGACATGAAGTCCTTTCCCATGCCTATGTCCTGAATGGTATTGCCTAGGTTTTCTTCTAGGGTTTTTATGGTTTTAGGTCTAACATTTAAGTCTTTAATCCATCTTGAATTAATGTTTGTATAAGGTGTAAGGAAGGGATCCAGTTTCAGCTTTCTACATATGGCTAGCCAGTTTTCCCAGCACCATTTGTTAAATAGGGAATCCTCTCCCCATTTCTTGTTTTTGTCAGGTTTGTCAAAGATCAGATGGTTGTAGATATGTGGCATTATTTCTGAGGCCTCTGTTCTGTTCCATTGGTCTACATCTCTGTTTTGGTACCAGTACCATGCTGTTTTGGTTACTTGTAGTATAGTTTGAAGTCAGGTAGCGTGATGCCTCCAGCTTTGTTCTTTTGGCTTAGGACTGACTTGGCAATGCAGGCTCTTTTTTGGTTCCATATGAACTTTAAAGTAGTTTTTTCCAATTTTGTGAAGAAAGTCATTGGTAGCTTGATGGGGATGGCATTGAATCTATAAATTACTTTGGGCAGTATGGCCATTTTCACGATATTGATTCTTCCTACCCATGAGCATGGAATGTTCTTCCATTTGTTTGTATTCTCTTTTATTTCATTGAGCAGTGGTTTGTAGTTCTTCTTGAAGAGGTCCATCACATCCCTTGTAAGTTGGATTCCTAGGTATTTTATTCTCTTTGAAACAATTGTGAATGGGAGTTCACTCATGATTTGGCTCTCTGTTTGTCTGTTATTGGTGTATAAGAATGCTTGCGATTTTCGCACATTGATTTTGTATCCTGAGACTTGGCTGAAGTTGCTTATCAGCTTAAGGAGGTTTTGGGCTGAGACAATGGAGTTTTCTAAATATACAATCATGTCATCTGCAAACAGGGACAATTTGACTTCTTTTCCTAATTGAATACGCTTTATTTCTTTCTCCTGCCTGATTGCCATGGCCAGAACTTCCAACACTATGTTGAATAGGAGTGGTGAGAGAGGGCATCCCTGTCTTGTGCCAGTTTTCAAAGGGAATGCTTCCAGTTTTTGCCCATTCAGTATGATATTGGCTGTGGGTTTGTCATACATAGCTCTTATTATTTTGAGATACGTCCCATCAATACCTAATTTATTGAGAGTTTTTAGCATGAAGGGCTGTTGAATTTTGTCAAAGGCCTTTTCTGCATCTACTGAGATAATAATGTGGTTTTTGTCTTTGGTTCTGTTTATATGCTGGATTACATTTATTGATTTGCATATGTTGAACCAGCCTTGCATCCCAGGGATGAAGCTCACTTGATCATGGTGGGTAAGCGTTTTGATGTGCTGCTGGATTCAGTTTGCCTTTATTTTATTGAGGATTTTTGCATCGATGTTCATCAGGGATATTGGTCTAAAATTCTTTTTTGTTGTGTCTCTGCCAGGCTTTGGTATCAGAATGATGCTGGACTCATAAAATGAGTTAGGGAGGATTCCCTCTTTTTCTATTGATTGGAATAGTTTCAGAAGGAATGGTACCAGCTCCTCCTTGTACCTCTGGTAGAATTCGGCTGTGAATCCGTCTGGTCCTGGACTTTTTTTGGTTGGTAAGCTATTAATTATTGCCTCAATTTCAGAGCCTGTTATTGGTCTATCAGAGATTCAAGTTCCTCATGGTTTAGTCTTGGGAGGGTGTATGTGTCCAGGAATTTATCCACTTCTTCTAGATTTTCTCTTTTATTTCCGTAGAGGTGTTTATAGTATTCTCTGATGGTAGTTTGTATTTCTGTGGGATCGGTGGTGATATCCCCTTTATCATTTTTTATTGTGTCTATTTGATTCTTCTCTCTTTTCTTCTTTATTGGTCTTGCTAGCGGTCTATCAATTTTGTTGATCTTTTCAAAAAACCAGCTCCTGGATTCATTGATTTTTTGAAGGTTTTTTTGTGTCTCTATCTCCTTCAGTTCTGCTCTGATCTTAGTTATTTCTTGCCTTCTGCTAGCTTTTGAATGTGTTTGCTCTTGCTTCTCTAGTTCTTTTAATTGTGATGTTAGGGTGTCAATTTTAGATATTTCCTGCTTTCTTTTGTGGGCATTTAGTGCTATAAATTTCCCTCTACACACTGCTTTAAATGCGTCCCAGAGATTCTAGTATGTTGTGTCTTTGTTCTCGTTGGTTTCAAAGAACATCTTTATTTCTGCCTTCATTTCGTTATGTACCCAGTAGTCATTCAGGAACAGGTTGTTCAGTTTCCATGTAGTTGAGTGGTTTTGAGTGAGTTTCTTAATTCTGAGTTCTAATTTGATTGCACTGTGGTCTGAGAGACAGTTTGTTATAATTTCTGTTCTTTTACATTTGCTGAGGAGTACTTCCAGCTATGTGGTCAATTTTGGAATAAGTGCGATGTGGTGCTGAGAAGAATGTATATTCTGTTAATTTAGGGTGGAGAGTTCTGTAGATGTCTATTAGGTCCAGTTGGTGCAGAGCTGAGTTCAATTCCTGGATATCCTTGTTAATTTTCTGTCTGGTTGATCTGTCTAATGTTGACAGTGGGGTGTTAAAGTCCCCCATTATTATTGTGTGGGAGTCTAAGTCTCTTTGTAGGTCTCTAAGGACTTGCTTTATGAATCTGGGTGCTCCTGTATTGGGTGGAACTATCCTATATTTAGGATAGTTAGCTCTTCTTGTTGAATTGATCCCTTTACCATTATGTAATGTCCTTTTTTGTCTCTTTTGATCGTTGTTGGTTTAAAGTCTGTTTTATCAGAGACTAGGATTGCAACCCCTGCCTTTTTTTGTTTTCCATTTGCTTGGTAGATCTTCCTCCATCCCTTTATATGAGCCTATGCATGTCTCTGCACGTGAGATAGGTTTCCTGAATACAGCACACTGATGGGTCTTGACTCTTTATCCAATTTGCCAGTCTGTGCCTTTTAATTGGAGCATTTAGCCCATTTACATTTAAGGTTAATATTGTTATGTGTGAATTTGATCCTGTCATTATGATGTTAGCTGGTTATTTTGCTGTTTAGTTGATGCAGTTTCTTCCTAGCATTGATGGTCTTTACAATTTGGCATGTTTTTGCAGTGGCTGGTACTGGTTGTTCCTTTCCATGTTTAGTGCTTCCTTCAGGAGCTCTTGTAGGGCAGGCCTGGTGGTGACAAAATCTCTCAGCATTTGCTTGTCTGTAAAGGATTTTATTTCTTCTTCACTTATGAAGCTTAGTTTGGCTGGATATGAAATTCTAGGTTGAAAATTCTTTTCTTTAAGAATGTTGAATATTTGCCCCCACTCTCTTCTGGCTTGCAGAGTTTCCACCAAGAGATCAGCTGTTACTCTGATGGACTTCCCTTTGTGGGTAACCTGACCTTTCTCTCTGGCTGCTCTTAACATTTTTTCCTTCATTTCAACTTTGGGGAATCTGACAATTATGTGTCTTGGAGTTGCTCTTCTCGAGGAGTATCTTTTTGGTGTTCTCTGTATTTCCTGAATTTGAATGTTGGCCTGCCTTGCTAGGTTGGGGAAGTTCTCCTGGATAATATCCTGCAGAGTGTTTTCTTACCTGGTTCCATTCTCCCCATCACTTTCAGGCACACCAATCAGATGTAGATTTGATCTTTTCACATAGTCCCATATTTCTTGGAGGCTTTGTTCGTTTCTTTTAATTCCTTTTTCTCTAAACTTCTCTTCTCGCTTCATTTCACTCATTTGATCTTCAATCACTGATATCCTTTCTTCCAGTTGATCGAATCGGCTACTGAAGCTTATGCATGTGTCACGTAGTTCTCATGCCACGGTTTTCAGCTCCATCAGGTCATTTAAGGACTTCTCTACATTGGTTATTCTAGTTAGCCATTCGTCTAATCTTTTTCCAAGGTTTTTAACTTCTTTGCGATGGGTTCGAACTTCCTCCTTTAGCTCGGAGAAGTTTGGTCGTCTGAAGCCTTCTTCTCTCAACTCATCAAAGTCATTCTCCATCCAGCTTTGTTCTGTTGCTGGTGAGGAGCTGCGTTCCTTTGGAGGAGGAGAGGTGTTCTGATTTTTAGAACTTCCAGTTTTTCTCCTCTGTTTTTTCCCCATCTTTGTGGTTTTATCTACCTTTGGTCTTTGATGATGGTGATGTACAGATGGGGTTTTGGTGTGGATGTCCTTTCTGTTTGTTAGCTTTCCTTCTAACAGTCAGGACCCTCAGCTGCAGGTCTGTTGGAGTTTGCTGGAGGTCTACTCCAGACCCTGTTTGCCTGGGTGTCAGCAGCGGAGGCTACAGAACAGCGAATATTGCTGAACAGCAAATGTTGCTGCCCGATCGTTCCTCTGGAAGTTTTGTCTCAGAGGAGTACCCGGCCGTGTGAGTTGTCAGTCTGCCCCTACTGGGGGGTGCCTCCCAGTTAGGCTACTCAGGAGGCAGGCTGTCCATTCTCAGATCTCAAACTCCGTGCTGGGAGAACCACTACTCTCTTCAAAGCTGTCAGACAGGGACATTTAAGTCTGCAGAGGTTTCTGCTGCCTTTTATTCGGCTATGCCCTGCCCCCAGAGGTGGAATCTGCAGAGGCAGGCAGGCCTCCTTGAGGTGCAATGGGCTCCACCCAGTTCAAGCTTCCCAGCTGCTTTGTTTACCTACTCAAGCCTCAGCAATAGCGGGCACCCCTCCCCCAGCCTGGCTGCCGCCTTGCAGTTCGATCTCAGACTGCTGTGCTAGCAATGAGTGAGGCTCTGTGGGCGTGGGACCCTCTGAGCCATGCACGGGATATAATCTCCTGGTGTGCCGTTTGCTAAGACCATTGGAAAAGCGCAATATTAGGGTGGGAGTGACCCGATTTTCCAGGTGCCATCTGTCACAGCTTCCCTTGGCTAGGAAAGGGAATTCCCTGACCCTTTGTGCTTCCTGGGTGAGGCGATGCCTCGCCCTGCTTTGGCTCATGCTCAGTGCGCTGCACCCACTGTCCTGCACCCACTGTCCAACAAGCCCCAGTGAGATGAACCCGGTACCTCAGTTGGAAATGCAGAAATCACCCGTCTTCTGTGTCACTCACACTGGGAGCTGTAGACTGGAGCTGTTCCTATTCAGCCATCTTGGAACCAAGCCTCAGTAATGGTATGTTTTAAGGTATGGGAAAATGATGTTGGATATTAATTAAACCAACATTCATTGATAAAAACCCCTTTTGCTAGTGTTCCTTAGAATGAGAGCATTTGAAAAGGAATCTAAATGTTGTTAATGGAAAAGAATATTACTCATGAGTAATCTGCAGCCTAAAGATAGTTGAAGTGACTTGTCTTCAATTACTCAGCTGAAATCTGTGTTTCCTGACTTCTAGCCCAGTGCTATTTCCACTATACTAAGTTGAAATGCCTTTGTGCCAAGTCAAGTAGCATGAAAGATACAAAAACTATACACATTCCGTTCCTTCACACTCCTTACAACCTACTGGGTGAGAGAGTAAACATGATAACTTATGGACTGATTCATTAAATTATATGAGATAGTGCATGCTTAATCCCCCAAATATGTGGTGTAGATAATATGCCTTTCAAGATCCAAGTATTCATTTGTCTCTAGGCCATGGAAAGGGCTGTGTTTCAATACCTTGTGATAAAGTCAGTATGGCACAAGTGTGCAGAAAATGATAAATTACTTAATCGGGGTTTTATGGGCATTTACATTTATGATATGTTAAGCAATATTTAGAATTTCTCAAAAGATAAAACAAAGTCTTATATGAGTAGGAATGCTTTCTAAGCATGACTGTTCAGTTAACTACTTGTAGTCTTCAACTGGCGAAATCTGTTCATGCCTATCTCCACAGTAGCAGTAGTTACAAGTCATGATGGCTGCTAATAGCTGTTGAAGCCTTCCCACCTGCCAGGTGCTCCCAGTGCGCTGCATCCCTTATTCTCACAAGAAGCTCCTTAGTTAAGCACCAATATTAACTCTGTTTTACAGACAAAGAAACTGAAACCTAGTGAGTTGAAATAACACAGAGTCAAATAATAGCTAAAATTATTGAGCTAACCTATTCCAGAGCTGGGATGATTAATTTGCCTTGAAGTTATTTATATGATTAGACTTTATTATAATGCCAATCTTTTTTTTTTAAAAAAAAAAAGAGAGAAAAACTAAAACTAAATTTCCCTGGTAATCAGTAGGTATTGTATACAACATATAGTCTACTGATAATTTGTAATATGGTGGTATGCACTTTGCATAATAAAGTTACTGCTTTTACATTAGATAGAAGAAGTATATATAACAAGTGAAGGCTCTTTGCACTTAGTGTTATCCAAGATCATTTAAAATAAGCTGTATGGGAATGAACATCACAGTTCTTCAGTACCACTTAGCATGCTTTGTTATTTGATTGGTTTGGTTTTTGCGGGGAGGGAAGGTACTTTTTATCTAGTTAGTACCTACTTTAAGTAGTATTTCTAATGAAGTCATCTAATGTATTAATATTTCACCTTGCATCATATTTTAAATGTAAGGTGCTAAATAAAGTAAATAAGTAAAATATGTAGAATGCTACATAGTGATAAGTGCAAAGGAAAAAAAAATAAAGCAGAGATGGGTGCTATGGGGAGAAGAGGCTTATGTTGAGATGGGGCTCCCCGAGAAAGCCTCATTGAGACGTTCGAATAAGGACCCAAAGGAAAGTAGAGGTGAGTTGTGGACATACATAGAGAAGAGCAAAGGCCTTGAGGAAGTCCGCCTGGCACCTTCCAGTCTGCGAGGAGGTTGATACCAAAGCTAAGGGGTCCAGGTGCAGTGTAGTAGGTGAGATCAGAGTGATGGGCAGGTGTGGGCATGCGGGCCCTCAAAAAGAGGTGCCCAGGATGACTCAAACTTATGCCTAGATCAATTCAATCCTGTTCATTATTTTTAGCATTCCCTCAAAGGAGCCCCAATTTGAACCATATGTTATTCAGGGCTTACTTATAAAGTCATTTGTTTTTAGTCTGGGTGATATTAGAAGCCATTGGAGGCCAGGCATGGTGGCTCATGCCTATAATCCTAGCACCTTGGGAGGCCGAGGCTGGTGAATCACCTGAGGTCAGGAGTTTGAGACCAGCCTGGCCAACATGGTGAAACCCTGTCTCTACTACAAATACAAAAATTAGCTGGGCGTGGTGGCAGGTGCCTGAAATTCCAGCTACTCGGGAGGCGGAGGCATGAGAATAACGTGAACCCCGGAGGGCGGAGGTTGCAGTGAGCCGAGATCGTGCCACTTCACTCCAGCCTGGGCAAAAGAGTGAAACTCCATCTCAAAAAAAAAGAAAAAAGAAAAAAGAAAAAAAAAAGCCATTGGAGATTTTGAGATTTTAAGTGGTGGGGTGATATTATCTATTTTTAGTACGATTACTCTGGCTTGTGTGTTAATAAAAGACCAAAGAGGGAAGGAGGGTGAGGGAAGAGGCAGGGGGACCATTTAGAATCCTATTGCAATAATTCAGACTAGACTTGATGGTGCATGGGACAGAGGACAGAGGTAGAAATGGTGAAAAGTGGTTGAATTCTAGATCTATTTTGTTGATAGAGCCAACAGCATTTGCTGACAGTTTGGATGTAGACTGTAAGAGAAAGAAGTAAGTATGTTTTTAGTTTGAGCACCTGGAAGAATGCAACGACCATTTACTGAGATAGAGAAGATGTGCCAGGGAACAGATTTGGAGAAGAAGACCAGGAACTCATTTTCAGACACGTTAAGTATGAGTTGCCTTTTAGACATACAAATGGAGATACGTAGGAGGCCACTGGAGTTTAGAGTTCAGAAAAGCTGGCTGGACCAAACATATGTGTGAGATTTTAAGCTATGAAGCTGGATGAGATTGCCAAGGGAGTGAGTATGGATTAAAAAAAGAGAAAGTTCTAAAAACTGAGCCAAGGGGAGGATTAAAGTTAGTCCATTGATGCTGCCATTATTGAAAACACTTTTGCAACTAATCTTGGGTGGACGTGGTGGCTCATGCCTGTAATCCCACCACTTTGGGAGGCTGAAGTGGGTGGATTGCTTGAGCCCAGGAGTTCAAGACCAGCCTGGGTAACATGGCGAAACCCTGTCTCTACAAAAAATACAAAAATTAGCTAGATGTGGTGGCACACACCTGTAGTCCCAGCTACTTGTGAGGCTGAGGTGGGAGGATCACCTGAGCCTAGAGAGGCTGAAGCTGCAGTGAACCATGATCGCACCACTGCACTCCAGTCTGGGCAACAGAGTGAGACCCTGTCTCAAAAAACAAGAAAGAAAACCAATCTCACTAATTTATGGGTCCAACTTTTGTTCAATTAAGCAACAACATGAATTGATTTATGTTGGGTTACCATAGTCAGAATGGTGGGTGCAAACTCTAAAATCACAGGTGAGAGAGAAGTTGGGAATGGCAATTTCACATTTTCAAAACATGACCTAAAACAAGCAGGGAGAAGGCAAAGTACTAATCAGATAACAAATGATGATGGAAAAGGGAGAGGGAGCAATAGTTGGCATGCTATATTGAAGGAGGAAGAAAACTTTGAAAATACTGTGCTGAAAGAGAAATGTTGATTTTAGAGACCTTCAGATTTTGAGGGCCTCATATTCCATTCATGTTGAAATTATCTAACTTTTCATCCTTTTTTGACTCTCAAAATTTCAGCGATAGGAGCAATTTTTTGGAATGCCCCTGGACTATCACAGTATTGTAAACAAAGTTAAAATATAGCATTGTACACATTTTTCTGCTTAATGTTATGAAATTTGATTTACAAAATTTGATGGAGAGCATCTACTTTGACAATCCCATTTAAGTAAAAGGGTTTATACTTTCACAATTTCAATTTGTGTGCAGAATTTTTTAAAAATTTATTCATCTTCTAATTAGTATTGAATATATTAATATTTAATTGTTCTGTTAAGGAGGACAAGGGAAAACCAACATTGAGAGATCATCGTAGAATACAACAGTTTCTGTGCCAGGCAGTTTGCATACACTCAGTGTATCTCTAAGAAACAAATTCTTGGCCCCGCGCGGTGGCTCACGCCTGTAATCCCAGCACTTTGGGAAGCCGAGGCGGGCAGATCTCGAGGTCAGGAGATCGAGACCATCCTGGCTAACACGGTGAAACCCCGTCTCTACTAAAAATACAAAAAATTAGCCGGGCGTGGTAGCAGGCGCCTGTAGTCCCAGCTACTTGGGAGGCTGAGGCAGGAGAATGGCGTGAACCCGGGAGGCGGAGCTTGCAGTGAGCCGAGATCGCGCCACTGCACTCCAGCCTGGGCGACAGAGCGAGACTCTGTCTCAAAAAAAAAAAAAAACAAATTCTTTTCCTGGATGGTTCATCTTGCTAATGAGCAAACAAAAACAGAACAACACCCTTCTTTCTATGTCATATTTCTCTTCTCTTCTTCCCCTTCCTGCCACTGGCAGAGGAGCAGAAGTCTTCCCAGGCCTCTGCTATGTTTGCTGATGTTACTTTACACTTCATAATCCCAGTTCCTTAAACAAAAAATAATTTTGAAAAATATTCACGTGCTTTCTACATGACGTCATGTTCATTTGTGCTGACACTGTCTTCCGGCTGCTACTGAAAAAGGCTTCTCTGTTTTAAAGTTGAATTGAAGAGAGAAGATGTGATCACCCTCTTACACTGTTTAATCTATGTCAAGAACTTCTGTTACTTTTTATTTCAGCCAATCTGGCCCTTCTGAGGCCCTTGAGGTTTTCCACCAGTTTCTTTTGTAACAGATGCCTACACTTCTCTCATATTCTGTGTCCCAGTAAATAGCCCCTGATCCCACCACCACCTCCAAATAAAAAGTAAAGGTAATGGAGGTCACATCAAACTGGTGCTGCATCAGGAGAGCCGGGCACCTCACTCTCCAGGAACCCTCATCCTTGCCCTCCATCCTAACACACCCAAATGGGCGCAAAACTCTTCCTTTCGTAACCATAGCTCCCTCTCTGATGATCATGAAAGCTCAGAAGAATGTAAGCCCACTGGAACACCCTCTTGAAGGAGGGGAGTGTAGTGAGAAAGTGTAGTTTGCAGAAACCAAAACCAGGTGATTGGCTGCCCCTACATCCCACCTTTCTTACTCATTCCCATTTGTTGCTTCTGGCCATTTTTCTTTCTAATTTCCACTTCTGTTAAAGAAAACTAAATATGGCCTGAGAAGGACTCTGTACTTCTATATCTGAGTCGTTGTGGACAATCTGTAACCTAATTTAATAAGTAGACAAGATTGAAAACCCGCCGGGAGTGGTCACTCACACCTGTAATCCCAGCACTTTGGGAGGCCAAGGCTGGTGGATCACCTGAGGTCAGGAGTTCAAGACCAGCCTGGCCAATGTGCTGAAACCCCGCCTCTACAAAAAAGACAAAAATTAGCCGGGTGTGGTGGCGCAAGCTTATAATCCCAGCTACTTGGGAGGCTGAGGCAGGAAAGTCGCTTGAACCCAGGAGATGGAGGTTGCAGTGAGCGGAGATCACACCCTTGCACTCCAGCCTGGGTGACAAGAGTGAAACTCCGTCTCAAAAAAAAAAAAAAAAAAAAAAGATTGAAACCTAATTTAGGAGTATGCACCTGTAACAACAGCTGAGTCTTGACCAATCCCAATGTCCATACTTCAACCATTCATGCACTGCCGAATGTTCAAACTGTGTTCAAATAAGGCAAACGCCAACCTGTACCAATCCAGCTCTTCTGTACCTCACTTCCAATTTCTGAACATCATTTCCTTTTTTTTTTTTTTTTTTGGTCTATAAATCTTCTTCCACCACTGGCTGCGGTGGCATCTCTGAATCAGCTGTGATTCCGGGGGCTGCCCAACTCGCGAGTCGTTCATTGCTCAATTAAACTCCTTTAAATCTAATTCGGCTGAAGTTTTTCTTTTAAGACTCCAACTTATGTCCCAGTAGACCACTTATTTTATCTCTGCTCTGGCTCCTATTTGTCTGTAAAAATGGACATGATACTTAGCTTGCCCCCATGATTTTCTCTCTGGAATCTTCTATCAGTTCTCTCAATTCCACTGCCCCCTGTCCTTCTGTTGCATCCCAATCCCAGCTCAATCTCACTGTTTACCTTCTTGCTCCTTCGGCTAGACAGCTGAACTCTACTGGAGAAAATAACAACACAATCATACTGAGAGATGCCTTTATGTTTTCCACTCTCAAGTTTGCCCTAAAACTTCCCTGGAAGTTCTTCTTCCCTTCCGCTCTCTTTCTTCCCTGCAGAGACTCTCAAAGCTTCTCTCTTCTCCCTGACATCTCTGCAAACCCCCTGCTGACTCTCAGCTAAAGAGCTTGCCTCCTGCTTCACAGAGAAAATAGATGTATACATGGCATTGCTGTCTAACCCAGAGAAGCTCATCAAAGCAAAAAGCTGAGAGTTTCTCTCAATTCCTTTCTCTCCTTCAGCCAGCTTCGATCATCCACCAGGTCCTATCCCATTGTGCTACTTGGGTCTCTCTTTAGTGGGTATGCCTCTCTCCATCCCTGTAGCTACTATCTTAGAGCAAACCACTCTTATTTTTCTTCTGCGTAATTGTGGCATTCTCCTGAATGTTCTTTTCTGTCTCGCTTGCTCCCCAATTTATTCTCTATACTGCATTCTCAAGGATATTTTAAAAATACAAAATGTTACTTCCTTGCTTGAAACTCTTCAGTGACTCCCCAGGTGCATTATCATGAAGTCCACATTCTTGAATGTGGCTTGCTAGGCCCTGTCTGAATGCCCCCCTGGCCTCTTGTCTCATCCCTGCCTCCTGAGCTGTAGCCTCTAGCTGGATCTGTTGGGCTGCTTGGATCACTCTCAGGTGCCATGTTCTTTCTCACTCTCTGACCCTCCTTGGCTTGGTGGGGGAGGGCTCTCCTTTTCTGATCCCCTCCCCCTAATCCTGCCTCTCATTCATTTAAGTTAGTTAAGTCACTCAAATAATTTAGGGGTAGATGGAGAAATACTAGATAATTCCCACTCATCCTTAAGGAATTTGCTTAAACTTCACCTTGCACCAATATTCTGGGTTAGGTGCAGTGTACACGTACATCACATGTGTGCACCCACAGTATCCTATGTTCACCTCTGTCATAGCACTTACCACATTCTTTAGCAAGCTCCCTAAAGTAGCCCAGACCACACTTGGAGAAACACTGCCTTAGCATCTCACGTGCTGCCTGACATATTCAATAGCTATTGCTCAAGTAAACCAACTCTTCCACTATTGTTGTTATTGTTACTGACAACAACTTTGTATTGCTTCGTATGGTTTCAAGCACTTTTATGGCAGAATAAGGGATGTGCAGACACACTAAATAGTGTGTTGGAGAGATGCCTTGATAAGCGTCTCATAAGTTAGCCATTGAGGATGACAGATCCTCGGGCAGGCAGTTGGTCGGTGTGATTTCTCAACAAGGACGATGTCATGGGTTACATCCCTCTGCAAATCCAAACCACAGGCTCTATTCCCAGTATGCAAAGGCCTAGCACAAAGGGTTCCCATTTAGATGGAAAGGTACAGATCTATCACCACCTCCTGGAAAACAGTGCAAGGTGCCTCTGAAGGTTCACTTGGAGGGGGGGCGTTGCTTAGTTTTTCATCAATATGGGAAATGATTGGGAAGGGTGCCTTATGCTCCCAGCTGGGCTCTTTGTCACAATGCTGAGTTCGTTGCATGGGGAGTTGTTTTGTGATTCTGAAAAACAACTGCCTTATGACACTGTGGACAAGCTTGTGCAGCTATTTGGCTTACTGGGATAAATGGCCAAGCTTGTTACTTTCTCTCCATAAGCACTGCTAAGCTACATTCAATTCACCTGCATTTTTGGAGCTGGGAGGAGAAACTAGTTAAGGGAGAAAACTTTCTTCGGTGAGAGAGGTTTAAATATTATTTTCCTTGCCAAAACAAACAAAATAAACTTTTTTTTGTGAGAAATTTCTGAGCTGTGCCTCTTCCCTATTACCTGTACCTCATTATAGTATATTCCTGTCTTTAAGGAGTTAGTCTGATTGGGACCTTTAAATTGTTGTCTCTTAAAGGATGGGTAATAATTGAAAGGTAGAGCAGGGAGTTCCATGGAAAAGTGCACCTGTGTAAGGAAAGCCAATCCTGAGAGTGGTTGGAGAGGGTGGTGTGGTGAGGGGTGGGGAAGAAAGGGAGACAGAGGAAGATGAAGCTAGCCCTGGGTGCTCCACGGGGAGCAGTTTGGACTCAATCCTGTGGGTAGTGGAGATCCATCAACAGTTTTTCTGAGTAGAGATAACATAATCAGAACTGTTTAAGAAAGAAAACTCAGGGGACAGTGTGAAAGATTCTTGAGTAAAATGTATGAGATTAAACTTAACAGTGATAAATATTAATTCCTTTTTACAAAAATCAGCTGTACTACACCAGAGAGGTGGACTTATCAGCCATTCATGTGAAAAAGACCTGAAGGTTTTAATTGACTGAGATCAACGTGAGTCAACAGTATACCATGACTGCCAAAAAAGCGAATGCAATCTTAGGCTACATTCATGGAAGAATAATGCTCCAAACAAGAGAAGAGCCCTTCTGTCTTCCCGTCTAGGCAAGCACAGCTAGAATATTATGCGCAGGTCAAGATATTCCTATTTAGAGAAAGCTGAGCAGAACTGGTGAGATCAATGAGAAACCTCGTTATATAATGAACAATTAACTTGGGATATTTCGCCTATGAGAGAGGATTTATGGATGTTCAGGAATTGCTAGCATTCTTTAGATGTTTGAAGAGGGATTAAATGGGCTCTGATGCTTTCAAAAGGCAAGAGTATGACCAAATAACTTTCTAAAAAACTTGTTGTATCCAAAGACCAAATGAATTCCTTTCAGTTTCTCATCCCATGAAATGTTTCCGCAAAGGCTGAATGATCTACAGTGAGAAAAGGTACAGAGAGGATTTATGTCCAGATTCAGAGGCTTAGGTCAAGACCTTTGAATATCCCATTTAACTGTCAATATAGATTATGACTTAAGAAAATATTTTACATCCAACGACTCCAATAGAAGAGGGCTTGTGTTGGACACTGCTTAGCAAGATCACTGAGTCTTCAGCTAGCTAGGCAGGAGCCCATAATTTTGGTGAAACTCTTTTAGGGAAATCTTATTTCTTGCTACTGTAAGAGGAGCACCCTTTTTAGCCACTGAACATAAGGATGTCACTTAACTGCCAAAGAAAAGGAAGGCAGAGGAAAAAGGCGAGGAGTCCCTGAGTCTTTCTGAGTCTCTGTATTAATGGGTGACATTTTATCTATATTTATAATGATACTAGACACAATATGGCAGTCTGCGTGTGTGAGTTGGGCTCTAGTCTGTCACCAGGCTCTGATGGTGCCAGCTCTTAAGTTGGTTCTCCACTTCCACTATTATCTGTCTAGTTCCATCTCTCTCATTGCACACTCAAATCTCGAAAGTACCCTAAAAGGCTATCTCTGTATTTTAGGGGCCTTGGATTCTTCCTTTGTAAGTTGGATCAATGTGAGAAAGACTAAGATAAAGCATATATAAGCGTGTTTTATAAATGGCTAAGTACTATATAAGTGCTATTATTAATAATCATATAATTCTATTACATTATTAGTGAAGTAGACTTTTGGGGCCAGTTCATCCTGTCACTCGACAAATATGTGGGTGCCTCTATATGTCTAGCACCTTCCGAGGCTCCAAGGATATGGTGGTAAACAAAATGGACACAAAATGCCTTCTAAAGCCCAGACAACTAACGTACAAATACATCTTTAGAGCACAACCCAGTCGTAAGTTAGGGACTTCCAGTACTAACTTTGGTCAACTGTCAATGTCTCCAAGAGCGTTGAGGGTCTACATTTTTGCTTAGTGCTTTTGGACAGACATTGAGTTAGAGGACAACATCAGTCTTGGCATTTAATAGTAGATAACGTGAACACAAGAATTGTGTCTTCTCATTAAAGCAGTAGCCCAGTCATCTACCTAGACAGGCAATAATAGAGTGGGAGTTAGATTTAGATAAAAGTGAACAAATCAGAGGTACAAAGAACAATTCTTGTCTCTTCATTCCATATTTAGTTTGACATATTTATTGAGACTTTACAAATTCTTTTTGAACTGTGTTATGAATGTCAAGTACAAGATAAGGAACTATGTTTTTAAAGATATTTTTAGACAGCAATGTTATGGTAAGATACAAGTATGAGCTTAAAGTAAAATGTCTTATCAAAACTGAAAGAAATGTATCCACCTACATCTGGTTGGTATTTCAGATTCATGAAGGAATTTCCAAGTGATTCTGTTAAGAGGTTGCTCTACAGTGAGTGAGTGAACAAGTTAGATTTCTAGCCCTCCTCTGGCTTCCCTTTCGGGACTTGCCTTTATTCTTTTATTAGGGATAGGCACTCCTCATAATTTATATGACAGGTTAATATGCTTTAAAAAAATCTCTCTTAAGGTCCTGTTCAAGTTAGGGAGTTATAACGTGTAAAAGATTCTCAATTTGAAGTACTGTAATCAAAACTTTCACACACACTCATTTTCCAAGAACTTTATAAAACATGCACCAGGCACAGGTAGAAAGTGACAGCCAAGAGTTCAGTGATGTATTATTTCTGGTGCTTTTTTAGCTTTTTTTTTTTTTTTTTGGTCGGGGCGGGGGGATGGAGTCTCGCTTTCTCACCCAGGCTGGAGTGCAGTGGTGCAATCTTGGCTCACTGCAACCTCCGCCTCCTGGGTTCAAGCAATTCTCCTGCCTCAGCCTCCTGAGTAGCTGGGATTACAGGTGCCTGACGCCATGCACAGCTAATTTTTGTATTTTTAGTAGAGACGGGGTTTCGCCATGTTGGCCAGGCTGGTCTCAAACTCCTGACCTTAGGTGATCCGCTGGCCTCGGCCTCCCAAAGTGCTGGGATTACAGGCGTGAGCCACTGTGCCCGGCCAGCTCTCCTTCTTTAAAAGCCCACTTAATAAAGCAGTTAGCTACTTCTAGATGCTCTGGCAGGTGCTGTGAGTATAGCCAAGAGGGTCTGTTACCTATAGAGCTGACTCCAATTGCTGTCATCCACAAAGGCCATTTTAATCTCCTGCTCAGTTTCCAGTCAGCCTCCTGCATCACTTCAGCTGCTTAAGGGACAGTTACATGTTTTACAGCTGTGGCTCTCCACAACCCCACCCTTCTATGACTCAGCCTTGACTGCTAGTCTGCCTGTCAGTATCATTGGCATGTAACCAGAAATATTATTTTCTTATGAACTAAATGATGCAATGACAGATGTTATAGAAATATGCAGGTCATATCAAAACACTCTAATTCAGATGTGGAAGTGACTCTTTCCTCCCCTTTCTCACCTCCCAAAATAATGACATTGGAACTTCAGTCTTGCATTCCAGTTTTACCATGATTAGAAGTGGGTGCTCAAGAGGCTATGTAAATAATAGGTCTCATAAAAACATATTTTTCTGTCTCATGCTACTGTCTCCACTCAGTCAGCTTCATTTCTTCCCCAACAGCTGTGTTGAAAGTACTCTAGGTCTTTTAAAATCTGAATATTACATTATGGAAAAATCTTTGAAATTTATTTGGATTAAAAAATAAAATTGGAAAAAGAAAGGTTCAGAAATAGAGGCTAGAATTCGCTTGACATCGTGGAGAGGAAAATGTCTAGAAAATACCGTCATTAGTAACATGTGCTTACGAGTTACAGAGAGGTCATCTGCTACTTAGCAAGAGTGGTAAATGGTGTAGAAACTATGTGATATGAGACATTATAGATAATTTACCTGGAGAATAGAAGTTAAGTTGATGGCTGCCCTTAAATATTTGAAGGATTTCCATGTTGAAGATAAAGTAGACTTGTTTTGTATAGCTCTAAGGCCAGTATTAGGAGTTTCAGGGAACAGACTCTAGCTTAACACAGAAGAACTTTTTGTTAATTAGACCTTTCTAAAACTGAAACACGCTGCCTGATGAGGCTGTAGGAGCTAGCAGAGAATGAATGGGCATCAGCCATTATAGAGGAACTTCTTGCATTGAGAAATTTGAGTTAAATGGCCTCATGTTCTTTTTTGATTATTAAAAATTCTTTGAGCTGTTTCTAATACCACTTTTGATAGAGATCAATTTTCAAGAATTAGGGGACAATTGGAATCTTATGCATTATTAATTTATCCATTTTTGTATCCAGAGTCTCAGTGCCTCATACAAAGCATTTCCTCAATAAGTAAAGTTTGAACTAATAAACAAGTATTTCTTTATGAAAAGGCTTAAGGTCACAGAAACTTAGGATTTTTATCTTATTTAATTATGGCTTTGTCATTATTTAAAAACAAAAATGACACTGATGATGAGAGACACAGTCGGAATTTATATGAGCCACATTTGCAATTGATTCATGTTAGAAATGCCTTTTCTTATCTAAATGTATAGGAAAGAAACAGTTTTAGAAGCCGAAATGAGAGTTAGTTTGTTTGCCAATTTCTCTTTCGAGCCCAGAATTTCTATTGTGAGCTTTCTTGCTCTGCAAGCCCAAAGCTTAAACATCCTGAAAAATTCTGTACTTTCAGCTCTCCTATATAAATCTCTACTCCATGAGCAGAAGGAAACAGACTAATTTCATACCATTTACTGTTTTCTGTCTCTATACGAATCATGTGAATTAGACTCACCTCTCTTTCAGTTGCACTGCTCGTACTTCAGTACATGTAGGACACAGTAGAGAGAAAAATATCTGCTTTTTACTTTTAAAGCCAATTGCTGGTCTTTATTTCTGCAAGTCTTTTCTTCTAACTCAGCTTTCAGTTCTCTTTCTTAATTCAACTCTTGCAACTAATCCTCATACTTCAGACCGAAACTTAATGGGAAAAGATATGTGAGATTCATCTCTACTGAGAAAACCTTTCATGATGTGATTAATACTTATCCTCAAGGTCTCCTACAAGTGAAGGACAAAGTGGCCCTATGCTGCCTAGTACTAGAGTAACAGCAAATATTTGTCTGTGGCTTAGGGCAAGTTGGAGGTGCCTTTGAAGTCTGTTTGGTAGCCAGGATCTCTCCACCAGGGTAACAGGGTTTAAAACTTGAAAATTTTTTAAACCTTAATCAGCACATTGGGGTTGCTCCTGATAAAGACTCTTGAATGAAAAAAATGGAAAGTACATTCTAGTCTAAGTTTGCATTTTGGAAATCCCCAGTAGGCACACACATGTTCAACAAGAAACTCAATTCGTTTTAACATCAAGTTAATTGCCAACTGTGGTGGTTTTCTGTGGCACCCAGTCAGGGAACGTGTTTAACATATATAATATGAATAATATATATGTATATATATGCATTTTATAAGGAAGATTAATTGAGGAGATAAACAGGAGGTAATAAAATAATTTTAATGACTTAAACAGGCAAAAATGGCTAAAAGCTTTTGCCACCATGGATAAGTTCACTAGCATTTGGTCTCATTACAGCTGAAGAGTTATCTTACTCTTAAAGAGGGGGATAAAAGAAAAAAACTATGTGTTAATAGAAATGTAGATATAATTAGGTAGACTTAAAGAATTATTCTGGGTGCTCACAACTATGTGTTCATGGTTTATCGTTTTCCTAGTGTGACCAGGTTTTGTAGGTAAATTAGACAACCTAGGTGACTCTTCTAATGTCTTTTGACGCACTTTACTTATAAGACTATCTCTTTTGGGCTGGGCACGGTGGCTCACGCCTGTAATTCCAGCACTTTGGGAGGCCAAGGTGGGCAGATCGCTTCAGGTCAGGAGTTCGAGACCAGCCTGGCCAACATGGTGAAACCCCATCTCTACTAAAAATACAAAAAAATTAGCTGGGCATGGTGACGAGTGCCTGTAACCCCAGCTACTCTGGAGGCTGAAGTGGGAGAATCGCTGGAACCCAGGAGGTGGAGGTTGCAATGAGCCGAGATCGCACCACTGCACTCTATCCAGCCTGGGAGACAGAGCGAGACTCCGTCTTGGGGAAAAAAAAAAAAAAGAATATCTCTTTTGTCCTGCCTCGGGAAAATTCACTTTTACTATGCACAGAATTCTACATTCTGCATTAAAATACCTTGATATTAGAGTTAATTGACTGAAGCATGGAAGAGTATACATAGCTTTGTTCTGATCCTGTTGAATGACAGCAGGACCAAAATGAAAGTCTAAGAACTTTTAACCCAAGAAGTGAAATATCTACCCAGAGCTGTTGTAATTTTCATTTACTTCAGGGGTAAAAAAAGGATATCTGCAACACTATAGTTTCCGCTATTTATATGCTGCGCATACCTCCTAATACAACAAACTATATAGGAAGCAATTCTTGCGACTTTCATTTGCTGAAAGGAAAATAAATCTCAAGTAGAATCCTCTCCCCTTTAAGGAAGAAAGGGAGATGGAGTAAAAAAGGAATAAGAAAGAATAATTACATTTTAGTATTCAAACTAATCTCCTTAAAATCAGATTGATTTTTCCTTTTGTCTCACTTCTGACACTCCAAAAGTCCCAACCTCTTAAAACTTATCAGTTTGAAATGAGATTTCTGCTTCTGCTCATGAGGGATTAACTGCTACAGGAATGACTGCCCCCCTCTTCTTTCCCCACTACAAACACACAGCTTAAGCGAGAAAAAAAAAAAAAAAAAAGATGATACAATTGTTTTCAGACATTGGCAACAGGCAGCACAAGACCGTGCTCTGAGAAAGAAGAAACAAACATAACAATCCCTACAATTGCCCCAATTTGCTGATTGGACATTTCCAAGCCAACACATAGGAAGGAGAACCCAGAGTCCAGTGGGCCCACCAAGTTGAGGAGACAGAGATGAGTGCTCAAGGAGGCCAGGGCAGCTAGAATTTGTTGGGTAGAATACTGGGGAGGAGAAAGCTACATAAGAGAAGTCCAGAGATCTGTACACAAAGGTCTCCTTAAGTTTTCGGCTAAATACTGAGCTGCATATGTGTGAGGTAAACTCTAAAAGAGTGAAGAAAGAACTGTCAGAAAGTAGTAGTTGAACCATTCTTAGTATTCCTATGAGTCTGGGAATAGTTCACCTTCTCACTGTCTGGACCGGAAAGACCTCATAATTCACAGGCATCTGGTAGAGCCCTCAGAAAACCTTTGTAATAGGGTTAAATTAGCCCTAAAATAAAGGCAAAACTGGGTTCACCCTAATAAAAATTTACAGCAATCTTCAAAAAGCTGAACATGATCTCAAATAAATTAACTGCATATCAAAACAAAGTCTAACCCTTTTTGGAGAAATATATCAAAATCCATCAAGCAACAATATAAAATTCACAATGTCTAATGTTTAATAAATTACAAGGCATGAAAATATGACTCCTAACCAAAAGAAAAATTGATGAATAAGAACATCCAGAAATTACACAGCTGGTAGAATTAGCAAGCCAGGACATTAGATCATCTACTATAAATATACTCCGTATGTTCAAGAACATGAACATGTGGAAGAGAGAAATGGAAGATATTTTTAAAAGATGTAAGTGGAACTTCTAAAGATGAAAAATACAATATCTGAAATTTAAAAAATATACTACAAGGGGCCAGGTACAGTGGCTCACACCTGTAATCCCAGAACTTTGGGAGACTGAGGCAGGTGGATCACTTGAGGTCAGGAGTTCCAGACCAGCCTGGCCAACATGGTAAAACCCCGTCTTTACTAAAATACACAAAAATTAGCCAGGTGTGGTGACAGGTGTCTGTAATCCCAGCTACTCAAGAGGCTGAGGCAGGAGAATCACTTGAACCCAGGAGACAGAGGTTGCAGTGAGCCGAGATAGAGCAAGACCCCATCTCAAAAAAAAAAAAAAACAAAAATACTACTAGGGACTGACAGTAGATTAGATAGTGCAGAGGAAAAGTTTGGTGAACTTGGAGGCATAACAATAGAAACTATTAATGAATCACAGACAGAAAAGATGATTAAGTAAAAAGAGCATCAGTGAAGTGTGGGACAATGTTAAGTGGTCTAACATTCAAGTAATCGGAGTCTAAAAGAAGAAGCTGAGGACAAAAAACATCTTTGTAGGAGTAACAGGAAAAAAAAAATTTCCAAACTTGATGAAAGTTATAAATCCACAGATCTAAGAAGCTCAGTAAACCCCAAGTAAAAAATAAAACAAGCTGTAAAGAAAAGCACATCAAACAAAGTTACCACGCTGATTCAATGAAGAAGCGTTAGTCTTTCTAATCAACAGTGCTGGAATAATTAGACATTCATATGTGAAGGGACAGAAAAAAGAACCTCAACACTTAGTTCAACTGTAGAGAAAAATTAACTCAAAATGAACTACAGACCTAAATATAAGAGCTGAAATCTATACAACTTCTAGGAGAAAATATTTATGACCTTGAGTTTAGGCAAAAATTTCTTAGAATGGGACACAAAACAGCACAAACTGTAAAAGAGAAATACTGGTAAACTGAACATCATAGAAATTAAAAACTGGACAGGCACAATGGCTCACGACTGTAATCTCAGCACTTTGGGAGACCAGATCACTTGAGCCCAGGAGTTTGAGACCAGCCTGGGCAACATAGGGAGATCCCATCTCTACAAAAAATTAAAAAGTTAGCCTGGTGTGGTGGTGCTTGCCTGTAGTCTCAGTTATTCAGGAGCCTGAGGTGGGAGGTACACCTGGGCCCAGGAGGTTGAGGCTGCAGTGAGCCGTGATCGTGCCACTGTTCTCCAGCCAGCCCAAGCGACAGGGCAAAACCCTGTCTCAAAAAATAAAATAAAATAAAAAACTATTGCTATTAAGACACTGTTAAGGAAAGTGTTAAAAGGAAGCCACAGATAGAAAATATTTGCAAATCATTACAAACTGAATATATATTTACATATCACAATTCATAAGGAACTCATAACTCAATAAGAAGAAAACAAGAATTGAAACTGAGCAAAAGATTTGAACAGACACTTCACCAGAGAAGAGGATGCATGTCAAACACATGAAATGATGCTCAGCATCACTAGTCAACAGGGAAATACAAACTAAAACCACAGGGAGATACTGCTCACTTTCACTATAAAGCCTAAAATTCAGAAGACTGATAACACTAAATATTGGAGAGGAGGTATAGCAACTAAAATTTTCATCATACATTGCTGCTAGAAATGCAAAATAGTACAACAACTTTAGCAAACACTTTGGCAGTTCCTTATAAATATCCACTTACCATACCACCTAGCAATTCCTCTCCTAAGTACCCACGAAAAATAACTTACATGCTTATAATGACTTCTGCGTGAATGTTCACAGCACTTTTATTCATAATAGCCAGAATCTGTAAACAACCCAACTATCCATCAACTGATGAATGAATAAACTGCCAAAATTCTTCAATCAGTTCTTTCTTGCTTCCATTTACTTGTCTCATGCTCTTTCCTGAATCCTTTATAGCTGTCCCTTATTCCATCTAAGCTCTCAATAGTCTTCTGTTATCCAGCCAAACCCAGAAAGGTTTTTGTAATCTCCTTTTTTCTAATAAATTGCATTTGCCATTTTTAATTACATTTTTTTTTTTTTACTTTGCATTCTCACTTCCTTGGGCTTCTATGATAATGAATTTTCACTATTTTCCCATATTGCTCACGGATCTTTTTTTTTTTTTGTATTATTTTTGGCTCTTCTTCTTTCTGAGCTCTAACCATAGATGGCCCCCAAAGCTCAGCCTTTAGTTCTGTTTTTGTTCCAACATTCATTTCTTTGCCTCTCACACGTGGCTGTTCTTCCCCTGCTCCCCACTACATCTCTTATTCCCCAAACTGCCTTTACCATGGTTCAGAGTCTTCTCTTTGCCATATTAATTCTCCTGAAGGGAAGGTCTGTTCATTTCACTCCCCTGATCACTTGCTATGTATTCTATAACCAAACAAAGTCAGCTGTGATGTAATGGTAATAGCACTGAACTTGGACTCCAACAACCTGGGTTCAAGTACTGGCTCTGCCACTTACTAGCTAGGTGATGTTGGATAGGTTAATTAACATCTTCTCAGAGTTTCTGTATCTGAAAGAGGGGAATGGATAATACCACATCATAGATTTACTATAAGGATGAAATGAGATAAAAATAAAGACAGTTTATAAAATGTAAGCCATTATTAAGCATGAATATGAGTTTTCAACAAATATGTGTTAACTCATATATGCCAAGCATTGCCTACACACTGATGGGCAAGCAGACAAGGTCCCCTGCACTCATGTCTCACTCACAGTCTAGAGAGAAATACAAGCAATTAAGCAAATTTAAAAATAGACATGGTATATTCTAAGTCTGGAAGAAATAACGGGTGCTTGAAGTAGCACATAGAAGGAACAGGGATGATAAAGAGAGCTTCCTGAATAAAGTTACATCAAAGATGACATCTAAAAGATTGGCATGAGTTGACCAAGTAGAGGGTGGGAGCGGAATGGGTGGCAATGACAGAGAGGTGTGGCAAGTGATCCAGCTGGGGAATAGCATGGGCAACAGCTGGGCAGGCAGCAAGTTCATGGAGCTTTCCAGGAACAGAAAGGGGTTCTCGGTATGGCTGGAGTATAAAGTTGGGTACAAAGAGAGGAAGAAAGAGTGGGGAAGGATGGGCAGGGAAAAAAAAGAGAGATCATACAGGCAATTTCCACCAGAGGTCAAGCAGGCAAGAGATTGATGATCCAAGACGAAGTAGTGGGGTATTCCTAAGTGTGGGCCGAGCATGGTGATAGGAAATTGAGGTGATCAGTATTGGGAAGTTACCAGTGTAGGCACACAGCATCCAAGAGGCCTGTCCATGAATCCTAGTCACCGAGCTGTACTCCCCAGGAGGACTCAGTCCCAAAGAAGGGAGATTGACAAAAACAAGGCAGGTTCCCAACAAAAAGCGACACACCAATCAATCTTATTTATAAAGGGCAGTGATTTTTCAAGGCATTTCCACATCTCAGACCTTTGAAGAAAACGTTCACTACATCTTTGCGAGCCAGGCAGAAGCAGGTATTACTACTTTTAACCAGTGTACAGTTAATCACATCCATTCACAGAATAAAGGTGGCACAGTTCATCCTATCCATTATTTGGTTGACAAGTGCTGATGGTATCAATCATATATAATATTTTCTTTAATCCTATGTTTTTAATTTTAATCCAGGAATGGCTAACTCTAAAACAAGTATAAAATGGGATATAGTGAAAAAATCATTAGATTGGAGGTTAGGATTTTGATTCCAGTCTTAACTCTGTCACCAACCTATTGATTGACACTTGGCAAATCACTTCAAGTTCTCAGAGCCTCAGTTTCGTCTAATTGGACTAGCCCATTGATTGCTAAGGACGTTTCTGACACTCAGATCCTTTGACTTCAAGTCCTGAGGGCAAAAAGAAAAAAAGGCTAGGATTCCACATGTATTGAAGAATTTTTAAAATTTATTTTTAGCCCCAGTCTTTATTTTCAATTTGGTTTTCTATCTTGTTTCTCATTCCTCAGTTACAGTTCTGTCATTTCCCTTTTCCCTGAAGATATTTACGAAGCTGCCTTTGCATCACTTTAAAACTGTAAATATGCCCTTGAAACATGCAAAGAGGCTTTTGTGTACTTACAAATTGAGGTTATTATCGTACAAGTAAGTCACTTGAGTGCACTGCATTCTTCAGCTTGCTCCATTGAGAGCTTTATTAGGTTATATTGTCCTATCTCAGAAGATAAGACTTTCCCACTTTAAAGGGTGGGCTATCTGATGAAACAGGGTGCCGAATGCTCCAGAGTATAAGCAAAAGGATTTTGGTGCTGCCCAAAAGACAGACACACTTCTCTAATACAAGTAGGTACTTCACTTAAAGGGGCACAGTCAAGGACAAATGTTCTAAAATTAAACCAACCAGCTGCAGACGCCCACATGTCAATTATGCTATCTTCTAGTCCAGCCTTCTCTTTCCATGAAACCAGAACTCCCACTCGCTGCAACCCTGGAAACTTCACATACTTTCCAAGTGGCCACCTATCCATGGAAGCAGAAAGCCCGTTTCAGAACATACTAGGATACATGTCCTCATCTGACAGAATGTATGCTCTTTGGGTTTTTCAACTCTGGTACCAAAATGTCAACTTAGGCGATGCCAGAAATTGGTTTCACGAGTCAATTGAAGTATAACCTTCCTCTTCAAGTGAGGTGACAATACAAAAACTAGTCTGCGAATTACATATATTTTAGGAACCTAAAAAGCATGACAGATTTAAGTTTTTACATAACTTAATAAACAATAGAAATGGAGACAAATGTGTCTATTTCTACGTTTGGGTTTTAGGTGTATTAGCAACCTAACAATAATCAGAACAGTTGTGAATGTGTAGTGACAAGATTTAACTGAATTAACCAGATGCTGTTTGTAAATAACTAGTAAACAACCACATAAAACAAATGATGGCTTTATAATACTTTCATGCGCGTCCATGTGAAGAGACCACCAAACAGGCTTTGTGTGAGCAACATGGCTGTTTATTTCACCTGGGTGCAGGCGGGCTGAGTCCGAAAAGAGAGTCAGTGAAGGGAGATGGGGTGGGGCCGTTTTATAGGATTTGGGAAGGTAATGGAAAATTACAGTCAAAGGGGGTTGTTCTCTGGTGGGCAGGGGTAGGGGTCACAAGGTGCTCAGTGGGGGAGCTTCTGAGCCAGGAGAAGGAAATTCACAGGGTTAATCACTCAGTTAAGGTGGGGCAGGAACAAATGACAATGGTGGAATGTCATCAGTTAAGGCGGGGCAGGGCCTTTTCACTTCTTTTGTGATTCTTCAGTTACTTGAGGCCATCTGGGCGTATACGTGCAAGTCACAGGGGATGCGATGGCTTGGCTTGGGCTCAGAGGCCTGACATTCCTGCCTTCTTATATTAATAAGAAAAATAAAACAAAATAGTGTTGAAGTATTGGGGCGGCGAAAATTTTTGGGGGTGGTATGGAGAGAGAATGGACGATGTTTCTCAGGGCTGCTTCGAGCGGGATTAGGGGCGGCGTGGGAACCTAGAGTGGGAGAGATTAAGCTGAAGGAAGATTTTGTGGTAAGGGGTGATATTGTGGGGTTGTTAGAAGAAACATTTGTCTTATAGAATGATTGGTGATGGCCTGGATACAGTTTTGTATGAATTGAAAAACTAAATGGAATAAAAGAAGGAGAAAAACAGGTATAAAAGGTCTAAGAATTGGGAGGACCTAGGACATCTGATTAGAGAGTGCCTAAGGAGATTCAGCATAGTCCTGCCAGCCAAGATTGTTTGTTTACTTCAGGAGTTAAGTGTGGCAGTTTGGGGATAGCACCAGGAGATATCAGCTATGATGGCTTGGAGAAACAGTGTAAACCGGCAGTGTAAACAAGAGCAGGGCATGTATGAGTAGTTGAGAACGGTGAATAGGAGTATGACTAGACAGAAGATAGTAGGGATGACAAGTTTTTTTGGGGCACAGTCTAAGTTGGTCTGGTGTCGAATGAGACTGGGGCCTAATAAAAAGGAGCGTCTATACAGGAGCTTAAATTGGCTGTACCTTGTAGCATTCTGAGGACAGGCCTGAATTCTGAGAAGCGAAAGTGGTAAAAGTATTGTCCAGTCCTTTTTAAGTTGGTAGCTGAGCTTGGTGAGGTGTGTTTTTAAAAGACCTTTAGTCCGTTCTACTTTTCTTGAAGACGGAGGACCGTAAGGGATATAAAGGTTTCACTGAATACTAACAGCCTGAAAAACTGCTTGGCTGATTTGACTAATAAAGGCTGGTCTGTTATCAGACTGTATAGAGGTGGGAAGGCTAAACTGAGGAATTATGTCTGACAGAAGGGAAGAGATGACTGTGGTGGCCTTCTCAGACCCTGTAGGAAAGGCCTTTACTTATTCAGTGAAAGTGTCTATTTAGACTAAGAGGTATTTTAGTTTCCTGACTCGGGACATGTTGAGTAAAGCTAATTTGCCAGTCCTGGGTGGGGACAAATCCTCGAGCTTGATGTGTAGGGAAGGGAGGGGGCCTGAATAATCCCTGAGGAGTAGTAGAATAGCAGATGGAACACTGAGAAGTTATTTCCTTGAGGATAGATTTCCACAATGGAAAGGAAATGAGAGGTTCTGAGAGGCGGGCTAGTGGCTTGTACTATAGCATAGCCTGCCTTTGCTGGTGTGTGGCAATTAGGCCTGGTGGAACTGCCGTCAATAAATCAAGCGTTATCAGGGTGAGGAACAGGAAAGAATGAAATATGGGGAAATGGGGTGAATATCAGGTGGATCAGAGAAATACAGTCATGGGGGTCAGGTGTGGTATCAGGAATAATGTGGGAGGCCAGATTGAAGTCCGGACCAGGAACAATGGTCATTGTGGGACTTAAAGAGCGAGCACAGCTGAAGGAGCCGGGGAGCAGAAAGTATATGCATCAGGTATGAGGAAGAAAATAGATTTTGGAAGCTATGAGAAATGTAGAGAGTGAGTTGAGCATAGTTTGTGATTTTTAGGGCCTCTAACAGTATTAAAGCAGCGGCAGCCGCTGCACGCAGACATGAGGGCTAGGCTAAAACAGTAAGGTCAAGTTGTTTGGACAGAAAGGCTACACGGTGTGGTCCTGGCTCTTATGTAAGAATTCTGACTGCGCTAACCATGCCTAGGAAGGAAAGGAGTTGTTGTTTTGTAGAAGGTGCTGGGGTTTGAGAGATCAGTCGGACACGATTGGCAGGGAGAGCACGTGTGTTTTTATGAGAATTATGCCGAGATAGGTAACAGATGAGGAAGAAATTTGGGCTTGATTGAAGTAATGGGGGCTGTCTGTGAAGCTTTGTGGCAGTAGAGCCTAGGTAACTTGCTGAGCTTGATGGGTGTCAGGGTCAGTCCAAGTGAAAGCAAAGAGAGGCTGGGATGAAGGGTGCAAAGGAATAGTAAAGAAAGCATGTTTGAGATCCAGAACAGAATAATGGGTTGTAGAGGCAGGTATTGAGGATAGGAGAGTATATGGGTTTGGCACCACGGGGTGGATAGGCAAAACAATTTGGTTGATAAGGCGCAGATCCTGAACTAACTTGTAAGGCTTGTCTGGTTCTAGGACAGGTAAAATGGGGGAATTGTAACGAGAGTTTATAGGCTTTAAAAGGCCATGCTGTAGCAGGCGAGTGATAACAGGCTTTAATCTTTTTAAAGCGTGCTGCAGGATGGGATATTGGCGTTGAGTGGGGTAAGGGTAATTAGGTTTTAATGAGATGGTAAGAGGTGCAAGGAGGGAGTAGAGGTATCTTATACTTGTGGGTTAAGGTGGGGGGATACAAGAGGAGGACGCAAAGGAAGCTTTGGATTGGGAAGAAGGGCGGCAATGAGATATAGCTGTAGTCCAGGAATAGTCAGGGAAGCAGATAATTTAGTTAAAGCGTCAGCCTAATAAGGGAACTGGGCAGGTGGGGATAACTAAAAAGGAGTGCTTAAAAGGGTATTGTCTAAGTTGGCACCAGAGTTGGGGAGTTTTAAGAGGTTTAGAAGCCTGGCTGTCAATACCCATAACAGTTATGGAGGCAAGGGAAACAGGCCCTTGAAAAGAAGGTAATGTGGAGTGGGTAGCCTCCGTATAGATTAAGAAGGGGACGGCCTTACCTTCCACTGTGAGTTACCTGAAGCTTGGCGTCCGTGATGGTCTAGGGGGCTTCCGAGGTGATCGGGCAGTGTCGGTCTTCAGCCGCTAAGCCGAGAAGATCTGGGAAGGAGTCAGTCAGAGAGCCTTGGGCCAGAGTTCCAGGGGCTCTGGGAGTGGCTGCCAGGTGAGTTGAACAGTCCGATTTTCAGTGGGGTCCCACACAGATGGGATGCGGCTTAGGAGGAATCCCGGGCTGCGGGCATTCCTTGGCCCAGTGGCCAGATTTCCAGCATATGTAGCAAGCTCCTGTGGGAGGAGGTTCTGGAGGAACGCCTGGCCGCTGCGGTTCAGGCGTTTGGAAGTTCTTGTGTGCTGGAGATGTGGCTGGGGTTTGTCTCACAGTGGAGGCAAGGAATTGCAACTTTTTTCTATTATTGTACACCTTGAAGGCGAGGTTAATTAAATCCTGTTGTGGGGTTTGTCTCACAGTGGAGGCAAGGAATTGCAACTTTTTTCTATTATTGTACACCTTGAAGGCGAGGTTAATTAAATCCTGTTGTGGGGTTTGAGGGCCGGAATTTAATTTTTGGAGTTTTATTTAATGTCGGGAGCAGATTGGGTAATAAAATGTATTTTGAGAATAAGACGGCCTTTTGACCTTTTAGGGTCCAGGGCTGTAAAGCGTCTCAGGGTTGCTGCCAAACGAGCCATGAACTGGGCTGGGTTTTTATATTTGATGAAAAAGAGCCTAAATGCTATCTGATTTGGGATAAAGAAAAAGGAGCATTAACCTTGACTATGCCTTTAGCTCCAGCCACCTTTTTAAGAGTAAATTGCTGGGCAGGTGGGGGAGGGCTAGTCACGGAAGGAAACTGTAAGCCGGACCAGGTGTGAGGAGGGGAGGTGATAAAAGGATTATAGGGTGGAGAAGCAGAGGCTGAGGAAGAATTGGGACCTAGCTCGGCCTGGCGAGGAGCAGCCTGGGGAGGAAGGGAGAGGTCAGATGGGTCTGTAGAAAATGAAGATTAGAAAGACTCAGCGACGCTTGGGGTTGGTACTGAGGGGACAGGCGGGAGGGAAAGAAGGAAGATTTGGGACGAGTTGCACTGGGCACAGAGGCTAGGAAGGGACTGATGTGTAAAAGAATGCCTGGACGTCAGGCACCTCAGACCATTTGCCTATTTTACGACAAGAATTATTTAGATCTTGCAGGATGGAGAAATTCAAAGTGCCATTTTCTGGCTATTTGGAACTACTGTTGAGTTTGTATTGGGGTCAAGTGGCATTGCAGAAGAAAATAAGGCATTTAGGTTTTAGGTCAGGTGTGAGTTGAAGAGGTTTTAAGTTTTTGAGAACACAGGCCAAGGGAGTAGAAGGAGGAATGGAGGGTGGAAGGTTGCCCATAGTGAAGGAAGCAAGCCTAGAGAAAAGAGAGAGTAGAGAAACAGAGAGAAGGGGTTCGGCGGTTCTTACCTTCCAGAAAAGTGGGAAAAGGGGTTGGGGCGCAGAGATAAGAGGTCGGGGCACGGAAATAAGGGATGGGGCACAGAAATAAGGGGTTGGGGCATGGAAATAAGGGGTCGGGGCACAGAAATAAGGGATTGGGGCGCAGAGATAAGAGGTAGGGGCGTGGAAATAAGGGATTGGGGCGCAGAGATACGAGGTTGGGGTACTTGCCCCTCCTCTAGAAAAGCAGGACTTGCCGCTAAGAGTGAAGGAGAAGGGGTTGAGGGGTACTTGCCCCTCCCCCAGAAAAGCGGGACTTGCCACTAAGGGTGAAGGAGAAGGGGTTGAGGGGTACTTGCCCCTCCCCCAGAAAAGCGGGACTTGCCACTAAGGGTGAAGGAGAAGGGGTTGAGGGGTACTTGCCCCTCTCCCAGAAAAGCGGGACTTGCCGCTAAGGGTGAAGGAGAAGGAGTTGAGGGGTACTTGCCCCTCCCCCAGAAAAGCAGAGAAGGGGTAGAGACAAGGAGAGAAGGGGTTGGGGTACTTGCCCCTTCCCCAGAAAAGCAGGACTTGCCACTAAGGGTGAAGGACCAAGGCAGGCGTCCCTGCGTGATCTGACACCTTTGAAACGTGGGTGTATAATCAGAGAGGCGTCCCTGCAATGTTTAAACACCAAGGGAAGGCTGCCTTCCCAGTCCGTGACCGGCGCCAGAGTTTTGGGTGCACGGATAAAATGTGTCTCCTTTGTCTCTCCCAGAAAATGAAAGGAATTGAAATTAAGAGAAGGGAGAGATTGAAGAGTGGAAAGGAGAAAGTGGTTGAGGGACAGTGAGAGAGGTTGGAGAAGAGAGTAAGAAGAGGCCGCTTACCTGATTTAAAATTGGTGAGATGTTCCTTGGGCTGGTCGGTCTGAGGACCTGAGGTCATAGGTGGATCTTTCTCACGGAGCAAAGAACAGGAGTACAGCGGATTGATCTCCCAAGGGAGGTCCCCCAATTCGAGTCACAGCACCAAATTTCATGCGCGTCCATGTGAAGAGACCACCAAACAGGCTTTGTGTGAGCAACATGGCTGTTTATTTCACCTGGGTGCAGGCGGGCTGAGTCCAAAAAGAGAGTCAGCGAAGGGAGATAGGGGTGGGGCCGTTTTATAGGATTTGGGAAGGTAATGGAAAATTACAGTCAAAGGGGGTTGTTTTCTGGTGGGCAGGGGTAGGGGTCACAAGGTGCTCAGTTGGGGAGCTTCTGAGCCAGGAGAAGGAAATTCACAGGGTTAATGGTGGGGCAGGAACAAATCACAATGGTGGAATGTCATCAGTTAAGGCAGGGCAGGGCCTTTTCTCTTCTTTTGTGATTCTTCAGTTACTTCAGGCCATCTGGGCGTATATGTGCAAGTCACAGGGGATGCGATGGCTTGGCTTGGGCTCAGAGGCCTGACAAATACAAGTGGAAATGTTTCTCACTATAGATCCTATTCCAACCAGGCTTAGACACAGTAGGGAAGAAATGTGATTTTATATATATAAATAGGGCCAGGCATGGTGGCTTACAGCTGTAATCCCAGCACTTCGGGAGGCCAAGCTGGGTGGATCACCTGAGGTCAGGAGTTCGAGACCAGCTTGGCCAACATGGTAAAACCCCAGCTCCACTAAAAATACAAAACTTAGCTGGGCATGGTGGCATGTGCCTGTAATTCCAGCTACTCTGGAGGCTGAGGCAGGAAAATCACTTGAACCGGGAGGTTGCAGTGAGCCGAGATCATGCCACTGCATTCCAACGTGGACAACAGAGCGAGACTCCATCTCAAAAAAAAAAAAAAAAAAAGAAAAGAAAATAGGTTTTACTATGGAGGTGATTTGTCTTTTTATTAGATTATATTAGGCAAAAGTTCCAGGGATTTCTCCCTAAATGTTTGTAGTCATTCCTGCAGTTGGTGTAAATTTATTACTGAAAATATTCAAATATTTAATACTTTTTCAATGCCATATTTGAATAATGTAATGAATAAATAATAAGCTGATTAATATTAAATCTATTTTTTCTTTTCTTTTCTTTTTTTTTTTTTTTTTTGAGACAGAGTCTTGCTCTGTCGCCCAGGCCGGATTGCAGTGGCATGATCTCGGCTCACTGCAACCTCTGCCTTCCAGGTTCAAGTGATTCTCCTGCCTCAGCCTCCTGAGTGGCTGGGACTACAGGTGCGTACCACCATGCCTAGCTAATGTTTCGTATTTTTAGTAGAGATGGGGTTTCACCATATTGGCCAGGCTGGTCTTGAATTCCTGACCTTGTGATCCACCCGCCTCAGCCTCCCAAAGTGCTGTAATTACAGGTGTGAGCCACCATGCCTGGCATATTAAATATATTTTTTCTATAAAGTAAAATTGTGCTAGTTATGTTGAAGGGGGTGTAAGATTACCATAAAAATTAAGATATTTTTTAAGTGATAAAGTTTATTGTGAGGCAATATGTACCTAGAATTTTTGCTTATTAATGAAATGTACATTATAAAAATAAATTTTTATTATAGTTATTCCATTATTTTTATATTGGAAAATCAAAATAAACCTGTATTGACATGATTCAGATTCACTCATTCAGTAACATTATTGAGAATTCATAAGGCATTGTATTAGATGTTGGGGATATATAAGGATGCATCAAAACATAGCATAAACACACACACAAAAAATATAAATAGTCCAAGCACAGTGGCTCGTGCCTGTAATCCCAAAACTTTGAGAGACCAAGGCAGGAAGATCTCTTGAGGCCAGGAGTTTGAGACCAACCTGGGCAACATAGTGAGACTTAGTATCTACAAAAAATAAAGAAGTTAGCTGGGCATGGTGGCATGCACCTGTAATCCCAGCTACGCAGGAGGATTACTTGAGCCCAGTAGTTCAAGGCTGTGGTGAGCTATGATTGTGCCACTAGACTCAAGCAAGACATTGTCTCTGAAAAAAAAAGAAAACAATACATACATATATAGGCGATCATAATAATAGGTATCACAAATTATTTGAAAAGTTATAATGGGAGTTTACTGGTATATTCAGACACAAATTACTAAAACAGAATTATTGAATAAATGTACAAAGTTTAGATGCTTATATTTTCTTTTTCAAATTTTTCAGGAACATATTTTATTGATTTTTCATGCCTTTCTATCTACTAAATATAACTATACTTCTAACTTTATTATAAAACATCCAATATGCCATTTCTATATATTTGAGTACAAAAATAAAGGCTTAGTTTATGTACAGTTTTATAAACTGTGTTTTATAAAAGTTAAGCTGCCTTGGGTTTTTACATGTCACTTCTCATCCAGGATGGGTAATAAGGACCAGATTTACCCTCCCACCTGAAACTACTAAAAAACTGGACAAAATATGTGAAACAATTGTTTTAAAGTATTGAACTTCCAGCAGAAGAGGACAATGATCCCTGAGAGAAGGGAAACAAATGAGGTGAGCCCTACAATTACCCCAGCTTACTGCCTAGAGAGGGTGTCCAGTCTGCAGTGCAGGGAAGAGGAACCTAGATAGAGCTCGATGGATTTCCTGACTTAAGGACTCGAGAATCTAGGAAAGACCAAGGGAGCTAGAGTTTGCAAGGTAGAGTTCCACAGAGGAGAGCACTATATGGAAGAGACTTTCAGAGATTTGCAGATAGTCCTTCTCAAGTCTCCAGCTGAGAACTGTTCAACACATATGCAAGAAAACTACCTGAGGCCAGAGAGAGAAACACCCTTGTTGTACCTGAGCGAGTTAGAGAAAACGCCACACTTTGAGATGAATTAAGAGTCCGTTTATTTAGCCGGCGGCCAAGAGACAGCTAATGCTCAAAGTTCTCTCGGCCCCGAAGAAGGGGCTAGATTTTCTTTTATACTTTGGTTTAGAAAGGGGAGGGGGGGGTCTAGTTAAAACAACTTTACAGAAGTAAAGTAGGCAAAAAAGTTAAACGGATAAATGGTTACAGGAAAGTAAACAGTTCCAGGTGCAGGGGCTTTAAGACTATTACAAGGTGATAGACGCGGGGCTTTGGGTGTTATCAATCGGACGAATTCCTGGGAACTGCAGATATTGCTCGCCACAGTATCTTATCAGTTAATTGCATTCTTGGATGTGCTAGGAGTCAGCTTGCACAAGTTAAGTCCTTGAGGAAGGGGCTGCCAGTGAAAGAGCCAAGATGGAGTCTGTCTGGCTCTCTTAGCTAAGGGAGAATCAATTCAGGTGGAAACAAGTCTAGGTGATTAAAGGAAAGGGAGAGACTAAGAACAGGGTTAGTAAAAACAAGGTTGGGCATTACACCCTGAAGGAGGGAGGGAACAATCCCCAGAGGTAACATGGGGCCAGGAACAGACAGTGTGGAAAACCTTGTAATTCATTGTTAGAGTAATTCGAAGAGTATCACCTCAGTAGAGGGGCAGAATTAGCCTTATGCTAGAAAATGCATTGGTCCCACATAACAAAATGTAAAAGCAAGACTCAAAAGGATCCAGCTATTTCCAGGAAACTGAACTGCATCCCAAGAAAAAGCTCAAGAATACAAAAATATTCAGCCCCCAACAAGGTAAAATTCATGATACCTAGCAGCTAATCAAGACCTGCAAAGAAACAGAGAATACAACTCATAATAAAAAGAAAAACAAATCAATAGAAACAGACACAGAAATGACACAAATGATACAGTTAGTAGCTGAGGACTTTAAAACAGTTATTATCACTGTATTTCTTATGTTCAAAAGGTGGAAGAAAGATGGAGCACATTAAGCAGAGGCAAGGAAAAGATAGCAAAAAAAAGTTGAATGACCATTTTTGAAGATTCTGATGCCTGAGATGAAAAATACATACCAAACAGGATTAGTAGACTAGACATTGTAGAAGAAAAGATTAGTGACGTTTAATACGTAGCAATAGAAATGACCCAATATGAAACACAGGGAGAAAAAAAAGCCAGAAAAAGAAATAAATATAGCATTAGTGAGCTCTGGGACAGCTTCAGGCAATTTGGTACATGTAGTTGGAACCAACAAAGGAAAGAAGGGAGAGGAGGGGAACAAAAATTTTTAAGAAATAATGGTTGAAATTTTTCTAAATTTTATAATAACTATAAATCCATGGATCCAAGAAGTGCAACAAACCTTAAACACAAGAAACAAGAAGAAATCTACTCCAAAACACATAACAATCAAATTGTTTAAAAAGCAATGGTAAAAAGAAAACCTTAAAAGCAGCCAGAGAAAAAAATGGCACATTACGTACAGAGGAACAAATCTAAGAATGACAAAAGCTTTTTGTTGGAAACAACGTAAGCCTGAAGACAGCGGAGGCAGAAACTTTTAAAGTGCCGAAAGAAAAAAAGAAGTCAACTTAGAATTCTATACCCAGCAAAAAATATTTTACAAAAATGAAGATGAAGTCAAGACTTTTTCAGACATAAAGAAGCCAAAAAAAAAAAAAAAAAAGTTTTTCACCAGCAGATTTGCATTGAAGGAAATCCTTCAGACAGAAGAAAAATGATACCAGATGGATATCTGGACCTACAAAAAGGAATGAAGATCATCAAAAAGGAAAAGTAGGTGAATACATGTGAAATGCCTTTTTATATTTCTAAAATCTCTTTAAAGATAATTAGTTGGCTTTTTAAAGCCAAGGTATTAACAGTGTGTTGTGGAGCTTATAACATATACATAGAGGTAATATGGATGACAACAGTGCAAAGGTTGAGGGGAGGAAATGAGAGTATACTCTTCTTAGTTTCTTATACTATATGTGAAGTGGTAAATATCATCAATCACATTAAATGTAAAAGGTGTAAATATCCCCATTAAAGGCATAGATTATAATATTGGACAAAATTTTTGAAAAAGATTAGGTATGCTGCCTATAAGAAGCTCACTTTAAATATAAAGATATAGCTAAGTTAAAAGTAAAAGGATAAAAAAAGATATACCCTACTAATACTTTAAAAGAAAGCTCGAGTGGCTATATTACTATCAAAGTAGATTTTAGATCAAAGAATATTGCCAAGGATAAAAAGGGACATACACTGATAAAACAGTCACTTCATCAAGAGGATATAACAATCCTCCATGTTGGCGGGGCACGGTGGCTCAGGCCTGTAATCCCAGCACTTTGGGAGGCTGAGGCAGGTGGATCACCTGAGGTCAGGAGTTGAAGACCAGCCTGGCCAAGATAGTGAAACCCCATCTCTACTAAAAATGCAAAAATTAGCCGGGCGTGGTGGCAGGAGCCTGTAATCCCAACTACCTGGGAGGCTGAGGCATGAGAATCACTTGAACCCAGGAGGTGGAGGTTGCAGTGAGCCAAGATCGCGCTACTGCCCTCCAGCCTGGGGGACAAGAGTGAGACTTCATCTCAAAAAACAAAAAGCAACAATCCTCCATGTTTATGTACCCAACAACAGGGCTTCAAAATACATGAAGCAAAACCTGAAGGGAGAAATAAAATAAGTTGATAATTATAGCTGGATATTTCAATACTTTTTCAAGGATACAAGGTGCATTATCAAGACAGAACATATACTGAGTCATAAAACAAGTATTGATAAATGTAAAAGGATTCATATCATACAAAATATGTTCTTTGACCACAATGAAATTAAGTTAGAAATCAATAACAGGAAGGTATCTGGGAAATCCCCAAATAACTGGAGTAAACACACTTTTTATTCCAGTTATTCAAAGAAGAAATCAAAAGGAAATCAGGAGTATTTTGAAATTGAATGGAAATGAAAACACAGCGTATCAAACTTCGGGGGGATGCAACTGAAGAAGTACCTAGGGAAAAAGAAACATCTCAAATCAATGATCTTCAAGTCCAACAGAGCTTAAAAGTAAAATTCACTGCTTAGTGAATTATTTTTAAAAAGTCAAATCAATGATCTAAGTTTTCCCTTTAAGAAACTAGTAAAAGAAGAGCACATTAAACACAAAGTAAGCAGAAGAAAGTAAATAATAAAGATAAAAGCAGAAACCAATGAAAAAGAAAAACAGAAAAACAATAGAGAAAATCATTAAAACAAAAAGCTGCTTCTTTAAGAATGTGAGGATGTGTCTAGTATCTTAAGAACTGTTAAAGAACAAATGCAGTTATGTTCCTGAAGTTGCTATTTTTAGTAAATAAGAAAACTAGATCAGAAACTATGGAAAAGATTTGTATTTCTTGGAGTGTTTGCTATACCTGCCTGATCCATTTTCTTAAGAATATGAAAGATCTTGTGTGCTACTGAAGAGAAGAAATCCATAAAGCATTTTGAAATGTATTACATATTTTTACATAGTGTTTATACATAGATGTGTGTGTTCACATCGTTCTCATCAAGAGTGCGGAACTTGTGGTAAGAGCATCTTGCTATCTGTGTTCTTCTAAACTCTAGACCCTGTTTGGCTTCTCCTCTTAGAATGATACTTGGAGAAATAGTTGATTCATTTATTCATTCAGCAGTCATTATGAAATGCTACAATGTGCCAGAGACTGTGGGACATGCTGGGGAGCACAGCTGTGAACCAGACAAACAGGATCCCTGCCCTCTGAGCACTGAGTCTGATGTGAGATACAGACAAGTAAATAGGCAACAACAATAGAACAGTGTAAGTGTGCCATCATGGAAGGAACGAGTTCCAAGGGAGTCCACAGGACGGCCTTGAATATTATTCCTCAAGCTAGCAGCTAAAAAGAATTTTTAAAAATATGATCACATTTATTATTACAAATTTTTATAATTCAACATAGGCAATACAATGTTAGGCATGGAGCAATATGTTAAGATATGAGTTTGATTCTCAAAGAATTCCTTGACTATTATGTACCTAATATTTATTCCTTATTCTGTTCACACTGTATTGATGCTCTGTTTAAATTTTCATCTCAAAGCATAAATAAGACATATAGCATGCTTTTTTTTTTTTTTAACGCCACCATGCCTGGCTAATTTTTGTATTTTTAGTAGAGATGGGGTTTCACCATGTTAACCAGGCTGGTCTCAAACTCCTGACATTGTGATCCACCCACCTCAGCCTCCCAAAGTGCTGGGATGACAGGCATGAGCCACCGCACCTAGCCTAATTTTCCATCTTCTTATTGAGAATTTTTTATGAGTATTCTAGAATAGAAAGATCATATAGGTCATTTTCACCTGTTCAGGACTTTGTATGGATTTCTCTGTTACACTGGGGCACAAAGAAATGGCAGAGCCTGAGCCAAGAATCCCCATCCTCAGGCAAAGTTCAAGGGATTCGAGGCTTAGAGAAATAAGGCAAGACCAGGAAAATGTGAAGATTCCAAAGGTTAGGTAGGAAGGGGTCCATGATTCATTCAGAGGGTCAGATATTTTTTAAATTATGCATTTCCTTTACCCATTGATTTCAGCTTTGGAAATGTATCTTCAGGAAATTATTACAGTAGTCCTCCCTTATGTGCAGTTTCACTTACCGTGGTTTCAGTAACCATCAACCATGGTCCAAAAATAGGCGAGTACAGTAAATATTTTGAGAGAGAGAGAGAGACCACATTTACATAAATTTTATTACAGTGTATTGTTATAATTGTTTTATTTTTCGTTGTTCTATTTTATTATTTGTTGTTAATCTCTTACTGTGCTATTATAAAGTTTAATTTATAAATTATATATAATTTTTATATATATATATTAAACACTTTAAAAGAAAGCTTGAGTGGCTATATTACTATCAAAGTAGATTTTAGATCAAAGAATATTGCCAAGGATAAAAAGGGACATACATAGATAAAACAGTCACTTCATCAAGAGGATATAACAATCCTCCAGGTTGGCATGGAGGAGATATATATATATATATATATATATATATATATATATATATATATATAATTTATACATAATTTACATTATAGGTTTTTCCTATACATACATACCTATGATAAAGTTTAATTTATAAATGAATTATATATAATTGTATTTAATATATAATAAATATATAATTATATATCATATATAATTCATTTATAAATTAAACTTTATCATAGGTATGTATGTATAGGAGAAACATAGTCTCTATGGGTTCAGTACTGTCTGCAGTTTCAGGCATCCCTTGGGGGTCTTGGAAGTCATTCCCGGAGGATAAGGGCGGACTACTGTCTGTACATCCACATTTTAGCTACAAGGTTGTTCCCTGCAGTGGGTTACACTGAAAAGCTGGAAGCAACCTAGTTGCCTAACAATAGCAGCCTGGCTAAATAAATTATGTCATAGCCACACACTGTAATTCTAAGCAGGTTTTAAAATTATGTAACGGTGTTTCTCAAATTTTGTTATGTGTCAGAATCACCTGGAAGGCTTGTTGAAACACAGATTGCTGGGCCCCACCTGCAGAGTTTCTGATTCAGTTGATCTTGGATAGGGTCCAAGAATTTGCATCTCTGACAAGTTCCCTAGGGGTGCTGTTGGTCTGGGGAACCATTCTTTGAGAACCTCTGATGTAGAGATACACTTAGTGACTTGGAAGAATACTCACAAGGTATATAAAGATGTTTATGTTGTATTTTATATGTATGCATACATACAGAAGTTTAAGTAGAAAGATATTATCAAGTTGGCATCCCTGGTTATCTTTGGAGGTAGATCACTTTGTAGGTACTTATTATCTTTAATATTTTGCATGACCGATTTTTCTGTAATGAGCATAATATTAACCACCAAAACATAATAAAAGTTCTTAATTAAAAAATGAGATCATGAAGTCCTGGCCAATAGCACTAACGAGCCAGAAATACTGAAGTATGCTTGAACCTGGTCAAAAAGCGCAATCCCTGACTTTCTAAATATTAATATATCTTGTTGGGAGTGTGTATTAAGAGGCAGTTGTAGACAGAGGATCAGTGATGGGCCTATAGATACATTCCCTTCCTTATGGGAACAAAACACAGAAGAGGCTGATACTATCCTGAGGGCTTCTACGTGTTTTCTTACTTCATTTCACTCATGCCATACAGGCTTCTTCTGGGGAAGTTTGAAGAAAAACTGGGTGGGACCCAAAGGGCGACCTGCCAGAAGTTGGAAGCATCTGTACTGGCGGACTCTTTGTTTCCTGACGCAGGGTAGATCCATTCCCAGGGTATCAGATTAAGGCGTCTCCTTTCTGGAAAAAAGATTTCATGGTTTAAATTCCCGTTCACTTTTGTGTCTGTGGCACTCTGCTGTCTCCTTTCCAGCACACAGCCTCAGGGGTCATGATGTCCCTTCCCTACTGATATCCGCGTGCCAACTGTGGTGTCATGCACACCAAGCACAGAGCCGCCATTCAGCTCCCACTGTCTGGGCTCAGGAAGCAGAAGAGCTTCAAAGTTCCTACAGACCTTGACAGAGCTTCCTCTGGCTTTGCCTGTGCGGAACAATTCTGAGGGTGAGGGGGAGATGGAATGGGGTGAGAGAGGGAACTAGGGTAAATGTCAAGGGTAAATACGTGGCAGAGACAGAGAGAGACCAAACAGTTGCCACCGAGGCTCAGGAAAAGGAAGGGTGGGCAGATAACGAGGAGAAGGACACCACAGACTTTTCAGTGGAGCTCTTACTTGGTTAGCACTGGTGTGTCCTTTTCCATGTCCTTGCATTACTGTGGTTGATAAAATAGGAGGTAGCACTTTACTGATATCATTTAGAGCAAGGGTTCTTCCTGTCTAACAGAAATGTCAGTGTTTGGAGGTCACGTTGAGAATCAGTTCCATATAAAGCCCATAATGGATTCAATTTTTAAAAAATGCTTCGAAACAGAAAATCATGTTCTAGCTGTTGTTAAAAGAAAAAGATGTTACTTCTGTACTGACTTTTGAATATATGACATATTGTTTGTTGGAAAATTTTATTTTCTGATAAGCTTCCTTCCACCACTTTGCATGTGGATAAATGGGACAGAATGTGGTTTGAGTTTAAGATACAATGTTGTTTAAGCTTTAAAAGTTCAAAAATAGCTAGAAATACAAATACCGGTTAATCCGTTATTTCTTATTATTGTCATAATACTGGTGTTTAACGTGAAATTCAGTATGCGAATGAATTTAGACCCGACATAAGGAAGTTATTTGGAATTCTCACCTATTACACAAATGCCAAGAACAATGTTAAATTAATTAATTTGTTTACCAAAAATTTATTGAATACTTACTATGTGCCAGCCACTGTCCTGGGATACATACGTGACCGCCTACATGAAGTTTTTGGTCTGGACTGGGAAGATAGTAAATCACTAAACCACTACAAATATAATGTCAGATGGTGATAAGTACTAAGAACAGAAACCAGGCAGAGCCATTATAAGGACCTTGCATCTTGTTCTGAGGAGAATGGGAGGTCTTCAGGTGGGGGTGGTTTAAGCAAGGGAGTGACACGATCCAATCTCTGTTTATAGAGAACCACTCTGGCTACTGGCTAGACCATGAGCTGCAGAGGCCAAATGTCTGCTGAATTATTACCCTCTCCCCCACAGTTATATTTCACTGAGGACAGGTCTGTACCAGTAGACCTTGGACATGTGACACAGTCGATTCTTTCCTTTTCATACTTTTGGTATGAAATTGATCTCTAAGGTGATACTTTTATATCCAAAAAGAGAGAGTTATATTTTTAGGCAAGGTAAATCAGATATCACCTCTCTGCCTACAGTGTCCCAGTGGCTTCCGCTACAGTCAGCATAACTCTACTGTGACTTCCACAGGGCTCCATTCATGTCTATCTCACACCTGCTCTCTGTCCGCCTCTCCAGCCACTCTCTCTTTGTTCACTGGTCTCCAGTCACACTGACTTCGTTGTTCTTCCTTGAGCAAGCCAAGCTTGACTCTGCCTCAAAGCCTTTAAGCTTGCTCTTCCCTCGCCCAGAATGCTCTTCCTGGCAAGATCTTTGTATGGCTGCCTTTATCTCAAGGGTCAGGTCTCTGCTGGTCACTCAATGTATACTTCTGTGTACAAACAGGCAGCACATCTGCTCCTTAGAATAACAGGGCGGCTCTGTCCCAGGTGTGCTCAAGGTCTAAAAACTTCTTGTTATCTTATCGTTCACAGATGACATAAGGCATAAATCAAACAGGGACTACATTAGGCAAACAATTCAGGGTTTGCGCACAGTCCTATAAACGCATGGTATTTTCTTTCTCCTTACAGGTTATTTTCAAAGCTTTGTCACCACCATACGATACAGAGAACCCTTACAGTGCCAAAGTTCAGGAGCAGCTGAAGATCACCAACCTTCGCGTGCAGCTGCTGAAACGACAGTCTTGTCCCTGTCAGAGAAATGACCTGAACGAAGAGCCTCAACATTTTACACACTATGCAATCTATGATTTCATTGTCAAGGGCAGCTGCTTCTGCAATGGCCACGCTGATCAATGCATACCTGTTCATGGCTTCAGACCTGTCAAGGCCCCAGGAACATTCCACATGGTAGGTGAAACAAGTCCTCCCCTAAGAAAAACAAATCATAAGTTACCTTCAGCTTTGGGCATTGGTTGGTATATGCTTAACATAGTGCTGCTGATTTTTTCCTCTGCCCATCACAGCTCCGACTCCATACTCATCCTATAAAGTGCCTGTTAACTTGTCTTTTAATCTTCAGTTTTAGAGTTGTAGTCAAGCCTGATAACCAGATTCCTTGGAAAACACCCATGCCAGTTTTTAGTACTGTGACCTTCAGATATAAAGTGTAAAGTGAGCAGGAGTGAGAGGATGGCATGATTATATTAGTGGTATTATCACACACAAGCCAGCTTTGACAGTAAATGGGGACCATTGTGGAGTAGATTTTAAAGTTGGAAAAATAAGAACCTCGATTTTATGCCTGGTATCTTTGCTGTCCAGCCAGCAGAATGAATAAAAATTCTCCTCCATGAAGAGGACTGACCCCCTCTTCACCTAAGGCAGAGTTAAACTCTCTTTCCTCTAGGTTCACACATCTCCTGGGCTTTCCTCTGAATTTTTACTTCTCTGCATCCCCCAGGAGACCACGAACTCTCTGAGGAACTGTATGATCTTTGTATCCTCAGGACCAAGTGTATTACCTGGGCCAGAAGTAGGTGCTCAGTAGGTGTTTGGTTGAATGATAGCAACATAGGAATAGGGAGATGATGAAAAATTAGTGTCATTGTTTATCTGTCCTTACCTCCCCGACTTCCAGAAAAGATACAGAGTGGCTCAGCAGTAAGCACCTTGTTGGGACACATCCAGAGACTATGGATGGGGATTGGGCAAGGAGAAAATAAGGATGAGCGCTCCAATTATTTGATTTTCTATTTTGCTCTGATACTTCTGAGCAAACCAAAGCAAAATGAATAAAATGGAAAAGGCTGCAGAATATGCTACTGCATTTCCTAAAGGATAGACATCCCTATTCTTTCTTCTTTCTCTCAGCCCTAGTATACGATAGGCCACCAGCAGCCATGATCCAGTTAGCCAGCAGGACAGTTTGTGCTGGCTGGGCTGAGTCGCTGGGGCAGCATCAGGGTAACTAAAATGACTAGGACAGTAGCCAGAAAGTAACCAAAATAGAAACAGTGCTATTACTTGTAGAAGTTAATCCAGGCTCCCAGAGTTGAAGAAAATGCAGCATTCATTCAACAGATACCTGCTAGTTTCTAGACACTGATGGATCTTTGAAATCCTACAGTATTGTTTCAAATAAAGGGTGCTATGATTTAGTGTATCTCAGTTAACTGGGTTCAGGTAGGATTCAATCAGAAAATAACAAATATTTAGAGACATGTCAACCTACCAGACTGTGAACTAGAAAGTTTATGTGAGGTAGAGTGCTCAAAATATTTTGCCATGACATTTTAGTGAATTTGTGAAAGGAGAGCATGCAGATCTTTTGTTTCCTCGACTGTCTCTTATAATCCAAGCCATACAGGACCACCTCAGAGTAGAGTCCTGAGCAAAATGACAGAGGCCCCCATAACATGGCACAGGGTGGACCCTCAATATTTGTGGACTGAAGGACCTATGAGACTACCTGCATGGCTCTGATCAACCACAACAAAGTGCCAGAGTTCTCAAGGGCCTTATAAAAACTTCAGGTGGCCGGGCACAGTGGCTCACACCTGTAATCCCAGCACTTTGGGAGGCCAAGGCGGGTGGATCACCTGAGGTCAGGAGTTCCAGACCAGCCTGGCCAACACAGCAAAACCCCATCTCTACTAAAAATACAAAAATTAGCTGGGCATAGTGGTGGGCGCCTGTATTCCCTGCTGCTCGAGAGGCTGAGGCACAACAATCACTTGAACCTGGGAGGCGGAGGTTGCAGTGAGCCGAGATCGTGCCACTGCACTCTAGCCTGAGTGACAAAGCAAGACTCTGTCTCAAAAAAATAAATAAATAAATAAATAAATAAATAAATAAATAAATAAATAAAAATTTAAAAAAAATCATGAGCAGGCATTTAAAAGTATTACTTTCTTTTTTTAAAGTAAGTCCTCTAAATATAAACTTTCAGAGTTAACAACACTTTCTAAGGCTGAAGATAAAAATTCTAGAAGTTTCTCTTTGTTCTGCCAAATTCAACAATGGATAATTACTCAAAGCTAACAGACACTTTTGAAGAAGTCTTAAAATACAACTATTCTATACAATATACTGCCAGCAAGAAAATTATCAGCCTGTAAAGAGGTTCAGGATAACCAAGTAAAGGAGACTATACAGTAAGTGTTTTTCCATTCCAAAAGGATGTTAGAATGAGACATCTCCATCCTAGAAAACCCTATGGAACGGAAACCTCATTTTCTTACTAATCTCCTGCTGCTTTGAAATTGGAAGCAATTTCCTTTTAAAATAATATTAGTTTGCTGACATCTTTCTATTCCATTTTCATACTGATTTCAATTTGTGCAGCAGTGGTAGCAGCCCCTAGTGCCATTACTAAGCATGTGTTTGAATGGAGCTAAGCCAAGCCAAAACTGTGGATAAGGCCAGGTAGGGGGTAAAAAACAGCCTAAGTGGCCAAGACTATGTTGACTTCCAGGGATCCAGTTCCATCACAATTCTTGCTATCCCTATTCTCTTTAGAAAAAAGAAAAAAGAAGAAAAAAGAACCCATAAGCAATTGGACCAATAGCAGCCACGGTTGGAAATGTGAATTATTCTGGTTTTCGATTTTTCCACCCCTAAGCTTGGGTGTATTTGACTTTTATCTATACTTTTTTCTGAATTAGAAAAGAGCTTGTATTAAATTTGGAAATGGTTGCCTCCTTTGAATGTGGTTTTTGTTTTGTTTTGTTTTTTGAGATGGAGTTTCGCTCTTGTTGCCCAGGCTGGAGTGCAATGGCACGATCTTGGCTCACCATAACCTCTGCCTCCCTGGTTCAAGTGATTCTCCTGCCTCAGCCTCCAGAGTAGCTGGGACTATAGACATGTGCCACTACGCCTGGCCAATTTTGTATTTTTAGTAGAGATGGGGTTTCTCCATGTTGGTCAGGCTGGTCTCGAACTCCTGACCTCAGGTGATCCACCCGCCTCAGCCTCCCAAAGTGCTGGGATTACAGGTGTGAGCCACCACACCCAGCCTGAATGTGATGTTTTAATTCCTATGATTGCTTCACTGAGCATATTGCACATTGAAAGTATAGCCTTTTGCCTTATTAGGAACATAGGCATAGATTAATTGTCCCACATTTGTGTGTCTCTAGACGCCATTTATTTTATGTACACGGCTGTAGAAGAACTGAAATCTGATTGTGCCTGCAGAATGGAAGGTAGCTTCTTAAGAAATGCTGTTCTTTTGCAGGTCAGCTTATCATAGGTATGTGCACACAAATCTAAATTTTTAGCACAGTTTTTATTTGCAGCAGTGGAATGTGGTCCCTGAACCAGCACCATCAGCCTCATCTGGCAACTCGTGAGAAATACACATTCTCAAACCTTACCCCAGACCTACTGAATCAGAAATTCTAGAGATGAGGCCTAAGAATCTATGTTTAACAACCCCTCCAGGTGTTCTAATGCTTGCTAAAGTTTGAAAACCATTGCTTTACAGACTATGCCAGTTCGTCTGTGGCTAATATTGTTGCTAAAATGAGTAATTAATGAAACCTGATTTTATGGGCTAGAATTGTTTATGGCTGATGATAGCAAATTAGGGAAGTTAATGGAAATGGCACCCTATTTCTTAAACTATCGAAAAGAATAGGAAAAGAGATTCAAACTAGGAGCCTCATTTACCTTAATACATTCCTTTTTTTTTTTTTTTTTTTTTGAAATGGAGTCTTGCTCTGTCACCCAGGCTGGAGTGCAGTGGCGTGATCTTGGCTCACTGCAACCTCCCCCTCCCGGGTTCAAGCAATTCTCATGCCTCAGCCTCCCAAGGAGCTAGGATGACAGGCATGCACCACCATGCCTGGCTAATTTTTGTATTTTTAGTTCAGATGGGGTTTCGCCCTGTAGGCCAGGCTGGTCTCCAACTCCTGACCTCAAGTGATCTGCTTGCCTCGGCCTTCCAAAGTGCTGGGATTACAGGCATGAGCCACCATGCCCGGCCCCCTCCTGTGTCTTTTAAAACAGCATCACCTTCCCCCCATGTTTCCCCTTCTCCCCAGATCCATTCCACTTAGTCTCACCAGTTCAGTTTTCCTTCATCTGTCTATTTTACTGGAAGACAGAACTGTGTGATGATTAAGACCCTGGTATTGGAGCCAAACACAGCTAAATCTGACTTACCACAGCACTTACTAAGTTACTTGGTCTCACTGAGCCTCAGTTCTCTAATAAAATGAGGATAATATCTACCTTTTGTAGTTATGGTAAGGATTTAAAAGTCTGATGCTCTGTGCCCGGGATATGGTAGACACTACTTACATTGCTGTCATGATTCTATTGTATTATCTCAGCTACCTCTACTCTTCTCCTTCATACACTTCTTTGCCAATAATGACAAAAATAAATCACAGCTTATGTGCTGTTTGACATGTTTACAAGGCTGAGGGTTTTGTGGCAAGGAAAACTGTGCTTTGACTCCAGCCTGCTGGAATCCCGGAAATTGTGTGAAGAGATCTTAAGCTTTTTTCTCTTTGCAGCTGTAGAGGACTAATTTAGTTCTCTTTTTCCTAGCAGCTGGTGATTTTACAGCTGTTGGGTGATGAATGGTAATAAGAGGGAATATGGAATGTTTCATTATTTTATTCAATTATCATCCACTGGATAACATGGAGGCCTTAGAATACTGTGAGAAATATTTAAATGCCCTGAGCTGCACTTGTTAAGGCAGATTTTTCTCCTGTAATTTGGAGCTTATTTTAAAAGATGGTCAATATTTTGACTGATGCGTCTAAGTCTGAGGGTAAATGCTGAGATCTGTGGAACCATATAATGGGGTTTGAGGAAAATGTTCCTTAGCTACCTAGCTGTATAAGGCAGGTTTTAGAATCATTCATATAGTCTCATTATGAAAGTGTTTCCCAAGGAATCCGGATACATTCATTCATGTATTTATGTTTTCATATATCATATGTCATGTTTTATAAATTAAGGACAGATTTAAAGCTACAGTTTTCATCTTCTTTTTAAAATTTATTTTAGATTTTATTCATGTTCTATGAATAAGCCAAAAGTATCATTAGAAAGCTCTTCAGGCTGGGTACGGTGGCTTATGCTTGTAATCCCAGCACTTTCGGAGGCCAAGGCAGGCGGATCACCTGAAGTCAGGAGTGATCTGCCCGGCCAACACGGTAAAACCCTGTCTCTACTAAAATACAAAAATTAGCTGGGTGTGGTGGCACGCGCCTATAGTCCCAGATACTCCGGAGATTGGGGCCGAAGAATCGCTTGGACGCAGGAGGCAGAGTTTGCAGTGAGCTGAGATTGCGCCATTGCACTCCAGCCTAGGTAACAAGAGCGAAACTCTTGTCTGGAAAAAAAAAAAAAAAAAAAAAAGAGGAAGAAAGAGAGAGAGAAAAGAAAGCTCTTCAATCTTTAAGATGTTAAGGAAATGAACAGGAGATTTTAAAAACGATAAAGTTATTAAATTTGACTGTAAAATCAGGATTTTAAGGGAGAGAGAGAAAGAAAGGAGAGAAAGAAAGAAAGACAGAGAAAGAAAGAAAGAGAGAAAGGGAGAGAAAAGAAAGCTCTTCAATCTTTAAGGTATTAAGGAAACGAACAGGAGATTTAAAAAACAATAAAGTTATTAAATTAGACTATAAAATCAGGATTTTAAAATACTTCATATGGTAAAACATGCATGTATGTTTGGAAATGTACATCTGTAAATTAGTTTTCGGTTTTAGCACAGAAAAAAACTATCATGGATTATAAATACTGATGACAACAGTTACCCCTTACTGAATGCCTACTATGTGCCAGGTCTTGTGCTGTCATGCTACAAGTATTATTGAATTTAATCTCCATAACAACTACATGGAGTATCATTATTTTCTTTCACAGATGCGAAACCGAGACTTGAAAATGTTGACTTCCCCAAAACGAACGAAGGGTAGAGCCACAATTACATTCACCTGTCAGACACTAAAGCCCATTCTCTTTTTGTTGGTGTTGCACTGTGAAAGACTTGGATCTAACCAGGGTTGACATCGTGCCAAGAACAGAGAAAAGAGAGGGAGGGGAAAAAGGATTGGAGAGGGCAGGGGCGATGAGGCTGGGTTCAAGGGACTGATCATCATCATAACCACAGAATCTAAACTAAGGAGGGAAGTGAGAGAGTAAAGACAATTCTCACCCCCAAAGGTTAGCTGATTTATTTATTTATTATTATTTTTTGAGACAGAGTCTCACTCTGTTGCACAGTGGCGCAATCTCGGCTCACTGCAACCTCTGCCTCCCAGATTCAAGCGATTTTCCTGCCTCAGCCTCCCGAGTAGCTGGGATTACAGTTGCCCACTACCACACCCGGCTAATTTTTATTTTTAGTAGAGATGGGGTTTCACCATGTTGGCCAGGCTGGTCTCGAACTCCTGACCTCAGGTGATCTGCCCACCTTGCCCTCCCAAAGTGCTGGGATTACAGGTGTGAGCCACCATGCCTGGCCTAGCTGTTTTATATTTTATAAAGTTCTTTCCTCTGCATTATTTCACTCCATCTTTACTATAACCCTAGAAGGTATGACTGCTCTTACAAGGATAGGTAAACTATCCAAGTCCTCTACATTTCAATGTCACCAGAAATTAGCATTGATTCTCTTCCATTAACAACTAGTGAAATGGCTCCAAAGGGAAGAAAAAGAGAAAGAATAAAAGCAAAAACTTTGGATATTCTACAAAGTAAATAATTTAGAAGTGACTATCTTTGGAGGGGTATGGATATCTATGGTTTTATTAGGAAGAGGAATTTCTGGATCTACCATCCTTTACTTCCCTCTCTAGCCCTAAATCATTTTTGCTGCTGATGAAAAGCACCAGCAACCTCTATCATTTAATTTGTCACATTAGGATCTGGAGGAATAGGTAATCCTGTCACCAAAGGAGTGCAACATATTCCTAATATTAACAAAATGTAAAGCTTGCCAATTTGATACAATTAGTGTGAGCCTATCCTCAATCCTTATTTCAGTGCTCCTGTGTTAGCATGGCATAGTTCTGCTGGTAGTCCCTTAGCACTGAGTAACCACAGGTGCTATAGAAGGTGTACAGAATGTTGATTTTACTTTATTTACTACCTCATATTTCCTAATAGAAGGGCAAGCCAAATTCACGTTCATGGCTGGAAATTGTTAGTGTTTTGACTGTGTTTTCTCTCCACACAGTAAGATATACTTTCTTTTAATGGAAAAAATTGCCCAGGATTACTGTTTCTGATGATTAGGAAACAAGAAGACTTTGGGACCAGAGGCATTCTAAAATAATCTTGGCACCCATGGAAGGATTTCCTGTGGGGTTCCTTTCAAGAGTTTCCCCAGAACAATTAGATATTTATTTATAGGCCTTTATTTCACAGAGAGGTGAAAGGATAAAAATACCTGAGAGGTAAAATGTTGGTATCAGAGCTGACATCTCTAAAAGTGAAATAGAAGCCAATGGGAAAGTAAGGTTGAGTCTCCAAAATATAATATTTGTTCATTTAACTTTTCATGAACATGCTTTCCAGAAAGTGAATGTTTTTCCAGAAAACATATATATTTAGGTCAAAATTGGGGCACTGTAAAAGTGCAAAAATGAATCTAACAGGTTTGAAATACTTGTTCTATAAATTTGGGAAGGAATAACTCATATTTGACTTTTTTCTTACTATAAAGTACTCCCCAAATATTCAAGGCATATCTCACTTTGCAAATTTTCTCATGAATACTTCCTTTTCAGTATAACATTTTTGGGTCCATCTGTGAATAGCTGGGAACCTGGAGTCAGATCTCTGTGTCTGGAAGACCTGGCCTTCCAATTTCACTGCTAATATAATGGGTTCATGGGGAGAAGGAAGCTATATGGAAAGAGAAAAGCTGAGGTTACTGATAGATATCTGACTTCTGGTGCACAAATCGTGTCTCCATGGTATTTCATTTGTGTCTTGCCAATTTTGTAATAGCTGGAAGCATACTTCAATTTGTCCTGAAACAGTTATATTCAGTAGAAGATAAACTGTGATTTAAGTCCTTATTCTCCCTTGCAAGGGAAATTTTTAGTGACAAGACACGTAAGGTTAAAATACACACACACACACACACACACACACACACACACACACACACTCTCTCTCTCTCTCTCTCTTTATAATAATTCCAGAAGATGGAAAAAAACCCACAGCCATTTCAAATAGTAAGGAAAACAAGATCTGTTGATGTTGACATTCAAAACCTTAATAATATAATTGGGACTACGATTGCATTACATCTTAGCAATGTAAATATTTTAATGGAATAAAATAGTAAATTAGTACACATATAGGGATATAAAAGGGCTATAATATTTGTTAACTCATAAAAGATTTTTTTGTAATATGGGATTCTAATTTGGCATCTTTTTAGCTCTTTTCCTAGTCTTTAGGTAGAACAAAAATAGAGAAGATTATGGTTTCAAAAACCAAGACAAAATATATTTTAGCTTTAAGATAGCTCACATATTATAATGGAAAAAATTATTATATTTGTTATACTATTAAATATTTTATATATAATATAAACATTATGCACTTCATACAAGTAAACATGAATCAAGTGTCTTGCCTTTTAATTTTGCATCTCTAAGGGCATGTATTAGTCTGTTCTTGCACTGCTGTAAAGAAATACCTGAGACTGGGTAACTTATAAGAAAGGAGGTTTAATTGGCTCATGGTTCTGCAGGCTGTACAGGAAGCATGGCAGCATCTGCTTCTGGGGAGGCCTCAGGAAGCTTCCAATCATGGCGGAAGACAAAGCAGGAGCAAGACCCCTGACATGGCAGGAGCAGCAGCAAGGGTAGGGGAGGTTCCACACACTTTTAAACAACCAGATCACTTGAGAACTCACTATCCTGAGGGCAGTGCCAAGGGGAATGGTGCTAAACCATTCCTGAGAAACAGCCCCCATGATCCAATCGCCTCCCACCAGGCCCCACCTCCAACACTGGGGATTACAGTTTGACATGAGATTTGGATGGGGACACAGATCCAAACCATATCAGGGCAACACTATCAGGCATGTAACTTAGCTGGCTCAGTGAGCTCTCAGAATTTCTGAAAGGCAGTGATTTTATTGTTTCCCAGATAAGAACCTAGTAGCCATTAAAATTAAAGAGAACACAGGATCATAGTATTTCCATAGGCTGAACAGAGGCAAAAAATCCTGTAGCCTATTTGTCTTTTAGTTCAAACTTATAACTTAATTCAATTCAACTTAACACACCAGGAATAAAAAGGAGCTTCCTCAATGTAATAAAGGTTAGAAAGGAACTTCTCAATGTAATAAAGGTCATCCATGAAAAGTCCCCTGTTAACATCATACTTAATGGTGAAAAACCAAATACTTCCTCCCATGATCAGGAATCAGACAAGGATGTCTGCTCTCACCCCTTCTATTCAATATGGTGCTGGAAGTTCTAGCCAGGGCAATTAGGCTAGAAAAATAAGTAAAGAGCATTCAGATTAGAAAGGAAGAAGTAAGCCTATATTTATTCACAAATGATATAATCTTAGATTATAGAAAACTCTTAAGAATTCACCAAAAAACTATTACAGCTGATAAACAAGTTGTAAGATACAAGATCAACATTTCAAAAATCAATTATATTTTTATACACTGGCAATGAACAATCCAAAAATGAAATTAAGAAAATCTCATTTACAGTAGCATCAAAAAAGAATAAAATAGAGAGAAATAAACTTAACCAAATGCAGGGCATATACACTGAAAACCCTGAAACATTGTTAAAAAAAAATTAAAGAATACCTAAGTAAAGGGAAAGACATTTTGACTTCATGCATTAATTAGAAGGCTTAATATTATTAAAATGACAATACTCTCCAAACTGACCTATAGATTCACTGTGATATCTATCAAAATTCTAGCTGCCCTTTTTGCAGAAATGGACCAGCTGAACCTAAAATTCAGGTGGGAAAGCAAAGGACCTCAAATAGCCAAAACAACCTTGAAGAACAGCAAAGTTGGAGAACTCACACTTTCCAATTTCAAAGCTTACCTCAAATCTATAGTAATTAAAACAGTGTGGTACTGGCCAAAGGATAGGCATATAAATCAATGGGAGAGAGAGTTCAGAAATAAACTTATACATTTGTGGCCAAAATTAACAAAAATTAACCAAAATGGATCAAAAACCTAAATATAGAGCTAAAATTATAAAACTCTTATAAAGAAACATAGGTGTAGATCTTCATGACTTTGGATTAAGCAATGGTTTCTTAGATATGACACCAAAAGCACAAGCAACAAATAAAACAAATAAATTGGACATCATCAAAATGAAAAACTTTTGTGCATCAAAGGATGCTATCAAGAAACTGAAAAGACAATGCACAGAATGGGAGTAAATACTTTCAAATCATATATTTGAAAAAGTTCTGGTATCCAGAATGTATAAAGAACTCTTACAACTCAACAACAAAACAAAAAATAACCCAGTTTAATAATCAGTAAAAGATTTGAATGACTGGTCTTGAGCCACCCAAAGAAGGTATGCAAATGGCCAATAAGCACATAAAAAGACATTCAACATCATTAGTCATTAGGGAGATGCAAATCAAAACGATATTGTGATACCACTTTACATCCATGGCTATGATCAGAAAGACAAACAATAACAAGTCTTGGGGATGATATGGAAAAGTTGGAACCTTCATACATTGCTGGTAGAAATGTAAAATGCTACTGCTGCTGTGGAAAACAGTCTGGCATTTTCCCCAAAAAAATTTTTTTTTTTTGAGACAGAGTCTTGCTCTGTCTTCCAGGCTGGAGTGCAGTGGCGCAATCTCCACTCACTGCAAGCCCCGCCTCCCAGGTTCACGCCATTCTCCTGCCTCAGCCTTCTGAGTAGCTGGGATTATAGGCATCTACCACCATGCCCGGCTAATTTTTGTATTTTTAGTAGAGACGGGGTTTCACCATGTTGAAGGCTGAACTCCTGAAGGTCGAACTCCTGACCTCAGGTGATCCACCCATCTTGGCCTCCCAAAGTGCTGGGATTACAGGCGTGAACCACCATGCCCAACCCTGTCAAAAATTTTAATATGGAGTTGCCATATGACCCAGCAATTCTACCCCTCAGTATATACACAAGTGAATTGAAAACATGTCTACACAAAATCTTGTACATGAATGTTCATAGAAGCATTATTCATAGTAGCCAAAAAGTGGAGACAACTCAAATGTCCATCACTTGATGAATGGATAAACTATGGTATGTCTATACAATGGACTATTATCCAGCCATAAAAAAGAATGAAATACTGATACACGTTATAATTTGGATAAACCTTGAAAATGCTGTGCTAAGTGAAACCTAGACACAAAAGGCCACATATTGTATTATTCCTTTTATGTGAAATCCCCAGAATAGACAAATCCATAAAGATAAAATAGGTTGGTGATTGGCAGGTATCAGCAATTAAGGGGGAATGAGAAGTGACTGCCTAGTGAGCATGAGATTTCTTTTTGGAGTGGTGAAAATGCTGTGGAATTAGATGGTGGTAATGACTGTACAACATTTTGAATATACTGAAACCACTGAAATGTACACTAGAATGGTTAAAAATAGTGAATTTTATGTTACGTGAATGTTATCTCAGTTAGAAAAAAATCAATAGCTTAAAAAAAAAACCCAAACAAAAACAGAAAAACAAACATGGTGGGTTATACAGGAATTTTACAGAATAAATATATTTCTTTTCAAGACCAGTCATTAAACTGACTGATTTCAAAAGCAATAGCTTTTGGATGGATGAGTATTGAAGAAAACCAATTCTTTCAATAGCTGTGGCTGTTGTTTCTGGCCATACACAGATAGTCACAGATTTCTGAATGGCTCTGTATTCTGATAGAGTTTCTAAACAAGCGTAACTTTTTAATAAACCAGTATTCCACCTTCATTTTTCATATGTGCATACTCAATAATGAAGACTGTGTTTTACAAGATTCACCTAGAAACAAACAATTTCCCGATATGAAAAGAAGCATCTGAATGAATTAACAACAAAAAACAATGGAAGACAACATGCCCTAGTAACTGACTTCTTGTACTACAATCAGGGGCTCATTTATCTTAAACATGTCAACTTTTGTAATACCCTGTGCCCTGTATAGAATACTGAGTGACAATCAGACAGTGCTGTCAAGAAAGAAGGGAAACAGCAGGAAACGTGAACTAGACTGGATCTTTAAAAAAATCTTTGTAAGAGAATGCATAGTAGCCTGTGACAAGAAATTTTTTTCCTTTAAAACAACCAGAAACTATGCAAACACATTGAGCAAATGAATCTTAACGGGTGAAAAGTACTTAATAATCCTTACAGCATTTCTAATAGAATTTACCTGGCCCCAACTAATTATAACAACTTCTAAATCCTAGAAGACAGTGAATAAAACCCTACAACACCTTCCTTCATTCTCAAACACTACTTGACAGATAAGTTGCTTACAAAATTAGTTCTACTCGTTTTTTGCTTTCACGCAGTTTCCCAGGTTCTTGCCTAATAGTTGTATTAAGAGTTTAAATGGCTTACTAGAAGTTATATATTGTTAATTCTATTTTTGCTGCCTCTTTCTAAAATTATTAAAATTAAATAGGTACTAAGAAACTGAAATCGATGTAATCCCCTTTTCCCTCCAAGAGATTCTATTATAAGAAGTTATTTTAGGTGTTTGTGGGAAGCAAAAAAAAAAAAAAAATCCTGATGACATCACTGTTCTAAGATGGAACTTCTAATATTTTAGGAATCTCTTGGGAGTTCTGTTCCCTATTCTGTCATTGATTTGCTTTCTGACCTTGGGAAAGTTTAAGTATAAAAAGACAAGTGCAAAGGAAAGTTATGAAAACAAGACTGAGATCAAATGAAGAACAAAGATGGAGTAGGTAGAATGACTATGTAGCTACTGTCTTAGTAACTGAGCATAGTGACCTAGTAGCAATTTGGCTTGAAAGAAATTTCAAATTACTTGGCTGTGTATTGAGATAGTTTCCCATATAGTATTATAGAAAAGTCTGTCTATAGACAGGAATTACAGCAAAAATCTAGTATTTTTGTTGTAATACTTGTTGATCATCTTTTGCTCTATATTTGCAGCTGAACAAACTATAGCTGTTATAAAGGAGAAAAGGAGCCAATTTGATATTCTAATGCAATGAAGTCTTAGATATATTGAAATAAATGTCTTAAAATCAGAGTGCCTTACTTTATTGCCATTGCATACATGCAAATCTGCAGCCAAGTTAAGCCCATACACCAGCTCAGTTCACTTGTAGGATCTAGTCAAGTAAATATCCCTGTTGGACAGAAATCATTTTTAAAAGGCCAGTAGTCAGAAATAATTTTTAAAACCTATTGGAAACAAAGAATAAGAAACAGTTCTATAGAGTGGAGTAATGATGGAAAAAAATCTCATAATTGGTAACAGTATGATCTTATCTAAATGTAATCTTCTTAAGCCTCCTGGGCATTACAATTCTTAGTCTAATGCTATTTGCATTTTTATGGCAGAAATATTTATTACAGTCCCCAGAGGGAAGATAAAGTGCGTGATGATACTGAAAAGAGGAAGCTAGTAGAATTAATCTTGTGAAAATATGAGGCATTCCAACCCCACTATACGAAACATGTTAAAATTCCATTTTTAGAAGTAAATCCTCAAGTATTCTTGATTTAAAAAAAAAACTCTAGGTAACATGTGAAGGGTAAGAAATGGTAGTGTTAAAAAATAACTTTGTAAAAAGAAAGGTCATGACTCTCATATATATATAAAACGAACATGAGTCAAAGATGTATTTAACTCATTAATGAATGACAGGCCAGTAAGACATTACAAACAGTTCAAAGGAAAATTCAAAGAATCACACATATATAGGCAAATAAAGAATGCTGAAATAGGCCAGGCACAGTGGCTCATGCCTGTAATCCCAGCACTTTGAGAGGCTGAGGTGTGCAGATCACCTGAGGTAAGGAGTTTGAGACCAGCCTGGCCAGCATGGCGAAACCCCATCTCTATTAAAAATACAAAAATTAGCCGGGTGTGGTGGCGCCTGTAATCCCAGTTACTCAGGAGGCTGAGGCAGGAGAATCGCTTGAACCCGGGAGGCAGAGGTTGCAGTGAACCAAGATAGTGCCACTGTACTCCAGCTTGGGCAACAGAGTAAGACTGTGTCTCAAAAAAAAAATAATGCTGAAATGTATTTACAAATAGATGCAAAACAAGTCAATATGAAGGGCAATGATCAATTGCATTCTACCAGACACAACTGATTTGCATTTCTATGGACAGAAATTATTTGCATTATTAATCATTTCCTACAACTTACAGAGTTGTAAAATAGCTGAATGATGATAAAAGGCCAAGAAAACCTAGCGAGGGTGTGCTGCGGTAACACACTTGGTAATCTCTTGGTGGTGGGCACAGGGAGTGGATTTCAGAGTCTTTCACTATTTTTCCCCGACAGCAGGAAAGGTAATTTTGGTAGTAAGGTTTCCCAAAAGATGCTATATTTGAACCTAAAGTCCACAGTTATCAATAAAGATAGTCTATCGCTGGCCTCACAAAAGAGAGATTTGTTTTGTTCTAGGAAATCATTATTCTGAAGAGTAAGACAGACTCCTACCTAAAATTACTCAGCCCAAATTTAAACTGTACTGCTCACTTGCAAAAAATACTCTTGAGCCAATTATATAGTTTTAAAACAATGGATTTTTTTTTTTTTTTTTTTTTTTTTTGAGACAGAGTCTCACTCTGTCACCCAGGCTGGAGTGCAGTGGCACGATCTTGGCTCACTGCAACCTCTGCCTTCCGGGTTCAAGTGATTCTCCTGCCTCAGCCTCCCAAGTAAGTGGAATTACAGCACACACCACCATGCCCAGCTAATTTTATTATTTTTCGTAGAGACAGAGTTTCACTATGCTGGCCAGGCCGCTCTCGAAATCCTGACCTCAAGTGATCTGCCCGCCTTGGCCTCCCAAAGTGCTGGGATTACAGGCATGAGCCACAGCACCTGGCCTAAAATAATGGAAATATTTTAAAACCTTCTTTCACTTGGCTTTTTAAGTGAGGTTTTTGTTTTGTTTTTCGAGACAAGGTCTGGCTCTGGCCCAGGCTGGATTGCAGTGGCACAGTCTCGGCTCATTACAACGTCTGCCTCCCAGGCTCAAGGGATCCTCAACCTCAGCCTCCCGAGTAGCTGGGACTATAGGTGTTCACCAGCACACCCGGGTAATTTTTGTATTTTTTGTAGAGATGAGGTATTGCCATGTTGCCGAGGCTGGTCTCCAATTTATGAGTGGAAGCCATCCACCCTCCATGGCCTCCCAAAGTGCTGAGATTACAGGTGTGAGCCACCACGCCCAGCCTAAGTGAGGTTATGTTATCAACACTATTTTTAAACTCAAACGTGTTTTGTGATTTATTTGAAAAGGCCAAGCTGCGCTTTTCTCTGCCCTTGAGCAGTTTCTGCCTTCCTTCCTGCAGATGGGTGGGTTTGGGGGTTTGTTTTTGCTTTATTTCATTTTTGGCTAATCATCTAATTTTTACAAAAGTGGCCATGCTGTATAGAGAAAGATAAACCACAAAACTTGACTTTAGGTCTTAGTTCTAGCTGTAATACTACCAAAAAAAAAAAAAAAAAAGATCTACTGAATCACAACTTTAAGCAGTCTCGGAATCAGTGCCCACCGTGTATATATATAGATGTATACAGATGTGGCCAGTCAATGTACACAGATGGGGTCGCATTTGGAAATTTGTGTGTGAGTGTGTGTGTGCGCGCACGTGTGCATGCACATGCACACTTGCACTTCTGAATACTCTTCAACTCCTGATTTCTTATGGTAAGTAGCATATGCCATGGCACAGATGAACTTGGACTTAGATAAATAATTCAAAGCTTTGGGGCATATAAAATTTTGTACATGAAAAAATGGAAATAAGCCAGCAACCTCAATTTAAAAATTTACCTAAATCATTCGGTTATGCACAGTGTACTTCTTATTCTTCATAACTAGATTTAAACTGACTAGAAGTCATCACACTACCTATTACCATTCTTACCAGATCGTATCTAATAGGGATGGTAAATAACATAAAGGAGGTGCTATCCACAAAGAGCAAATCTTTAATTAGAGTTTATTTACATTCCTGCTGTCATCTCTGTTTGTAAATGTATTCAAAGGAGTTCCTAGTAAGGACTTGTTGAGGCTTGCAGTGGCCTGGAAATTCCCCTAGAAGGCATCAGAATCTCCAGTGCGCAGATAGAAAGGTTTTACATAGAACCAGTGAAGATCAAAAAGTATTCTCTACCCTTACTTGCCTGAACTTTATGCCAGGTGTGGGAAATTGGGGCCAGTCTCTCTGTATTCACCTGTCTTCAAAACTGCTTGGCTTCTTCCAGAGGAATAGAACCGATAATCCATTCAAGCACAGAACACTCATGAAGTGGCTCACCATGAGTCCAAACCCGACTCTGTCCTGGACAGCTCTTACTTAAAGGACAAGTTTTGGGAGGACACACCAATTTTATTTATAAAAGTGTCATCCCGAAGAGACTTGGCCAAAGTGGACCCCTCAAAATCCTTCTGCCAAGGGTCTTACAATGGCATAGTTTAGGGGTTAAGATGAGGATGCTAGAGTGAGACTGCTGGAGTTCAGGTAGCTTTACCACTTATTGGCTTTGTGGCCTTGGGCCGATTACTTAAACTCTTTGGGCCTTTGTTTTCTCCTTTGTGAAACTGGGCAATAATAGTTATACCTACTGTATGGGGTTTTCGTGTAAAGGAATTGAGTTAATATTTATACAATGCCTAGAATGGTGCCTGGGTATATAGTAAGAGCTACTCAGTGTTAGTTACTATTACTATTGTTGTTGTTATTTATCATCAGGTCCATAACTGACCCACATTCCTTGAGCTTACAATAGATCTCCAGGAGATGACCACTACGCATGAGGACATATTTATCAACATGCCTTGCCCAGGTATAAACCTGTATACCCCTTATAGGAAGCAATCTGGACAAAGCTAAATGTGACAAGTGAAATTATCTCGTTCCCACTTCAAATGCATAATTATCACCCTGCCTTCTTGGCAGTTTTAAAAATGAGACTAAGCTCGGTAACTTGAGTTCTCAAGGCTTCATAATATATATATTCCCTGAATGAAAAAAAAATACACGTTTATTGGAAACCCATTGTATGTCAGTTACCAGGGATTCAAAGACATTTAAGCCACTGTTTGTTCCCTGCAAGGTCTTACAATCTAGTAGAGAGAGGCGGATAATGTATGATTCCCATGCTGTACACTAAATGCCGTTTTCTTAGGGAATTTGCATTGGCTCCATTCATGGTTTTTTCAGGTCTGTCCATCAGAGCAAGGTCTTGGCAAATTAGTGAAGTAGGCACAGTTTGTTTTTGGCTCCTCTCTCCCCTTAAGACATTCCCTTTCCCTCCTCCGGGAAGTCCCAGTTCTAGGATTGAAAACATGATTATAATCTCTGCTGACATGTTTTTGCTAATAATATAAGGATTTGCCCCTCCTGAGGGTAAGTGCATTTTTGTAAGGAGGTCTTGAACCTAAAACATCATTCTAGAGCTAAAGGAATGAATTTATACAGAAAGAATTTCAGGTTACAGCTTAGCTGGGGGAAATGAAGCCTTAAGTACTGGTTAATTTTTATTCTTTAATTATAATTGTTTTTACACTATGCCTATCTTTATTTTATTGCCCATGCTTTTTTATGAGTGGGTTTCCTCAAGTGTTCAAGTATAGACAAAGAATAAGCAGTAAAGCTTTTCATTTCTACTTGCATTTTTACTACTTATATTATTGGGCAAGAGTTTGAAACACTCAGCCTTCAACCTATTTTGCCCCATTCTGACAGTAGGTTTCAGGCCTCCTTTTCACCAAACTCAATTATTATGCTTGATATTCACCATAGAACTTCTACTTCTTCTGTTAAATTAAAACATGCAAACCTTTAATGGGAAAGGGCATATTTTATTCGTTAATGAAAAAACATGTTTTTATCACAATGCTTTCTATTCAAAGGTTGTGTTGTAGCATTTGTTGTGCATGTTTTTGTCCTGAATAAGAGCAGCAGGTTCTAACAGGCTAGCCCATTATTAGAATTTATTTCTTTTCATGAATAACAAGTTCATTATTTTAGAAGTTTAATCCTTTTCTCTAAAAGGGGCATACTATCTCTTTAGAAATTAATCAGTTTTTGCCTTCACATTTGGTCTTCAATTGCTGTATAGCATTGTTTCACTCTCTAAATTATGTGTCATAGCTATAGAGGTCCATGAATTGCTGCAGCTGTCGTTAAGGGGGCATTTTTCTATGGTCCATAGAATAAGCACTGTTTGTATCCTCTTTTCACAAACATTTTTTTAAAGTTCCCATGATGGTCTAAGAGAATATTCATTTTCAATTGGAATTAAAATTTGCATGGTAACAAATTGAAATCATGTATATAAATAATAATGACACAGTAGCACAAGGAAATTATTCAACTGATGAAATTCAAAGATTTCTGTGTACTTTGCTCTAAAACAAATCTTTTTTTCATTAACTTTCATTATAATTTTTAGTAGGACATGATCAACAAGAGACTCAAACAATAGTTGTTCCTTTCTTTCTTGGAAAGCAATTGGGAAGCAAATTTTATCAGACATTCCTAGAATAATTTAGTTAATGTAAGTCCTTCAAAGCATTAACCAGGTGGATTTTCTGCTTTTGTAATTCCATTATGGTCAACGTCTGTGGTACATCACTGGAGATAAAGTACATCTTTATTTGGGAGGAGGAACTAGAATAACATTTAGTCCAAGAGTACCATAGTCACAAGCAATGGGAAACATGCAGTAGAGAGAGAAGAAAGCTGAAGGAGAGAAATAAAAAAGGATCGTATTTATTTTCATTTAAGTATAGTCAATATAGATGAATGAAAGTCTGTCTTCAGAGACTATTAATATTTATTTACTTTTCCATTTGTGTCACATTGGGTAGTTGCTGCAGGAAAGAGGAAATACTCTCTTAGCTCTTCCTCGTTTGATTTTCAGATGATTCCAGGAATGTTCTGCATTGGTAAGTGGCAACAGGATCCAGCTATATGTCATTTAAGCCTAATCTGGGGGCTCAAAAAGGATTTTGGGTAGTTTCTGCAACCAAATAGTATTTACAATACAGAGAAACAGGCCTTGAAATCATAGAACCTTAAGACTAGAAGGAACCTAAAAGTTGTTTAAGCCAATCTTCCATGTTTAAATATTCTACAACAATCTTGGTAAGCATCCATCCCATATGCTTGATGCTGTCAATGAACAGCTTCCCACAACCTCCTGGCTGGTCAGTTTCAAACTCAACCACATGATTGCTGACTACTGAAAGCGTTCTGCCCCAAAAGGAAGGACAATGAAAAAGCAGCTTTTCTAGGCAAGTCCCGTGTATCTTCCAGTTATGAATCTAAAAGATAATAATTTCCCTATTTCACCTCCCCCTGACCTAAATTCTTATGTCTCTTGCCTCAAATATGAGGAAATAATATTTTATCTTCCATGCCTATTTGGCTTTAATATATGATATTATCACCAAAGTAAACAGCTCTTAACGAGCATGCTGTTCCAGTAATTCCTTGACTGACTGGTTCAATGTGTGTATGAGTCCCTTCCTGTAAGATAAATGTGCTAAAAATGACTGGCAAGTGCGTTAATATTAGTAGCAAATAAACTCAATTAAATACGAGTGTGAAAACTTTTGACATTGGCAGAGAAGAGTATTCTTAGCATAACAGGGAAGTTTATGGAAATCATAGAATATCCAAAATTCTATTCACCTCTTGGGTCATTAGAAGTTGTAGTTTTGCTGTTAAGGTAAATTACTCATTTTTTAATTAGATAACTAGACACCGCTTTTCTTCAACTCAACCTTAAATACATAATCCCATTTTCCTGCTCCTTATCTAGTTCATGTTTGTATACCAAACAAGAGCTATGTTTAACCTATTACTAAAGTTTCCTTTTTCTGTTTTTTTTTTTTTTCAATGAAGACCTAGTTTTACTTGCACATTTTTCACGAGCATCAAATAGTGGATGATCTTTCAAGCTTGAACAGCAACAGTTGTATTGCTGAGGAAGGATTTCTTGTTTCAAATTGTCTAGGTAATGATTTACAGCTATTTTTGGTAATTCTCAAAATGACAGCTCCTTGAATTTTTCTGTATGCAGAAAAATTTGCTGGGCTAGCATCTTTCAGACCCCGGGAGGTTCATCCCAATCCTTGGCATGTGGGATCAAGGGAATGCTCTGAAATCCTCGCTGTAGAGGGAATTGACTTGTCCAACATTATCTTGTGATACATGTGAATGTTTGACGAGGTAACTCTAAATATCTGCGGACTCCTGAGGCCTGAGATTTGTGGCAGGATGAACCCATGTGTTGGGTGATATTACGTATAGGCCTTAGGCCTTCCAAGACCAAACCTGATAAGTTGAACCTATGATGATGGTTGAGCTCCTTTGAAGAGGACTCACAGTACTTTGCAGCATCTTGCTTCATACAGTATTCAATAAACGGTTGCTAAAAAGTGGAAAAGAGGGCCAGGCATAGGGGCTCATGCCTGTGATCCCAACCCTTTAGGAGGCTGAGGTGGGAGGATCACTTGAGCCTAGGAATTGGAGACCAGCCTGGGCAATGTAGTGAAACCCTATCTTTACAAAAAATACAAAAATTAGCTGGGCATGGTGACATGTGCCTGTTGTCCAAGCTACTCGGGAGACTCAGATGGGAGGATCACTTCCGCCCAGGAATTCAAGGTGTCAGTGATCTGTGATCACACCATTACACTTCAGCCTGAGCAACAAAGCAAGACCCTGTCTCTAAAAAAAATTAAAAATAAATAAGTAAAATTAAAAAATGGAGAGGATGCAAAAAAACTACATAAGAATTAACATGCTGATGTAACTGGAAAATCAGGAAAAAGAAATTAACAACCTTTTCAACTTCTGAATATTTTCAGAAAATACATGTGGGTGCCACTGGTTATTGTAAGGCATGAGCTGGGGGGAAAGCTGGAGAAGAAACCATAAAAGGAAAAAGGGAAGAAAGAACATAACAGGCAAGATAGGAGAGAGATAGAAATAATATTTTTAAAAAAAGAGAAGAAAAGAAAGTATATTTAATATATCTTTCACATCATTTCCTTACTCAAAAATCTTCAATGGATCTGCATTGCTTACAGGATAAATTTCAGCCTCTTTAAGCTAATGTTTAGTGTGTTCTGTGATCTGGATTGAACCTACCTCTCGAACACATACCTCTGGTTTATTTATTGATTGTCCCTGACTATTCCTTTAGGGTTTTTATATTCTTGTCTTTGCTCCCTAAGGAAAATCCCATGTACCCTTCAGGACACAGACTCAGGGACTGCACTTAGAAGTTTTATACAGACAGCACTAATTGACTTTGTTTTTTATCATATTTACTTTACACCCCTTAACATTTTCCCTAATGCCCTCCTTAGATAGAACTCCCTTAACAGCAGGAACTCTGACTCCAATTCTATCAGATTATTTATGTGTTTTTATGTATGTTTTGCTTTTTTGTGTGTGGGTGTTTTTTTTTTTTGACATGTAGGATTTAGATAATTACAAAACTGTTTTTCCTACTAGTCTCCATTGTGTTACTTCTGCCAGCTACATAAGGATGCCTTCATCTTACTAAATTCTTCAGCCTCGGAAGATTTTTCCTACACAGTCATTTTCTCAAAGACTCTCTTTTCTTTGAAGTCAGCATTTAGTACTACAAGTAAAACAAAGAATCATCAACTTTTCCTGAGAGCTTTTACAGAAATTTGCCACATAGAAGTTATTTGATTGGCAAGAGTTTATATTTTTTCATGATGAGAGAGAACACTGAATTTAAAATGTTCAATAAAAGTAATATGTCTGAGGCATCTCTACTTCATATATTTTATAATAAAAAATGGATAGGAAAAATCAGATACCCAGGAGCTAGGATGAAAAAAATCTCATTTTTATAGAGCAGTAGAAGTTGAATTCCTGCAGCTCTCAAAATTTAAGTGCAGATTTGTCTTTAGAGCTTGCCTGGATGTGTGAATGGAGATTTGTAGTGAACCCTTATAATTCCATGGAATTTTGATATAGAAACTTTTCATATCAGAGAGCCATGAAGAGAAGGCCAAGAAGGTAGATTATCATAACTCAATTCATACTTGGGGATTCCAAGACCAAAACCAGTGAATTGAATCTATAGTATTAGTTGCATTTCTATAAAGAAAATTAACAAAAATTTTTGCAACATCATCTTTTTTTCAAGGAGCCAATTTACCCTATTTTTAAAAAATCTGTATACTCACTAATCCCTGAGAATTAAAAGAACTTCTATAATTTTCATGAAGCATGAGAACCTTACATGACAATACACTGAAATGAAATTTAGCAAGATGGCCACCAACATATTGCTTATGAAATTTTCCAGCTAACTCTTAGGCATCATGTTCACTCACACGCAGCCCGAAGTCCTCTAAGCCCTGTGTGTAACTCCTGAACTTGGACATTATGTGAGCATAAGGCCCATAGCAGTCATATAGCACACTCGGATAATTGCACAGGCCACTTGCAGAGTGCGACCACCAGTGGTAGGAAAGTATTAAAAGAAAGAAAGTCCTGGATGAGATGACACAAGTTACTTGAGTGTTATCTTAGGTCAAGCAGTAGTATATCAGTGTATCGGTGTGGCTGTTTTCAGGTTTGTTGAACTTTACCTTAGGGACTCATTTTGGTTTGGCCACTCTGAGCACATGTCATTTTTAGTAATTCATTTTTTGTCACAATCAAAATATTTTAGATGCATTGAAATAAACTTTGCTCACAGATTCTCCTTACACCTTGGTTCATTTTGTTTCCTTTTCCTGAAAAGTTTCTTCCCTTCTGTCTGTTAAAAATGCCACCCATGTGTCAAGGGCCAGCTCCAATCTCCACCTTTCTCATAAAGCCCTCCACAGCTGTCAGCCTGTGGTGATTTCTGCATCTTTTGAACGCCAGCATTATTTTGCTTCTTAGGTATTTGTTTATTGTCTTGTTTATCTGTTATTTTCTTCTATGTAACTCTTTTTTCTCCAGCTATTATACATTTTATCTTTCTTAAAGACAGGAAAGTTTTCTAATACTTTGTGTACCAAACATGGCCTAGCATAGTGACTCTCCCTTGTAGGTACCCATTAAATATTTGTTGACTAGTTGATATAATTTGTTACCTTTATGTTACCTTTAACACTGTTTCTCAAGGAAAAAATATAAAACCTCTTAGATCCACACTTATGGACCCCATTCTGAGCTACTTTGCAAACCTTTCCTTTGTACAGTCATGACATCATGTAAATAAATAATCTTGGTACTGGAATGCATCTTGGTTGAAATTCATTGCAAGTCTCAGTTATCAGGAGATAGTTCAGATGATTCCAAACATTAATTTTTAGAAGTTATCAGTGAAATAATACAAAAAATATTAAAATTCCCATGTTTCTAAGAATTCTACTGAAGTATTTCTCTCTGGGAGAAATACTATTTTAATAAACCCTATATTACTCTGAACTATGGGGAGGAAAAAAAAATGCCCAGTCATTAGGACAAACTGTATTCAAAGCCCTAACAATACACATATTTTCAATATTACTTCTAGAAAATACATTCAAAGGAAATAATTAAAGATGCACTCAAATACTTAGCTACAATGATATTCATTATAGCATTGAATATAATATATACATACATTTAAAAACCTAAATTACAATAAAATAGGTGGTCAGATAATTGTACATCATACGGGGTGCCATTAGGGTGTGTATTATATGAGAATATTTAACAAAATGGAAAGATATTCACAATATATTATGTGAAAAAGATTGTAAATATAATTTTTTTAAGTACTGGAATTATATGCTCCAAATGTTATATTAATGTCATTTTGCAATGAGATTATGGATTTCTAAACTTTCTAGAATGAAGGTATGTTACTTTTGCATAAAGAATTTTAAAAAATTAAAGATATTAAAAACTTAGCCAGTACTTTAGAATTCAAGTGTTTGCTCAGCCAGTACCTTAGAATTGCTCTATAGGGTCATATACCCTTCAGCCAAGAAACTATATTACTTAATCTTTTGAATTTTTCAAAAGATGATAAGACAAACTAAAGAAAGCATCTCTCCTCTTGATGGCTAACTTCTTCAGGAAAGTGAATGAACATCTTATGACTAAAGCCAATCCATGAGATTAGATTGTGGGAAGCATGTTCTGTTCTTCTTTGGCGACATGTGTGCTCATAGTTCTCACTTGATGTTGCTTGTAGGTCCATGGGAAGTGTATGTGTAAGCACAACACAGCAGGCAGCCACTGCCAGCACTGTGCCCCGTTATACAATGACCGGCCATGGGAGGCAGCTGATGGCAAAACGGGGGCTCCCAACGAGTGCAGAAGTAAGTAACAAGCCCACGATACTCAAAAGCTTTCTTTGTAAAGTCAACGCATCTGTGGACTCCTTGTTGTCTCTAGAAATACAACACAAAGTGGTGGGTGACAAACACTAGACCCTACACAAACATAGCCATATCACTGCCCACTGAGGCTTCAGCCACTGAAAACAGTTGCCGTTCATTACATTGCCAATGTGACTGTTTTGCCAAGAATATGTTGCCTATTTGCTTGGATACTTTGTGGGAGCTAAGAACTCTTTTATAATTTGACATAATAAAAACAGGAGGATGGCTCACACCTGTAATTTCAGCACTTTGGGAGGCCAAGGCGGGTGGATCACTTGAGACCAGGAGTTCAAGACCAGCCTGGCCAACATGGTGAAATCCCATCTCTACTAAAAATACAAAAAAAAAAAAAAAAAAAAAAGAAAGAAAGAAAGAAAAAATTAGCCGGGCATGGTGGCGTGCACCTGTAAGCCCAGCTACTTGGGAGGCTGAGGCACAAGAATCACTTGAAACCGGGAGGTGAAGGTTGCAGTGAGCCGAGATCACGCCACTGAACTCCAGCCTGGGTGACAGAGGGAAACTCTGTCTCTAAATAAATAAATAAATACATGAATAGACACGAGAACATCTGATTCTGTTGTACTCTCATTGCTGAGATGGTGAATTATAAACATGAAAATAGCTATGTTGAATTCAGTTCTCAAAACTACCCAATAAAGCACGTGGTGTTAATCCCATTATAGAGATCAGGAAACTGAGGCTCAGTAAGATTAAGTGATTTGCCAAAGTTAGTAAATGATAGTGGGGACTTGATCCCAAGTTTCAAGACTCCATATTAGGTACTTTTTCCCATAATACCACATTGCCTTTTTTTTTCACTTTATGATGCTTGAAATGAAAGATTAGATTTGAAATTAAGCCAGTAAGTTAAGAATGAGATTTCTCTACAAGGACTAACTAACTTGAGGTTTGAGGCTGGAGATTAAATAGGAAGGTTAAAATATGGGAACATGAGCCATTTTTTTCTTTGCAATTTAAAATGTTCAGAGAAATGCGCGTGCCCATCACAATGTTAACGCTCACGAACCTCTCTTTTACAAGAATTTAAAAGCAGGTTCTGTGGGTAAAACTGTGAGAAGTCTCTTCCCATACGTAATTTGGAGTCATAACTGATTTGTTTTTGTTTCTAGGAAATGTAAAGGATTTCCTGTAAGAATCCATCTTAAATTATCTTGTAATATACTTTTAAAAGATATGAATCTGGTCAGAATTTCATAACACATCAAGGAAACAATGAAAAACAATAGCACAAACATTTTCAAATACATTTGACCTCCACAAAAATCTGGATTCTTATTCTAAATCACTCATGAAGAGAATCTAAAGAATTTCTCCTGAATTCCTAGGGTGACTTTCTGGCTCTTTCCACAGAAATCAGCTGCCTATCTAAATACGTATAGAACACAGAGACATGTCACTTGATGCTATTGACTTATAATCTTAGAAATGCCTTTGAAGAATTGTTATATAATAAATACTGCAGGCCTCTTCTGTAAGAAAATTGAGGCTTCAATAGGAGTCCACCTTCTACTCACCAGTTCAACAGCTGAAGAATATACTTTATGAAAGATAAATCAATCTACTTGCCAACTTACTAAGCTCTGTCCACCAGAAGCTTCCTTCCAGGCTCATTAGTAAGCATGAATTCATGCCTACATCTGCAATATGAATGCTCCTTTCCACATAAGGCCTGACAATCTCAGCTTTTCTTAGCAAGGACAGGAGACCCACAGGGATGACCCTTGAGATGTATCAGGAATGGGAATTGTGAAGTGTTACCAAAAGAGAGGGTAAAAAACTGGTTGTCACTCCTGTAATCTTTCCATAATAAATGTCAATCCCCGTTGGTAAGTTCATCATAATATCTCTGCCCAACTAGACAAATCTACACTTTGTTGATTTTCATGCATCTCCTGAAACTTATTTTTTTTAATTAACAGCCTATAATGAAAAACTGGAAGGCTACACAAGAAACCCTTTTAAAAAAAAGTAGTAACCTATTGAAATCAGGAAAAACAGGGTAAATGGGGAGGCCGAGGCTAGATTTCTCAATGGATACCTTTCTATATTGCTTTGATTTTTGTATTGTTAACTACTCAGAAACTAAAACTAAACATTAACAATCAGTTTATCCTATTTTTAGTTTATTTATTTATTTATTTTGAGACAGAGGCTGGAGTGCAGTGGCGCAATCTCAGCTCACTGCAACCTCCACCTCCTGGGTTCAAGCAATTCTCCTGCCTCAGCCTCCCAAGTAGCTGGGACTACAGGCGTGTGCCACCGCACCTGGCTAATTTTTTTGTATTTAGTAGAGATGGAGTTTCACTGTGTTGGCCAGGCTGGTCTCAAACTCCTGGCCTCAGGTGATCCACCTGCCTCAGCCTCCCACAAGTGCTGGGATTACAGGTGTGAGCTACCACGCCTGGCCAACTCATCCTATTTTTACCTATCTGAATATGAGATAACCCATCATTTTATTTTTACTTATTAGTGTTTCTCTCCACGCTTCTTATTTCCAGCCTGCAAGTGTAATGGGCATGCTGATACCTGTCACTTCGACGTTAATGTGTGGGAGGCATCAGGGAATCGTAGTGGTGGTGTCTGTGATGACTGTCAGCACAACACAGAAGGACAGTATTGCCAGAGGTGCAAGCCAGGCTTCTATCGTGACCTGCGGAGACCCTTCTCAGCTCCAGATGCTTGCAAACGTAAGTAACCTGTGGTTTCCAGAAAATAGGCTGATTTGTACAAGAGATGAATCTCTTTATCCCTCATTCTGCTAACCCAAAAGAAGGAGGTCATTGAGGTTCTGAGATAACACACTCACAGATATCGGTTAATTTCTTCATTGATAAGAGGCAAGAATTTTCAACCAGTTGGGTGAAAACAGTATAATATTCATCAAAGTAATTTCCTTTCTCATTCTCCATAAAGTAAAATTATTTCCTATAGCACTGCATTTTGGTAAACAGGATGACTAATAGAAAAAAGAGTGATGAAGAGGGAGAGCTATTTAAGATCTTAAGACTACTTGTGAGTAGAAGGTAGACAATAAATGGACTCAAGCTGATGAAATAAAGGATAGTTACTGCACTTGGATTATTCTTTTACCTTAACAGTGAACTTAAACATGAAAAAAGACTAGTTTTGGTTTCCTTATAAATCCATTTTGATTGACACTGCTCTAATGTATCCTCACTATCATAACTAATTTAGGAAATCATATTAATTTTATGCTCTCCCCCAAAATACTAAACTCTTATAGCATGGGTTCTGCTTTTTTATTGACATAACTCTGAGAAGAGGTTTATTTGGAGGCCAGGCATGGTGCCTTATGTCTGTAATCCCAGCACTTTGGGAGGCCAAGGCAGGCGGATCGTTTGAGCTTACAAGTTCGAGACCAGCCTGGGCAACATGGCAAAACCCTGTCTCTACAAAAACTACAAAAATAGCTGGGTATGGTGCTGTAGGCCTGTAGTTTCAGCTATTTGGGAGGCTGAGGTGGGAGGATGGCTTGAATCCAGCAGGCAGAGGTTGCAATGAGCTGGGATAGTGCCACTGCACTCCAGCCTGAGCAATAGAGCCAAACCTTTCCAAAAAAAAAAAAAGAGAGAGAGAGAGAGAGAGAAAGGAAGGAAAGGAAAGAAAAGAAAAAGAGGTTTATTTGAAAAAAGAATAGAATTTGAAAAGATCTATCCGATTCATAGGACATTATCTGAATTATGTGAATGTAAAGGGTGCATGCAGGGCTTATGTAAATGTCAACTGTGGATGAATAGCTCATCTAACCACATCAGTATTTACCCTCTCTCAGCTCAGAAATCATCAGATAACAGAAGCCACTCAAGACTATTAATGGAGATTGATGATCATGCCCTTCCTTTCCCTACCAAGGACTCCATGTTCTAGCTCAAAAACAGTGACAGGAAGAAAGCACTACAATGGGAAATAAGCATTTAAAACCTTGGGGTTATTTGCGAGTTTTTTAAAGGAAAAACTATATTGCTCTTTAAAAATATTTTTTTAACATCAGGGAGAAGATATCAATGTGCAATTTGAACAGGCTTGCTTGTTAAAAGCTTTTTCTCTTAAATAATGGCAGATAAAATATAGTACTGCTCACTTTCCACACCAAGCCCCAAATCTGGATCTGTGTCATAATATTTCTCCCAGCATCCTGTTTTACTCCTGCTCCTTGTTTGTACTCAGACTTTGTAATATTTAATAGGTTTCAAACAGATGTAGATTCAATGCCTTCACTGCCAATTGCCAGCTGTGTGATGTTATGCCAGCTATTGAAGCTCTTCAGACTTCAGTTTCTTCATATGTAAAATTCCTGCCTGTAGTGTAATGAGAACTATATAAGACAAAGTGTGTATATAAGATAAAAGAGATGGCACATTGCCTGTCATAGAATAAGCCCTCAAGAAACGAAAACTACGCCAGGTGGGGTGGCTCGCATCTGTAATCCCAGCACTCTGGGAGGCTGAGGTGGGAGGATCACTTGAGCCGAGGAGTTTGAGACCAGCCTGGGCAACAGAAGAAGACCCTGTCTCTATTTTTAATATTATATTTAAAAATAACAATAAAGAGGCTGGGCGCAGTGGCTCAGGCCTGTAATTACAGCACTTTGGGAGACCGAGACCATCCTGGCTAACACGGTGAAACCCCATCTCTACTAAAAATACAAAAAATTAGCCGGGCGTGGTGGCGGGCGCCTGTAGTTCCAGCTACTCGGGAGGCTGAGGCAGGAGAATGGCGTGAACCCGGGATGCGGAGCTTGCAGTGAGCCGAGATCATGCCACTGCACTCCAGCCTGGGCGACAGAGCAAGACTCTGTCTCAAAAATAAATAAATAAATAAATAAATAAATAAATAAATAAATAAATAAAATAACAATAAAGAAATAAAAATGAAAACTAGTATTATAATAACTGTCATGTCCTATAAGCCAGAAAGTGGAAAATAATACTATAGCGTTTCTACTCTTTATTGATCAAAAATACCTTATTTAAAGATAATTACTTCCTTAAAATCTGCAGCTCCTTAGGGTCTAAAATATAGATCCTAATCTCCATGTGCTAACAAAATGGTCTCTGCTTATAATAATGGTGTCTTAGAACATAGTCCTGACACCATTTTGTACAGAATATGTTTAAATGAATAGATATATATACGTGTGTATCCCATAGCCTCAGACCACTAGTAGAAATGTCTAAAAATGAGAATGTCTGAACTACTAAGCAGATAAAAGAGAAAAGAAAAATAATTTGTCACTAACTTGGATAAGTTATCTTGTAGGGCAACAGGTAACATTTTCAAAAAGATACAGTTATATAGCATTTCCTTGAACAGTATGCTGTACAGTATACCTAATGTGTTCATGTATTCATTCATCCAGTTACTTTTATTGAGCGCCTACTATGTGCCAGGTGCTTAAGATGCATCAGAGAATAAGACAAAGATCCTTGCCCTCAAGGAGCTTATATTCTGATAGAGGAGACAGACAATAAATATAACTAATAAGTGAAATATACAGTATGTGAGAAGTTCATAAGGGCTAGTGTCATCAAAGAAGAAAAAAATAAAACAAGAGGGAAGGGATCCAGGGAACCAAGGGCTTGGGGTGGGAAGAGGAGTGGCAGGGTACAGTAAGGGACAGGATGATGAGGGTAGTCCCCAGCACTGGGAAGGTGAGATTTCAGCTAAGATTTGAAGACAGTGAAGAAGTTCACCAAAGAGTTAACTGGGGAAAGAACATTCTAAGGAGAGGGAATACCTAAAGTGAACGTCTTAAGACAGGAAGGTGCCTGATGTGACAAAGGAAATAACATGGGGGTTAGCGTGGCTGCATCAGAATGAGAGTTGGGGGTGTCAGGAGATGAGACTAGAGAGGTGACTGGGGAGGGGAGAAAATCTAATATGTACTGATGAGCCACTGTAAGCTCACCAGCTTTTACTTGGAGTAAAATGATGAGCCACTGCAAGGGTTTTCAGCAGAGAAGTGGCATGGTCTGACTTAGTTTTCAAAAGACTGTTCTTGTGTTACACAAAGGCAGCTCAATTCATATTGAACTTGCACTTTCAGCATTCAGCTTTAGTTGAAGTTAGCAAGCAAACTAGTGATTCTCAAAGTGTGGCTCTTGGACCAGCACCATCAGCATCACCTGGGAAATCTGTTAGACTTGTAAATTCTCGGACCCTGAGACAGATCAACTGAATCAGAAATTCTGCAGATGGGGCCCAGCAATCCGAGTTTTCACAAGCCCTCCAGGTGATTCTGATGCACAGTAAAGTTTGAGAAACACTGATCTCAATAAAGCATGCCCCGCCCCCCCAAATTTTACATTGGTTAACAAAGCCAGTTTCTAACATTTTGCTAACATTTGAGCCTCTTCTATGTGCTTGTGTAGCAAACAGCTAGTCACTTCCATTAGAATAAAGAGTAGAATACCAAGGGGAATAGTGCAAGAAAACGTTGGAGGATTGATTGGGGCTAGATTTGAGAGGGCCTTAACTGCCAACCTAAAAATGTTGGTATTTATTTTCTAGGGTACTAGGAGCCATCACAATAATTCAATTAGTATAGTGTGATATATTTGCAATGTATTTTAATGATGTATAGCTCAGATTAATTTCAAAGCATTACATATTATTCATTGCATTTTACTTTACTGATTTTTAAATTGTTTGGCTTTGTAAAGTCATAAGATAGGTAAATGTACAAAGAATTAAAACAGATGAAGCCCTTTTATAGTGCCTAAGTCTGACCAATTAAAAAGAGAAAAAAGAAAACACTTACTGGCAAAGTTGGAGCCAAAATAAATACCTTTTTGTTTATTTTGTTTTAGTTTTTTTTGTTACTGTTCTATGTTCAAGATATGGCTCATATTCTTACTAAATGTAAAAAGGTCACCAGCCCTAGCTTTTTAAATCCTAGAATACTCATAGCTTCAGAGTTTTATAAAAAGAGTATGAAAGAGGAGTTAGGAAAAAAAGTGACCTCTTGTTAGTAGTTACTGTTACTTATACAGCTCATCTAGAGACTTGTGCAAAACAAGTTCTATAGGTTTTGGTTCCCAAACTACCAGGTCTGTGAAAAACATAAGCAAATTGTGAGAATGCAGCTAAAATTAAACAACACCCGTAACTTTTTATTATTTTTTCAATCCATGAAAATGTCTGAACATTCATCAACGAACTTGAGCAATTAGAATATTTTTAAAGCTTATTCCTTCACTCAACTCATTCTTACTCAGTGCTACTATGTGCTAGGTGTGCTAGTTTCTGGGAATTACAACTGTAAGCAAAAGAGACACCATCTTTTGACAAAGCTAACAAAGTCTAGTGAGTTATCTGTAATGTATACATACACATATGTATATATAGGCAACTAGTGGTATACACACACACACTCATACACAGAAGTATAATAAGTATTGTGTTACGGAGTGTGGAGGGGAGCACATCAGAGGGGCAGTCAGCAAGAGTGGAGTGTTCTGAGTTTTGAGAACCTGAGACCTGAAGTTTAATGGAAATTAACAAAGCATGAGTAGAGATATTCCCATCAGAGAGAAAAATCAACAGGATTTGCCAAAAAGGAACAGAAGGAAGAAAGAATATAGCATATTCTGACAACTGAAAAAAGTCCTGGCCATAGAGACAGGAAAGAGTGAGGAGGTGGTTAAAGCAGTGTGAGGATGAGGGAAGTAGGGCAGGTAAGTGGTTGGCTGAAAGTGCCTGCATCTTGGACATCTCAGTCAGGGAGCAAGAGTAACTCTCGAGTTGAACTACCAACAAGTAGTTGATAATCAGTCCATGTGCGTCATCTACTATAATTGCCTGGTTGATATTTATAGATATAGCCATGTATATTTATAGATAATACCCAAGTACCAGAAGACCAAAGGCTCCAAAGTCATTTCAAGGAAAACTCCATCAAGACCACATTAAGATACTCTTAAAAAAAAAATTGCCCTGAAACATAATAAGGTAATTGTAACATATTTGTCTGTAATTCTAACATAATTGTAACAAGTTTCTGATCCCCTTATATGTTGTTATGGATTCAGCTACATCTGGCTACTGAAAAACTTGAAGCTAAAAACTACTACTACTAAGTCATATTAGTAATCATTCCTAGTTAACAAATACTTGGATGGTACTTAATGCACCAAGTAGGAAAATTATGAAAATAACCAACACCAATTTAGTTCTTTTAGCATAATGTATAGGAGGTAGATGGGTTCATAGGGAAGATCTGTATTTCTTTCTTTCCCTCTCCAGACAGCTCCCCGATCCCTGGGTAGGCTTCCCTAGGAAAGCCTATCTCCATTCGCTTTGTGACTATTCCAGGATACATTTGGGGCAGAGATGCCTGTGTCTGCTTCCCTAGCTTACGTTTCCTTACTGGCATCTGCTTCCAGAATATTACTCTGGTTCTTCTCTTTTTCTGAGCCTGCAGTAGATCCCAACATTTATCAGCACATCCAGTTCTCTCTACCTACGTACTCTCTACCTACGTTGTTTGATTAGGAGTATGTTTGAGAGCATTTTCATTACTCTTTAGTAATATTTTCATATCATTAATTCCCTCCTTAGTAGATGTATCCCTATGTCACCTCTTTGTCACTGCTTCAGTTATAACTGATAATAAAGCTTATGACAAATAAGTTAACATATTTAACATTTATTAAGTACCTATAATTACCAGATTTCATGTGAGGTGCTGACAGCGATATTCTTATAGCTAGATGTTTTCCCCCCATTATTTCCCACTTTACTTTTATGAGGAAGGTAGTATCAAGAAAACAAGTTGATATTTTAAAAATTTAAACTATTTCAGTATGTGGTTCCATCAACAACAAGTACAATGTTATTCAAAATAACAATTTTATTATATTTATTTTACTGAGCTTACCAAGGCAGAAAAGCAAACTGCTACTCTGTGTGTGGTCTGCAGACCAGCCGCATTGGCATCATCTGGTTGCTGATTAGCAATTCAGAACCTCTGATCCTACCCCAGAGCTATTGAATCATATTAAAGGTTCAGAGTAGCCAGGCATGATGGCACACAGCTGACATCCCAGCTCCTCAGGAGGCTGAGGAGGGAGGATCACTTGAGCCTCCAAAATTCGAGGCTGCAGTGAGTTAGGATCACGCCACTGCACTCCAGCCTGGGCAGCAGAGAAATTTCCCATCTCTTAAAAATTTTTTTTTAAGGTTGAGAGTGCTCTTGAATGCTTTTCAACAAGGGTTCTATGCACTTAATTTACAGTTAAATTTTTCAGAGTTAGCCAGAACAGCCTAGTTAAGCAAACATCCAAATTAACGAAGGTTTACATCTCTATTTGTGTGCATATAGGCTTAGAATATTTTAGAATAAATTATGTAGAGGTTTACTGAGAAAAAATGGAAATCTGAATAAATATGTTTCTGTGGTACAGCATTTTCCAGAGTTTGATCTGCAGAGTTCTAATTCTATGAAATGTTAATAGAAATTATGTGAGGGGAAATTTTGCTATGGCCTTCAAATTTAGGAAATAAATTAATCAAAGGTTTCTTCACTTCAGTATGTCTCAGAGCCTAATATGCTAATGTTTATTATAAACCTGTTTCGGAGTTTTGACATCTCTCCAATTTAACCAGAGAATGCTTTTCTTTCAAAGCATCTTTTGGGACCCGTGTTCTATAGCACACACTGGAAAATGTTGTTATACTGGCCATATCTATATGAAGACTTTACTTGGGAAGACACACGCTAGAAGATTTTTTTCTATATATTTGTTCCCCATTTCCAAGTGCTAGAGCCTACAAATGCGTACCAAGGAAATAATGAACCTTACATTTCTATCAGTGAAATAATCATAAACATAATATTAACTAGGCTTGGGCAATCTAGTCTATTGGACTGCCAGCAATGAACATATGACAGCCCTTTTCTTCTTCTCTCTCTTCTTTTCCAGTTTTTATCTTCTCAAAAGTTAGAACTGGGCCAGGGGTGGTGGCTCACACCTGTAATCCCAGCACTTTGGGAGGCCAAGGCCGGTGGATCACCTGAGGTCAGGAGTTCGAGACCAGCCTGGCCAACATGGTGAAACTCCGTCTCTACTAAAAATACAAAATTAGCCAGGCATGGTGGCAGGCACATGTAATCCCACCTGCTTAGGAGGCTGAGGCAGGAGAATCGCTCGCACCTGGGAGGCAGAGGTTGCAGTGAGCCAAGATTGCGCCATTGCACTCCAGCCTGGGAGCCTCCAGAGCAAGACTATGTCTCAAAAAAAAAAAAAACCAAAAAAAAAAAAAACCATTGAAAACCTGAAGCAACAGTTGAGATAAATTTACTAGAAGCACATAAGTTGTAGCTCAGTTTAGTTCAGAAAACATTTATTGAGTGCTTCCCCTGTGCCAACATTAAGTCTGTGAAAATCAGAAGATCTTCCCTAAGAGATGTTACATTCTAGATGAGGAGAAATGTATAATAATAGATCATTTCAGTACTCTGTGGTGGTGATGATGATGACAATATCATAGTAATTGCTGACGTATATTGAGTGCATACTATTTTCTGGTCACTATTCAAAGGGCTGTGTATGTTTTCACTTTTTTAACTTTCACTAAAGCACTTCAATGTAGGTAACATTATTACCACCCATTTTACAAGAGGAAAGTGCAATGAAAAAGATACAGCAAGTGCCTTAGGGAGAGTGTGGGGGTGAGTGAGGACAATTTAGGGAAGACTTCCTTGAAAAGATCCCTCCCTACTTCTTAGATGGCTGTTTCTGTTTTTTCCTGTAAAATTGCTGAAATACAGTTTGTCCTGATTTCTTTTTTTTTTTTTCTTTTTTTTTGTTTTTTTTTTGTTCTTTTGAGACGGAGTCTCTCCCTGTTGCCCAGGCTGGAGTGCAATGGCGCAATCTTGGCTCACTACAACCTCTGCCTCTTAGGTTCAAATGATTCTCCTGCCTCAGCCACCCGAGCAGCTGGGATTACAGGTGCTCGTCACCACACCCAGCTAATTTTTGTATTTTTAGTAGAGACGGGGTTTCCCTATGTTGGCCAGGCTGGTCTCGAACTCCTGACCTCAAGTGATTCACCTTCCTCGGCCTCCCAAAGTGCTGAGATTTCATGCGTGAGCCACCGCGCCCAGCCAGTTTGTCCAGCTTTCTAATCTCAGTCATTTTTAATGAGTTGATCTAGAAAATGAAACAAATTGATGATGTTCTTCCTCACAGCATCTATGATACATGTAATAAAATACGTACCTGGGCATGTTGATTCATTCAACAAATATTGATGGCATTAATCTTGGGGTTTTGTTTGCAGTTAGGTAGCTAGTTTCCTGCCAGGTTAAGCCAAGGACTTACTGGTTCCACGAATGTTCTAGGAGATTTTTCCTCCCACTCTCCTGAGAAGCACCATGCTAAATGCTATGGTTTTATGTGTACATTTTTACTTAATGGTTATAAATTCATCAAACCTGAAGAAACGAGGCCCTGAACCAAATCTTCTAGCCAATAGATTTATTTCTTGTGAGCAATTAAATCATCCCTGTTCTCACTTCCTCTTTATTTCAACCTTAATCAGAGTCTACTGTTGGACCCAGCACAATCAACTACACATTACCATGCCAAGAAATCACTTCTGAGGATTCCAGGGATGTTGTTTGTTTTTTTAAGACTGGGGAGATCACTGAAACTGAATTTATTTCTACAGCTTAGGAAAAAAAAATTTTTGAAAGGACAGTGCATTTAAGGTCTGTAAACACAAGGGAAAACATGAATCTCTCCAGCTGAACCTAGGGCTGAGAACAGAAATGGAGGCTCAAAGTGACTCGTTGCTCAGGCACAGAAGGAAAAAGGGGAATGTAATTCTCACTGTGTACTGAGGTACTTTGAGGAATCTCATCTCTCTGTTCAAAAAGTGGATAGTCTCTTTTAGAGTAACTCACTTGAAACCTTTAAAGTCACCTATGTGACTTTGGTAACCTATAACACAGGTAGATTTTTCTATAGCAGGCATATTTTTAAAATGTGACAGCAGGGGTGGTGGCTCACACCTGTAATCTCAGCACTTTGGGAGGCCAAGTGGGCAGATCACCTGAGGTCAGGAGTTCAAGACCAGCCTAGCCAACATGGTGAAACCCTGTCTCTACTAAAAATACAAAAATTAGTTGGGAATGGTGGAGGGCGCCTGTAGTCCCAGCTACTTGGGAGGCTGAGGCAGGAGAATCACTTGAACCGAGGAGGCAGAAGTTGCAATGAGCCAAGATTGCACCACTGCACTCCAACCTGGGCAACAGAGGGAGACTCTGTCTCAAAAAAAAAAAAAAAAAGAAAGAAAGAAAGAAAAAAGAAAGGGAAGAAAAGAAAAAGAAAGAAAGAAAAAAGAGAATAACCTTCCTAGATAATTGTGTACTGGCTTTTGCGGCAGGGTTCGTGGTGGGAGGGAACCCTGACCTGATTCACACCATTTAGCAATTTCTGTGGTTGAAACATTCTCACCACGGCCAGTTTCAAACTCTCAGGTCATTTTTCATCAGGAAGTCAGACTCAGACTCTGAGTCAAAAGTAGAACGGTTTGGACAAGGTCTTGCCTCCACTTTCACAGCCCCACTTCTCTCACCTCAAGTCATTGGTTCCCAAACCTGGCTGTGGGTCAGAATCACCAGGGAGCACTTACTCAAAATGTGCAATCTTAGAGTCCTGCCCAGAATACACTGAATCAGAATCTCCAACAGGGCGTCCGGACAGAAATCTGCATTCCTTTAAAAAGCATCGTTGGTGACTCTGATTCAGCCTTTTGGCCTCTTGGCTCAGCATTTGAAAACCACTGCTTATAGCAGTCTTGTCTCTAGCATAAGCTCTCTTTAAAAAAAAATTAATTAGCTGAGCATGATGGTATGCACTTGTAGTCCCAGCAACTCAGGAGGCTCAGGCAGGAGGACCACTTGTGCCCAGGAGTTTGAGGCTGCAGTGAGCCATGATCACACCACTGCACTACACAACCAGGGTGGCAGACTGAGACCCTAAGTAAAAAAAAAAAAAAAAAAAAAAAAAAAAAAAAAAATCCTCACTTTAGAAGAATACACTGTTTGAAACAGGTGTTTAAAGAAATGCCTGTAGAACAGAATTAACTCCTTTTAGGAAACAACCAGTTAATTCCTTTACAATAAATTTATTGACTTTTATGCCAAGACACATATTTTAAACTATTACATAGTCTTTCTCCATATTAAAAGGAAAATCAGAAAATGGAAAAGAAAGCAGAATTCATTCTCTGTCAAAGTAAACAACCTCTTGAAAGATTGGCATGCCCTTCCTTCCTCCCTGATGGGCCAAAATAAATGTAGTCAATTGCCCTTTAGCACAGAGTGAATAAAAATAAACTTGGTCTCTCTGCCCTAAAACCCAAACCAAGCATTTACCAAGATAGCATCTGGTTTCATGGCTACCTACCCAAATGAACCAGCTATCTTTGTAAAGAAAGGGTTATATCATCCAGATCTTTTTTTTTTTTTCCTTCTTTCTGGCTTAGGTGAAAACTACTCAGCTGTTGGAGATGCAGGTGCTTTGGGTGGATGACTCTCTTGCCTCAGTCTCTATTGCCATTCTTCACATTCTACTCAAATAGCCCCTTCTCATGATGCTCTCAGGAAGAGTCTCTGCATTTCCGTTTGCACTGATCTCTCTTAAACAGTTATTTCATTTTACCTCCTGTATAGTGATGCTTCCATTTCAGTCTATCTTTCAAGTACAATTTTTACACTAATTAAATCCAGAATACCTTACCACAATTACACATGTAAGAAAACATAAGCACCTTTCATTTGTTTATTCTCGTGCCTGTGAACCAGTCCATTCCTTCCCAAAGGTTATTGAGGTCTCTTCAAATAGTAACTTGTGGGCTTTTTCTTTCAAATTGTAGGTTTGGCAAAGTCACGTGAGTTCATTTTATACCATATAAACAACATAGACATCCTTGTTTTATATTGAAAGCAACTGTGAATGATTCCAGCATAGAATCAATATGAAGTAACTGTTTGTGGAAACCACACTTTAAATAGAACAGTAACTTGGCAGTAATAGTTGGGAAACTTTAATCTCAGCTTTTTTTTTTTTTTTTAATCCAAGAAGTAAAACCAGAGTTTAAGAAGTGAGAGAAATAGAGAAAATAGATATGTCATAACATAATAATCATACTAAGGCAATCCTTTAAAAAGATTAAATAACACATATTGAAATTCATCAAAAAAAGAGAAGCTACGATTATTTTTTATTTTATTTTTTTTTTGAGGCAGAGTCTCACTCTATCGCACAGGCTGGAGTGCAGTGTCATGAACATGGCTCATTGCAGCCTCAAACTCCTGGGCTCAAGCAATTCTCCTGCCTCAGCCTTCTGAGTAGCTGGGACTACAGGCATGTGCCATCATGCCCAGCTAATTTTTTAATTTTTTATTTTTAGTATAGACAGGGTCTCACTATGTTCCCCAGGCTGGTCTTGAACTCCTGAGCTCAAGTGATCCTCCCACCTTGGCCTCCTAAAGTGCTGGGATTACAGGCTGGAGCCACTACACCCAGCCAAAACTTTACAAATTGATGGATAATAAAAATCAGTCACATTTGGGAAGAGAAGTGGACAAGGTCATGAAATTCTCTAAAATGTCTTCCAAGAAGAAAGTGGAATGCAGTAATTCACTGAATAAATAAATAGTATACCATTCTACTTTTGATGAGGACATGTAATAATCAAGCAAACAATTAGAAAATATCAAAATCTTCAGAAGGTCTGGACAAAATTAGAAGGTGCATAAAGAAGAGAATGAGCATTTGGTGAATGGCTGTCATGGACCAGACCTCGTGGTAGGTAATTTAGCAATGTTTATGTGCTAAGTTATAGCTTTATGTGCTATATTTTCTATTTTACAAATGAAGACACTGAGACTTAAATTGATTACAGTTGTCCCTGTTCCTCCATCCACAGTATCCTCGAGGGATTGGTTCCAGGATCCCCGAGGATACCAAAATTCATGGATGCTCAAGTCCCTTATATGAAATGGCTTAGTATTTTCATATAACCTATGCACACCCCCCTGTATACTGTAAATCATCTCTAGGTTACTTATAATACCTAATACAATGTAAATGCTGTGTAAATAGTTGTTATACTGTAGTGTTTAGTTGTATTGTTGTATTGCTATTTTTTACTGGGTTTCTCCTCAAATATTTTTGATCCACAGTGGGTTGATTCTATGGATGCTGAATCCACGGATGTTGAGGGATGACTGTATATAATTTGCCCATGTTCACATAGCTGGTCAGTGCCAAGGCTGGGATTTGAACCCAGGTTAGTCTGACTACAAAGATCCCATGACCTGCAAAGATCCAAAGAACTGTATTACACACCGTGACCCAGTTAATGACAACAGAATCAAAACCCAAAGGAAGAAATAATAAAATATATATTTTAAAGGCAAAAATAATTTTTAAAGAACCTAGTTTTTTTGAAAAAAAAAAAAAAGTAAAAGCCTTTAGTTTTGTAAGGCCCTGCTTACTGATAAATAGCCATGTAGTATTTGAATCTAAAGAACTGATTTCATCCTAAGGAATCTTAGTATAGGAAAGATGGAAATGACTGGAGAATATTCCAGATAGGCCAACAAAAACCATCAAGAAAAGAGAGATACTAATGAATAAGTGTGAAAGATGATAAATATTGTCAGATTATCCAGGAAATTTCTCAAGGATACTACAGCAACTTTCTATAAATACTCAAAAGGTGTAAGGGGGAAGTAGAGGTGTGGCAAAAAATAATTTACTTTCCTTGAACAAAGAGTTCTAATTGGATATAATTGGGTGAAAGGAATTTCAGATTGATTAATGTGAAAGAAATTTTGCTGCCAGTGAAAGGTACTTACGGGTGGAGAATGTCCCCTATCAAGTTAGAATAAATAACTTTTTTTTTTTTTTTGAGACAGGGTTTTTGCTCTGTCACCCAGGCTGAATGGAGTGCAATGGCATGATCACAGCTCACTGCAGCCTTGACCTCTTGGGTTTAAATAATCCTCCCATCTCAGCCTCTCGAGTAGTTGGGACTACATGCACATGCCACCACACTCAGCTAATTTTTTTTTTTTATTTTTTGTAGAGAGGGGCTCTTGCTGTGTTGCCCAGGCTGGTCTTGAACTCCTGGGCTCAAGTGAACCTCCGGCCTCAACCTCCCAAAGTACTGAGGTTACAGGTGTGAACCACCGTGCCTGGAAAGAACTTTTCTTACAAAAAATAAATAATAAAGCTGGACTGACTGAAGCATTAAATATAGGATATAGTCTTGCTCTGGGAAGGTGCAGAATAATCTGCTTTGTTTTGACCATTTGAGTTTACCATAGATTTGTTGGGGTGGTTTTCTGTTTCTAGTATCCAGTATCCAGTACTACAATCCTGTGGTGTTAAGATATTATTCACAGAAACCTATAAAGAGCAGTATGGACCTTCTAGGAGGTTCATCAAAACATAAAATCATTTCATGATTGTTGCTTATTAAGATGCACGTTCATTTATTAATGTAACAAAGGTGAGTGATTTGCTAAAATGGGTCAGGCATTGACCTAGGTTTGGGGGATACAGCGATAAAACGATGTGGTTCCTATCCTCTAGCCCTTTACAATGTACTATAGTGACGGCAGTGAGGTGAAAAATCAGAAGATTATTGGAGGCCATAAGATCATCAATTATTAAGAAATATTTTTTAAATGACACAAATAGTTCAATTTAAAAAACTCAACCTAAATTTATTCAGTGCCTCTCATGTGGCAGGCCTATTCTAGTCACTGTCTGTACAACAAAATTGTCTCTATCCCCGTGGAAATAGACTCTAAATAAATTTACCCAAGTAAATATGTAATTAAAAGCTATAATAAGTGTTATGAAAAAAAAAGGGGAGCATGACAGATTATGGCAGGATGAACCGCATCAGTTCAAAGGCGAGATCGAAGATAGACACAGTTAGGTTTGTTTCTCCAAAGGAAAAAGGAGCTAGGGATAACTCCAGTTCCTGGCTAGGTGCCTGCATAGATTGGAAATACAGGAGGCTGAACAGGTGGAAAAATAAGGAAGGAAGGAAGGAAGTGAGTATGGGAGGGAGGGAAAGGGGAAGGGGAAGGGGAAGGAAAGGAAAGAAAAAGAAAGAGGGAGGGAGGGAAAGAAAGAAAAGAGAAAAGAAAAGAGGGAGGGAGGGAGGAAGGGAGAGAATGGTGCACCCAAGTTTTCCCATGATAAAATTTGTCTGTATATGCAAAAGTGCTTTCTTCAGTTTTAATTAAAGTAGCAAATCAAGAATATAAAATTGGCTTTTTAGCTGCCTAAGATCTCTTAGATATACCCAGGAATAAATAGTAACTGGCCCAGCTACAACTAGTAAACATGAAAGGAATGATACAGAAATTAAATAGGGAATCTGAGCAGTAGTCACATAGCAAGCATTAAAAATAAAGGCTATGGCTGAGCGCCTGTAATCCCAGCACTTTGGGAGGCCGAGGCGGGCAGATCACTTGCGGTCAGGAGTTCAAGACCAGCCTGGCCAACATGGTGAAACCTTGTCTCTACTGAAAATACAAAAATTAGCCAGGTGTGGTGGCACACACCTGTAACCCCAGCTACTCAGGAGGCTGAGGCAGGAGAATCACTTGAACCCAGGAGGTGGAGGTTGCAGTAAACCAAGATCACGCCATTGCACTCCAGCCTGGGCGACAGAGCAAGACTTGTCTCAAAATAAAATAAAATAAAGGCTATGACTTTTGTATTTATTTGCAGTATGCATTTAAATGTGTATAGAAGACAGGAAACAGACTTAAATACTGTACATTTATTTTTTAAAGCTTTAGAGGCAGATCTCATGCATCCTACCCCTCTTTTGGGTAGGATGTACAAAAACTCAGGAGACACTGAACTTCAGTAAATGAAAGGCAAATCATAATTCAGATTGTTTTCTTATTAAACTGATTCAAGCGTCATTTTTTTTTTTTTGAGACAGTCTCGCTCTGTTGCCCAGGTTAGCGTGCAGTGGCGTGATCTCCGCTCACTGCAACCTTCACCTCCCAGGTTCAAACCATTCTTGTGCCTCATCCTCCCAAGTAGCTGGGATTACAGGTTTGCACCGCCACACCCAGCTGATTTTTGTATTTTGAGTAGAGATGGGGTTTCACCATGATGACCAGACTGGTCTTGAACTCCTGGCCTCAAGTGATTTTACCTGCCTTGGCCTCCCAAAGTGCTGGGATTACAGGCATGAGCCACCATGCCTGGCCATAATTTTATTTGAAATTAAATACCCCTTGAATATTGTGGAACTAGCTACCATTGAACGTAATGTATATAACATTGCAAGGATCAATAGAAAAATGTTCCCTAGGATAGTAAAGGGGTACCATATGGCCTTTCACAGAGTAAAGCACATTTACAACTTTTTCTTATTTTTTTATAGCTTTTCATCCACTAGCAAAAATAGTTGATAGCAGAAGGAAAGAAGAAAACAGTGCCAAAAAGAAAAAAAAGATAAAAGATCTCATTTTTTCTACTATTTAACTTCACACTCTATTTATGTATAACAGTTCAAATTGTGTCGTTTCTTCTTAAAGCTGTGTCTCGAAATCATCTCCCTTAAGTCCCCCTTGCTCTAAGAATTCAGCAGGCAGCTGGGCAGCTTTTGGAATGACTTCACTATTAAAAATCCCCCTCAGAAATTCTGTAGGGCCTTGGCCTTTTCAGGAGAAAACAATGTTGGGAGCCTGGAGGCGCTGCCGAGGGAGTGGCCGCGCGGAGGGAGTGGCCGCCGGGGTCTTGGTGAAAGATCTTGACAAGCAGCTTCTTTCCCAGCTAAGGGCCTTGAACTTTGAGTTCTGTTTTTAGAAAAGCTAAATCAGGAGCAAATACTTTTAGGGTATTTTTCTCCCAGTGTAGCTTTTATAACAAAATAACAAAAGTTAGAGCCATCAGGTAATATTAAAGGAGGCCAGTTTCAGAGCGGTAAGATGCTGAATTCCATTGGTGGTTTCAACAATGAGCTTAAGATCACAGATCACTCCCTCAGTGGAAGACAGGCAGACTCCTAGAGTTCTAGTGGAAGGTGGGAATAAAGATGAACCGGCAGCAATTACCTCCTTTGACTCCATCATCAAAGGCTATAGCAATCTCTTCAGAATAAAGGGAGCCATAATGGTTCCATTATGTTCCTGTCTTGTGCTTGTGTTTGTGTACTTTTTATATTCATGCAGGTTGACCGCTGTGACTCTTGTCCTATATGACATTTCAGGGCAGCAGGACCATAGATCACACCCTCCTTTTTTTCAACATACTCTGATCCACAAAATAAGAGTAATAGGTTAATTTTTTTTCTTTTTCTTTTTTTTTTTTTTTTCAATTGAGACAGGTTCTTGCTCTATCACCCAGGCTGGAGTGCAGTGGCGTGATCTCGGCTCACTGCAGCCTCCGCTTCCCAGGTTCAAGCGATTCTCCTGCCTCAGCCTCCTGAGTATTTGGGATTACAGGGATGCACCACCATACCCAGCTAATTTTTGTATTTTTAGTAGAGACGGACTTTCACCATGTTTCTCGGGCTGGTCTCTAAATCCTGACCCTAAGCGATCTGCCTGCCTCGCCCTCTCAAAGTGCTGTGATTACAGGCATGAGCTTCCGCACCTGGCCAATAAGTTAATTTTTTTTGTCCAAGGAAAGGAACATATAACAGGAGAGTAACTTAATTCCATAGAACTTAGAGTAGTCAAGAAAGCAGTGTTCCTCTCTGATACAAAGGCAAGGAGGCTATTTTGAAAGCCAGTTCAATCATTAGTTTCCTTTAAAAAAAAAAACATATCTACAATGAGGCAGTTTGTTGCTCCTGTATTCTCATGCACCCTGAACTACCTCGGGTATAATGCTTACTGCCCTGTCATTATCTACACTTCTCTCTTCCCTCACTCAAGAGATATGACTTTTTGTAGTCATCTTTGTATCTTCGGCCCCTAGCATAGTTCATGTTAACCTTAAAGTTCAATAACCCTTTGGTAAAGTTGCAAGTGAATGAATGAACGAGTGGTGAGCATTTTTATACGAATACGTTTCATCTAGATAATAATATCCTTTTTTTTTTTAGCATTTGGTGCCACTAGATGCCTGATACATTGCTAAATATTTACATACATGATCTCAAACCTCACAAAACATCTCTGTGGCTTCCTTCATTAATGAGAAAACTGACAGCTGAAGAAGTTAATTTCACAAAGTCTTGTAAATAATAAGCCTCATCACCAGAATCTAGTTCTGGATAGAATCTAGTCATCTAGTCTGATTCCCAAGCTTGTGCTCTTACCAACTTTATTATATTGCTTCTATTTTATTTTCTGTCTTCTAAGAAATCTTACAGCAAATTTCCAAACAACTGTATTTATTGTCAGCCTTTGTGATTGATACAAATATTAGTTTTAGAGCCTTATGCACACACAAGATATTTGAAAATGTGCCCATCCATCGTTTCATTAACAGGTGTGTTTCCTGCTAGAAAGTCCTACACAGCAGCATTGCCTCCTTTTCTATAAATGCTGCAGGGGCCCTGCTTCACTTTCAGATGTATTGCTGCAAACATATAACTATAGATAAAATTTCTATCATATTCAGCAATTATCTAAATTCATTACTTGAAGGGAATCTGTTGTGAAATCTTTTGTAAAGTACTCATTTCCTCTACCTCATCTGTTTCAAAACTTTTGCACTGTTACCATAGATTTTCTTCCAGTAGAACACTTGGGTAAAGAAGGTACCAGCCAGGCATAGTAGCTCATGCCTGTAATCCCAGCAGTTTGGGAGGCTGAGGCGAGTGGATCACCTGAGGTCAGGAGTTTGAGACCAGTCTGGCCAGCATGGTAAAACCCCATCTCCACTAAAAATACAAAAATTAGCTGGGCGTGGTGGCGGGTGCCTGTAATCCCAGCTACTCAGGAGGCTGGGGCAGGAGAATCACTTGGACCCAGGAGGCAGAGGTTGCAGTGAGCAGAGATCACACCATTGCACTCCAACCTGGGCGACAAGAGCGAAACTCTGTCCCCCCCAAAAAAAGGTACTATTCAAAGTAAGTCTCATGCATTATTGATGAACTCTTGTGAAAATATCCGGAAATTAAATTGACATTTTTAATAATTTTGTTTTGCCACCATGGTTGTGGGTGAGAGCAGGTTAGGGCAGATGTTTTGGGGGGAAAATGATGACTCCAGTGATGAATGATTTACCACCTAGACAGGCCATACAGCTTCTAAATATACCTGGTTACCACTCAGTGTAATATTTTGGCTCTTAAGGACAGTTCACCACAGCTGTGAACACTAAAAATTATAACGAAAAGAATAATTAATGTCAGCATAATAGTATATGATGATGGTTCAACTGTTGGGTCTAACAAGAAGACAGGCCGGGCATGGTGGCTCACGCCTGTAATCCCAACACTTTGGGAGGCTGAGGCAGGTGGATCACTTGAGGTCAGGAGGTCAAGACCAGCCTGACCAACTGGCAAAACCCCGTCTCTACTAAAAATACCACAATTAGCCAGGCGTGGTGGCACGTGCCTGTAATCCCAGCTACTCAGGAGGCTGAGGCATGAGAATAGCTTGAACCTGGGAGGCGGAGGTTGTAGTCAGCCAAGATTACGCCACTGCACTCTAGCCTGAGCAACAGAGCAAGACTCTGTCTCAAAAAACAAACAAACAACAACAAAGACAAAGCTGAAGTTAAGAACTTCTGTCACTCTGGGTCATAACTTTGACATTTATTGTGAAAAAATAAGTTCTTGGGTTGCATTTTAGAATCAACAATTAGTAAGAAATATGTGTTGGGGAATCAGAACTGAACCAGAACCTGAGGAGATCCTTTTTCCTTCCAAACAAGAAGAAAATATGTTTGCATTTTGGAAGAAAATAAGAAAAGTAGATTGTATGTGTCAGATATTGACTGCTATCAAGCTTCAGGAGATAAGTATGCAAGGCAGACCTCGGTGTGAGTCTTGAAAAAGTATGCCATGAAAGATGTCAGGGCCTTCGGCCTGGAGCTAGTTCTGCATAGTTTCCAAATGGTATCTTTATCTTGTAATTATGTGAGAAGTCACGCTGACAGAAATCTACTAGCACATATGACAGAAACACATTCTTCTCTGGCCATTCCTGAAATGAGTGTAGCTTTTAAAATATATGGTAGAAGGGAGAGGTCAACTCCTGGAAATGCTTGAATTTTCTATTAGAGGAAAAGATAGGAGTGGTGGACTACCATATATTACCATAGAAGGGGTTCTTATAATATCTTTCTTCTGGCTAAATCTCTCCTATCTGCTTTAAGAACCAAATTGACTTGACTGAGTGATATAGTAACTATAGGTTTCGTCATCTCAAAATTATATAATTTTCATACTAGATTATGTGATTTCATTTTAAGTAATGTCTACACTGTTTTGAATATAGCATTTTGATATATTCATATTGCATATTATATAATCCAAATGAATTATTTCTTAATTAGAAACAAACCATAAATCAATAGTGCTTTGATACTTTAAGAGAAAAATGCCTAAATGTTCTCATAATAAAAACCAAGTGAAGAAAAAAATTAGGAAATTTAATGTAGAGACAGTGCTTATCATAACTGTATGAATATAAAGATGTTCTCCTTAGAACCTCAATGTTTTAGAGGCAAAATCTTTACTTTCCTCCGGTATAAAGATCTTTAAAATCTTGGAATAATTCTTTTAAACTTGGGATCTCTTTAAGGACCAAGACTGTTTTATTCAAGTTAGATCCCTAGCAATTTGCACAGTACTTAGCACATAGCAGGTGCTCATTAAATGTTTGTTGAGTAAGTGAATGGGTAAATAAACGCTGCCTTAAATATACACATTATTAGCCTTTCAAACAGTGTCTCCTATGCTGTTTTCCTCCATTGTCCTTTGTAAATAGTGCTTATATCATAGCCTTTTAATTCAGTTCAAGGGTCATTTTTGAGCAGCTGTAATCTACCATTTGCTAACGTCTTACTAAGTGCTAGTGACGTACATTATCTCTGGTTTAGTCCTCAACAGAACCTGGTAAAATAGAAATGTGGGGCTCAGAAAGGTAAAACAAATTTCAGCTAGGAGTTAAACTCAAGTCTGCCTCCGCTAAGCACTGCAGGGGATAGGTGAGTGAGGCCCATGCTCCACTTCAAAGAGCTTACAGACCGGTGTGATAGACAAAGAAAACCCCCAACTGCCTAATGCAAAGTAGAATGTGATCAGAGCTATAAGAAGAAATGTTTCTTTAAAGCACTGGAGGGTTACAAAGAAAGGGTAAATCATACTCAACTGCATTGGAATAAGGAATGATTTCTAAAATAAGGTGGACCTGTCCCTTGTGGGCAAGTGGAGCTACTGCTCTGGCTTCACATTTGGTGAGGTGGGAAGGGGTGGCAGAGGAAAGGGTGTTGAATCCCACTTTTCTTTTCTGAATATCATTGTATGTCAAAAGTTCTGTCTTTAACAAGGAAGATACCAACAGAGCTCCCACCTTGAGCACGCTAATCCCCCCAAATGGTTGAATTGCAGCAACCCTTAGGGGTGACATTAGATATAGGTTTTGAAGGACATATAGAATTTTGAAAGATTGTTATGGGAAGAAAGATTTCACTGTTGAAATTAATAAAGGCAAAGAAACAAGAAAGATGGAGGGTGTGTCTAGAAATTGTCCTAATTAATTAGAACAAGGGCTATATGCAAGAGAATAATGAGAGGAAGGACTGGAAAAGTAGGCTAGGCCTCTGCTATGAAGGACCTTACATGTTTGGCTAAGGAGTGACCACATTTTGGAAACTACAAATGCTTCATAAACATTAGAATTATTATTATTAACATTTGTTGGTTGAGTGAGTGAATCAATGAATGAGATTCTAATAAATGAATGAATATGAGGTTATCCAAGAAGATAATTCATACCTTTGGCAGAAGAAGCAACATTTCATGCTCTATTGTAGTGGTTCTCAATGAAAGAGAGCTTATGGGGAGGGGCGTGGGGGGAAGGTTGCACAGATGTTAGAAATTTTTTGCAAACCTCACACATTCATACTGGTTTGAGAACCTTGGCTCTAATGATTATTGGTTAAAGAGATGAAAGAGAGATCTAAACAGTAGCACAGTACACCATCAGGGCCTGTATTTCTCCAGCTTCTGTTCTCACAAAAGTCACCAATGACCTCCTGATTGATGGTGTTGCTGGCCTATTGTCCATCGTATGTGACTTGAGCATTCTGCACTGTTTGACACTGTTAACTGCTTGAAACTTTCTCATCCTTTGGCTTTTTTTTTTTTCTCCTCCTTCTCTACCTTCTCCTTAATAATCTTTTTGAAAGTTATTGCTCCTCCAACTGCCAGTACCTATGGATGTTTCCACCGTGTTCTATCCTTGATCATCTTCTCACTCTACACACCGTCCCTGGGAAGTTTCATCTAGCCCTCCTAATTTCAACTGCCACTGGGTGACAACTCTCAAAACTGTATTTATGACCCCAACTTTTCTCCTAAGTGTCAGAATGTTTCCAGGATATATTTAAGATAGCCTTTAAGCATCTCAAGCTTAATGTGTTTGATCCTAAACTCATTCTCTTTCCCTTCCTTCCCTATCTCCACCCTCAGCATGGATCTATCTGCCCCAACTTTCTCTAGTCCTCTCTTCTAGATCTTTGTGAATAATGTCACTAATTATTCAGTTTCATGAACTAGACACCTGAAAATCTTCCCCGACTTCTATTTGTCCCTCAACAACTCTTTCTTCCTCTTCCAGATGGTCTCCAAACCCTATCTGTTCTAACTTTAAAAAATAAGTTTTTCATATCCAAACTTACCTCCCATTCCCACACCTACTGTCTTAGTCATTTCCTTGCTGTCTCTCTTTTCTTTGATTATCCTGCCACCAGCCTCTCCCCACTCTAGTCTATACAATGCCTCCAAAGTGTCTGTCAAAATTCAATTGTAACCGTGCCATAATTCTGCTTTATAACTTCTTATGATTCATTATGCCCATAGGACAAAATTCAACCTCTAAAGCTAGGCAATTCCACAACCTGGAATCCTATTACCATCCGACCTGACTCTACAGCTTTTCTTCTGCCTCATCTCCTTCAACTGCTTTCTACTCAGTGTACACTCAGGCACACTAAACTTCTCACATTCCCCACATGGGCTCTTTCACATAGGATTCCCACAGCCTGGAATATCCTCCAGGTCAATTCCACAGATGCTGATTAGGGCATCTATGATGTACCAGACACTGTTCTGGGGCCCCAAAGACAAAAATAAGAAGATAAAGATCCTTCTGTCAATGAATTCAGACTCTACTAGTAAGAGAGATAGGCATATCAACAAATAATTATTTTAAGAAACTGTTTAGTGGCTGGGCGTGGTGGCTCACATCTGTAATTCCAGCACTTTGGGAGGCTGACTCAGGCAGATCACTTGACGTCAGGAGTTCGAGACCAGCCTGGCCAACATGGTGAAACTCCATCTCTATTAAAAATACAAAAAAATAGCCGGTATGGTGGTAGGCACCTATAATCCCAGCTACTTGGGAGGCTGAGGCAGGAGAATAGATTGAACCCGGGAGACAGAGGTTGCAGTGAGCCGAGATCACACCACTGCACTACACCCTGGACAGTAAAGCAAGACTCCATCACAAAAAACAAAAAAACAAAAAAACAAAAAAAAAAATTTTTTTTCACCAAATTATTTTTACATGGAATGTCTCAAACAGATTTAAGGCTGCAAACTTGTTAATTTTATAGTCATTTGCTTTTCAAAGTGAAACTCAGAAATACTTAAAAATAGCTGTAACATTTGCATTAGGAAAGATGATGTTTATTCCAGTTTGCATTTTTATGGTGAAATAAAATCCTTTTCCAATGGAAAAAATAATAATGATGCACTGTGATAGGGACAAAATAGAAATATATGCAAAGAGGCAGCTTAGAGGAGAGAGTGGCTAACTGTCTGGAGGGAGTGGGACAAGAAATCCTGTCAGAATCTAGATGGACAAGGTGGGGAAAGGCCACACAGGCATGGCCAAGGGCCAGGAGCACTGAGGCATCAGAGAGAGTAGCATTTCCAGGAAGCAGTAAGAGCTCCCACACAATGCAGAAACGTAAAATGCAGAAGGGATGAACGGTACACCCAAAAATAGCTAAGACGGTCAACTGTATAGTGTGTGTTTCTTACCACAATTTATTTATGAAAAATTTATTTTAAAAAGATGCACTGGGGAAAGTGTCTAAAGACTGAGCTGGAATCAGCAATTGCCTTCCTTGCCCTCCTTTTCTTTTTTCTTTCTTTTTTTTTTTTGAGACAGAGTCTTGCTCTGTCACCCAGGCTGGAGGTCAGTGGTACAATCTCAGCTCATTGCAACCTGGGCCTCCCAGGTTCAAGCGATTCTCCTGCCTCAGTCTCCCGAGTAGCTGGGACTACAGGCGTGCACCATCACGCCCGGCTAATGTTTGTATTTTAGTAGAGATGAGGTTTCACCATGTTAGCCAGGCTGGCCTCGATCTCCTGACCTCAAGTGATCCACCCGCCTCAGCCGCCCAACGTGCAGGGATTACAGGTGTGAGCCACCACGCCCAGCCCCTTGCCCTCCTTTTCAACTTGCAAACTCCTATTCATCTTTTATGAACTGGCTCAGATCGCTAAATGATCCCTCCTTTGTTGATCCCACCTGATTCCCTCAGCTTGTATTGCCTTCACCTTTCCTCTGTGTTCCCACAGTGCTTTATGTATACCTCTGTTACAGCACATCACATGTATGGAAATCTTTTATTTACTTCTCTGTTTCCCCCACAAGACTATAAGTTCCCTGAGGGCTGGCACCATTTCTCAGATAAACATAGGTCCTATATCTCTATAAGAATTATCTGATGGGCACAGTGGCTGGCACCTGTAATCCCAGCACTTGGGAGGCCAAGGCAAGAGCATTGCTTGAGCCCAGGAGTTCAAGACTGCCTGAGCAACATAGTGATACCCTGTCGCTATAAAAAAATAACAAATTACAAATTAGCCAGGTGTGCTGGCATGTGCCCATAGTCCCAGCTACTTGGGAGGCTGAGGTGGGAGGATCTCTTGAGCCTGGGAGGTCGAGGCTGCAGTGAGCAGTGATGTGCCATTGCACTTCAGCCTGGGTGACAGAGTGAAACCTTCTCTAAAGAAAAAAAAAAAGAATTATCTATTGGATTAATTAGTTAATTTAATTTACTATTAATCATGTACCAGACATCACACTAACTGCTTTGCACACATAATCTCTTTTTATCCTTACCACTGCATAAGGATAGTTCCTATTTTTATTGTCTTTACAGATAAGGGAACTGAGATGAGAGCCTAGGTATCTTGCTCAAAGTCACACAGTTAGTCAGTAGTGGAGATTTGAAGCCAAACTGATATTTTAAAGGAAAAATAATCAATAAAAGAAGTTTCCAAGGGGAAAAAGCAGAGAACAGGATTGAGAATATTAGTTGAGAAGGTGCAGCATGAAGAACTGGCTTCTTCAGTGTGTGACACTGTGCTATGCACCTTGCTGAAGTAGTTTCATTTAAAATCATGTCAACTGCATGAACTCTCCATGAGATGTAGATACCACAATAAGGAAACCAGGATTCAGGAAAGTTATATTTCTCACCTGAGGTCACAGAGGCTCTGGGAGGCAGAGCCGTCAACCAAGGTTTCTCCCAGCGTTTCTCACTTGATTCTCAGAGAAAGCAGTGGGAAGATGAAAAAGATTTTGAAATGGAGAAAAGATTATCCAGAGGACCCTCCCAGTGAATTAGAATCAGACTAAGTGGGTAGGTTGATTGAGAAGCCTAGGGAATTTCTGAGGCAGCCACTGTGAGAAATATTATTATTTTTTAATCCAGGAAAAATTGAATAAATAGAGTTGATGGGCTAGGCACAGTGGCTCACGCCTGTAATCAATCCCAGCACTTTGGGAGGTCGAGGTGGGCAGATCGCTTGAGTCCAGGTGTTTGGACCAGCCTGGACATGGTGAAACCCCATCTCTATAAAAAATACAAAAATTAGCTGGGCGTAGTGGCGTGTGCCTGTAGTCCCAGCTACCTGGGAAGCTGAAGCAGGAGGATTGCTTGAGCCCAGGAAGTTGAGGCTACAGTGAGTGGAGATAGCACCACTGCATTCCAGCCTGGAACAAGAAAAGACCCTGTCTCAAAAAAGCAAAAATAGAGTTGGTGAGCATTGGTTTGGAGATCCAACTGAAGTTAGGGCTCACGAATTTGTGATAAGCCCAGAAAGCACATTTCACACATACATATATATGAAAAGTGTATATATGTATGTATACAAACACATAGATATACACTTTGTTCAACTACTTTTGCCATCCCAAGAACAAAGAAACTGCTGCAGGTTGTCAGACTGTGAGCAATAAGTAATTCCAGGAGTAGGGAGAGGGCTGAGGAGAAGGACTTTTGACTAGTATTAAAGACTTACGGCCAGGCGCAGTGTCTCACGCCTGTAGCCCCAGCACTTAGGAGGCCAAGGTGAGAGGATTGCTTGAGGCCAGGAGTTTGAGACCAGCCTGGGCAACATAGCAAGACCTTGCCTCTACAAAAAAAAAAAAATTTTTTTTAAGTAGCCAGGTATGATGGTGCCGGCTTGTAGTCCCACCTACTCGGGAGACTAAGGCAGGAGGATCGCTTGAGCTCAAGAAGTTGAGGCTGCAGTGAGCCATGGTGGTACCACTGCACTCTGGTCTTGGTGATAGAGTGAGACCCTCTCTCAAAAAAAAAAGCAAAGCTCCTCAAAAGAGCTATCTGTTCACATGCTCAAATTCCTCTACTCCCATACTCCCCTGAATCCTCTTCCACTGGGTTTCCCTCTCACTATGTATTACACTGAAACTCTTCCTGTGAAGAACACCATCAGCTTTTGTGCTGTTCAAATGCAATACTCCATCACATGCCCCATCTTCTTTGACCTTTCAACATCTGCCACAGCTGATGCTGCCCTACTCCTTGAAACCTTCTTTGGCTTCCAGAACACTATACTCTCATGACGTCTTTTCCTTTCTCACTGAATCCTTCCACCCTGTCTTCTTTGCTGGTTCGTCCTCATCACCCCAACCAAAGGGCATTCATATTTCATGCCTTCCATATTAGGATAAATTATGTGTTTATTTTTGCAGCAGACATGCTTTTCTGATTATATCTCGCTTATCTGTCATTTAATTAGCTTTCATTCTCTGAGCATACACTCACTGGCTAAAGAAGGAGTCTCAGAAATATGCTGTGTGGTGAAGGGAAGCCACTTGGGGATGGTCAAGCCTAATGTTCACACGGGTGATCTACAGTCAGTCTTTGATCCTTGCGTGTCCTCTCTGTTGTAGCGTGTTCCTGCCATCCAGTAGGATCAGCTGTCCTTCCTGCCAACTCAGTGACCTTCTGCGACCCCAGCAATGGTGACTGCCCTTGCAAGCCTGGGGTGGCAGGGCGACGTTGTGACAGGTGCATGGTGGGATACTGGGGCTTCGGAGACTATGGCTGTCGACCATGTGACTGTGCGGGGAGCTGTGACCCTATCACCGGAGACTGCATCAGCAGGTGAATGTGCAAGGCTCTTGCTCTCAGCTGCATGTATTTCAGGCTCTTTTGAAAACCTATAGTGATTTGGAAAATCTTGCATTCTGTTAATGGAGCAAAGATGTATTTGCACATCTCTTTTAAAGAATTTTTGTCAGGCTGGGCGTGGTGGCTCACGCCTGTAATTCCAACACTTTGGGAGGCTGAGGCGGGTGGATCACCTGAGGTCAGGAGTTCGAGGCCAGCCTGGCCAACATGATGAAACCCCATCTCTACTAAAAATACAAAAAAATTAGCTGGGCATAGTGGTAGGCACCAGTAATCCCGGCTACTCAGGAGGCTGAGGCAGCAGAATCGCTTGAACCCGGAAGGCAGAGTTTGCAATGAGCCAAGATTGCACCATTGCACTCCAGCCTGGGCAACAAGAGTAAAACTCCGTTTTAAAACAAAACAAAACAAAACCAATAATTTTTGTCTAATTACAAACTCAAGTAATTTGTTCTTGCAAGATTCTAGAGATCATCTAATTCATTTTGCAAAATAATTATTGTCTTCACAATAGTTCCTTAAAACACTATTTCTGGAAAAAGGAAGAATGGGAAGGCAGAAGATAAGGTTTAAATCTCTATAGATTCATTTCTATACAAGTTCTAAAAAATTCCTGAATACGTTCTTTATCATGTTCTATTTTGTTAGCCACACAGACATAGACTGGTATCATGAAGTTCCTGACTTCCGTCCCGTGCACAATAAGAGCGAACCAGCCTGGGAGTGGGAGGATGCGCAGGGGTTTTCTGCACTTCTACACTCAGGTGAGATGGATGTAACCAGGCATCATATTTTCAGGTCTGGTCTTATGTAACAGTGATACGTGACAAACCAGGGTCCAGCTTTTGGATCCTATGAGGGGAACTCTTTAGTTCTGGGGTTTCATGGTATAATAAAGTAGTGACTCCTGTAAGTATGAAACTGTAAAATATAGCTAAGGGGTATTTTAACACATTTTTGTTTGTTTTCTGATGATTAGAGTAATATATGTAGTTGGTATAGAAAATTTGGAAAATGCAAAACATCATAGTAAAAAAAAAAAAAAAAGAGGTCACCCAAAATCTCATTATTCCACTGTTAATACTTTGGTATGTTTTTCTCACTCTAAAACACAGTTAAGAGCCTACTGAGTGGGGTGAGTATAATCCCAGCATTTTGGGAGACCAAGGCAGAAGGATTGCTTAAGGCTAAGAGTTCAAGACCAGCCTGGGAAACATAGCAAGAGTTATCTCTACAAAAATAAAAAGTTAGCCCAGTGTGGTGGTGCACGCCTGTAGTCCCAGCTACTTGAGAGGCTAAGGTGGGAGGATCACTTGAGCGGTCAAGGCTACAGTGAGCTGTGATCGTGCCACTGCATTCCAGCCTGGGTAACAGAGCAAGACCTTGTCTCAAAAAAAAAAAAAAAAAAAAAAAGCCTACTGAATATATTAGGTTTGGAAATTTACAGATCCATTGAAAGGAAAAATATTCTTATAAACCTAGCTTAACTTAATAGGTACAAAGCAAAAGCTAGATGTGAACTCCTTATGTTTATAGCTTTTTTACAACTAGAAAGCAAAAGTAATTCTACAAACTAAATATAAGCCAAATAATGAAGCCAAAAAAATCAAATTAATGACATTAACTGAATATGAAAAATGATTTGTACCAAAGCCAAAACACTGCTCACTACATAAATATAGCTCTTTGAGTTTACTCAATATGGGCTCCTCTTTCCTCTGACTCAATTTCCCTATGACATTGTTCTGTTTCTTCTTTCGAAGGGCATGCCATGATAGTGGTATGAATCCTCAGCTTCTGTGTTCATCTTGCCTCTATTCTCTTCTTGTAGAAAAGCAAGTGATTATACTTAGCACTAACTTGCTCCTTAACACAAACTCAAATGTGGGCATGAAATATTGCGTCAACACTTGGCTATAAAGTGCTCACCAAATGCTCCAAATTAAACTCACATCAAGTTAAATATATTTTATTATGAAACATTACAAGTAGTAAAAATGTTATGCAATGAGCACCCATACACACCTTCAAAGGGTTAGCAAATCTCACACTTTGCCGTAATTGTTTCATATTCTCATTTAGGTTATAAAATGTTACAGATGCTTTTGAAGTCCCCGATGTACCAGCCCCAAGCCCAGTTGCCTCCCTTTGTCCACAGAATAACCACAATGGTGAACTTGGTGTTGATCATCCACTTCCATGTTTTTATTACCTATATATATATTGAGTATTTCAGAATTCCATGCACATGATATCTACTCTTTTTTTTTTTTTTTTTTTTTGAGACAAAGTCTCACTCTGTTGCCCAGGCTGGAGTGCAGTGGCACAATCTTGGCTCACTGCAACCTCCGCCTTCCAGGTTCAAGCAATTCTCCTGCCTCAGCCTCCCAAATAGCTGTGATTACAGGCACCCACCACCACACCTGGCTAATTTTTTGTATTTTTAGTAGAGATGGGGTTTCACTATGTTGGCCAGGCTGGTCTCGAATGCCTGACCTCATGATCCACCCACCTCGGCCTCCCATAGTGCTGGGATTACAGGCGTGAGCCACCGCGCCCGGCCGTTATATACTCTTTTAAAATGTTTTTGGTAGCCAGGCTTGGTGGCGTGCACCTGTAGTACCAGCTACTCAGGAGGCTTAAGCAGGAGGATCACTTGAGCCCAGAGGTCTGAGACTGTAGTGCACCATAATAGCACCTGTAAATAGCCACTGAACTCTGGGACAACATAGAAAGAGCCCATCTCTGAAATGTAAATAAGCAAAACATTTTTTACCTGATTATGTAGTTTTTTGAGGTTTATCCATCTCAAAAAAATTCATATAAAAGCGGTTATGTGAATATACCATTTTTATTCTCTCGTTTGTTTGCCATTTAGGATATCTCCAATTTCTAATTTTCCACCATTATAAATAACACTGCCGTAAATGTTCTCTTGTATGTGACTTTGTGCACTTGAGAAGGTGTTTCACCAGGCCAGGGGCTGGCAAACCACAGCCCTCAGGCCAAGTCGGCCACCTGTTTTTCTATAGCTTGCGGGCTACCTGCCCTAAGAATGGTTTTCACAGTTTTAAATGCTTACACTTTAAATGGTTATAGAAGTACCTGTCTTTATTCTTGGCCATTCAGGTTTCCTTTTCTGTGAATTTCCTATCCATAATTTTCTTACGAATTTGTAGTAGTTCTTTATAAATTTATTCATTCATCCAACAGATATTTATTAAGTACCTCTGTCATGTGGCAGCGCTGTAAATAAAGTGAACAAAACATTAAATCTCTGCTTCTGTGTCTCCTACATTCTAGTGAAGGAAAACAGCTAATAAACAAATAAAGTATTTAGTATGATGAATGTTTAGTGTAATAGAAAAATAATGCAGGGACAGGGAATAAGATATGTTTTAGAGGGACATACTTTTAAATAAGGTGATCAGGGTAAGCCCTTTGAAAGGTGACATTTGAGGGGAAAAAAATTCTGAAGGAGGTAAGAAGGCTAGCTATACAGGTGGCAGAGAAAAGAGAGTTTAGGCAGAAGATACAGCAAGTCTTTAAAGCCCTGAGGAGGAATTCAGGAAACAGCAAGAAGGCCAGTGTGGCTGGAACAGAGTAAGCTGGGAAGACAAGTGGAAGAGGAAATATAACGAGGCTGCAGAGGCCACTATGAGGACCTTGGCTTTCACCTGGAGTAAGATGGAAGCCATTGGAGCATTTCAAGCAAAGGTGTGGCATTTAGAGTAACACCCATCAGCATGGTTGTGTGTTTTCCCTAGTCACATTCAGCACTGTGGATGTAGGCATACACAAAGAGATGACTTTAAGCTGGGTTGAGGTTTTTCCAAGCAAGAATGAAGCAAGAGAGGGCAATAATTGTTCATAGAATTTAAACTGGGTAAATAGGGATGTGAGGGTGAAATGAGGTAGGGTCAAGGATTACAGGGTTTCAAAGGATTGTTGGAGTTGGAAACAAGCTAGGATGGGATGTAGAAGTCAAAGAATGAGATGCTTGAAATTGAGACTGGAAGAGTAGCAGTTATCGATAATGGCGATGTCTAAGATATGGTCATGGGAATGAGCAGCTGAGGCCATTATCTGTAATGCTACCTTATCATATATCAAGTTTCTATACATGAATGGATCTGTGTCTTGTCTATCATGTTTCATGAGCCAATACCACAATATATTATTACAGTTTTATAATGAGTCCTGATATCTGAGATGGCAAGTCCCTTCATTTCATTGTTCTTTCTTAAAATTATCTTAGCTATCGGTTCTTTGCCTTTCGTGTGAATTTTAGATTAAGTTTATTAAATCCCACAAAAGGCTCTGTTGGGATTTTTATTGCAATTGCATTGACTTTATGGATCATTTTGAAAAAAGTGATAGCTTTGTAATATTGAGTAGTCCCAAACATGAAGATACCTTTCTATATATTAAGGTGCTCTTTAAGGCCTTTCAATAGCATTTGTCACTTTTCTCCAAAATGGTTTTACCTGTCTTTCATTAAATTTACTCCTAGATACCTTTAGATTTTATTGCTATTGGGAAAGTGTTCTTTACCTGAATTTTTAAAATGATTCTTAAAAATCATTTTTTATGGCTGCATAGTATTCCATGGTGTATATGTGTCACTTTTTTTGTATTTTTAAATGATTATTGATATAAAGGATATAAATGTATATGTGTCACTTTTTTTTTGTATTTTGAGCTTGTATCCAGCGACTTTGCTGAACTTGTTTACTGATTCCAGTATGTATGGATTATCTTGGATTTTCTAATGTAGGCCATCATATTATTGACAAATAAGGACAGTTTTGTCTCACTTGTGTAGTTCTCATGCATCATTTTTTTTTACTGCAGTACAATGTTTTCCCAAATTTGATGGAAATAGTTTGAAATTTTCACCACTATAAAACTTGATATCGATTTTTGATAGGTAGCCTTTATCAAGTAAATGTCATTCTCTTCTATTTCTAATTTTATCGTTAATGAGTTTTGCTTTTAGCTGAATGCCTTCTCTGCATCTTTTGAGAAAATCAGATGGTTTTCCTCCTGTAATCTATCAATGTGGTATTTGAAAATAATTTTTTTCCGGTATCAAACTATTCTTTTTTTTTTTTTTTTTTTACTTTAAGTTCTAGGATACATGTGCAGAGTGTGCAGGTTTGTTACATAGGTATACATGTGCCATAGTGGTTTGCTGCACCTATCAACCCCTCATCTAGGTTTTAAGCCCTGCACGCATTAGGTATTTGTCCTAATGCTCTCCCTCCCCTCGCCCCCCACACCCCTAATAGGCCCCAGTGTGTGTTGTTCCCCTACCTGTGTCCATGTGTTCTCATTGTTCAACTCCCACTTATAAGTGAGAATATATGGTGTTTGGTTTTCTGTTCCTGTGTTAGTTTGCTGAGAATGATGGCTTCCAGCTTCATCCACGTCCCTGCAAAGGACATGAACTCATCCTTTTTTATGGCTGCGTAGTATTCCATGGTGTATATGTGTCACATTTTCTTTATCCAGTCTATCATTGATGGTCATTTGGGTTGGCTCCAAGTCTTTGCTATTGTAAATAGTGCTGCAATAAACATACGTGTGCAGGTGTCTTTATAGTAGAATGATTTAGAATCCTTTGGGTGTATACCCAGTAATGGGATTGCTGGGCCAAATGATATTTCTGGTTCTAGACCCTTGAGGAATCACCACACTGTCTTCCACAATGGTTGAACTAGTTTACACTCCTGCCAACAGTGTAAATGCATTCCTATTTCTCTACAGCCTTGCCAGCATCTGTTGTTTGTCAGAATGGCAATTATTATCAAGCTATTCTTTTAGTCTTAGGATAAGTTTTATTTGCTGTGATGTATTTTTATTCATACGTTGCTGAATTTGATCTGCTAGGGTTTTTATCTTTCATTTATTTATTTGCTTGCTTAGGATTTTCATATTGATGTTTATAACTGATATTGGCCTATAATTTAATGTATTGCATTGTATATTTGAGAAAGTTAGGAGGTCCCCTTACCCACTACGTTTTTTTTCTATTCTCTGCAATTATTTATATAAAAATAGAATCATCTGTTACTTGAATTTTTGTTAGAATTTATCTATAAAACCATTGAGACACAGTGTCTATGAGTAGACGAAAGTATTACTGATTCAATATCTGTCATGGTTATTAATTTGTTTTATTTGTGATTTGGTGTTGGTAATCAAAGTTTTCTAGAAAATTACCGATTCTTTTTTTTTTTGAGTTGGAGTCTCACTCTGTCACCCAGGCTGGAGTGCAGTGGTGCAATCTCGGCTCACTGCAACCTCTGCCTCCCGGGTTCAAGCAATTCTCAGCCTCCCAAGTAGCTGGGACTACAGGCGCATGCCACCATGCCCAGCTAATTTTTTGTATTTTTAGTAGAGATGGGGTTTCACAGTGTCAGCCAAGATGGTCTAGATCTCCTGACCTTAAGATCCACCCACCTCAGCCTCCCGAAGTGCTGGGATTACAGGCGTGAGCCACCTTGCCCAGCCACCAATTATTTTAATTTTAAAAAATTGTATTGGCATAGAGTTATACATGGTATTCACTCATAATTTATTTAACCTTTACTCAATCTGTCCTTAATCTTCTTTTTGTCCCTAAGCTTATCTGTGCCTTTTTTCTTATTGTCTTATACTGATCTTAATTTGCTTCTCTCAGAGATTAACTTTTGGTTAACTTGATCCAACCTATTTAATTTTTCTTTATTTCACTAATTCTGCTCTTATCTTTATTTTTTTTTTATGTTTTCTCTAAGTTTGCTTTTTTAGTCCTTTTCTGCCTTTGTGAGTCCAGTGATTATTAACTCACTTACTTTTAGTCTTTCTTATTTTTAGCAAGTACTCTTAAGGTTATACATTTCCTTATAAGATCTTTTAGCTGGATCCTATTGGCCTTTATATGTAGTATCTTCATTATCATTCAAGTTCTAATGTTTTTCTAATTTCCATTAAGAATTTCGCTTTAATCCATTGAGTTGTCTAGGATATTTAATTGTTCAAACATCAGGGTTTTTAGAATATTTTTTTTTTTTACCCGGGGCTGGGCACAGTGGCTCACACCTGCAATCCCAGCACTTTGGGAGGCCGAAGTGGGTGGATCACCTGAGGTCAGGAGTTGGAGACCAGCCTGGCCAACATGACAAAACCCCGTCTCTACTTAAAAATACAAAAAAATTAGCTGGGTGTGGTGGCGCGTACCTGTGATCCCAGCTACTTGGGAGGCTAAGGCAGGAGAATCACTTGAACCTGGAAGGCAGAGGTTGCAGTAAAGTGAGATCAGGCTACTGCACTCCAGCCTGGGTGACAGAGGGAGACTCCATCTCAAAAACAAAAAAACAAAAAAGAATATTTGTTTACTGATTATCTCTAATCTAATTTCATTGTATTATATCTATTCTTTGAAAACCAGGAGGGCAACTTGGATTCATTTCTAGGTCACTTAAGGACTAGCTACATAATTTGCAGGACTAGATGCTGGATGAAATGCAGAGCCCTTTTTAAGAATGTCATCAAGTGGCCATGAATAATAGTTTGGAGTTTTGTGTACGTGGTTGGTTTATTGTTTTTTCCCAGCCTCCTTTCATTAGCAAGGAGAGCCTTACCCAATCTGTCTTTAAAAAGTGAGTCTGACTGTGATCTCTTTTTTGTCCTATTAACTCCTTTGTATCTGAACTCCTGACCACTGCTGCCTGATTCTGAAAGCGGACCCCAAAGCCCTATCCCCCGAATGCACATTCATTCATTTCTTTTCTTTCTTTACATTTTTTTTAAATTCAAGAAGTATCAACAAATTGAAAACATTCATTTCTAGTCCACAGAGATAAATATCTAGTTTTTGATGCAGGCTATGTCTTTTTTTCCGTCCTTTATCTAATATTGCTATGTGCTTGGAGCTGAGGATGTGCTGAAGTATGAATTCACAAAGTTGTGTTGATTGAGAATGTCTGTGATAATTTTCCCAACATTTTATTATGAAAAATTTCAGACATCCAGAAAAGTTTTAGAAGTTGTGCATTCACATACCCGCCACCTAAATTCTATCCACCCATCAATCCACATTTTAGATCAGAAAGAAATCACAGTTTTAAAACCTTCTCATAGAGAACATATGGACCCTTCAAGAATCAAGAACCTAAATCTGAGAAACAAGGTTATTTGCCCATCTGTATCATGGTTTTTTCACTTAACATAATCTCGTGATAATTTTCCTAATGGCTTCATGTTCAATCACAACAGGAAAGAAGGTGCGAAAGAGAAGGCAACATGAAGTTATCATATTTATCTTTTCAGCATTTGAAAAAGAAAACAAGTCTTTACTATGAATTTTTTTTGCCTTAATGCTATGTAGTCTGGAATTTTATGATTTTAACTTTAATAGCCACTTTTAAAGGTGTTCTTCTATTTTTCTAAGCACACAATGACTTTTTATAATTCTCCAAGTTTGCTAAACCAAATCTGTAATAATCCAGTTTTTAGGACTATAGGACATTCACTAAGCCCATCATGCATGTTATTAGAGAGTTGGCAGCATTCCAGCCAAGCACATAAAGTGCTGGCACCAGAATGACTGCAGACTCTCATGTCCACAGCAGCTGTTAGGTCTGTGATGTCCCCAGAGAGTCTCTGAAATTCATCTGGATGAACGCCAGATTGAGGAAGACTTTATTGAGTTCCCTGCATTGGGTATAGAATGGTGCTTCTGAGCACCTTTTTCAACAAGTGTTCTAAGCACTGAAAACAATCTACCTACCTATATACCTCCCATAAGTTTCCATAAAAACAGCTTTCAACTAGGAGTATAATATACTTTACCAACAAAACACCCTTAATTTCTACCACTTCTTATACCAGATGTAAAATTTCACTTCCTAAATAACAAAACTGGCCTTAACTAGTACCACAGAACTGTAAACAATGCTCTTTTTTTTTTTAATGTCCTAATAACCTAGCATAACTAAACAAGCTTTTCTTCCCTTCCAGATTTCTTTTAAGAAAACACATCTGGGCTGAAGCCTGATCAACAAATATTGTTTGAGCTCTAAGCATATGAAAAAGAAGTATTGGAAAGCAGCCAAAGAAAGGTCATCAAACAATAGACCTATGTCTGCTCTTCTAGGCTGAAGGGTTAAAGAGAAAAGCATTGTGTTGAGGAACAGTATATGCCATTTGGAGTTCCATTAGGTTTTATAGCACAGTAGTTACTGTACTCTTCTGCTTTGTGGAATTATCAAAGGCCATAGGCTATTCACTTAGGTTACTACAATTTCTTTTCTTTTTTTTTTGGCAGAGTCTCACTTTGTTGTCCAGGCTGGAGTGCAGTGGTGCCATCATGGCTTACTGCAGCCTTGACCTCCTGGGCTCAAGCAATCCTCCCACCTCAGTGCCACCAATGCTCCCCTCCACGGGTAGCTGGGACTACAGGCACATACTACCACACCAGGCCAATTTTTTTAATTGCACATAACTCCTTTATTATACTCATTCCTGGAGAAAGGATTTAGTACAGTGATGCTCAAATGAGCACTGGACCCATGTGGCCGAGCAACTAGAACATGATTCAGAAATCAGTCAGTGAAAGACACACTTGGACAGGACCAAGAGGCATTTTACTGCCATGAAACAAGGCAGCAGAGGGATTCTAAAACACACAGCAGGAAGCACTCCTACTCCTCTGAGGTCAAGGAGCTTATCCCATATTAGTATGAGGAATGGCTTACTTTCTGATGACCACATGTGGGACTATTTCAACTGCCACAAGAGATCCGAGAAGGATTATGGTTTTGTATTATTTATATATACTATACTTTTTTTTTTTTATAAAAGTAAATGTAACACCTAAGCTAAATTCAGGATTGATCCCAACCTTCTAGAGCCATCTCCTCTGGGGTCAGGGAGGAAACAGCTGTCACATCACCATGCGAGTTACATTCATCTTCCACTGGAATGACTAGAGCTCCCAGGCAGTGGCCTGACTACAGAAGAGCAGAGGACTGGCTCTTGGGGACAGACAGGCTCTCTTGCTTCTCCTCATTGGTCATGGCTTAGCATGGTTCCTCCCCCACAAGTTCTTAGTAAACAAAGCGGTCGCAAAAACCCAAGTCACTACCTTTAAACTCTCTTGGACAAGGGGAGCTTTTCCACAGCTTGGACTGAGAACCCATGCCCTAGAAGTGCTATTCTGACTAGAATGAATGAAGGGAGTGGGTGCAGGAGACAAAAATGGCTAAAACGAAAATGGGAGCCACTGGTCCTCATCTGCAGCTACAGCTCAAGATGCCTACAGATGTGGTCAGTGTGGCGTGTGCAGGAGGGATGAGCAGAGGGACACACCAGGCAAGGAGGGTGCTCCTGGGGACAGTAGTCCGCCCGCCGGCCTTCACTTCTTGGCCTTGCCCTGGGCAGCCACAGCTTCCATGGCTTTACACAGGGTCCCTTCATCCCCCAGGAACTCCATGCACCTGATGGGCTTCGAGCTCTTGTCCAATTTACAGACAATGGGAATACCAGTCAGCAGGTTCAGCTCCATGATAGCCTCTTCAGAGAGACCTTCCAGATGCTTGACAATGCCCCGGAGGCTGTTGCCATGGGCTGCAATCAGTACCCATTTCCCTTCCTTGATCTGGGGAACTATTTCTTTATTCCAAAAGGGCAGAGCGCTGGCAATAGTGTCCTTCAGACTCTCACAGGAGGATAGCTGATCATCTGTGAGGTCTGCATACCTACGATCCTTACTGATGTTGCTGTAGAAAGGATGGTCAGGCTCCAGCAGGGTGGTGGGACATCATAGGAGCACCTCCAGATCTTCACCTGGGCCTCACCATGCTTTGCAGCAGTTTCTGCTTTACCGAGATCGGTCAGACCCCCATAGTGCCGCTCATTGAGGCGCCAAGTCCTCATTACAGGTGGGCCACATCTGATCAATGGCATCTAGCACTGTCCAGAGGGTCCGGGTCGCTCTCTTCTGCACTGAGGTGAAGCAGATGTCAAACTCATAGCCAACATCTAGCAGCGCCTGCCCGCCTGCGCTTCACCTCCTGGTGGCCTGCCGGGCTCAGGTCGGAGTCGTACCAGCTGCTGAAGTGGATCTCCAGGTTCCATGCACTCTCCATGCTGGATCAGCACCAGTTTGTAGGCGGCCATGGCGGCGGGCTTGGGAGGCAGTGCCAGCTGGGGTTCAGATTCTAGAATCACAGCCCGCCCCCTGCCCCCGCCTCCCCTCCCTCCCCCCGCCCGCCCCCCGCAACCCGACCATTGCGCCTGCGTGCTCGACAATTTTTAATCTTTTTTGTAGAGACAATGTCTTACTACGTTACCTAGCCTGGTCTTAGACTCCTGGGCTCAAGCAGTCCACCCATATCGACCTCCCAAAGTGCTGGGATTACAAGCATGAGTCACCACACCTGGCTGCTCACTCTTTTATCTCTATAATCTTCCCAGATTTCTACCTATGAGAATATTAAATGAGTAAATTAATGTAAAATGCTTAAAACGGCCTGGTATACAGTAAGTGCTCCTCAGTAAGCACTAGCTGCTGTTATGACCACTCAATGCCTATGAAATGCAGTGCATGAGGGCAGGAGGGGGCAGGAAAGGGGAAAAAGTATATCTAATTGTTAAATCAGTGAGTGCAAATCCTATCCATGCTGGGCTCCAGAAATGTAAGGTTGATAAGATATAGCCATTGTCTTGAAGGGACACAGTCTAGAGAGGAAACGAATATATAAATGAGTATGAGAATGCTATATATCTGTGGTCCCCAACCTTTTGGGCACCAGGGAGCGGTTTCATGGAAGACAATTTTTCCATGGATGGCAGGGGCAGGGGATGGTTTCAGGATGAAGCTGTTCCACCTCAGACCATCAGGCATTAGATTCTCATAAGGAGAGCACAACCTAGAGCCCTCACATGCACAGTTCACAGTAGGGTGGGCACTTTTATGAGCATCTAATGCCGCTGCTCATCTAACAGGAGGCGGAGCTCAGGCGGTAATTTGAGTGATGGGAAGTGGCTGTAAATTCAGATGAAAATCAGCTCTCTCTCAAGCTGCTCACCTCCTGCTGTGTGACCCGGTTCCTAACAGGCCACAAACCAGTACCAGTCCACGGCCAGGGGTTTGGGGTCCCCTGCTACATATAAACTATGTACAGGCTGGGCGCAGTGGCTCACACCTGTAATCCCAGCACTTTGGGAGGCCGAGGCTAGTGGATCATCTGAGGTCAGGAGTTCAAGACCAGCTTGACCAATATGGTGAAACTCCGTCTCTACTAAAAATATAAAAATTAGCCAGGCGTGGTGGTGTGCACCTGTAGTCCCAGCTACTCAGGAAGCTGAGACAGGAGAATTGCTTGAACCCGGGAGACAGAGGTTGCAATGAGCTGAGATCACGCCACTGCACTCCAGCTTGAGTGACAGAATGAGACTCCATCTCGATAGATAAATAAATAAATAAATATATACATACATACATACATACATACATACATACATACATAAAATAAACTATGCACAAAGGCATTTTGAAAGTCTTCCATAGGGCCTGGCAAATCTCTCACATGTAATAGTGGCAATATATAATTTAAACTATTGGGAGAAAATATTCTACTTATTCTTCAAAGTCCCTTTTAAATCCTTCTTGATCCAAGAAGTTTTTTCCCATCTTCCCAGACACATGTGACTCTTCCACCCAAGTATATTGTACCTCTCCCAGACCACTTATCACTTTATCACTTTTTGTACACTTGGTTTCTTCACCTTACTGAATTGCAAGCCTTAAGGCAAGAATTGTATCTTGCTTATCTTTATGGTGCTGAAGTGCGAAGCACCATGCCTTGCATACCAAAAGTGCTCAATAAATACTTTTTAAATGGATAACAACAAAAAAATTGAACGACATTACCTTCAAGGGACTGCCCAATCAGTTTATTTAATTTCACTTTTGTGGTGGTGAACATTAACTGCAGAAAGACAATTGTTTTCCATTCAGTTTTTCCTTCCTGTTAGCATGGAATATTAATACTAGACTGTATTTATCACAACATCAATTACAAGCATTGAAATACATCACTGTTTCTACCTTCTGTATTTCTCTTGGATGAATACTTTATTGGAAGATAACTAATTTAGAAAGAGACTCTACTTCTTTTGAATGACTTTCGTGGTTCCTTGGTACTTACAGATTACACTGTATGCATCACTCAAGGCTTAAGGGATGTGTTATCTGGATACACTTGCTGATCTCTTATTTTTTCTTTCTTTGCTTTTCTAATAACTAACACCATTTTTAATTTACTTTCCATAGGTAAATGCGAATGTAAGGAACAGACATTAGGAAATGCCAAGGCATTCTGTGGAATGAAATATTCATATGGTGAGTCTGAAATCCTTGAATGCTTCTGAGAACCTATTCACACTAAGTTCAGAGAATTTTTAAGAAAATGGGAGGCCTGACTGATGACATTGTGTATAAATGAAAGCACAAAGCATTAGTCTTACATAATAACACTAAACACAGTGTTCTGGTCTTGAGCTAGATTTTCCTGATGTAGTTGGTGATGGATGTCCCAGGGAGGACAGAATGCTTGTAGAGCAAAGGTAGAGTTATTATACCATAAGAAAAAGAGGCAGAGAGCAGAGAGAAGAAATCATGACATGAAATCCTTTCTCGTGGATACTTCTTGCCTTATTCATCCAAAAGGGACATTTCTAGCCACTTCAGTGACTCTTGTGTTCGTTTGTCGTACAGTAATACTGAGTAGAAATCAGTTTAAGGCAGCATTTCATTATAGTTGAGAGCACAGGCTTTGGACTCAGACCTATGTGAGTTTGATTTCTGGCTTATTGGTGGGAGACTTAACCTCTCCAAATTTGTTTCCTCATCTGTAAAATAGGGATCATGCCACCTTCCTCGTGGAATGAGATGTTTGAAAAGCATGCAGCACATTATCTAGCACATATTTGATGCTCGGTAAATGGTAGGGGGAGGGAGATGATGTCTTACTTGTGAGGCACTGAGACCAGCTGTCCACCTGGGTCTCTTCCCCACCCTCTCTGTATACTCTAGATACCCCTATCTTTCAAATAACAGGAAAATACATCCTGTACAAAAAGGGAAATGGCACTGCCTAAGTAAAGACTGTTACTATCTTCAAATGGCTTTATATTTACTATTAAATATATTAAGATATCATATCTTGCCAACACATTCTTGCCTAGTGTCTGAGACTTTTTTTTTTTTTTTTAGACAGAGTCTCGCTTTGTTGCCCAGCCTAGAGTGCAGTGGCACAATCTAGACTCACTGCAACCTCCACCTTCTGGGTTCAAGCGATTCTCATACCTCAACCACCTGAATAGCTGGGATTACAGGCATATGCCACCACGCCCACAACCTCCACCTCCCAGGTTCAAGCAATTCTCCTGCCTCAGCCTCCCAGGTAGCTGGGACTACAGGCATGTGCCACCATGCCCGGCTAATTTTTGTATTTTTAGTAGAGACAGGGTTATCCCATGTTGGTCAGGCTGGTCTCGAACTCCTGACCTCGTGATCCGCCTGCCTCGGCCTCCCAAAGTGCTGGGATTATAGGCGTGAGCCACCACGCCTGACCTAATTTTTGTATTTTTAGCAGAGATGGGGTTTCACCATGTTGGCCAGGCTGGTTTTGGACTTCTGACCTCAAATGATCTGCCTGCCTCGGCCTCCCAAAGTGCTGGGATGACAGGCGTGAGCCACCACACCCAGCCTGAGACTTTTTATTGGTCTATAATATATATGGCCTGAAATATACACTACAATGAGGAGAAAATTTTAAGTCATCATTTATGAAACCAAGTATTTAGGTTCTGGATAACATTGTCTCTAATCTCATACAAGATTTTAAAAAGTAAATAAGTGGTAAAAACCTCATGAATCTTATCTAAAATTATATGTACACTTCCCTCTCTACTTTCTAACTTGGCTAAACAATAGAAGAAAACTTGAAATGTACAGCGCTCAATAAAGGAAAGGCAGTTTAGAGGGAATGGCATTGACTATTAAGAGCAAAGAATATGATAATTTAGTTCAAAGTCAGTTCATTCAGTGAAAATATCAACTGGTTTTCCTTATCACATCAACTTGGTAGCTCTCTGAATTTACAAATAACCAATCTTTTAATACAACTGCATTAATTTTCTACTTAAGAAGAATTTGAACGCTCTTAATGTAATGAAACATCTTGGTCTTATTAAGTGCAATACTGCTAAGACTTGGAAAAAATTGGTTTCCTCCTCCCCATTCCCTGGCTTAATAGAAAAAAAAAAAAAAAACACTTGACTTACTTGCTTACTCCTTTAGCAAATATCTATTGAGCAATAGAAGTGACAGACAAGGTCCCTGCTCTCTTTTAGCTTACAAGTCTAGTGGAATAATAATAGCGAACATTTACTGAGCGTTAGCCACACGCCGGGCACTATGCTCCCTGTCCTTCATGCATTTATCTCATCAGGGTTCTAGCCCAAACTCTACCTCTAGCCAACCAGTTATGTGAACTTGAAAGGTTCACTTTATTTATTTGTTTTATTTATTTATTTATTTATTTATTTATTTTTGAGAGATGGAGTTTTGCTCTGTCGCCCAGGCTGGAGTGCAGTGGCGTGATCTGGACTCACTGCAACCTCTGCCTCCCAGTTTCAAGCATTTCTCCTGGCTCAGCTTCCCAAGTAGCTGGGACTACAAGCATGCACCACCACACCCAGCTAAATTTTTTGTATTTTTTAGTAGAGACAGGATTTCACTGTATGTTGGCCAGGCTGGTCTCAAAGTCCTGACCTCAGGTGATCCGCCTACCTCAGCCTCCCAAAGTGCTGGGATTACAGGCATGAGTCCCTGCACCTGGCCTTAATTTCTTAAAACTTGCTTCCTCGTGTATAAAATACATGAGCTTTTAAGACCCCTTAGAAGTCTAAAATGTGATGACTCCATAAAGATAGCTGTCTGACGCTGTATTCGCAGAGTATGAGACCAGCCAAGATAGAGTGCTCTCATTACACACACTCTTCCATGGAGATGTGGATAAGCCGATAAGAACTTCCCTGTGAAAAAATATATATATATGAAAATTAGCCGGGCGTGGTGGCCTGTAATCCCAGCTACTCGGGAGGCTGAGGCAGGAAGAATTGCTTGAACCTCGGAGGCGGAGGTTGCAGTGAGCCAAGATCGCACCATTGTACTCCAGCCTGGATGACAGAGCAAGACTCCATCTCAAAAAAAAAAAAAAAGAACTTCCCTACGTTCCCTAGTGTTCCTGAGTAGCTCAGTGATCCTTAGCTTTACTTTCTTTCCGACCCCAAATTATTCCATTACTTAATCCCCAGCCATATCAATTTCATCAATGGGAGGGCGTAATAGAATCATAAGTCATACAGAATACTGGAGCTCCATCATCATGCATGGGTGTCCAGCCCTTTGAATGTGAAGACTTTTTGGTTTATCTGTGGTGGCGGATATCACAAAAATTATGCACAGACTTTTTGTTTCAGTTCATCAGCTATCATTAGTGTTAGTGTACTTTATGTGTGGTCCAGTGTGGCCCAGGGAAGTCAAGAGGTTGGACACCCATTAAGGGACAGCTTCCCTAACTCCAGTCAGCTTGCATTTTATTCCAGGAGAAGAATATTAAGTAGTCAATCATATTATATAATCTCTTTGGAATATGCAAAATATATTCTAGGAGTAGCATTTTTCTCTCTATCATAACATTAAACACAATCAGCCACAAAAGAATAATATAGTCAGAACCTAAATAAAAGCCAGGATAATTCTACTTCCTATGTTTCCTCTCTCTGTTTAGATGTGGTAGCTGAATGTATTTAAGATTATAATTGCAATAGGCAAATGGTTGATATTCTCTTAGGATAATGATATTGGAGGGAGTCACATTTGAAATTGCCTAACAAATAAGAATATAGTTAATATAGATAAACGAGATAAAGCCAGTGCAAAACTGAATGAGCCTATGATTTTTTTAATTCAGTATTTTTATTTTATTTTATTTCAATAGTTTTGGGGGAACAGGTGGTTTTTGGTTACATGGATGAGTTCTTTAGTGGTGATTTCTGAGATTTTAGTACACCCATCATCCAAGCAGTGTACACTGTACCCAATATATAGTCTTTTATCCCTTATCCCCTCTCTTCCCCCTGAGTCCCCAAAGTATATTATATCATTCTTAGGTCTTTGCATCCTCATAGCTTAGCTCCCACTTACAAATGAGAATATAATGAGGTTTGCTTTTCCATTCCTGAGTTACTTTCCTTAGAATAATGGCTTCTAACTCCATCCAAGTTAATGCCTAATGATTTTTAAAGCAAATTTTCACATCCTCATCATCAATTCACCTTTCCATTATATTCTGAAATGCATACTTGAGTGTTATTCAAACTTCAAATGATAATATGAAATTCTATGCATTTTGACTTCTGTGTTAACAGTGCTAAAAATAAAGATTTTATCAGCTCATGATAAAGGTACTCATGTTGAGGTCAATGTGAAGATTAAAAAGGTCTTAAAATCTACCAAACTGAAGATTTTCCGAGGAAAGCGAACATTATATCCAGAATCATGGACGGACAGAGGATGCACTTGTCCAATCCTCAATCCTGGTGAGTATTAGACTTTCCTATCTTAGTACCTACCTTGTCTCTGCTGATTTGCTGCTTGTCTTACATCCTCTGAAGCACAACATAAACAAACTCAGCAAGAACATCTCTCCCTTTCACCATCTGACTCCTGCGGAAAATCCAAATGGAATTCTTTGAACTAACATCGAAAAATTATTTCTCTTCCATGTGCTCTATAAAAGTTTAATATTTTAAAATCCAGAAATATAATACTCTCTATCCTAAAAGAGGAGGCTCAGATTGGTTCCAGGTGCCAGTTGCATAGAAAGCACTTTCATGAATTTATCTGCCACTTACTCTTTATCTGAAAGCTAGGTCCTATTACAGTAGAACCTGTTCCCAAAGGAAGTTCAAATGCAAAATTCCATCTGTGGAAATAATATTGAATTCATTTCGACTATTGCTTGAAAAGCATCTGTTTCTCTTGGAGAGAAAACAGTTCTCAAGTTCTCATCATCTTGTTTTTCATGAAATGATATTTCTGGTTTCAAATTAGAAACAGCAGAAATAAACAAAACAAAAACTGTAGGATTTTAGAGCAACTTGAAATGGAGAGAAATTTGATTTGCACCTTTAAATGTTATAGCAGAAGTGAAGACAAATAAATAAGCACAGGGGTTCTTGCCCCAAGCGCATGGTTATCCTGGGTTATAAGCTGCTTATTTCTCTGTCTCCCTCATCAAATTTGAGGATGGGATTTAGGCTTTTGATCATAGTATCTTCAATACCTACCATTAGTACCCAGATAATGGTAACATAATACTTAGCAGGTTCTAATAAAACAAATCATAATTCAAAAAATCCTCTGCATCTCCCTGCTTGTGTGATTGTCATCTGTGTCTTAGCGGCACTGATGAAACAGGTGCATTATTTATGTTCTTCCCCATATAAACTCATTGTTTATATGAGTTTATTCCTTCCCCATATAAACTCATTGTTACATTAATAAGAAGTCTTTTGTGCCCAACCTGGCCAACACAGTGAAACCCCATCTCTACTAAAAATACAAAAATTAGCCCAGTATGGTGGTATGTGCCTGTAGTCCCAGCTACCCAGGAGGCTGAGGCAGGAGAATCACTTGAACCCAGGAGGCAGAGGTTGCAGTGAGCTGAGATCGCACCACTGTACTCCAGCCTGGGTGACAGAGCAAGACTCCATCTCAAAAAAACAAAGTCTTTTGCGGTCTTTGATTGATTAATAAATTTGAGAGAAGCAGATAACTGAGAGAGAAAGAGAAAGAGAGCATAAACTAACAATAAAATATCCCCTCAGTCTAAACAAACTCAACATTGATACAGAACTTTTGATTTTGGCCAAGTGTTGACCAATCTCTCACATCCTTTTCTACCCTTTCAATAATATATTTAAATTAATTTAGATTTTAATAAGGAAACTGTGAAAAATAATGTTTTAAATTATATAAATAAATAAATAGACTGGGCATGGTGGTTCACGCCTGTAATCTCAGTACTTTAGGAGGCCAAGGTGGGAGGATAGCTTGAGCCCAGGAGTTCAAGACCAGTTTGGACAACATAGTGAGACCCAGTATCCACAAAAAATTTTTTAAATAATTAGCTGGGTGTGGTGGCAAATTCCTGTAGTCCCAACTACTTGGAAGGCTGAGGTAGGAGGATCACTTGAGCCGGGGAGGTCAAAACTGCAGTGAGCCATGATTGAGCCACTGCACTCCAGCCTGGGCAAACAGAGCAAGACCCTATCTCAAAAGAAATTAAAAATACATAAATAAAATTCCAAAGAACAAATTGAAGTAATAAGAATCCTGAGCTTTGAATACAGGACACTAAAAATAATTCATGTAAGTTCTATTTCCCAGTGATTTGTGCTTAGAGGCATCTCTTATAAGAGCTTTCCTACTGTCTTGGCAAAAGAAAAAAAAAGTCTGCCCAGTTTAGTGAGACATTAAAAACAAAAGCTTTGACCATGTGAGCCACCCTCCAGGAAGTGAACTATACTTCCTAATCAGGTTTCTGCCAAGCCAAGTCAAAGAATCAACTGAGTTCATCACAATTGAAAACATAAGCGCAATTATTTAAAGAATTCTTGAAAACATGTTTACTTGCTTTGAAGAAAAGACTGGAACTTGCCAAAGCAAAACCAGACACTCTTTCATTTTACTTTGTTTTTCCATTTTTACAAGTTCAACAGCCAAGGCCAAAGAAAGCTGATAAGAAAACTGAAACCTTACACGCCAACCTGCTTCCTTGGCTACTTTGGAAAAGAAACAATCCTATTGGGTATCCCTGCATATTCATTCATTCTTAATTCATGCATACATTTACTCATTCATCAGTCATATATTTTAGAACACCAAAACTAGCACTAAAGTATTGTATCTTCTTTTTCTATGGATACAAAATAAACTTCGTGTTCTCAGACGTGTAGCAAAGTAGATGTCAAAACCCTAGAGATAGGAAAATAAAATATAAATGCTAATAAGAGGTATAAAAGAACATTGTTTTGCATATTTGTTTTTGGTGTGATGCTGCTTCATAATTTATGGTTTTATTCAGTATTGTTTTTATCAATTTAACTTATATTTATACTTTAATGGTAAATTCCTGTTTATTCTATTTGTAGTTTCAAAGTAAATTCATGTAAAAATACTAGACTTAACCCTGAGATTGATTTCTTTCTTTTTTTTTCTTTTTTTAAAGACAGGGTTCTCTGCTCTGTTGCCCAGGCTAGAGTGGTGGTACTATCACTGCTCACTGCAGCCTCGACCTCCCAGGCTCAAGCAATCCTCCCGCCTCAGCCTCTTGAGTAGCTAGGACTATAGACATGCCACCAAACCCAGCTAATTTTTGTTTGTTTGTGTTTTTGTAGACAGGGTCTTGCTATGGTCTCAAACTGGTCTCAAACTCCTGGCCTCAAGCAGTCCTCCCACCTCGGCCTCCCAAAGCACTGGGATTACAGGCGAGAGCCACTGCATCCAGCCCTAACCTTGAAGTTTCTTAAAAATTGATTATTGTATTTTTAAATGAGGAGTTTATTATTTTAGACATTATACAAACAATTTAAGGCTATTATATTTTTAACTAGTCTGTTAATTAAATATTGAGATTCTTTTTCATGCAGAAGTTAAGGTTGCCTTTTATAATTTAAATGCCTTTTCATTCATTTTACATTGTACTCTCCAGTGTTTGAAACCTCTCTGTGTCATTATTTTCCTTTTTCTCTTTTTCTGAAAACACCATAATAGCTTTTTTGAAGTTTAGGATGAGTTTCTTTTAATAATCTTTTAGCAGGGTGCAGTGGTTCACACCTGTAATCCCAGCACTTTGGGAGGTTGAGGTGGGTGGATTGCTTGAGCCTAGGAGTTCGAGGGCAGCCTGGGCAACATGGTGAAACCCCATCTCTAACAGAAAATACAAAAATTAGCCAGGTTTAGTGGCATGAGCCTGTTGTCCCAGCTACTCAGAAGGCAGAGGTGGGAGGATTACCTGAGCCTAGGGAGGTGGAGGCTACAGAGTTCAGATGGTGCCACTGCACGTCAGCCTGGGTGACAGAGTGAGACCCTGTCAAAAAAAAAAAAAAAGAAAGAAAAAGGAAGAACAGAAGGAGAGGGGAGGGAAGGGGAGGGGAGGGGAGACGTTTAGGGGAAATTTTTAAATTTCACATTTCTATCCCCCAGAGATCATCTCTGTTAATAGCTTAGGCAAATCCTTTCCAATCTTCCTCTGTGTGTATGTATTATATTTTTTAACCAAAACGATATCATAGTATATGCTCCATTCTGTAACCTGCATTATTCTGTTAATAAGCTTTACCTTCAATTTCAGTTGATTTTCATGTTATCTAATACTCAGGTCATATTTCTATTTCCCAACTGATCCCAAAATGTCCTCTACAGCTGATGTGTCCTTGCCAGTATTCAATCCAGGATCACACGTTATATCTAGTTTTTCAGTCCTTCAACTCTTTTTTTATTCTAGCACAGTTCCTTTTTTATGACTTGTTGAGGAAACCAGGTCAGATGCCCTATCCATTATCTGACCATCAACATTTGTGTGGTTGGTTCATTTATGGTGGTGTTTAGCTTATTCCTCTATCTCTTCTATCTTCTGTAATCTCTAAAGAAAGGCTTGATTGATTCAAGACAAACATTTTGGCTAGAGTCCATTATAGAGATCATGGTGTGCTTCATGTTGAATCATGTCAAATGCACATGGTACCTGGATAACCTCCCATCAGTGTCTCTAAGCTTGACCTTTGGATTACAATGAAGGCAGTCTGATCTCTCCATTGCCAAAGTTTTGTTTTACCTTTAGAGATAGAAAAGAGTGAGTGTGATATTATGTAGCATTCTACAAGCATCCAGCTTTCCATTAATCATTCATTTAATGACTTTATCGCCAACTGATAATCCTTTCCTGAATCAATAATTTCATTAGAGTCTGAGAAATGATGTTTTTCTAATTCTTTTGAATTCTCTTCTCTTATTAGCTGGCATTCTTCCGTAAGAGGGCTTTCTCTCCCAAGCTGGGCAACTAGGTTATCATGAAATACAGTTCTTACTGTAAAGACAGGATAAATGCTACATTCCTTCCCTGTAATTTCTAATTTTCAAAGTAAGAAATGGTTTTAACAGCTACCTCTAAAGATGACAAGTTAATTTTTCTCTGGCTTTCTCATTTTTTAGTGTCATTTTGGAATTATGGATTTCTATGGATTTAATGTGTTTTCATAAACACAATTATTATGTTTCTTGGTGCTCAACTTACCACAACTTTGACAAGTTATAACCCCTTCCTGCTAGCTGCTGTGTCCTTTTAAAAAGACACACATTCATCTTTGAAAGCTTTCTTGTTTTTTAATACAATAAGATGTCCCATGCTCAACTTCCTGCCCTGAACCTGGAATAAGCCGTTTTCCAAGAGGCCTGTATGGTTGTTACAGGTGTTCATTACTACTTGGATGACATTTTTTTCTCAGTCATTTCAGTGAAAAATGAGCAATGAATCAACTTGTGAAATTAAATTGATATTTTCAGTTGAATTTTAGCATCTAGCATTCACTTAATTTCGTTTTTAAAAGTGTGCCTCTATTTTATATTGGAAAGTTTTTATTTTATAAACATAATTATTTTATCTACCCTATAATTTTTAAAAATCGTTCCTAAATACCAAAATCTACGTTATTACAAACATTAACTAAGGGCAATTATTGTATTTCTTTTTACTAATCTATAGGTGATGAGACTGTCCTTTCATTTCTTGGATATATTAGCTAAAATTTGTTATCTAAAGCTTGAAACGAATTTTGAATACAAGGTCATCACAAGATCTAGGCAAGTTTTATCATTTATTTAGTTTTTTTTTTAATGTATGACAAACAAACATCCTATTCCAAAAACACATAGGCTTTATATAGGGAATATGTGTTATTTTCTAAATTCATAGCTTCTTTCCTATATGTTTTCCCAAATGCTTGTTTCACTTTTATAAAAATCCTCCTTAGGCTGGGCACAGTGGCTCATGCCTATAATCCCAGCACTTTGGGAGGCCGAGGCAGGCAGATCACCTGAGGTCAGGAGTTCGAGACCAGCCTGGCCAACATGGTAAAACCCTGTCTCTACTAAAAATAACAAAAATTAGCCAGGCATGGTGGTGCATGCCTGCAATCCCAGCTATTTGGGAAGCCGAGGCACAAGAATTGCTTAAACCCAGGAGGCAGAGGTTGCAGTGAGCCAAGACGGCACCCCTGTACTCCAGCCTGGACAACAGAGCGAGATTCCATCCAAAATCAAAACAAAACAAAACAAAAACAAAAAAAAAACCTCCTTAATATACACTACCATACACAGTGAGTATCCAAGATGTACTGATCTAGGGCAGTATGATAAGTGTCCTTAGAACCCTCAGTTCTTTTGTCATAGAGCATGGTATAGTACAAAGGAAAGGTTCTAGACTCAGCATGACCTGAGTTTGAGTCCAGATGCTGCTATACTTACAAAAAGATATCGAACAAGTTTCTTAGCCTTGCTGAGCCTCAGTTTCCTCATTTGCAAAACAAGAAGGAAAAAATTATCTACCTCACAGGGTTATTTTCAAAGCTAAATGAGATCATACATGTAAAGCATACATGCACTAAGCATAGTAAATGCTTACTAAATGGCAGCTATTAATGTTTCTTACTCCTTATTCCAACCCTGAATATATAAAACTGCTGGAGTCAGGCAGGCGTGGTGGCTCACACCTGTAATCCCAGCACTTTGGGAGGCCGAGGTGGGCAGATGGCTTGAGTTCAGGAGCTCGAGACCAGCCTGGGCAACATGATGAAACCCCATCTCGACAAAAAATATGAAAAAATTAGCTGGGAGTGGTGGCGCACAACTGTAGTACCAAGTACTTGGGAGGCTGAGGAGGGAGGATTACCTAAACCCAGGAGATTGAGGCTGCAGTGAGCCAGGATTATGCCACTACACTCCAGCCTGGGTAACAGAGCAAGACCTTGTCTCAAAATAAATGCAAAAGAAAACCTGCTGGAGTCACATCTCTCCCTTCAACAAAGTATGATACTGTATAGCCCCTAATTTTGTTCTTTTTTAGGTTTGGAATACCTTGTAGCAGGACATGAGGATATAAGAACAGGCAAACTAATTGTGAATATGAAAAGCTTTGTCCAGCACTGGAAACCTTCTCTTGGAAGAAAAGTCATGGATATTTTAAAAAGAGAGTGCAAGTAGCATTAAGATGGATAGCACATAATGGCACTTGTCTATGTACAAAACACAAACTTTAGAGCAAGAAGACCTCAGACAGGAAACTGGAATTTTTTAAAGTGCCAAAACATATAGAAATGTTTGAATGCATGGGTCTTATCTAACTTATCTCTTCTGGACCCATGTTTAAATACAGTTTTATTTCATGAAGAGAAATGAAAACCCCTACACTGATATCTGTTTTCTATGGGACTGATTCTGAAATTCTTAACTATTAAGAATATTTTAATAGCAGCATGACATTTAGCAGTAATCCATTAAGGGCAGTACCTCTAACAAGGACGCCTTCCAGCTTCAGCGATGTTACTTACGTTTGATGCTACTTAAAGTAATGAATGACGTTTTAAGGAATCCCTAACCCTACTATCAGAAAAGGTGTTTGTTAAAGAGCCTTCTCTTGTGTGTTACGCATGAACTTTGGTCTGTAGGTGTTAAATGGAACCTCTCCATGTGTATATAGTATTTCCTTGTATAAAGCACTTTACTACCTACCACTTGTGTTGTGAACGTTTGGTGACTGCTGTTGAAAGAAGGAAAAGGGTGTGTGAGAAAGCCTACTGAAGCAGCAGCACTGCCACTACATGTGGACAAAAGTGACCATATAAAAGAAGTTGTGCTATTTAACTCTGAATACTTGGAGAAACTAGGTGAAGATGCAACCAGAAAGGAGAATATGTATGCGTGAAGTCTCAGCTTTGAGCTGGAGGCTAGATTCCAAGATGACAGCCATGATGAAACTTTTTAAAAAACTAAACCAGAAGAGACTTTAAAATAAGAGAAAGAAATCATAAATGTAGACATATGCTTGGCTAAAGGGGAAATGGACTTTAAATTTTAAAGAGCTCATTTGCAATGCACTTGTATACACTTCAAAAATTATTGTAGACACAGAATTTGTTATATTTTTGTGCTTAGTATTTAAACCTGAACATTGAAACAGTTTTCCTCCTTGTCTTTCTTAACAGTAATAGTCATTATATTTACCTGTTTTTTAACACAATGTATGTGATAGTCAAAAAATCACAGTTTTTCATTATTATTCATCTTCTGTACCCACGCATAACCACTATACATAGTTTCTTTTGTACTTGAATATACAAAACATGAACACAGTGCCATATGAATAATTTCACATACAGAACCTTTTTTTCTCTGAAGTCCTGTGGACTTGCAAATATATATATATATTGCTTTGTTAATTTGTTTTTATATTTCATATATGTAATAAAGGAATATGATCTGATTTTTGTCTCATTTCTTAACTCTTTCAGTGATGCTAAAGATTATCTTCTCATAATGAGGGAACTTAAATCTAATTCATTAATATAAGAAAATAAAAGAAGACCCGACTTTCTGTTACTCCGGGGTTTTGGAATGGAGTGGAAGCTAACTCAGATGGATTTATTTTCTGTAGCCTTTAGACACAAACTTTTTTCATCAGATACATTGTGATTTTTATATTACATTAATTTTAACTAATTTTAAAAGTAATAAATGTTCATTGTTGAAAACACAGAAAAAGCATAACGGGAAAAAAATATTTATACGCCAGCCATCCTGGGATAAGAGCCATTAGCACTCTGGTGTCTATAACATAGACTGTTTTCTGTGCATACATATGTACGTTTTATATCATTGGAATTATACTAAACATAGTCTTATGAAATCTGCTTTTTCACCTGCAGCATGTCTCTTAGCTTCTTACCTATCCTATCTTATCCTGGTAGGTGGACCACTATCTAGTACGGTTATCATTTAGAAGCAACTTATAAAACATGTTGGTAAGTATAGCATGCCAAAAAATATTTTTTAAATACATCAGATACAGAATTTTCCATTTCACTTTATTTAAAATAACGAATACCCACTTCAAAAAGAGTAGAAATTTTTGTTTTGTTTTGTTTTGTTTGTTTTGTTTTTTGAGAGGGAGTCTCGCTCTATCCCCCAGGCTGGAGTCTCGCTCTGTCCCCCAGGCTGGAGTGCAGTGGCGCGATCTCGGCTCACTGCAAGCTCCGCCTCCCGGGTTCATGCCATTCTCCTGCCTCAGCCTCCCGAGTAGCTGGGACTACAGGCAACCGCCAACACGCCCGGCTATTTTTTATATTTTTAGTAGAGACGGGGTTTCACCGTGTTAGCCAGGATGGTCTCGATCTCCTGACCTCGTGATCTGCCCATCTGGGCCTCCCAAAGTGCTGGGATTACAGGCATGAGCCACCATGCCCGGCCAAAGAGTAGAATTTTTTTAAAAAGAGTAGAAAAAAGTCCATAAAACATTAAGTTAAAAAAATCGCAGAACATACATAATTAGCCCCACCCCAAAAACACATTTATAGTATATATAGTGTTTTTAAAGTTCTGAAAGAGGGCCAGACACAGTGGCTCACAACTGCAATCATAGCACTTTTAGAGGCTGAGATGGGAGGATTCGTAAGGCCAGGAGTTTGGGACCAGCCTGGGCAATGAGTGAGACCCCCATCTCTTAAAAAAAGAAAAATAGCCAGGTATGATGGTGCCCACCTGTAGTTTCAGCTACTCAGGAGGGTGAGGCAGCAGGATGTCTTGAGCATAGGAGTTCAAGGTTACAGTGAATTCAAGGTTACAGTGAGCTATGATCATACCACTGTATTCCAGCCTGGGTGACTGATTAAGACCCTGTCTCAAATACATAAATAAAAGTTATGAAAGAGAGACAGATTATAACAGTATTGGTCCCTGTCTGGCAAAGAATGAAGGAGATTTTTCCTTTCTTATTTTACATACATTTGTATTGCTTGACTTTCTTTCACTAATCATGTACTACTTTTGTAATTTTTTTTTTTTTGAGACAGAGCCTTGCTCCATTACCCAGGCTGGAGTGCAGTGGCCTGATCTTGGCTCACTGCAGCCTTCGCCTCCCGGGTTCAAGCAATTCTCCTGCCTCAGTCTCCCGAGTAGCTGGGATTACAGGCACTCACCACCGCGCCTGACTAATTTTTGTATTTTTAGTGGAGACAGAGTTTCACCATGTTGGCCAGGTTGGTCTCGAACTCCTGACCTCAGGTGATCCACCTGCCTTGGCCTCCCAAAATGCTGGGATTACAGGCGTGAGCCACTGCACCCGACCTGTAATTTATTTTATAAAAAAAAATTTAACCAATTGTTTTTAAAGTGTGTTCAAGTAAAATCAGAACTGAAAGTTTAATTTTTTCTAGTTTACCAAATTGTTGGGTCCCAGTGTCTTCCCAGTCCCCTTTGACTAGAATCTGCTTCCTTCATTGCTCTTTCAAGTACCTTTTCCAGCAACATTCAAAAAGATAGGTTACTATTAAAACCGTTTCTTAAGGTCTTAATTCTCAAATCACTTGCAGCCTTCCAGTGCAGTTTTAAATTTCCTATGAGCATCATTTGGCTTCCAAAGTGGAAAAAAAAAGGAAAAGGAAAAGAAAGAAACCTTATGTTCCCCATTTTGTAAATGCAAAGAAGAAAATGGAGCTGTCCCCCTCATGACCCCATTCCCATTCCCATCATCCCATCATCCCAACATGCCATCATCCCAACATCCCAACATCCCATCATCCCAACATCCCATCATCCCATCATCCCAACATCCCAACATCCCCACATCCCATCATCCCATCATCCCAACATCCCATTATCCCAACATCCCATCATCCCATCATCCCAACATCCCATCATCCCAACATCCCAACATCCCATCATCCCAACATGCCATCATCCCAACATCCCAACATCCCAACATCCCATCATCCCAACATCCCATCATCCCAACATCCCATCATCCCAATATCCCAACATCCCATCGTCCCATCATCCCAACATCCCATCATCCCATCATCCCATCATCCCAACATCCCCACATCCCATCATCCCAACATCCCAACATCCCATCATCCCAACATCCCATCATCCCATCATCCCAACATCCCAACATCCTCACATCCCATCATCCCATCATCCCAACATTCCATTATCCCAACATCCCATCATCCCATCATCCCAACATCCCATCATCCCAACATCCCATCATCCCAACATCCCATCATCCCAATATCCCAACATCCCATCGTCCCATCATCCCAACATCCCATCATCCCATCATCCCAACATCCCCACATCCCATCATCCCAACATCCCATCATCCCATCATCCCAACATCCCAACATCCTCACATCCCATCATCCCATCATCCCAACATCCCATTATCCCAACATCCCATCATCCCATCATCCCAACATTCCAACATCCCATCATCCCAACATCCCATCATCCCATCATCCCAACATCCCAACATCCCAACATCCCAACATCTCGTCATCCCAACATCCCATCATCCCATCATCCCAACATCCCAACATCCCAACATCCCAACATCTCGTCATCCCAACATCCCATCATCCCATCATCCCATCATCCCATCATCCCAACATCCCATCATCCCATCATCCCCACATCCCATCCTGCCATCCTGCTACATGCACTTTCTCCTCCTTAGCCTCTTTCAAAATAACCATCTTGGTACTAAGGCAACGGAGTCAAATAAGATTTCCATCTATGGCTTCAGTGGAACCTCAACACTTCCTTCGAGAGCTACTGGGAAAGTCTCTGCTCCTGGACCTTTACTCTGTGTGCCGCTGGGCTTTATTAGTCAGCACTGAGTTTCATAATTGCCACATACCTATCCATGTGATTTGCCTGAGGTCAACACAGTCTTACCCTCTTCTTACATCATTTTCCCTGTAGAGGAATCTTACTAATATTTGCTATTTGATGCAATGGAAATTCTCAATAATAGGATAATCTTTTAATAGTGTCCTCTAAATGAGGTCAAATCTGTGGGGATATGACCATGAGCCAAATAGCAGTGTCCATCTGGCTCTGTTAAACAGAGAGCAAGGCCTATTATGGGTAAACATAGTTCTTGGGGACACTTTAGGTTCTTGCAAAACAAATCCTTTTCTAAACGATCGGAGATTTACCAATTCTAAAGGGTGGGAAAAACAACCTTGAAAATGTCTCGTGCTGGCTGTCCCTCTGCCACTCCCCTGGAATGCCTGAGAACAAGAGTGAGCACCGCCTGGCCCGCTGAGTTTTGTGAGAAGTCCCAGGACTGAATCGCTTTTGTGCTCATTGTTTCAATGATAAGCAGTCCCTGAGCCTAACTTTATCAAAGGGCCAAACTCACATCTTATTTCCCACAGTTTGGAAGGAAAACATTTATGAATAACATCAATTTTGCAAGAGAGATTGGTATGATAAAAATGGAATAGAAGCAAAAGGGTATGCCTCAAATGACTGACAGTTTCTTTTTTTAAGTCTCTCAGAAAATGATTTGTCTGAAAATACTTTTTAAAAAATGATTCCCTAGTCCCTGTGTTCCTACACTTTAACCAAAGAAATGTAAACATGTCTCTACTGTTTGAGGATTACTGATTGTGTTTGAAATGTGCATTTTTTTAAATGACAAATTCCCAGATTTATTATCAGTCAGTTTATGTATGTGAATAACTAAAAAAGCAGAATGTTAGTCATGAGAAAGAAAGAAATATGCACTGGGATAATAGATATTTCCAGAATGTGAGATGTATGTTCCATTAAGAGAGGGTTTTGGCCAGGTGCGGTGACTCACGCCTGTAATGCCAGTACTTGGTGAGGCCAAGGTGGGCGGATCACTTGAGCCCAAGAGTTTAAGACCAGCCTCGGCAACATAGGAGGACCTCATCTCTACAAAACCCACAAAAAATTAGCTGGGTGTGGTGGTGCATGCCTGTAATCCCAGCTACCTGGGAGGCTGAGGTGGGAGGATCATTTGAGCCTGGGAGATCAAGGCCATAATTGCAACACTGCACTCCAGCCTGGGCCACAGAGTGAGACCCTGTCTTAAAAAAAAAAAGGAAGAGTGTTTTGGTAAATGCTGAATACGTTTCTAGTTTCTTAGTATGTCACAGGCAGGGAAACATGTTCCAAAGTGTGATCATTAGTAATTAATTTATTATTAAATCCAAGAATATCCAAGATTTACTAGGAATGATTTAATCATAGTGTGCCCATGTGACCAGGGGGGAACAGCAGCCAGACAAGGAACGCTGCTTCCCAAAAAGCAAAACAACCACTGTTAGCAGATTTTCACAGTATCGGTTAACTATTCTGCCCAGAAACTCCCTGGATGCCTCCTCAGCTAGGACACTACCAAAGATTTCAAACTTGGTGAATAAAAAATAATCCCAGCACTTTGGAAGGCCAAGGTGAGAGGATTGCTTGAGCTCAGGAGTTCGAGACCAGCCTGGGTAACATAGTGAGACCACGTCTCTCCAAAAAAATAAAACAATTAGCAGGGCATGGTGGTGTGTGCCTATAGTCCTAGCTATTCAGGAGGCTGAGGTGAGGATCACTTGAGCCCAGGAGGTCGAGGCTGCAGTGAGCCATGATCTTGCCGCCATACTCCAGCCTGGGCAACAGAGCAAGACACTGTCTCAAAAAAGAAAAAATATATCAATGCTAGCAAGCAGCAATTAAGAGTTTACTACATGCAAGGCACTTTTCTTAGTGCTTTACAGGTGTTATCCCCATTTTATGCTCCTAACCACCCCTGAGGTGCATGCTATTATTATTCCCATTTCTCAGAGGAAGAAACAGAGGTGCAGGAGACTGATTAAATTGTTCAAGGACAGTCAGATAATAATTGTGAAGTCTGAATTTGAACCCATGCATTCTAACTCACAGTGTTCATATTTCAGCTCCTAAAAGGGCATTCTTGCATTTAGAAAGGAGTCCATGTGAGATAATGCCAACTGCACCATTTTCCTTCACGCCTGTTTCTTTAGTTGAGGGAAGAGAATTGAAAATCAGCATTTTCTTCCGGTTTTTTTTTTACACACTCCAAATTGTAATGTATTCTATCATACCACTATGTGGCTGTGTCATTTTCTACTCCTTCCTATGGTTACAGCGCCATCAGAGTAATGCTGCCTAATGTCATTTATATTAAGAGGAAATGGAAATGGTAAGAGTCCCTTCTTTTTTTTTTTTTTTTTTTTTTTTTTAATTTTTTCGAGACAAGGTCTCACTCTGTCACACAGGCCGGAGTGTGGTGGCGTGATCACAGCTCACTGCAGCCTCAACCTCCTGGACTCAAGCAATCCCCTTGCCTCAGCCTCTTGAGTAGCCTGTGGTCCCAGCTGGATGCACGCCACCACACCCAGCTGATTGTTTTTTAATTATTTGTAGAGACTGGGTTCTGGCTATGTTGCCCAGGCTGGTCTCGAACTCCTGGGCTTAAGCAATCCTCCCTCCTCAGCCTCCCAAAGTGCTAGGATTACAGGCATCAGCCGCTGCCCAGCAAGAGTCTCTTCTTTACCTTTGCCCTTTTCCTCTTGGTCTGATTTTCTGAGGTCGATTTTGGCAGAAGGTCCACTTTTGCATGTATCAGTAATGATCTTGAATGAGCAACTATGAAATTCAACAGCATTTCAGATCAGTCCTGTCAGCTCTGACCTTTGCTGTATAGAGAAATTCTGCTTGCAAGATGAATGAGAAGGAATTACACCAGAGAGAGACAAGGAAATGGGAAAAAATAGAGAATGTAGGCACTTTGTCAACCAAGGGGAGGGAGATAGGGGCAGGAAACAAAAGATAATGATATAAGAGAATCAAGGAAAGCAACAGCTAGAAAAAGGCAGTTTGCAGGTGGTGGAGGCTGCAGTGAGCTGAGATGACACCACTGCCCTCCAGCCTGGGCAACAGAGCAAAACTCTGTCTCAAATTAAAAAATAAAAATAAAAAAAGGCAGTTTGTTCTAGTAAAAATATGCAGAATATTTCAAGGTAGAATATATTCAGTTAATCAATTCTTCCATTGCTAGACACCATGATTTATGTAAGGTATTTCTGAATATTTATTACAAAAATTTTCCATCTAATTTTCCTGCTGTTAATTGTGTTTGAAGAGCCAGAAAAGCTACAGAAGGTGAAATAATACAGAAACCGTAAACAATGGTAACCAGGAAATTAGGGAAACCCATTACTTTTACCATATACTAAAATTGATTTTTTTTTTTTTAGACCGAGTCTTAATCTGTGGCCCAGGCTGGAGTGCAGTGGCACGATCTCGGCTCACTGCAACCTCCGCCTCCCGGGTTCACGCCATTATCCTGCCTCAGCCTCCCGAGTAGCGGGGACTACAGGCGCCCACCACCACGCCCGGCTAATTTTTTGTATTTTTAGTAGAGACGGGGTTTCACCGTGTTAGCCAGGACGGTCTCGATCTCCTGACCTCGTGATCCGCCCGCCTCGGCCTCCCAAAGTGCTGGGATTACAGGCGTGCGCCACCGCGCCCGGCCCCACAGCTGTTTTTAATGCAGAGACCCAGGCCTCTACCTCAGAGAGTCTTGTTTCCAAAGGTCTAGATGGGGCCCGGGGAGGGAGATTTTCATAAGCACCTGTGGTAACTCAGATAGAGGTGGTCTACAGACAAGACTTTGAGAAGCACTGCTCTGGACACTTTTACAGAATAGACTCGACAAATCCACTTGGATTTGTCGGATATGAATCTACTTGGCCTTTGTCACAAATATTATTTTATGAATAACAGAATCATTAGTCCTGTTATGGTTACCCCAAAACTAAGATGATGGAAAAGGAAAATTGAAAGAACCTCACATAACAGCCCTGTAGAGTCGGTAAGAGAGATTCCTTAAAGTCAGTCAGAAAGGAGATTCCTCTGGCAATTATGTACCCTTACTTCCTAACCTGGCCTTGTATAGACCTGTGAAATACCTAAATTTGTCTTTGCTATCTCTACCCCTCAATCCACTTTGTACAATCTCTCCCCAGCTACCTGTCGACTTCATCCTGCACAGGGTGTACACCAAGATGCTGGACAAAGCTCTCAACTCCCAACTTTCCCTCCAGCCTCAGTCTACTTACTTATCAAGATGTTACTCTTGACCAAGAGATTGATAGGTTCATAATATAAATCATTATAATGCAATACTTTCCCACTTTCCCACTTCCCAATTTTCTCCTAACACAATGCCTTCATGACCCAAAGAAGCCAGGCATGTCTGCAAACTTTTTTTTCTTTCTTTTTTTTTTTTTTTTTGAGATAGTCTCACTCTGTCACCCAGGCTGGAGTGCAGTGGAGCAACCTCAGCCTCAGCTCACTGCAACCTCCACCCCCTGGGTTCAAGCGATTCTCCTGCCTCAGCCTCCCAGGTAGCTGGTATTACAGGCGCCCGCCACCACGCCCGGCTCATTTTTGTATTTTTAGTAGAGATGGAGTTTCACCATGTTGGCCAGGCTGGTCTCCAACTCCTGACCTCAGGTGATCCGCCCGCCTCGGCTTCCCATAGTGCTGGGATTACAGACGTGAGCCACCATGCCCGGCCTGCAGAAAACATTTTAATGGGTGATTCTAATCATAGGTATTTCAGGCACTGGTGGCAGGCCAGTGGTGGGGATATTTTTGGTCAGATGTGCCTTTCAATGCCTCATAAATCAGGCTGCCTAGGCAGCTTTGTAATTTTCCCTTAGGCAGTAGCAGTCCTGCACACACACCCCATTGTAACCCTCAGAGGCTTAAGAATAAGGAGAAAGGTGAACAGGAAGTAACATTGAGAAAGGAAAACATGGAGAGTGGATTCACTTACCCTCTCTCAGAAATGTACATTCAAGCCACAGATAAAATAAGAGAAATCCACACGGACTCCACACTTTTCCTTCCCATTCCTGTGAAAGAGAAATAAAATCCAGGATAGCATTTTTTTGGTTACATATGGGGAGAAAAATCAAGGAGATGTACACAACTCGCATCACAGCAAACAGAATTCCTTAACATCAGAAACACTCTTACATACCAACACTCTCTTACACATGGGGACTTGCTGGGCAGTGACCTTCAGTGACCTAGCTTTTGATACCAACTGAGAATACACAACTGGATATTTTTATCCGCATGTTTTCTGCCTCTCTGATAAATGTTATACTAAACAGTGGGAAGCAAAAATACAGTGAATGCATTTTTTCAGACCATATTTACAAGTACACTTAATTTGCACGCCCCCAAATTTTATAGGTTTCACCAAATGCTTCAAGAGAGAAGATTAAGTTTAGGAACAACCTGCCTCTCCAAGTTTTCACTTGCCCCGAGGTTATTATCCTACCAGAACTGGCTAAGGCTCTTTGAGAAGTAGTGTTTAAAGCCTCATATTGTTCAGGCTTACATCTATAATCCCAGCACTTTGGGAGGCTGAGGCAGGAGGATCCCTTGACCCTAGGAGTTCAAAACTGGCCTGGGTAGCATAGGGAGATCCCACTTAATTAATCAAAAAAATTTAAAAATTAGCCGGGCATGGTGCCACGCACCTATGGTCCCAGCTAGTTGGGAGGTTGAGGTAAGAGGATTGCTTGAGCCCGGAAGATCGTGGCTGCAGTGAACCATTATTACGCCACCTAACTCTAACCTGGGCAACAGAGTGAGCCCCTGCCTCAAAAAATAAAAATAAAATTAAAGTTGACTTTTCGGGATTCAATAGCTTTATGAAATGTCTTTTCCTTTTGTAAACACAAAATAACACACGTGTAAGAACAAAACAACAAATACCTTAAGACATCACGAGTAATTTGTAATCTACAGATCTGTAAATGAATAAATAAATGTATAAACTATCAACTTTTTTTAAGACAGGGTGTCGCTCTATCATCTTGATTGGAATGCCGTGGCAAGATCACAGCTCACTGCAGCCTTGACCCCCGGTGGCTCAAGTGATCCTCCCACCCGAGTAGTTGGGACTACAGGCATTTGCCACCATGCCCGGATAATTTTTTTTTTTTTAAGAAGATATAGGTTCTCCCTATGTTGCCCAAACTTAATCTATAAATTTTTGTGGCAATAAACAGATGCTTCCGCTTTCTAACTCTCCCACTGAATAGATAGTTCATTATGTAAATTCCTTACTGAACTGACATGATTTAAGGAGAGATAGGGTTGGGATCAGCATTTTCAGAGTGTCAAACACCATCACAGTCATCATCTCAAGGAATCCTCAGAACAACTTTGAAGTTGGGATTATTATTTCATTTTACAGATGAAGACCACGAGATTAAGGGGAGTAAAGTAACTTGCCATAGGCCAGACAGCTAGCAAACTAGCAGAGCCAAAACCTATAGGTGTTAAGTTAATGAATAAACCTATAGGTGCTAAATGAGCAAATGAAGATCTACAATCCAACAACACTATATCTGCCTGATTCCACACCCTACGCTCCTGCAACTACATCACACTGCTTTAAAGCTCTGAGCTCCCGAACAGTGTCATTTGTTGGATTGTAGATCTTCATTCGTTACTTTAGCACCTATTTCTTGTCAGCCTCCTGTGCGATAGGACCAGTTCTAGGTTCTGGAGATATAGCAGCGCATGACACAAAATCCCTACTCTGCATTCTACACTCTCCATTCTAGTGGGGGAGGTCCTTCAGAAGATCTCTCTAATAATCCCCGCTCTTTCTCTCCATTGTAGGGCTTCTTTTGGGAGTGCTCAATGCCCTAAATGGATTCAGAGAAGTATTTTGTTTCCATCACTAAAGGGAAAATTCAGAACAAGAGACCTCATCCTCTTGATCGTATTGAATACTGTTTTCCCCCAGGTGACTTGAAAGCAGTCAATGACTAAATTCTCCAGAGTAGAAAGCTGTTATAATTGGACAATGGCCACAAAACAGGAGTTTTTGAGTTACACTTAATGCCCAGGAGGAAGCAGCAGAATTCTTCCTCCCACCACCCATTACCGAGCTGACAAGGTCCTGCTCTGTGCTGCGCTCGTTAATTTTCCTTTTGGCTTTAAAGATTTACAACAGCTCCTGTCGGCCCCCCATGTGAGAGAAAGTCAGGGATCCCTGCCCGCCCAAGCCATGGAGAGCTGGCTGGCTTTGTTCCCCACAAGCCTGCCAGGAGCTCCTCGACTCCCGTCATGGTAGCTTGGGAAGATTCACTTGCCTCTGTGAGAAATAACAGTGACCATAAAAGAAAAAATAAATTCTAGGCATTCTTTCAAGCCTTTGGGAAGTTCCGGCACATTCCAGCTGCGAAAGAATTCAAGTCTCTCCACTCATGTCAAAGCTCCAGCCCCTTGCATGTGTGCTTTGCACATTTAATAGAACCAAGCCTAGTAATTAACTCTATAAATTCTCTCCCTGCCTTATTTGTCATGAACTGCAAGCTGATGCTATAGGGAGGTCAACCTGGGATTTAGTGAGTTATTCTCAGGCTTTGGGCAATGACAGATTTCAAAGGTTTGAAGCTTCTCAACATTAAGCATTGCTATTCCAGAGCAAGGAGCCAATCATCTGTGACCCAGAGATTTTGCTGAATATTTTGTTCCTTAAGCTTCAGAAATTCACATCCAAAACTATTTATGGTTGTTGTAAAGAGAAGTCTTCACTCCTTTATACAGTCCAGACAGCCAGATGTTCTTGTGTCTTTTTCTGGGCCCAGGTGCATCCTCCAAATCACCCGTTTGAGCCTCTCCTGTAAATCTCAAACTCACCTATGATTCCATTTAAGAAGACTCGCTTCCTGCTTACCTCCTAACTTTTCTTTGCCTATTTCTTCCTCTATAAAGGAAGGGAGGGCCAGACGCGTGGCTCACACCTATAATCCCAGCACTTTGGGAGGCTGAGGCAGGAGGCTTGCTTGAGCCCACGAGTTTGAGACCAGCCTAGGCAACAAAGCGAGATCCAATCTCTAAAAAAAAAAATTTAAGGCTGGGCGTGGTGGCTCACGCCTGTAATACCAGCACTTTGGGAGGCCGAGGTGGGCAGATCACCTGAGATCAGGAGTTTGAAACTAGCCTGGCCAACATGGTGAAACCCTGTCTTTACTAAAAATACAAAAATTAGCCAGGCATTGTGGTGGGTGCCTATAATCCCAGCTACTCAAGAGGCTGAGACAGGAGAATTGCTTGAACCTGGGAGGCGGAGTTTGCACTGAGCCGAGATCACGCCATTGCACTCCAGCCTGGGCAACAGAGCAAGACTCTGTCTCAAAAAAAAAAAAAAAAAAAAAAAATTAAAAATTAGCCAGGTGTGGTGGTGCATGTCTACAGTCCCAGCTACTCTGGAGGCTGAGGTAGAAGGATCCCTTGAGCTCAGGAGTCTTTGAGGTTGCAGTGAGTTATGATCATGCCACTGCACTCCAGTCTGGATGACAGAGTGAGACCCTGACTCTAAAATAATAACAACAATAGTGAAGGAAGGGAGAAGACTAAAAAGACTAACAAAAGAAGTTGCTTCAAGTTTTCTTAAGGCAAGAAAAAAAAATCATTAAGAAGTGTTCCTGAGGCCAGGCACAGTGGCTTACGCCTGTAATCCCAACACTTTGGGAGGCTGAGGTGGGTGGATCACTTGAGGTGAGGAGTTTAAGACCAGTCTGGCCAACATGGTGAAACCCCATCTCTACTAAAAATACAAAGATTAGCGGGCCATGGTGGCAGGCACCTGTAATTCCAGCTACTCAGAGGGCTGAGGCAGGGGAATCACTTGAACCTGGGAGGTGAAGGTTGCAGTGAGCTGAGATCATGCCACTGCACTCCAGCCTGGTCAACAGAGCGAGACTCTGTCAAAAAAAAAAAAAAAAAAGGCAGGGCACAGTGGCTCATGCCTATAATCCCAGCACTTTGGGCGCCAAGGCAGGCGGATCATGAGGTCAGGAGATCGAGACCATCCTGGCTAACACAGTGAAACCCCGTCTCTACTAAAAATACAAAAAAATTAGCCAGGCATGGTGGCGGGCACCTGCAGTCCCAGCTACTCAGGAGGCTGAGGCAGGAGAATGGCATGAACCCAGCAGGTGGAGCTTGCAGTGAGCCGAGATCACGCCACTGCACTCCAGCCTGGGTGACAGAGCAAGACTCCGTCTCAAAAAAAAAAAAAAAAAAAAGAAAAAAAATTGTCCCTGAGGCCAGGCGTGGTGGCTCACACCTGTAATCCCAGTACCTTGGGAGGCTGAGGTGGGAGGATCACTTAAAGCCAGGAGTTTGAGACCAGCCTGGGCAATATAGTGAGACTGTCTTTATTTTATTTTTTATTATTTTTTTTTTTGGGAGATGGAGTCTCGCTCTGTTGCCCAGGTTGGAGTGCAGTGCCACCATCTCGGCTCACTGTGACCTCCGCCTTCTTGGTTCATGTGATTCTCCTGCATCAGCCTCCCAAGTAGCTGGGATTACAGGCATGCGCCAACACACCTGGCTAATATTTTTGTATTTTTAGTAGAGACAGGGTTTCACCATGTTGGCCAGGCTGGCCTCAAACTCCTGACCTCAAGTGATTGGCCCACCTCGGCCTCCCAAAGTGCTGGGATTATAGGCGTGAGCCACCATGCCCGGCCAAGACTCTGTCTTAAAAAAAAAAAAAAAAAAACTTAAATTAGCTGGGCATGGTGTTGTGCACCTGTAGTCCCTCCTACTGGGGAGGCTGAAGTGGGAGGATGGCTTGAGCCCTGGAGCTCAAAGCTGCAGTAAGCAGTGATAGCATCACTGCACTCCAGCCTGGGCAACAGAGTGAGACTCCAGAAGGAGGAGGAGGAGCAGGAGGAAGAGGGGAAGGCAGAAAATAAGGGGAAGGGAGAAGAAGGGGGAAGGAAGGGGGAGAAGAAGGGGGAAGGAAGGAGAAGAAGAAGGGGGAAGGAAGGAGAAGAAGAAGGGGCAAGGAAGGAGAAGAAGGAGGAAGGAAGGAGAGGAAGGAGAGGAAGGAGGAGAAGGAGGAAGAAGAAGAGGAGGAGGAGGGGGAGGAAAGGAGGAAGAAAGGAGGAGGGGGAAGAAGAGGAGGAGAAGAAGGAGGGGAAGGAGGGGGAGGAGGGGGAGGAGGGGGAGGAGGGGGGAAGAACAGAAGAGAAGAGAGAAGAAAGAATAAGAAGTAGTGTTCCTGAGCATCTAAAACTCGTACAAGTTTAGGCTACTAGTCCTAGAAGTCCAAAGCACTGACCTTGCTAACACAGCAGAGATCATTATTACACCCTACAAAGAGAAGACATTTCTTTATGGCACCACAGATTAGCACTTAATTCCTTCCATACAGAATGCAAGTGTCCTCATGCCAACAGTTGGGAATGAAAAATTAAGGGGTGGAAAAGGAGAAAAGACTAATACAATTCAAACACTAGCCAAGAGAGGCCTGACTGGGGAAATAACGCAAACAAGAAATAATGTGGTGCCCTGGAAGAAATGCTATCAGTAAGTTACAAGTCAGCATTGAGGAAGCCCCGAATGAGACTGTGGAAGACATTCTAGAGAAGACGATCTGAACTAGGTCTAGCATCAGCTTCCCAGCTTTTGAATCTCACTAGGCAAGGGGGACAGAGCTCCCTGTTGTGGTTTATAACAACTGTGATAACAGACACCCAGACTCCCCTGCAATCCAAATACTGTTGTCACTGAGGGCTGCTTTATATGAGTTATCTTCACAATTTTATGGTAACCTCTGAGGCGGGTGCTATTATTATTATTATTCCCATTCTACACATAAGGAAGGGAAGCTCAGGTAAGTAGGCTGTTGTATCACTGTTAGTAAGAGACGCATCCAAAGTCCAAGCTCAAGTCTGCGCCCCAGAGTCCATGCTCTCAGTCATCACACTGAAACACCTCCTCCTGAGCACATGCTTCCTCGGTCTGCAGAGGCAGCTAATGACCCTGGCTCCCCCTGGATCTCTGTCTTCCTTCAGGATCATTTGCTGGAATGATACAGGAATTGAGGCCTGAGACAATGAATTGAGTTAGGAGCTGTAGGTGACTCCCTACAGCAGCAGTTCCCAACCTTTTTGGCACCAGGAACTGGTTTCATGGAAGACAATTTTTCCATAGACACAAGGCAGGGATGTGTAGGGGGCAATGGGTTGGTGCTGGTTTGGGATGATTCGAGTGTATTACATTTCTTGTGCACTTTATTGCTATTATTATTGCATTGTAATATATAATGAAATAATTATACAACTCACCATAATATAGAATCAGTAGGAGCCCTGAGCTTGTTTTCCTGCAACTAGATGGTCCCATCTGGAGGTGATGGAAGACAGCAACAGATCATCAGGCATTAGATTCTCATAAGGAACGCGCAACCTGGATTCCTCATATGCACAGTTCACAGTAGGGTTCACGCTCCTGTAAGAATCTAATGCCACCACTAATCTAACAGGAGGCGGAGCTCGGGGGTTAATGCAAGTGATGGGGAGTGGCTGTAAATACAGACGAAGCTTAGCTTGCTTGCTGCCACTCACTTCCTGCTGTGTGGTCTGGTTCCTAATGGGGGTTGGGGACCTCTGCCCTACAGCTAGTCACCATCAGCAACAGAAGCTTCATCATCCCCATTCTCTTCTTCCTGCTAAGGCTGAGAAAGGTAAGTGCCCTTCAATTTTTTTTTTTTTTAATCACTGACTGTAGGAAATGCTGTCACCATGGTCCTGTTAGCTGATAGTATACCCTATAGAAGAGGTCTGGGTGGATAAGTGGTACTCCGATTGCCTGAAAAGGAAACCATGCATTTGGATAATGGCCAGTAGGTAACAATGTGCAATGATATAATCGTTGTCATATATAGTCTATTCTCTTCCTTCATACTGTGCAAGCTCTTTGAGGGAGAGGTCCCGTTTGCTTTGTTCACATTGCATCCCCAGGCAGATCACAGTGTCTGGCATATTGTAGGTGCTCAAACAATAGTCATTAAATGAATAATTAGATGATGTCTTCAGATTACACCCAGCTATTTTTTATTTATTCAAACATTTAAGAAACATCTATTGAACAGCCGCTGCAAAAAAAAAAAAAAAAAAAAAAAAAAAAAAAAAACCAGCATAATGGAGCGGTTATGTACGTGTAATCTAGAGCCAGATTGCTTGGGTTCAAACACTGGCCCTGTCACTTACCAGTTGTGTGACCCTGGGCTAGCCAACTAAGCTTTCTGTATTTTAGCATCCCAGTCTCTACGTGGAGAAGATACTAGCACCTACCTCACAAGGTTGTTGGGAAGATAAAGTGGATGAATATACTTAGAACAGTGTCTGGCATATCATCAATACCAGGTGTTTGCTACAGTGATGATAATGACATACCAGGCTGGTCAGGGCACTAAGGACACAGGAGTAAAGAAGTCAGGTAGGTCCCTACATTCATATAACTTAGATTCTAGTAAGAGAAACAAACAACCAACCTATAAACAAAATTTCAAAGATTTGTAAACACTGAGAAGGAAATGATGCTTCACTGCCGTGGAGAAAGCCACACTGAAATGGACTTTAGCATGCAGAGCATTTATCAAGGAGTGTCAATGTCAGTGGAGAGCGGGAGGAGAAACTGGAAGTGAGCAGAGAGAGAAGGTGAGCTGCAAAGCATGCCTAGTGATAGCCTCAGCCAACCCCAGAAGGAAGGCAGAAGTGGAATGACCCTTCAGGGTCATCCCAAGTTGACCTGAGGCAGACAGGCCTTCAGATATCCCACTGGATGCTGGCCACCCTAGGATGGGGCATGGCATTGGGGAAATCTCTCTGTGGCTGAAGCAATTCCTATAGGGGCTGACAGCTGGAGACTGTCTGCCACTGGCCCTCCAGCAGCTGCAGCAGCCAGGTCTCCATTGCAGGAGTATCGGCCACACACTCAGTTTGCAGATAGTGTGAGTGGGAGCTACCTAAAATAAAACAGTCACACCTTAAATATTACCTCTTTGAGGAGGTAATATTTAAGCTGATAACCATATGGTGAGAAGGTGGTAGACTTCCAGATAGATAGATAGATAGATAGATAGATAGATAGATAGGAGAAATAAATAGATGGGAGAAAACACTCTTATTAAAGGGAATAACAAGTGTGATATCCCCAGGTCAGAACAAGCTGGCAGCACTTGAAGTGCAGACAGCAAGAAGACCCATGAGGCCAGAGCATGGCATAAAATGAGGTCTGAAGAAGCCAGCAAGGGCCAGAACATGAGAACCTTGCAGGAGTTTAGATTTATTCTAGAAAATGATGAGTAGCAATGGGAGGGATTTATTTTTTTAAAAAAGGTCCCGCTAGCTGAATGGATTGAAGAAAGAACCAAAATGAAAGCAGAAAGAACCATTAAAAGGTTACGGAAGTTTTCCAAACACGAGGTGGCATGTGGATGAAGATAGAGAAAAGTGGCTGTGTTTATATGCAGTGCTCTGTAGGAAAACCCACAAGGCTTGCTAATGGATTAAACGTGGGAAATGAAGGAAAGGGGAATGAAGACTGACTCCTAGTTTTTTGGCTTGATAACTGGAAGGATGATGGTATAAGAGCAGATTTAGGCATGAAAATAAAGAGTTCCATCATGGATTCTTTTGGTTTGAGATGCATGTTAGCCAGTGAGTGGAGATGCCAAGTAGCCAGATACACAAGTCTAGAGCACAAAAGAAGCAACGTCAAAGGCTGAACATCTGTACTTGGAAGGCATAAGTAAACCGATGATATGTTGATTTGTTATTGCTACATTACCATTCCCAACACTCAGTGTTGTAAAACCATTGATTTTTGCTGCCATCTGCAGATTGCCCGGGGTTCAAGTGAGGCATCTCTGCTTCTGTCTGCAGGTCTGTGGGTCAGGTGGGCAGCTCTACTCTGTCTCTCATCCTCCTGGGACCAACAGGCCAGCCAGGCAATGGCGATGGCTCAAGAGGAAGCACTGGAGGCCTTGAGAAAGACCTGGGGGCCGGGCGCAGTAGCTCACACCTGCAATCCAAACACTTTGGGAGGCCAACAGGAGGAGGAGGATCATTTGAGCCCATGAATTAGAGACCAGCCTGGGCAACATGGCAAAACCCTGTCTCTACCCAAAAATACAAAAATTAGCCGGGCCTGGTGGCACACGCCTGTAGTCCCAGCTACTTGGGAGCCTGAGGTGGGAGGACTGACTGAGCCCAAGAGGTTGAGGCTGTAGGGAGCTGTGATTGTGCCACTCCAGTCTGGGCGATAGAGTGAGACTCTGTCTCAAAAAAATAAAAATAAAAATTTACAATAAATAAAAGGTGGGGGCTCATGATACACCTGTACTTCTGTCAATATATTAGTACCAAAAGCAAGTTACACGTCCAAGTCCCACATCAAGGGCAGAAGTATATTCTGCCTGAGATGACACCCTGGATGCAGGAAGTGGGAGAGAGGATAAAATTGGGATCCATAATATAGTCTACCACAGATGAGATGACCAGGATAAGAACATAGGCAGGGCTGGGCGCGGTGGCTCATGCCTGTAATCCCAGCACTTTGGGAGGCCGAGGCGGGCAGATCACGAGGTCAGGAGTTTGAGACCAGCCTGGCCGACATGGTGAAACCCCATCTCTACTAAAAATATAAAAAATTAGCCAAGTGTGGTGGCACATGCCTGTAGTCCCAGCTACTTGGGAGGCTGAGGCAGGAGAATTGCTTGAACCCGGGAGGCGGAGGTTGCAGTGAGCCAAGATCACACCACCTCACTCCAGCCTGGATGACAGAGTGAGAGTCTGTCTCAAAAAAAAAAAAAAAAAAAAAAAAAAAAAAGAATGTAGGCAAAGAACAGGGCCTTGGACAAATCCCTAAGTTACCTCTGCATTTGCTGCTCAACCACAAGAAGAAAAACAAACAAGGATTTAGAAAGAGCAGCAAGTGCCATTGGAGAATAATTAAGAGAAGGTGAGAGAAATGAGAGAGTGAGATTTCAGGAAGAAGACTGTCAAATGTTGCTGAGACGTGAAATCACATGTGAGCAAAGAAGTGGCTACCATAACTGGCAGCCTGGTCGACAAATCCAGATTTCCTATGGCAAGACGAGAAGACAGTTGAGACGGTTTTCATCTCATCCTGGGTTCTCAGAGAGCAAGAAAGCAAATTCTGTGCGGACAATGAAAAAACACCACTCTCTCCAGAATAGGAGGATTAGGAAGGTGAGCAGTGGATGATAAGGTTGGAAAGGTTGTTGAAGGCCAGATTGTCAAAGCTCTTGAACACCTGGCTAAGGAGTTGGAACTTGGTCCATTGGGCAAAAGGGAGTCATCCAAACCTCTCTGAGCACAGAGTAATGTATCTCAAGTTTTGTTTTAGGAAGAAAAATCCAAATGCAATATAAGATGGCTTAGAGAGAGAAGAAAGTGGTGGCAAAAAAGCCAATTATCCCGGTTCTGTTGGTCTGGCCTCTTGCCCAGAACTTAACCTCTCCGGAGGGCCTGGGGTCCTTTTACATTAAGCTGCTGGTGTTTGCAGTTGTTGATTGATTGATTGATTGATTGATTTTGACAGAGTCTCACTCTGTCGCCCAGGCTGGAGTGCAGTGGTGTGATCTTGGCTCACTGCAACCTCTGCTTCCCAGGTTCAAGCGATTCTCCTGCCTCTGCCTTCCAAGTAGCTGGGATTAGAGGCGTGCATCATCACATCCGGTTAATTTTTGTATTTGTAGTAGAGAGGGTGTTTCGCCATGTTGACCAGGCTGGTCTCGATCTCCTGACCACAAGAGATCCACCCGCTTCAGCCTCCCAAATTGTTGGGATTACAGGCGTGAGCCACCATGCCCGACTAGTTGTTGGCATCTTTCTTGCTTGCTTCCTCCTTGCCTGATTGACCTTAGTGGCTTTATGATAACTTTCTAATCGCAATCTGGGTCCTGACCCTCTGCTCCACTTTCCATCCCAGCACTCACTCATTGAGGAAAAGCAGAGGCATCTCCTTCCCTCTTGTGTTCGAGGGGAACCACAGCCTGGCCTATTGGACCAGGCTCACAATTCCAGGCTCCTGCGCACATCTGTCCCCCCAAGTTCCTGCTGCTCTCCTTCCCCAGGTCCCATTCCTGTCCACCCTCCCAGACTCCTCACAGCCTGCTAAACGTCCATGGAGTTCAAAGCATGGTGACAGCACCTGACTTACTGGCGTAGGCTCTATTCTTCTTCCTGTCTCACCTCAGGTGTGGTATTGGAGAGATCTTCCACCTCGTGCAAATGCTGGTCCTATCTAAAGTCTCACTTGGCCCCTCTAGTGACTCTTAGCAGAAAGTTGAGGTGGGGAGAGCATGTAAGCAAGCCCTGATCCCGAGAAGCAGCCACTACCTCCACTATGTGATACCATCTGCACCATTTTGCAAGAAGCCTAAAAGAAAAATACGCCAACAAGTGTCTCACATAATGAAGTATCACTATTAGTATTACATAGTAATTTGGCTTGGAAAATTTTTCCTGCATTCTCACGCCTGGGCTTCCAACAGATCTACAGCAGGATGAACAGATGTTGTTTCTAGAACATAAGGATTACGTGAAATGAACTATAGTTAACGTGAGAAGTCACTATTGCATCTGTGCTAGGAATTTTCCTTGTTGATTTTATAGGGCCAGGAGATTTTTCCATAGCACATACATATTCAGTTGCTATGCATGGTATTTTCCTGTTGTCCACCAGCCAAATATTCTTTAGCTGACTGGTTCCAGTGGGAAATAGAGAAAAGCATAAAACTGGAAATGAGGAAGTAATGACATCAGTGTTCAAATCACAACAAACAACGTGAAAACAAATATTCCACTTTAACCTGATTTATGCTGTTAACGAAGGATTGGATTTGGCAAAATCAGAAACTGCTAACTCTTCTGTGTCACTGCCATTAAGAAACAATTTGTTTTCCTCAATTTGGTGCCTCTTTTGCCAAAAGGGCTCACTGGGAAGTCTTTTCCCATGTAAAGGGACACGTGCACGCTCTCGGATTCCACCACTGGGTTCTAGTTGCACTCCTTGCTACTGAATCCTTTGGTGATCTCTGCCTCTGAGAGCAGCCATGCTACCTGCCTGGTGACAGAGCCACTCTGAGCTGCCTGTTCTGACGTTACGTTACGTTACGTTACGTTACGCTACGCTACGCTACGCTACGTTACGTTACGTTACGTTACGTTACGTTACGTTACGTTACGTTACGTTACGTTACGTTACATTATGCAGGTCCAGAAACAACTTGAACTCCAGACTCTGCTCTCTGACTATTCCATTATTGGATTTATTTCAGTTTGTGATAACCAGACTGGATTACTGTGCTCAAGAGGGACCAGGCTCTTTAGTCTCAGGCTCCATGCTGTTCCCTCCTGCCATGGCCTACCCTACTGGCAAAGCTTCATGTGCTCTGATGTCCCTTGTTGCCTTGGCAGTTAGTCACTAACATCTCATAGTCATTTCTTTGCCATTGTGAATAGTGCTGCAGTGAATATTCACATGCATGTGTCTTTATGATAGAATGATTTATAGTCCTCTGGGTATATACCCATAATGGGATTGCTGGCTTGAATGGTAGTTCTGCTTTTAGCTTTTTGAGGAATCACCACACTGCTTTCCATTGCAGCACTATTCGTAATAGCGAAGACATGGAATCATCCTAAATGCCCATTGATGACAGATTGGATAAAGGAACTATGGTATATATACACCATGGAATACTACACAGCCATAAAAAAGAACCAGATCATGTCTTTTGCAGGAACATGGATGGAGCTGGAAGCCATTATCCTTAGCAAACTAACACAGGAACAGAAAACCAAATACCACATGCTCTCACTTATAAGTGGGAGCTAAATGATGAGAAATCATAAACACAAAGAAGGGAACAGCAGACACTGGGTTCTCCTTTGAGGGTGGAGGAGGGGAGGAGGGAGAGGAGTGGAAAATAACTGCTGGGTGCTAGGCTTAGTACCTGGGTGATGAAATAACCTGTACAGCAAACCCTGTGACACAAGTTTACCTATATAACAAACCTGCACGAGTATCCCTGAACCTAAAACAGAAGTTTTTTCTAAAAAAAAAAGTTACTTCTTAGAGGTGCTCTGCAATACCTTCGTCAAAGGGTAGCTCATAGCCGTTTCTCCACTGAGTCTCCATACTGCTGCAATAGATTATATTTCATAGCTCTTTCCAAAAAGTCTTTTTGAACTAAACTTGTGTAAGTCCCTAAAACATTAGTAGAGGAGGCCGGGCACGGTGGCTCATGTAATCCCAGCACTTTGGGAGGCTGAGGCGGGCAGATCACCTGAGGTTGGGAGTTTGAGACCAGCCTGACCAACATGGAGAAACCCCATCTCTACTAAAAATACAAAATTAGCCGGGCATGGTGGCAGGGGCCTGTAATCCCAACAACTCAGGAGGCTGAGGCAGGAGAATCGCTTGAACCCAGGAGGCGGAGGTTGCAGTAAGCCGAGATCACGCCATTGCACTCCAGCCTGGGCAACAAGAGCAAAACTCCATCTCAAATTGTCACACTTGAAGCTGCCATTTAGACTGTGTCCTTTGGGTCCCTGAGGTGGGATATGGCCCACTGTCTCTCTTGTAGCCTCATGTCCTTCAGTGTGTTATTTGCCTTTCCTAAATGAATCCTATCCCTACTGTCACCTCCAGATGAAACAAGGATGCATTAGTAACACTAGTCCCCAGTCTCTCAGTTCCCCAGGTGTAGCCCTACCATACCCTGGGTTATATTTTTAAAGGAATGGAGACCATGACTATAGGCTGCGTAAGAGTCAAGTTACTCAACTATTTATTAAGCACCTTTTTATGCCCACTACCAAGGAGTTCCTGGCACTCAGCTATCATCACTAGTCTCAACAGGAATCCCTGGAAGGGTGATTACATCACATGCTTTTCACAGCCCCCTTGACCTCCAATAGCTGTGGTGTAATACTGGGTGATCATGGACACAGAATAGAGCAAGTCTAGGCCGCAGATGACCCCAAGGCAGATGCAATGCAGCTGACTCTCACATCCTCCTCCATCCTTCAAAAGGTTCAGAGTAAACAGTGCCTTTATGTTATGGTCATTATTCTGTGATTCCCTTCTCTGCTTCATTACCTCATGTCTGTTGCTTTGACTATAAACACAGACCAAATGCCAAGACAGAGAGTAAAGTCACCAGGAAACCCAGCTCCAGTGCCAAACCCACCTTTGCACCCTTGGACTGCAGCTATGTTTGTTTAAGGATGGCAGGAAAAAGGTGCACACATGGCTCAGTGCTCATTTGCTTCCTGCTCTGTTAGGTATTAAACCTCAGAAACTAGGGCAACTCTCAGTCTCTCTCGCTATAGCCAACTGACTAGAACATTAACCTCCAGTTTAACATCTGATATGGTTTGGCTGTGTCCCAACCCAAATCTCATCTTGAATTGTAGCTCCCATAATTCCCACGTGTTGTAAGAGGGACCTGGTGGGAGATAATTGAATCATGGGGGCGGTTTCCCCCATACTGTTCTCATGGTAGTGAATAAGTCTCACAAGATCTGATGGTTTTATAAGGGGACACCCCTTTTGCTCGGTTCTTATTCTTTACTTGCCTGCTGCCATGTAAGACGTGCCATTCACGTTCTGCCATGATTGCGAGGCCTCCCCAGCCACATGGAACTGTGAGTCCATTAAACCTCTTTTATAAATTACCCAGTCTTGGGTATGTCTTTATCAGCAGCATGAAAACAGACGAATACAACGCCCAATGAGTGTTTGCCTCCTCTCCTCTTCTCTTCTTTTTTCTTATCTCCTCCCAAGTTCCTGTAAGCTAAACACCATAATGTAATAAGCAAGAAGTATATGTTGCAGGATTTCTCTTGTTTATGGTTCTTATAGAAAAAATATTGTTGATTATCTTAACCTGCATGTAACTTATAATAACAAAAAGATTCCTGTCAAATAATTCTCCCTTAATAAATTCCCTTTGCCATTATAAACTAAGACATGACCTTGAAGAATTAATACCCAGACAATACAACATTTGTGTGTTATTTAATTAGCTTACTGCTTTTGTTAATGTACATTCCTGTGGTCACACACCACTTTCCACTCAAACCTAAAAAAAATGCTACACGGGATGAAAAACTTTTTTACCAGTGTGTCCATATTTATGCTCCCTTAAAAATCGTTTTTAACCTCCTAGCCAGGAGTTTTGAGGTTATCTCAGGACAATAGCTAATTTATTAAGTCCTAGACAATTATAACAACAATAAGCCTTTGTGCAAACTTTTGGCATACTAGAGATTTGGGGTTAAAAAAAGAGAGAGAGAGAATTTGTCAGATCCAGCAGAGACCACTGTCATTTTGGTACCATCTAATCCCCATTATGAAGTGATTTTTATCAAACTGGGAAGTGATCATCTGGCAGCATAAACGACACTGGAGAAACGAATTCAATACATCAGAGAGGTTATTCCATGTCATCTACATGCTCAAACAGGAGAGACAGAGAACATTGGCTCTCATAAATCCTTAGTTTCCGGCCAAAGGCCTCTCAGAGCTCTTGGCTGCCTAATCAGATGTCTGGGATTGTGAAAGCAAATGAAGTTTATGGAGCTGAGGGGGAACTTCTGATTTACCATAAAAAGGAGGTTTGAACTGGATAACTTTTTCAGTATTCTACATAATTATCTGATAATTATGTAATTATCTAATAATTATTATCTCCATTTTACATATGACACAACGAAGACTACAGAGAGTTGAGAAACTTGCTCACAGTCCGGCAGCAAGGAAATGATGGATTCAGAATGCAAATCTTCCCACCACACCCACATCACAGAGGAAGCTGCAGATCTTTACCGGTGATTCCATTTCAGCGCCCCCAGGTTGCCCAGTCTGGGCATGATGTAGTAACCCGGTGACTCACAGCACCGCACTCATGAGGTTGAGAGTCATTCAGTGATTCAGCAAGTACTACTGGGCAGCTACTGTGTGCCAGGCACTGGTCTAGGTGCTAGGGATACAGCAGTGAATGGAAAAAACTGCTGTCCTCACCGAGTTTACACTCTACTCAGGGGTAATAGATAAATAAATAAGTACATAATAATGTCAGGTAGTGATGAGTGCGATGAACACAGATAAGGAAGGGCAGGGGGCAGTGGCTCATGCCTGTAATTCCAGCACTGTGGGAGGCCAAGGTGGGATGATCGTTTGAGGCCAGAAGTTTGAGACCAGCCTGGGCAACACAGCAAGACTCTGTCTTTACAAAAAATAGAAATAAAAAATAACTGGGTGGGATGGTGTACGTCCATGGTCCTAGTTACTTGGAAGGCTGAAGACAGAGCAGCAGGAGGATCATTTGGGGCTGGGAGGCGGAGGCTGCAGTGAGCCAAGATTGTGCCACTGCAGTCCAGCCTGGGCTACAGAGTGAGACCCTGTCTCAAAAATAAATAAATAAATAAAATTTAAAATTATATGTATTTGAAAAGAAGAAGAATACATTTGAGCAAAGACTGAAGGAAATTAGGGGAGAGGGAAGAAAGTGACCCATGTGGTATCTGGGAAAGAGCATTTCAGGCAGAGGGAATATCAAGGGAAGGGCCTAAGCAGGAAGCTTAGACAGTTAAGGAAAAGTTCTTAGAATATTGCGCCAGGCTGCAGCAGAGCGAGCAAAGTGGTAGTTGAAAGAGATGAGGGGCATGGGGTGGCAGGGATGGAGGGGATCAGGAAGAGCCCTATGGCTTCTGAAAATAATTGGGATTTTACTCAGTCTGGAAGTCTTTGGAAGGTTTTCTGTAGCAAAGTGATATAGTCTGATTTACATTTTAAGAAACTCACTCTTAGTTGCCAGCTAACTTGGCTGTCACCAGTTAGCAAGGCCCCAAACCACAAACAGAATGAGAGGTAAGATGATAGTGCAAAAAGCACAGGTTTGGGAACTAGATCTGTTTCCAAATCTCAGCCTTCATCATCTGCTGGCTCTATTAACCTTGCAGTTGTTACTGTAGCCTCTCTGAGCCTCAGTTTCCTCAACTGCAAAAGGAAAAAATAACCTCCTCTATACTTATTAATTAAATATAAAGCACATGAAATATAGTAGTTAGCACTAAAAAATAAAAAATAAAAAAACCAGCCTTGTAGTTATTCGATTTAGTGATCAACTATTGAGTTACTTTATCATTATTAAAAATAATGCAGGCAAAAATTAGCCAGGCATGGTGGTACACACCTGTAGTCGTAGCTACTCAGGAGGCTGAGACACAGAATTGCTTGAACCTGGGAGGTGGAGGTTGCAGTGAGCCGAGATCGCACCACTACCCTCCAGCTTGGGTGACGGAGGGAGACTCTGTCTAAATAAATAAATAAATAAATAATACAGGCAAGACCTGGATTGAATAATATGTCTTCTCTGCCACTAGAATAATCACAACAAAAAATTAACAGTGGGGAAAAAATGAAAGAAAGATGTGCTCTTCCTTGCTCTTAAAAAACAACCCGGAAAATTGTATCCTAGGAAATTTTTAAGTATATACAAATAATTGTAAAGCAAGTAATGAATCTTAGTTCATTGTACATAGTTTCAGTAATTAGCATTTATCCAATCTTATTTTATCTTGTTTTTCTGGAATATTTTAAAGCAAATACCAGATATATTATCATTTCAACTATAAATCCTTCAGTTTGTATTCCTAACAGAAAAGAAGTTTTTGTTAACATAACTCCAATACAATGATTGTGTCGAACAAAACTAGCAATCATTTCTTAGTATCATCTAGTTAGTACCTAGTCCATGTGCAGATTTCTCAACTATCTCAAAAGTATCCTTTTACAATTATTTTGCTCAAATCAAGATCTAAACTAGGCCCATCAATTGCAGTTAGCTGATAAGGCTGTCAAGTCTCTCTTTATTTATTTATTTATTATTATTTATTATTTTGAGACGGAGTTTTTTTGTTCTTGTCGCCCAGGCTGGAGTGCAGTGGCACGATCTCAGCTCATTGCAACCTCCACATCCTGGGTTCAAGCGATCCTCCTGCCTCAGTCTCCTGAGTAGCTGGGATTACAGGCACATGCCACCACTCTTGGCTAATTTTTGTATTTTTAGTAGAGACAGGGTTACACCATATTGGCCAGGCTGGTCTCAACCTCCTGACCTCAGGTGATTCACCCGCCTTGGCCTCCCCAAATGCTTAGATTACAGGCGTGAGCTACCTCGCTTGACCTCAAGTCTCTTTTTATCTGCAACAGTCTCTTCTTCTTCTTCTGCCCCTTCCCCTGCTCCTCCCCTACTCCCTCTCTCTCTTCTCTCCTCCTTCCCCATCACCTCTCCTCTGTCTTTTGCTTTGAAAAAACTGTCCCTCTACATGCAAAGACATCAAATACTATACTGGGGACACTCTCCAGTGCTTCAGAGAGGAGTAAGAGGAATGCTTTTTTGTTTCCAAGAGAGGAGGTGAATACTATGAACTCCCGTAGAGAAAATACCATGTAATATGGTGAGGAGATGGCTGAGAGCCGACTTAGACTTTTTAATATGGGTATAAAGGGCTGTCATGGAAACGGACCATATGATCTGAGGCTTCTCTTCCAGTCCTAGAATTATCTGGGATCTATCAAGAGATAGGTATTTAGATGATTACCATGGGAAAATGACCAACAGAATTTCCTGTTTTCTGTTAAGGAGCAACCAGAAAATGTTTCCTTGTTGGTTAGAAATGACAAAAGTGTTTCCTTCCTGCCTGGTGGAAAGGAAGGGGATAGGCCGGTTGTCACTATGAAAGGCCGATGCTGCCCTTAGCACTGATGGCCTAATTGGGTTGGTTTAGCTAAATCCAACTCTGGAGTCATAACTAAAGCTAGTCAGCCTTTATTAATACTGTCAGGTAATTCTTAGAACAAGACTAAAAAGAATTACAGGGATACTGATAAATTCTGAATGAGCAGAAGTGGTTTTTTGAGATGAGAGAAAAGAAAACCAGGTTAAGATAGCTCCTTTTGATTCCATACCATGGTATAAGTAAGTTTTGCCAAAGGATCACTTGTGGAAATAACTACCAAGGTGCTAAACTTTCAAGATCTTGTCCAAGAAGTGACTTCTGAAAGCAAGTACAAAAGTCACATTTAGATATTGGTTCCCATACAGTTAAAGAAAGTGTATTTATTTAATTACTTTATTTAACTATCAGGTACAAAATCCCTTTGCAGACTTTAATAAAACCTGGGATCATGCCACTTCACTCCAGCCTGGGCAAAAGAGCGAAACTCTGTCTCAAAAAATATACATATATATGGTGATAAAGTTTCCCATTTTCCAATGCAGCTTCACATTTGAACAGCTCTAATTGATACAGCATTATGGCAGGGTTTTTGTGTGTGAGTGAGATCCAAAACACTCAATCATGTAAAAGGGTACAGTCCTGTTGTATGTTAACACACTGATCATATAAGCCTATGAGATGAGCCAATCACCAATTATGTTACAGTCGAATCTGCTTTGTGTTGGGATGCTTTAATGTAGGGTTTCACTAAATAAATGAATTTTCATATACTGAACTGAAAAAAAAGACCAAAATTAGAAATGAAGTATATTTGTATTCATTGCAAATTATTTTGGACTTGGGAATCCTTTTGAAATGCCCACGTGAATCAACAAGCAGTGGGAGGTGAAGAAAAAGAGCGTGGTCTCCCACTCATAGCTAATTCTGGCTCTGGTAATCAGAGAAACATAAGAGGCAGCCAAGTAAGGACTGGCAGCTCCAACCGGCTTGTTTTGTTATTTTGTCTTTGACTCAGTAGTCAACCTTCCTTTGGCATTCATTGGAGTGTGACCTAGGACTAGGCCCACTGTGTTCTGAGTATAATAATTCCTCATCAAAATGTAAAGCCAGGAGTCTAGTTGAATGGGAGGGCCTATCACATGGCTGAAAATGATGCAGGACAGGCAAGCCCCAAAATTAGGGTTTAGCCCAGGAGGGTTCTTAGCTTCACCCAGGAAAGAATTGTGAAAGGAAAATCTTGGAGTCCCAAAATCATTAAGCTAAAGGGAAAAGTCAAGCTGGGAACTGCTTAGGGCAAAACTGCCTCCCATTCTATTCGAAGTCACCCCTCTGTTCACTGAGATAAATGCCTATCTGATTGCCTCCTTTGGAGAGGCTAATCAGAAACTCAAAGTAATGTAACCATTTGTCTCTTATCTACCTATGACTTGGAAGCCCCCTCCGCACTTAGAGTTGTCCTGCCTTTCTGGACCAAACCAATGTTCATCTTATATATGTTGATTGATATCTCATGACTTCCTAAAATGTATAAAACCAAATAGTCCTCTGACCACCTTTGGCACATGTCATCAGGCCCTCCTGAGGCTGTGTCACCTATTTATTGGCAAAATTAACTTTCCAAATTAACTAAGATCTGTCTCAGATATTTGGGGTTCACAGAATCCAAGGGTGAGTGGTGGCATTAGAAAGCAGGGCTGCTCCATGCGCTGTGTGCCCAGATGAGCAGCTCACAGGCAGTTCTGTACTCGTATCTATACCCACTTTTAATTATATGCAAATTAAAGTGCAGTTTATGCAGACATTTCTAGGATGAGGGTGGTAACTTCTGGGTTATCAGAGTTGTTGCCATAGAAAGGGGCAGTAGCTTCAACATGAGTGTTGCCATAGCAATGGTAATCTGACATGGCACACTAGTGGGTGTGTCTTACAGAAAGCTGCTTCCACCAGGACCTGCTTTTTGTTTTTTGTTTTCTGAGAAGGAGTTTCCCACTTGTTGCCCAGGCTGGAGTGCAATGGCACGATTTCGGCTCACTGCAACCTCCACCTCCTGGGTTCAAGCGATTCTCCTGCCTCAGCCTCCCGAGTAGCTGGGATTATAGGCACGGACCATCAGGCCCAGCTAATTTTGTATTTTTAGTAGAGATGGGGTTTCTCCATGTTGGTCAGGCTGGTCTCGAATTCCCGACCTCAGATGATCTGCCCGTCTCGGTCTCTCAAAGTGCTGGGATTACAGGCCTGAGTCACCGTGCCTGGCAGGACCTGTTTTAGCTAGTCCTTGGTTTGGTCCAGTGTCCAAGCCCCGCCTCCGGAGTCGAGTCCTCCTCCTGCCTCACTCCCTGCTCAGAGATTAGATACTCCATTTTTTTTGTTTGTTTGAGACAGAGTCTCACTCTGTCGCCCAGGCTAGAGTGCAGTGTGCAGTGGGGTGATCTGGGCTCACTGCAAGCTCCGCCTCCCAGGTTCACGCCATTCTCCTGCTTCAGCCTCCTGAGTAGCTGGGTGCCCGCCACCACGCTTGGCTGATTTTTTTATTTTTATTTTTATTTTATTTTTTATTTTTTTTATTTTTAGTAGAGACGGGGTTTCATCGTGTGAGCCAGGATGGTCTGGATCTCCTAACCTCGTGATCCGCCCGCCTTGGCCTCCCAAAGTGCTGGGATTACAGGCGTGAGCCACCGCGCCCGGCCTAGATAACTCCTTAATCTCAAGGGGGCTGCAGAAGGGCGGAGGTCCATCTTCTGTAACTGCTTCCTACTGAGTTCATGGGCAGTCGGCCCCACGTAGCACTGGAGGAGTAAAAATCTCTGGATAGCTGGTCTAAGGGGCCCAAAGGCAGGACGTGTTCACTCTCCAGATCAGCAGACCAGATGGGTTGGAACTAGCTGGTCCTCAGTTTGGTCCAGTGTCCAAGCCTTGCCTCCGGAGTTGGGTCCCACCCCCTGCCTCAAAAAGAAGGCACAAATCTCACTAGGTGGGAAGGAAGCAAGAAGTATCTGCAGATAAAGGGAATGGGAGCGGACCACAGCTCTCCACTCGAAAATACATCTCTTCATCTCCTGTGTTTGTCCTACCTCTGGGAATTAAGTTTCTGACAATAAAGCACACGCTAGAGGTAGCACATGCTGTGCGAGGGTTGCCAGTTTGGGTTCAGCGCCCTGAATTACCCTATATATTTTTTTAATAGTTAGCCATGTCTTTTAAGGTCCAGAATTGATAGAAAGAGCAAAATTTTTAATTTTTTCCATTTTAAATTACAATAGGAGGAATTTTGGTTAGATTTGACCAAGATTCTAGTTTATAGTAAGTTGCTTTTAAAGGAAAAAAAATGAAAAGCCAGCCACTGATAAAGGCTGTTCTTTGGAAAAAGACATAATGTACTAATCCCATTTCCTCAAACTAAAATCAATAAGACCAATGGGAAAATACAGGGAGACAGGTTTCAAGTCAGTACAAGGAAGAACATTGTAACACTTTTATCGGCATTAAACATATCACTCCCTGAAGACACACAACAATGGAAATAGTCACGCTTGGATGACTTCTTTTTGTTTTTGTTTGTTTGAGACAAACAAACTCAGCCACCCAGGCTGGAGTGCAGCGGCATGATCACGGTTTGTTGCAGCCTCGACCTCCCTGGGCTCAGATGATCATCCCACCTCAGCCTCCCAAGTAGCTGGGGCCACAAGCATGCACTACCATGCCAGCTAATTTTTGTAATTTCTGTAGAGACAAGGTTTCACCATGTGGTCCAGGCTGGTCTCAAACTCCTGCAAGATTAGATGACTTCTTATTAGGAAATAGACTACCAATGATTTCCAACCACAGTAGGTCTGAAGATCCTTAGCATAAAGAATTTTGAGAACCCCCCACCCCCAGGGTAGTATTTGCACTCTAAGAATCTATTTAGAACCAGTATGCCACAATAACTGTACACTTAAAAATGATTAAAATAGTAAGTTTTATGTTATATTTTACCACAATAAAAAATATGATGACAGCTGGGCGCAGTGGCTTATGCCTGTAATCCCAGCACTTTGGGAGGCCAAGGCAGGCGGATCACCTGAGGTCAGGAGTTCGAGACCAGCCTGGCCAACATGGTGAAACCCCATCTCTACTAAAAATACAAAAATTATCTGTGTATGGAGATAGTACCATTGCACTCCAGCCTGGGGGACAAGAGCGAGACTTCGTCTCAAAAAAAAAAAAAAAATTAGCGGGGCTGTGGTGGCACGCCTGTAATCCCAGCTACTCAGGAGGCTGAGGCGGAAGAATCACTTGAACCTGGGAGGCTGAGGTTGCAGTGAGCTGAGATGGCACCACTGCACTCCAGCCTGGGAGACAGAGGGAGACCCTGTCTCAAATAAATAAATAAATAAATAATAACAAGGCCAGGCACGGTGGCTCACACCTGTAATCCCAGCACTTTAGGAGGCCAAGGCGGGCGGATCACCTGAGGTCAGGAGTTTGAGAGCAGCCTGACCGATATGATGAAACTCTGTCTCTACTAAAAATACAAAAATTAGCCGGGCGTGGTGACATGCGCCTCTAATCCCAGCTACCCGGGAGGCTGAGATGGGAGGTTGAGACAGGAGAATCGCTTGAACCCGGGAGGCGGAGGTTGCAGTGAGCTGAGATCATGCCATTGCACTCCATCCTGGGCGACAAGAGCGCAACTCCGTCTCAAAAAATAATAATAATAAAATAAAATAAATTTGTATTTTATTACAATAGCATTTGCAGATAGGAAACTCGTGTTTATTATTCCTTTTATGAATTTATTGACTTATGGAATGCCTAATATGTAGCAGGCACTGAGGTAGGCACTGAAGACACACAGGTAAAACCAATACGGCGCCTGACCTCATCGAGCACAGATACATGCAAGATGTGCTATTTATTGTGTCTACAGACAATGCTCACAGGTGGATGGGAGCACCCTGTCTCTGACTCCTCAGAATTAGCAGTTGCTTCCTTCTTTAGCCAGCAAACTTCTGCTGTATACATTATAAACAAACACACAGGTCAGGAATAATACTTGGTTACCAGTAATGTGATAAAGTGTGAACACCCAAAATGCCCTTGACAATGAAAGTAACTGATACGTGTTGATTTGTCACTCTAGGTCTGGAATTTTATGTCTATTGTTCAAAAAGAAAAAAGAAAAGCCTGCTTTTCAAAGTTCTTAGCATGGACATTTTGGGGATCTCCAAAGCAAGACTATGAACTAATAATTTAAAATAAAGAGGCTTTGCTTTAATATCACACTCAATTTTGCTCTTGTAAAAGAATAGTCGGATAGTTAACAATTTACCTGATACGCTGGGTGCCTGCCAAGGTACTTGCCGGTTTTATTCTAAAATATGTCCTGCCAGGGGGACAAATGAGAGGGATTCCTCCATTTTGCATCTGTGTTTCATACCTGTGCTCTTAGCAAAGGAGTAGGTTGTGGGGGAGAAGGAGGGTCTTTTATATTCAGCTGTATGTACTATTTGACATCAGAGACCCCATGAATAATCACTCTTTTTTCCATTCGGCCACCAGCTAGCAGGTTGCAATTCTTTCCTACCTGGAGCGCTGCAGGGGGTGGGGCAAGTGGAGACATTACTGGACATTTGCATTTAAAGAATTAATAAAAATTCCTTATTTGCCTGAAAGCCCCATGAAGTTTATAACCTTGACGCTTTATAGCCCCCTGCACTGGTTTCTCTCCTGGTATGGCCCAACGAAGCAGCATAAATCTGTATTTTAAAGTATGCAATTAGTAATGTGCTACTGGACCGCATCCTGGAACTATGCAGTTCCCTTGGCCACAGAATTTCACAAAAGGGAAACAAACAATACAGAACAATGAAAGGCATTCCCTGAGCGATACTAACCTTGAGGTCACCCATATTAATGGCAGCTATTCCACGTGAACATTTCTTACTTCGAGCAAACAATGTGTCGAGGACAAAAAGGTCAAAACTGCCTTTCTTTGGGTTGACATAAAAGAACTTTTTAATTATTCTTGCCTAGAAATGGACATTACTGGGACTTCTGGGGGCTGATTTTCAGGGTTTAGTTTGCAGACCTACCATAGGATGCTCTGAGATCCACCCTTACAGCAGTCCCTGAGCCCAGGCAACCTCTAGGGTCCTGCACCCTTCTAGGGAAAACACAGAAAAAGGAGATTAGGGCTGTTACCAAGACCACTAGACTCCTGAGAATGGGTCCTGATGGAAGAAGGTGGGAGTCTCCACCGCCAACACCCTGCAGGTGCAGGGAGGAGGTGGGAGCACTGGAAAGGGAGTACCTTTGGAAAATTCAAGAATATTTCCTAGGTCGGGTGCGGTGGCTCAGGTCTGTAATCCCAGCACTTTGGAAGGCCGAGGTGGGTGGATCACTTGAGCTCAGGAGTTCGAGACCAACCTGACCAACGTGGTGAAACCCCGTCTCTACTAAAGCTACAAAAATTAGCCAGGTGTGGTGGCAGACGCCTGTAATCCCAGGTACTCGGGAGGCTGAGGCAGGAGATCGCTTGAACCCGGGAGGCGGAGGTTGCAGTGAGCGGAGATCGGGCCATTGCACTCCAGCCTGGGCGAAAGAGCGAGACTCTGACTCAAAAAAAAAAAAAAAAAGATTTCCTGACCTCAAGGAGAGAGAAAGAACCTAGGCCTGGGCTTGGCAACTGAAGAACACCAATTAGGGCTCCACAGGCCTGCCTCTCTTGTGTAACCTTTAAAAAGGAATTTCTTGGAATGTAAATGGAATCCCAAACTGGTGAGGCCACTCAGGGATTTGGTAGAGACTCAAGCGCCCTCTAGAGGCGACGCTGCGGTGTCTGGTCATTGGGCTGCTTGAGGAGGTTTGAGGAGGCGTGGGCGGTAGAGGGTAGGGGTTGGGGTGGGGTAGTTACCAAACACAAAAACAGGAGAAGGTTGTCAAGACACAGCACCCCTGGGAGCTGCCAAGGCAGCCCTAGTTAATAAGAGCGGTTCCCAAAAGCAGCAGTATCTTCTATTCCTGATTGTCACCCTTAAGGGAAACTGAAATTAGTCTTTGCTGACTACTTAACATCTGGGGATAGAGTGGGGAGGAAGAGCAGTCTTGCTTTGTTTTTTGAGACAGGGTCTTGCTCTGTCACCCAGGCTGGAGTCCAGTGGCGTGATGACAGCTCACTGCAGCCTCAACCTCCCAGGCTCAAGTGATCCTCTCACCTCAGCCTCCCAAGCAGCTGGGACTACAGGTGCACACCACCACGCCTGGCTAATTGGTAGTTTTTCCATCTTTTGGAGACCACTTTGTGCTCTTGAGCCCTTTTATGCTACACTGTCTGGATCCTTGACTCCAAAATTAATTCTTCTTATTTCTTCCTCTGAAAAACCTTTGCAGACTTCAACTTTACCACCTATCCGGGAACCTGACTCAGGCCACTGCCTCTCACAATGTCCCTAGTGAGACAGCCACTCTACAGAACATAGCTTGCTCACCACCGCTCCCACTGCTCTGACCATAGGAGGAGGCATCGTCCTCCCTTTTGCCACACCTTTGTAACCCCACAACAGGCTCCTCTAGTGACTGACTCATCACAGCAGAACACCACCTAAGGCTTCCACAAAGGTTCAAAAGCAACCAACTGGAGACAATATAAGATCACCTATCTTCTAAAATGTGAACTAAATGAATTAGAATTATCTAGGGTGTTTGTTATAAATAAGATTAAGGACCACATTCAGAATTTTATTTATTATTATTATTATTATTGTTATTGAGACAGAGTCTCACTCTGTTGCCTAGGCTGGAGCGCACTGGCGCAATTTTGGCTCACTGCAACCTCAACCTCCCAGACTCAATCTATCCTTCTACCCTAGCCTCCCGAGTAACTGAGACTTACAGGTGCACACCAACACGCCTGGCTAATTCGTGTATTATAGAGACAGGGCTTCACCATGTTGCCCAGGCTGGTCTGAAACTCCTGGTCTCAAAGCAATCCTCCCACCTCAGCCTCCCAAAGTGCTGGGATTACAGGTGTGAGCCACCATGCCCATTAAATACTTCAAATTTTAATTAGAATTTCTGGAAGTGGGTCAGATATCTGCATAGATGGCAAACTTCCCAGGTGGTATTTATGCACATTAATATTTGTTTTTGGTTTTTCTTTTTGAATTTTTTTTTTTTTTTTTGAGACAGAGTCTCGCTCTGTCGTCCAGGCTGGAGGGCAGTGGCACCATCTCGGCTCACTGCAAGCTCTGTCTCCCGGGTTTACGCCATTCTCTCGCCTCAGCCTCCTGAGTAGCTGGGATTACAGGCATGCGCCACCACGCCCAGCTAATTTTTTGTATTTTTAGTAGAAACGGGGTTTCACCGTGTTAGCCAGGATGGTCTCGATCTCCTGACCTCGTGATCTGCCCACCTTGGCCTCCCAAAGTGCTGGGATTACAGGCATGAGCCACAGTTCCTGGCTCATGCGCATTAATATTTGAACCACTGGCATGAAGAATAATTTTTAACTGTTATAAGATGTGGCTCTTCTTAGCGCCTAGAGAACCAGGTCCCAACACGGGGAAACCTTCCATGCATAGATTTCAACCTGCATTATTCCGTCAAACATTGTCCCACCCCCACCACTGGAAGTATACTGGTATGTCTGCTAAGTAAAGCCCTCCCAGGCAAAATGCCAAAAGACCCAGAGAAAGAGTTCTCCTTTTGTCCTTAGGCTAAGGCTTGCCCAAGTCCTTATTTCCAGTCCCAGGAATTGTTTCTTCCAAGACGACTGACCTGGGAATTACCACTGCCATGATGGAGACCACCTCCGAAATCCACAAAGGTATGATCTTGCTCTCAGAGACTCAGGACAATCACTTTAATATGCTTCCAAAAGTCGGGATTATTCTTTTCCTAAATAACACCTCAGGTCAGGCCTTGACAGTCCCAGCTGAGCTTGCTCAAGTCTAACCCAGTTTTTTTTATAGTCTCTCCTCTGTTATAAGATAAAGATGATGCCTAAGGCCAGGTGTGGTGGCTCACACCTGTAATCCCAGGACTTTGGAAGGCCAGGGCAGGAGAATCACTTGAGTCCAGGAGTTCGAGACCCATGTGGGCAATGTAGTGACAACCTGTCTCTACAAAAAAAATTTAAAAAATAAAAATCACCCAGGAATGGTGGTGTGCTCCTTAGTTAGCCTCTTAGGAGGCTGAGGTTGGAGGATCGCTTGAGCTCAGGAGGTCAAGGCTGCAGTGAGCCATGATCAGACCACTGCACTCCAGCCTGGGCAACACAGCAAGACCCCATCTCAAAAAAAAAAAAAAAACATAAAGCCTATATCCCTTCCTTGAACTGGAAATACAGCAGAATTCCTTAAGAAAAAGCAGGTGGTAACAGAAGAGAAAGCCCCATACCTAGAAAAGAGACATTTTGAATTCTTTGATCCTAAAATGTGATCGATTTTTAGACAGACCATCAATATGGTGCAGGGTTGTTATTTTTTCCAAAAACGACCAGTATATTAAATGCACACAAAAATGTTTTACCAATCAACCACAGCATACATTTATTCATGCAATTATATTCCACTTTGTTGTGTTCTGTTACAATCAAAGTTTGAGGCTTCTCTTCCTCATGAACTTCCAAATCACTTCTTACGGACAGCATGGTGTACGGCATCCAGTGGCGAACCTCCATGTACCATAAAACTTGCTCATCTTTACCACTTTGCGGACTAACAGGATAATGTCAAGGCATATTAAAGAATTCCAGGTTGTGGCCGGGAGCGGTGGCTCACGGCTGTAATCCCAGCACTTTGGGAGGCTGAGGCAGGCAGATCACCTGAGGTCAGGAGTTCGAGACCAACCTGGCCAATATGGTGAAACCCCATCTCTACTAAAATTACAAAAATTAGCTGGGAGTGGTGGTGCATGCCTGTAGTCCCAGCTACTTGGGAGACTGAGACAGGAGAATGGCTTGAACCCAGGAGGCGGAGGCTGCAGTGAGCCAAGATCGTGCCACTGCACTCCAGCCTGGGTGACAGAACAAGACTCCATCTCAGAAAAAAAAACCACATTGTTTCTGCTTTCTGCATTTGTTTTTATTTCTCAGTAAAATTACACGTGACTGGAAGTTAGGCAGCTTTCTTCAAATATTAGCTAGAAAATGTTGACATATTCTAGTGCCTGAGTTTTTCATGATATGTGATCAGTCATACCAATGTCTCCTATACTTGGCAACTTCCATTTCCTTTCATTGCATTGCCAGGCCCTTGACATAATCGCTTTCTGCATCACAGTGACAAAATCAAATAATGTATTTGTGAGTGGCTCCCCTTCTTGGAACCTGTAAAGCAGGGGTCCCCAGCCCCCCAGGCCATGGACTGGTACCGGTCTGTGGTCTGTTAGGAACCGGCTGCACAGCAGGAAATGAACAGTGAGTGAGCATCACTGCCTGAGCTCTGCCTTCTGTCAGATCAGCAGTAGTGTTAGATTCTCATAGGAGCTCGAACCCTATCGTGAACTATGCATGCAAGGGATCTAGGTTGTGCGCTTCCTATGAGACTCTAACTAATGCCTGATGATCTGAGGTGGAACAGTTTCATCCCAAAACCATTCCCCTTCCCCACCAGTGCATAGAAAAATTGTCTTCCATGAAACCAGACCCTGATGTCAAAAAGGTTGGGGACCACTGCAATAAAGCATATGACTTTTGCTAATCAAGAAATATGAAGAGGAAGCCAGTCTTCCAGTGACAACTTTTGTTCCCTTATAAGAAATTTATATCTCATAGCTATATGTCCATGCCCTTCCAAATACACAGTAACTTTTTTCAATGCTACAATAAAGTGTAACCCTTTGAAATTGATTTTTGTTGCTGTTGTTGTTTTTAAATTAATATGAGATAGGGTCTCACTATGTTGACCAGGCTGGTCTTGAACTCCTGGCCTCAAACAATCCTCTCATCTTGGCCTCCCAAAGTGCTGGGATTACAAACATAAGCCACCACGTCCAGCCCGAAATTGATTTTAAACGACAGAGGCTGGGCATGGTGGCTCATGTCTGTAGTCCCAGCACATTGCAAGGCGGAGGCAGGTGGTTCACCTGAGGTCAGGAGTTTGAGACCAGCCTGGCCAGCATGGTGAAACCCTGTCTCTATTAAAAATACAAAAAAAAAATGAGCTGGGCGTTGTGGCAGGCACCTGTAGTCCCAACTACACGGGAGGCTAAGGCACGGGAATCACTTGAACCCAGGAGGTGGAAGTTGCAGTGAGCCAAGATTGCACCACTGCACTCCAGCCTGGGTGACAGAGTGAGATCCTGTCTCAAAAAAAGAGAAAAGGAACGTCATCTTACTCCTTCCCTATACCACCTAATAAGCAGTATTTCGTTCTGCCACGGGTCTTTTGTAGGGTACAGAATTGTGTAAGGCACTTGTTTGCATTCTATGGTTTCTAAGCAATAAGGAGAATATAGAAGACTGTGCCAAAATTGTCTGGTGAAGAAGTACACTGATATACATTTGCAAAAAAAAAAAGACAAAAAAATTATTTAATGATGCAAAATTGTATTTTGCCAGTTTGGTTGGTTTGTTCCTTTACTGAATTTTGATGATACAGTTTTGAAATATTTTCACTGTGCAAATTCCTTCAAACTGTTTCCTATTACCTCAAGTTTAAAAGGTGGTTAGGTTCATTTCTGAAAATTTGATAGCTGTCAAAGATAGCATTATCAATTAGTTTATAAAGGATGTACTATTCAATAAAAGGTGTTAGGATAAATAGTTATATATCCATGTATAAGAGTTTAAAGCTCTTAGAAAAAAATAAATAACTTGGAAGAATTATCAATAAACATCTAAAGAGTAGATGTCAGAGGCCAGGTGTGGTGTTTCACACCTGTAATCTCAGTACTTTGGGAGGCTGAGGCAGGCAGATTGCTTCAGCTCAGGAATTTAAGACCAGCTGGGGCAACATGGTGAAACTCTGTCTCTTCATATAAAAATTAGCTGGGTGTGGTGGTGTGCACCTGTAGTCCCAGCACTTGGGAGGCTGAGACGGGATTGTTTGAGCCCAAGAGGTAGAGGCTACAGTGAGCTATGATCATGCCATTGCATTCCAGCCTGGGCAACAGAGTGAGACCCTGTCTCAAAAACAAAAACAACAAAAAGAGTATAAAACAGTCATACAAATACCCCCAAACAAAGTAAAATACCCCAGGCATGGGAATGAGAAATAACAAATTGAGGATAGTGGTTAACAGGAGAAGGACTGAGGAGAGATATACCAGGTATTTCAACTCTATCTTACTTTTTGGTGCTGCTATTCCTTCAAAGGAAACAAACAGATCTGAAAGAAACATGTTATGGCAAGATGCTAAGATTTGTTAAAGCTGGGTAATGGGTATATATTATTTGTCATATTATTTCCAGAGTCCAGAATGCTAACCATTACACTATGGATGTCATATTATTTTCTATATGCCTAAAATATTTTATTATTATTATTATTATTAAGACTAGTCAAGGCCAGATGTGGTGGCTCACACCTGTAATCCCAGTGCTTTGGAAGGCCAAGGCGGGCAGGAGTTCGAGACCAGCCTGGCCAATATGGTGAAACCCTGTCTCTACTAAAAATACAAAAAAATAGCTGAACATGGTGGCAGGCACCTGTAATCCCAGCTACTAGAGAGGCTGAGGCAGGAGAATCACTTGAATCTGGGAGGTGGAGGTTGCAGTGAGCCAAGATCACGCCACTGCACTCCAGCCTGGGTGTGACAGAGCAAGCCTCCATCTCAAAAAAACAAAAAAACAAACAAACAAAAAAAGACTAGTCAAGTGCAGTAGTGAGAAGGAGGAAAAGACAATCTGTAACTGACTGTGAACAATCGGTTGAAATAGTACAGTACCTTTGGACCAGCTTTTTTTTTTCTTTTTTTTTTTTTTGAGATGAGTCTTGCCCTTTCGCCAGGCTGGAGTGTAGTGACGCGATCTCCACTCACTGAAACCTCCACCTCCCAGGTTCAAGCAATTCTCCTGCCTCAGCCTCCTGAGTAGCTGGGACTACAGGTGCATGCCACCACTTCCAGCTAATTTTTGTATTTTTAATAGAGACGGGGTTTCACCATGTTGGCCAGGATGATCTCCATCTCTTGACCTCATGATCCGCCCACCTTGGCCTCCCAAAGTGCTGGGATTATAGGCGTGAACCACCACAGCCGGCCCAGGCTTTTTTTTAAAAGGAAGGGTATACTATATTATGGTGTACTAGCAACAGAATAGTACAACAGTGACTAACACAGTATAACTGATACCGTGTTAGCTTTGTCTTCCACTATAGATAAGAGTTACTCCAAGTAGATAAATGCTAATGTCCAAAGTTTTCTGTGGCACAGTGCTTTTAAGCATTAGTATAATTCTGCAGATATTTTAAACATATAAACATTTCAACTGAGTTGTGTTAATGGGAAGTAATTTTCCATCATTTCTGTTTAATGATAAAGCTTAAAATTGAGGACAACTAATATAAGAAAACCTCATTTTAGTTTTTCTTTAGAAATGGTCCTCTCATTTTGAAAACACTAGTTCTTTCATACCTCTGAGGTTTTGGGAGAGATCATTTTCTAAGTGACGTTTTAGTGACTTGAAAGAAACAGAGTTCCAAAAGGTGAACACGCTGTCTTTTTTCAGTGCCAGATGGTTATTAACATGGTGGAGGCAGAACACAAACCCAGAAATCAAGAAACTGAATTCTGGCCAGGTGCAGTGGCTCATGCCTGTAATCCCAGTACTTCTAGAGGCCAACGTGGGCGGATCACTTGAGCTCAGGAGTTCCAGACCAGCCTGGGCAACATGGCAAGATCCTGTCTCTACAAAAAATACAAAAATTAGCCAGGCGTTGGTAGCTTACGCCTGTTGACCCAACTACTCGGGAGGCTGAAGTGGGAGGATCGCTTGAGCCCAGGGGGGCAAAGGTTACAGTGAGCTGAGATAGCACCACTGGACTCCAGCCTGGGCGACAGAGTGAGACTCTCTCAAAAAAGAAAGAAAGAAACTGAATTTTAATCTTGGTTTTGGTGCTAACTAAACAGAGGGAAGAGTATAGTCTCTTTCTCTTTTTTTAATAAATAAATTACTAGATATTTTTAATAGAGACAGGCTCTCACTATGTTGCCCAGGCTAGTCTCGAAATCCTAGGCTTAAGCGATCCTCCTGCCTCAGCCTCCCAAAGTGCTGGGATTCCAGGCATGAGCCACCATACCCGGCCCTAGCCTCATTCTTAAAATCAGTAAAATATGGATATTGGACCAGTTACTCTAAATTCCCTTCCAGTTCTGACTGTGAATATTTGTCTTGAGCAGTAAGGTATATGACATGGTGGTAAGCAAAATTAAAAAGCAAAATGTAAACCCCAAATGAAAGAAAAGCATTTTAAAACTTCCATCCAGTGGCCTAATCATCTGAATTAAGAATACAACCTACCAAGCACCAAGTAATAGCCAGATGGTCATTTGGATCCTGGAGGTACTTGTAATATAACACTATCTTAATGAGCTTCTTGGGGCTTGGGAAATGTTGGAAGTAATTGAGGAGAACTAAAGCTGTTGAGAGGAGGACACTATAATCAGTGGTTCTCATCTTTGTTATGTATAAGAATCACTCATTTGTCTCATGGAAAACACAGCTGCCTGAGCTCCACCCTAAAAATTCTGATTCAGGAAATAGACTTGGCTGCCTTCTTCAGAAGCCCCACAGATGATTTTAGTGTACACAAAAGTATAGGAACTGATGCCATCAGGGAACCATACCAGCAGATTTCCCTGTCATTTTACTTGGTGATTAATAACAGAATTGTAACCACATGTCTACAATTATTTATTTATCATTGACTGCCTCATATTATCTTTTTTCTTTTTTCAGCAGGTCCAGGATTATTCAGTCTGATACTGCCTCACATTACAATTAAAACATTGAGCCCAGGAGTTTAAGACCAGACTGGGCAACATAGCAAGACCTCATCTCTACAAAAAAAAAAAAAAAAAAAAAAATTAGCCAGGCGTGGTGGTATGTGCCTGTGGTCCCAGCTACTCCGGGGGGCTGAGGTGAAAGGGTTACTTGAGCCAGGGATGGAGGTCAAGGCTACAGTAAGCCATGATTGCACCACTGCACTCCAGCATGGGAGACAGGATTGAGACCACATCACCAAAAAAAAAAAAAGAAAGAAAAAAAGAAAAAGAAAAACCAAAAACTGATGTAATGATGATGATAATGGTGATAACAATGATGATGAGGTTGATAGCAGCTAATATTTATTAAGCATATATTGGGTGGGTGCAGTGAATCCTAGCACTTTGGGAGATCAAGGCGGGCGGATCACCTGAGCTCAGGAGTTCAAGACCAGCCTGGCCAACATGGCAAAACCCCATCTCTACTAAAATTACAAAATATTAGCCAGGGTGGTGGCACAGGCCTGTAATCCCAGCTACTTGGGAGGCTGAAGCACGAGAATCACTTGAACCCGGGAGGTGGAGGTTGCAGTGAGCCGGGATGGTGCCACTGCACTCCAGCCTGAGCAACAGAGTGAGACTCTGTCTCAAACAAACAAAAAACAAGCATATATTATGAGCCAGACATCATACTACTATTATATTATATTATTATTACCATCAGCTGGCCCAATTTAATACAGTTAATGAGTGACCATGCCAAAATTCCAACTCAGACATTCAGAACCCATACTATCAACCACTACCTTATACTGCCTCTATACCTATAGTACCATCAATAATAGCTGTTGGTAACAAGAGCTACCATCCTATAGTGTACCAGCTACATGCTGACCTCTGTTAAATACATTATCTCACTTAATTCTCAAGGGGTTCCTGCAACTTAAGTGTTTCTGTTCCTGTTTTACAGATTGGAAAACTGGGACTGAGATTAGGGAAACCCAGCTATGAAGTGGCGGAACTCCAAGTTGAGGTCAGATGTGCTGACTCCCAAGCCTGTTCTCTTTTGGCTACATCAAGCTGCCTCTCTAGCTATCAGTGGCTAAGCCACTATTCTGTCCAGGAATTTTATCTTTGTCCTGTCTGGGTTGGTCATGTGACTCTAAAAGTATATGGTCCATTATATCTACTTCTGAAGGCCAAACATCGCTTTTGGATACCTGCCTCTTAAGGATAAGTTTTCATTTTTCAAGCCCTCCAAGGTAGTGGGTCCAAGACTTTTTTTTTTTTTTGACTGCTCAACTCTACCAATAAAACATTTTGAGCACAAATCCCACTATATGTATATTTATTTCTAAATTATATCATATAATATGACCTCATATATTATGCATTTGATAAAACATAAAAATACAGAACATTTTAAAGGATGAGGTTTTTGTTTTTGTTTTTGTTTTTGAGATGGAGTCTCACACTGTCACCCAGGCTGGAGTGCAGTGGCGCCATCTTGGCTCACTGCAATCTCTGCCTCCCGGGTTCAAGCAATGCTCCTACCTCAACCTCTCAAGTAGCTGGCATTATAGGTGCCCACCACCACACCCGGCTAATTTTTGTATTTTTAGTAGAGGCGGAATTTCTCCATGTTGGCCAGGCTGGTCTCGAACTCCTGGCCCCAAGTGGTCCGCCCGCCTCAGCCTCCCAAAGTGCTGGGATTACAGGCATGAGCCACCACTCCTGGCTAAGGATGAGATTTTTAAATATATAAATATTTCTAATGTTTTCTTCCAACATCCTCCCTTTGGAGGCTGTTGTTTTAAGAAACCCCCACTAGGCCAAATGGCCACAGTCACTGATCTAACAACTTGAAAATGGGAAAGCTCCAAGATAGTAGCTTCTAACCTGGCTGAGTTGAAAAGCTGTTGCTGTTTTGTTTTTTGAGACAGGGTCTCACTCTGTCACCCAGGCTGGAGTGCAGTGATGCAGTCATGGCTCACTGCTGCCTCAACCTCCTGAGCTCAAGAAATCCTCCCACATAGCTAGGACTAGGGGTATGCACCACCACGCCCAGCTAATGTTGCCCGTAGGGAGGCCTCATCTCTACAAAAAAAAAAAAAAAAAGGGCTGGTCTTGAACTCCTGGGCTAAAGCCCCCCCAAAAATTCTGATCCTCCCCGCTCAGCCTCCCAAAGCGCTGGGATTACAGGTGTGAACCACTGCACCCAGTGAAAAGTTTTTTTTTTTTTAAGATTCTCAAGCCCCGTTCCCAAAGATTTTGACTTAATAGATATTAACACCTCAGTGTGTCTGACGCTTGGATGTGGAAACTGCTGCTCTAAAAGATCCAATCCTGGCCAGAAGACCAGAGTCAGTGACAACAGTGACTACATCTGTTGGTCCTAATAGCATTGCCTCTCCCTGCCTGGCCTCATCCCTGGCCATCTCATCTTTCTGATAAACTCTGACTCACAAGATTCCCATTATCCTCCTGATGTATGCTTTAACTTGGGAGGACGGATTTATTTCAGCTGTTCGATTTTAAGATGGAAGAAAATAGTTTCCAGGTTAGGCACGGTGGCTCACACCTGTAATCCTAGCACTTTGGGAGGCCGAGGCGGGTGGATCACCTAAGGTCAGGTATTTGAGACCAGCCTGGCCAACATGGTAAAACCCTGTCTCTACTAAAAATACAAAAATTAGCCGAGTGTGGTGGTGGGCGCCTGTAATCCCAGCTACTCGGGAGGCTGAGGCAGGAGAATCACTTGAACCCGGGAGGCGGAGGTTGTGGTGAGCCAAGATTGAGCCATTACACTCCAGCCTGGGCAACAAGAGCGAAACTCCGTCTCAAAAAAGAAAAAGAAAAAAAAAAGTTTCCAAAGGATTTTTACCACCAGGAAGACTATCCTAGGTAACAACAGATAACTTTCTCAGTGGGCTTGTCCTTTATCGCTTTTAAAGAAAACTCCCAATCCCAGCACTTTGGGAGGCTGAGGCGGGCGGATCACCTGAGGTCAGGAGTTCAAGACCAGCCTGACCAACATGGAGAAACCCCACCTCTACTCAAAATACAAAATTAGCTGGGTGTGGTGGTGCATGCCTGTAATCCCAGCTACTCGGGAGGCTGAGGCAGGAGAATCACTTGAACCCAGGAGGCTGAGGTTGCGGTGAGCCAAGATCACACCGTTGCACTCCAGCCTGGGCAACAAGAGCAAAACTCCATCTCAAAAAAAAGAAAGATAAATAAATGAATTAATTAATTAATTAAACTCCCCTTTTTCCGACAGTATAGCACAATAGCTTTTAGAGCTTCTGGCTAGGCTCAATGCAGAACAGCTTTTAATTATTTCTTGTCCACTACCTATGGATTACTCTCAAGATACTACCACTTCTAAAATAAGAATTGTTAGTAATTAATTATATTCACACAGCTGCATTTATGGACCTGTGTGTGTACTGTAAATGACTGAGGAATATAGCCATGCAATCTGTTCCCAAGGTCATGGCTTAATGACTAACACACCTGAGAATGCTTTATCAAATGTTTGCATAAGCCATTGTGTTTGGCATATCAGGAGGAGGTTTTCACTAGGCCAGCTGATTAGCATTCATTAAAATGAGAAAAGTATCTACTCTGCTTCTCAGACCTACTCTAACCAGCCTCAATTCTCGTCATTTACTTAATTGCTTCTTTCCTGATTTGCTATTAATTCCCAATCTATCTCTCATCACCCTACCACTTTTCTAAGGTCTTTGTCCCTACTTCCACCCTCCAGACACCTGCCCGAATGGCAGGAGTGATAACATCAAGCCTACAGCAGTAGGTGGATTGCTATGATGAGAACAACAGGGCATTCATTTAAGAGGGACTCCAAGCCATTTTGTTCCACAAATACATTTGCAATATTCACAAAATCAGCTTGGTGCAGTGGCTCACACCTGTAATCCCAGCACTTTAGGAGGCTGAGGCAGGTGTATCACTTGAGGTCAGGAGTTCGACACCAGCCTGACCAACATGGTGAAACCCCGTCTCTACTAAAAACACAAAATTAGCTGGGCATGCTGGTGCATGCCTGTAATCCCAGCTACTCGGAGGCTGAGGCAGGAGAATCGCTTGAACCTGGGAGGCAGAGGTTGCAGTGAACCATTGCACTCCAGCCTGGCCAACAAGAGTGAAACTCTGTCTCAAAAAAACAAAAAAAATTCACAAAATCACATACACACAACCACTGATAAAGCTTCATTTATTGGACAAGTCAAAACTATCTTTCACATTTTTTAAAAAGGAAGACTATTTTGTCAGGAGAATTATCTGTCATGTAGAAGCTGAAAGAAATTTTAGACTTGAAAATAACAATTTTGGGGGCCAGGCATGGTGGTTCATGCCTATAATCCCAGCACTTTGGGAGGCCAAGATGGGCAGATCACTTGAGCTCAGGAGTTGGAGACCAGCCTGACCAATATAGTGAAACCCCGTCTCTACATAAAATGCAAAAATTAGCTGGGGCATGGTGGCACATGCCTGCAGTCCCAGCTACTTGAGGGACTGAAGCGAGAGAATCCCTTGAGCCCAGGAGGCAGAGGTTGCAGTGAGCGAAGATAGCACCTGGGCAAAATCCCATCTCAAAAAAGAAAAAAAAAAAAAAGGAAAGAAGAAAGAAGAAGAAGAAAATAACAATTTTTAAATTATTTCACCAGTTAAAATTGAAGTAACTCTGGTCGCCGTAATCTTAGATTTAGGGGTTTATCCTAAGGAAATAATCAACATGCATTCAAAGATTTATGTTCAATGGTGTTCTGCTGAATGTTACTATAAAAAGAAAAAGTTGAACCCAATCTGAATGTCCAACAATAGAAATTTTGTTTAATAAATTGTGGTATGTTCATTTGATTAAGCTTCAAAATCATGTAAGCAAATAATATTTAAAGAAATAATAAAATGTATAAAATATCAACATATGGTGGGAGGAAGAGCAGATAGTAAAACGTGAGTTTATGCTGATTTTGATGTCAAAATGTTCTAATTATCAGAAGTAATTATCTGATGCAATTTCAGGGTTTTTTTTTTTCCAAATTTTCTATAATAAGCATTATTTTATTTAAATACATATGCACACATATATTTTTATTTTAAAAGAAAAGGGTGAAAAAAACGGTAGGTATAGTTGTTGAAACACTAAAAAATAATTTCATCATGAAAGTATACTTTGGTTCCTAAATCAATTTAATTTGAAATCAGTGTAAATGTAAGTTTCCACATTTTTAAATTTTGACTACTCAGTGCATACAAATTATTATTCAGAGCACTAACTTAGCTATCACAAAATGTTTAAGCCATGTTATTTGCATAAACACATGGATAATATTCTTCTGTTGTTTTTATCCCATCTGCTTTTTTTTTTTTTTTTTTGAGACAGAGTCTCGCTCTGTTGCCCAGTCATGAGTGCAGTGGCGCGATCTCGGCTCACTGCAAGCTCCGCCTCCCGGGTTCACGCCATTCTCCTGCCTCAGCCTCCCAAGTAGCTGGGACTACAGGCGCCTGACACCACGCCCGGCTAATTTTTTTTGTATTTTTAGTAGAGACGGGGTTTCACCGTGTTAGCCAGGATGGTCTCAATTTCCTGACCTCGTGATCCGCCCGCCTCGGCCTCCCAAAGTGCTGGGATTACAGGCGTGAGCCACTGCGCCCGGCCTATCCCATCTGTTTTTCTTATTGCTTTAGAAACATGAGAATAATAAAAAGAAAGACACTATGACATTCAGTACTAAATAAATGATAATATGCATGCTAAGCAGCCTACTCATAATAATAATGTTTCTTTTGTAGAAAAAGATACATTTTGAGTCAATTACTCATAACTAGTAAATGACCTGATTGCTGCTAAGTACTGATACGACTCATATTTTCCAAGATCCTATATTATCTGTGTTTATACTAAATGATGTCACCTTATATATTCTTTTTTTTGAGACAAAGTTTCACTCTTGTTGCCCAAACTGGAGTGCAGTAGTGCGATCTTTGCTCACTGCAACCTCTGCCTCCCTCCTGTCTCAGCCTACCAAGTAGCTGGAATTACAGGCATGTGCCACCATATCCGGCTAATTTTGTTTTTGTTTTTGTTTTGTTTTTTGTAGAAATGGGGTTTCACCATGTTGGTCAGGCTGTTCTCAAACTGCTGACCTCAAGTGATCGGCCCACCTCAGCCTCCCAAAGTGCTGGGATTACAGGTGTGAGCCACTGTGCCCAGCCTTATATAATTCTTTAGGCTATAAATTACTAACTCTAAAAATTATCAAAAGGAGAGTTAGAGCTTTTTATACATAACTCCTCAAGATTCTTAGTCTTTTAGACACAGCAAAAGAGGAATAAAAATTTTCAAACAAATAGTTGAAAGTGTTCACTGTGGGAATCCTTTTTTGGTTTGTCCGTTTGAGACAGTCTTGCTCCATTGCCCAGGCTGGAGTGCAGCGGCAAAATCTTGGCTCACTGCAACCTCCACCTCCCAGGTTCAAGCCATCCTCCTGCCTCAGCCTCCTGAGTAGCTGGGATTACAGACGCCTGCCACCAAGCCTGGCTATTTTGGATTTTTAGTAGAGACGGGAGTTTCACCATGTTGGCCAGGCTGGTCTTGAACTCCTGATCTCAAGCAATCCACCCTCCTCAGCCTCCAGAAGAGCTGGGATTACAGGCGTGAGCCACTATGCCCAGCCAACTGTGAGAATTCTTAATAGCCCATCTCTTCATGGGAGTTTTGCCTTTAAAAACACAGATAAATCACAGAAAAAAGCACCATTCATCTAATTATTCCAAAGAGGATGGGTCAGAGGAAGGAAAGGGAAAGCTTTTACGCAGCAGCTTGGCTTTGAGCCTTCATGTGTTTTTCGTCTGAAAAGGATCCCACTGTTTTTGGGACATAACAACATGACTAGTTTGAACACACCCAGGAAACAGTATTCCTCTGACAAGGTATTTAAAAGATTAGTGCCAGATATTGAAAGGTAGGTGTGAGTGTGAAGGCTGAGCTCAGTTGGTTTAATCGTGGGTCTTTAAATTGAGCCATCAGATAATAATATTTTTCTCCAGTCATCTAAGCAACATAAGACAAAAAGGGCAGGGAAGCTTAAAAGAGCTACTCAGAAGAACAAAATTAGAGCTGTGAGTCAACTATTTGCACATTGCAAATGTACTTCACCCACATTAACACAACATTACGCCTGGCGGTAAAGCCTGCCAACCTTGAGGCTGTGAGCCTGTTATAAGTAGTGGTTAAAGGAGCCGGCCAGATGCGGTGGCTCACGTTTGTAATCCCAGCACTTTGAGAGGCCGAGGTGGGTGGATCACGAGGTCAGGAGTTCGAGGCCAGCCTGACCAACACGGTAGAACCCCATCTCTACTAAAAATATAAAAATTAGCTGGGCATGGTGGCACGCACCTGTAATCCCAGCTACTCAGGAAGTTGAGGCAGGAGAATCACTTGAATCCAGGAAGCAGAGGTTGTAGTAGTGAGCCGAGATCGCGCCATTGCGCTCCAGCCTGGGCGACAGAGTAAAGACTCCAACTCAAAAAAAAAAAAAAAAAAAAAAAAAAAAGGCCAAAGAAGTTGACAATGTGCTTTAAAATGTCCCAAAATGCACTGTTCTTCCAAGCGAAGAGGGAGCACCTGACTTTTGGATTACCTGTCTCATAAACCTACTGTATAAACTCCTAACTTGGAATCTCTTAGTATATCAATGCTATTGTAACTGGAAAGGGTTTCCCAGATAAAAAGCAAACATGGTTCAAGGTTGAGACCTTATTAGCATTTCCAAAGAGCTGTGAAAAGCCTCTAAACTCTCTCCCCTGCCAAGTAAATTTTGTTTTGCTGAGCTTTGGCACAGTTCCTCTGTTGTCATGGGGGGGGGGGCATTATTGTCACAGCTGTCTCGGGGGTGCTGCCTTGAATACATTTCGAAAATAACACACGAATAAGGAACATGACATTGGCTATATCAAAAGAGTTTTATAAGACAATCACACCTGCTACTGCAAAACTCCAAACTGGCAGTATAAACATCACTTTGCACTTATTTAAAATTATGGGACCAAAAGATGACATTAGGTAAATGAATAAATAATTAGGTAAATAAATGTTCTTAGAGACAAGAACTTAAAGAATAAGTTAGAGAACTTAGAGGTAAGAATTTAGAGAATAACTACTTATTAGGTAAATAAATAAACACAGATGCCTTTGCTAAAACGACTAAGGAAAGCAGAGAAGATACTTGGAAGATATATTTTTAATGTGAACAATTAATGTAAACTTTCTCAAAAACAACTGTAATCCATTCTTTCCAACTGCTTCATTCAGTAAATTTCTTCTTCAAAATGACCAATTATTTTGTTTTGATTATCTTGCTCTGTAGAAAATAGTGGACTGTCATCAATATGAAAAGAATTTCACTATTCTTCTTAATTTTATGTTGATGATAAATTTAAAAGGTGGTTAGGGAAGTTGACAATAGCACATGCAATGCCTTGAATGATGGGCAAAGTGTGAATACGTTATGCAATATATGGAAATTTTCTTTACAAGTATACTGCCTTTAGGATATTTATGTTTAACCAGAATTGCAGGTTGGAACCTGCAACTAACTTGCATTTAGTGAAATTCAAGTTATTTATTATATCCTTACTAGTGAAAAACTGGCTCTGAGGTCATTTAACATCTCCTAAATGTCAAGAGGTCATTCAACTTCTTTACAATGACTTCAGGTTAACAACAAAAGCAAAGAAACGTTATCTTTGGTTGCTGCTTCCAACTGGCATCTTCAGAATCAAGGGATATAGTGCCACATCAGTACCATGTCAGACTTGCTACAGGATTTTGAAAAGATGAGTTTCCCAATCATCACTCTTTTTTCTAGAACTAGATTAGTGACTAAAATAAAGTAATAACACTCCCAGGGAACTGTGATCATCCATATTTAGATACTTCTCACCAGAAGATACAGTTGCATTACGATATTGGTTTGAACACCTTAACAGAATCCAAAATAACAGTGACTTACATAAGAGTTAAAAACTTATTTCTCAGGCTGGGCACAGTGGCTCATGCCTGTAATCCCAGCACTTGAGGAGGCTGAGAAAGGAAGACTGCTTGAGCCCAGGAGTTCAAGACCAGCCTGGGCAACATGGTGATACACTGTCTCTACAAAAAATTTTTAAAATAAAAAATCAGCCAGGCATGGTGGCATATGCCTGTAGTCCCACCTACTTGGGAAGCTGAGGTGGGAGGATCACCTGAGCCAAGGGAGGTTGAGGCTACGGTGGGCTATGATCCTGCCACTGCACTCCAGCCTGGACAACAGTGTGAGATCCTGTCAAAAACAAAAAACAAAACAAACAAAAAAAAACAAAAACAAAACGCCTTATTTTTCCTTCACATAGACATCTGAGTTAGTAGGTGATCTGGAATGTAGGGCAGTTCTCTTTCCAGGGCATCCAGAGAACCAGAGTTCATGAATGTTATTGTTCCACCAGAGCAGAGATACAGAGATAAACAAACTATAGTTAGCAGGCACCGGTTTTGGCAAATAAAATTTTACTGGAATACGGCCACATCCATTGTAGAAGTCTTGTCAATGGCTGCTTTGGAGCTACAAGGTCAGAATTGAGTCACTGGGACAGAGACCCTATGACTTTCATGGCAAAATATTTCCTATCTGGCTCTAAGAAAATGTTTACTTGGCTGGGCATGGTGGCTCACACCATAATCCCAGAACTTTAGGAGACCGAGGTGGGTGGATTGCTTGAGGAGTTCCAGATCAGCCTGGGTAACATGGCAAAACCCCACCTCTACAAAAATTAAAAAATTAGCTGGGGCCAGGCGCAGTGGCTCACACCTGTAATCCCAGCACTTGGGAGGCTGAGGCCAGATCACTTGAGGCCAGGAGTTCAAGATCAGCCTGGCCAACATGGTGAGCCCCCTCTCTACTAAAAATACAAAAATTAGGCGGGCATGGTGGCACATGCCTGTAGTCCCAGTTAGTTGGGAGGCTGAGACATGAGAATCCCTTGAACCCAGGAGGCAGAGGTTGCACTGAGCCACGATCACACCACTGCACTCCAGCCTAGGCAACACAGCAAGACTGTCTCAAATTAAAAAAAAAAAAAAGAGAGAGAGAGAGAGATTGAGAGAACGGATATCAGAGGCCAATTAGCAGGTTCTATAGACCACCTTTCTGGCCACCCAAGAATCAATGCATACCCTTCTGAGACATAAGAACACATTCATCTCCTTCCCAAGGAAACCAATCCAAAGTCCTACCCAGTTACCTCGCAGAGTCCAAGACCTCTCCATCGAGTTTGGATGTGGTTCCTTTTGGAGAAGTGACTCATCTACTAAACATCCACTCTCCACTTCTGTGACAAAGACAGGATAACCACAAGTAAAACTCCAGGTCAGACAAGGGAAGAATGGGAAACATACAGCTGTCACTCATCCTCAGCAACTGTAAAATCCTAATGAGCAGAAGCTGCAAAGATTCCCTGTCCTGGCAGAGAGTAAGTTCCTTGGTTGACCCACATGATCACCCCCAATTCTGTTGTCTGGGAGGATCTTTTGTGTCCATTATTCTCTATAGCAGCATCTGGGTCAGTATTGGAAACTACATCCTTCTTATTTTATTTATTTTTTAGAGACAGAGTCTTGTTCTGTCACCCAGGCTGGAGTGCAGTGGTGCCATCTCGGCTCACTGTAACATGTGCCTCCCGGGTTCAAGAGATTCTCCTGTCTCAGCCTCCTGAGTAGCTGGGATTACAGGTGCCTGCCACCATGCCCAGTTAATTTTTTCATTTTTAGTAGAGACGGGGTTTCACCATGTTGGTCAGGCTGGTCTCAAACTCCTGACCTCGTGATCTGCCCGCCTTGGCCTCCCAAAGTGCTGGGATTACAGGCGTGAGCCACTGCGCCTGGCAGACTTCCTCATTTTTAAAGTCAGTTTGAGTTGCACATTCCATTAACTGCATCGACATCAAGCTTTTATTAAGTAACTACTGCTGGGCACAGTGGCTCACGCCTGTAATCCCAGCCCTTTGGGAAGCTGAGGCAAGCAGATTACTCGAGCTCAGGCATTTGAGACTAGCCTGGGCAATATGACAAAACACTGTCTCTATAAAAAATATAAAAACTAGCCAGGTGTGGTGGCACAAGCCCGTGGTCCCAGCTATTCGGGAGGCTGAAGTGGGAGGATTTCTTGAGCCAAGGAGGTCGAGGCTACAGTGAGCCAAGATCACACCACTGCACTTCAGCCTGGGCAACAGAATAAGATCCTATCTCAAAAAAATAAAAACATAACTACTGTGTCAGGGACAATATTAGGCACAGAGAATATAAAAATGAAGAAGACAGCCAATTGGCTCAACATAGAGTTTTTATTCCAAAGGAAGACATGAATACCTAAAGAAATAATTATGATATATGCTATAATCAAGACAGGTGTAATGTGAGCCTAATAGAAGAAGCATTCCTTCTGCCTTTCTGGGACATTGAATCTGTTTCCCATCATAGATTCCTCAAGGGCAGAGAATCAAATCATTTTCTTCTTCTCATTCTCAATATTTGGCATAATTCCTTACACACAGCTGCTCAATAATAATATAGTATACTTATCAAAAGGATCAATTTTACTAAGTTCTCTAATGTGCTTGTTGATTTTTAGAGGATAAAGTTGAGTCCAAATGCAACGCATAATTTCATCAATATTTCCACCTAGTTTGCCAGAAGTCTCCAGCCCTATCTAGTATGTATGTGTGTATTTGGTGTACCTCCAAAATATGTTTAACATAACTTAAAATATAAAATACAGATAAAATTTAAACTGAAAATCACTTATCAAAGTGAAAAGACAAAATCAAAGTGAAAAGACAAAATTAAAGTAAAAAGGAGGAAAGGGAAGAAGTAGGAAGAAGGAGACATTCCGAAACATCTTAGAAAATCTTAAAGCGGATGATGCCAGTGGGCTTTGTAAAGATAAAAATGCTTAATTACAAAGCTTGGAGTGAGAGACAAACTAAAAATGAAACTACTGATTGTCTGTGCTTAAAGCGTCCTTTTCACTTCTCCCAACACACCCAACAGAAAATAGCTTAAGCTCAGTGGATTCATCCATCATATCGTCAGTAGATCTTAAAATCAACAGGCATTCCTAAAGAGATACATGGGCCACAGTTCCTTCATTTCAGTTATTTCCTTGGGTCCTGTATTCCTAATATTTTGGGACAGAGTGAAGCAACAACTCTATTCCCTGAACTAAAACTTCCCAGTAGGTCACAATACATTTTTTTGAAAGATTTGGATGGAGAATCTTGTCAGACAAGGCACCACCTGCCTGGATTAAGGAAACCACTCTCGCCTCTAAAAAATTCTCACCTTCCAAAAAATTACCAAATTATATGAAAACCTGTTCTAAAGTTTCAACAACTGTGATTTACATTTCTAAGAAGGAAGCTATTTTTAAGGTTGCATACATTTTTCTTAAAGACTACGTTGCTGTTAATGATGACTCTTGGATTGCAAATGAGACAAACACAACTTAAATGCGCTAAAGTAAAAAAGTAAATGAATATCTTAGAAGTTCAAATATAGCTGTATCCAGGGGTCAGACCAACATTGGCACTTCTCATCTTCTCTGTTTCCACTCGGCTCCCATGTGTTAGTTTTCTATTTATTTATTTATTTATTTATTTATTTATTTATTTATTTATTTTTGATACGGAGTCTCACTGTGTCGCCCAGGCTGGAATTGCAGTGGCGCGATCTCAGCTCATAGCAAGCTCCGCCTCCTGGGTTCACGCCATTCTCCTGTCTCAGCCTCCCGTGTAGCTGGGACTACAGGTGCCCACCACCACGCCCGGCTAATTTTTTGTATTTTTAGTAGAGACGGGGTTTCACTGTATTAGCCAGGATGGTCTCAATCTCCTGAACTCATGATCCACCCGCCTCAGCCTCCCAAAGTGCTGGGATTACAGGCATGAGCCACTGCGCCCAGCCTAGTTTTCTCTTAATATAAGGCAGACTCCATGTGGCTTAGGACAATTACTATGTGTGGTTGCATGCTGCATTCTAATGTAGCATCTTCTGCAGAGGAATCTTCCACCATCATCCATCTATCAGTTCAGCCAAGTCTCTGATTGGCCCTGCTTGGATCAATTGCCAACCTGAACCAATACCGGTGTCCAGACGAAGAAGTTACCATGACTGGTCAAGCCTGGATCATGTGCTGTTACTATAGTGAAATAAGTGAAGCCTGGGAATTGTAGCCCATCAGAATCACAGGATGTAGAGGAAAGACACTTCTGAAGAGAAAGGATGCTGAACAAAAAACAAAAAAAGACCCACTACGTAGGAAAGCACAGAGTCATGATCTCTGGGGTAAATCATATTACCCCAGAAAGTGTTTAGGCAAATGTTTAAGGGGCCTGTGACAATGAGTGCTTTTCCAATTGGAGTGGGTTGAGGGGTGAGTTGGAAAAACAGTGGCCTTCTGCCCTAGAACTAGTAACCTTGCACCATGGGAATTTGTGTTGCGTGAACCTTACAGTCTGCCTGCCCCATAGATCAACGCTTCTATTTTGTTGTTGCGTCAGGTAACATGTTTAGCTCCTAGATAGTCTATCATCTGCAAGAAAGGAGAGGTGGGCCCTAAAAGGCATGCAGTTCTTTTCAACAGCATTTTTTGAAATCCTAGGAAGATGGGAGTTATGGCATATGCTCCAGTGAGCCTGTTAAGATTACTCATGATGACTCTAGGCTATGTTTGGAACTCCTTCTAAACTGAATAAACAGATGGCCAGCAGTGGCTAAACCTGAAAGTAGTTTGAAAAATGCTGAGAATCAATTACTTTAATGCTCTCCGAGCTTAAAGGTCCTTCAAAAATGACTGGACAATATTTATTAGGAAACATGTTCCTTCTGGAATAAATTCAGCTCAAGAACAGATGTGCTGCAATATTCTGAGACATGAATTCAACGTGATGTAAAAAAGAATTATTGGCTTTACATCCCTATCACAGAAGTCTTGAGGCATAGTTAATTGATGATGATTACTTCAGGAATATTCTGAGCCAAGACTCCACCAAAAAAGAAAAGTATTTTTCTCATTAACTTCCTAATAGCACATGTTATTCACAAGAAATTCACAGGAATGGGCATGCTATATCTTGGAAAAAGAGACCAATTTGGGAATATGCTTGAGCCAGAAACAGCAAAATGGGTCGGAAAGGCAAGTTTCAGAGTTTTGAATCCTAGAAACTATGCCAATAAGATTTTCTGAGGGCCAAAAAGGACAGCGAATCTGCCAGTCCAGCTGTGAGAACACAGCTGTGAGATTTCTGAAGGAAATGATGGAGGAGAAGGCAAGCTCATAAAGTGGACACATCACCAAGCTGGGAGCAGTATTAACACACTGTAGGATGGAAATCAGCACCTAAAATACCGATTTAAAATGATTCTGGCGAGTTAGAGACTTAATCTAAAGGGGAGAAAAAGACAATAAATTTCAACAAGCCTAGTCACAAGTTAGTATCAAATAAGAAGATACAGGACCAGTATCAGGTTGTGGGCAGAAGTTGAGCAGCAATGGAACAACACAGACTACACTCTAATAGGTTATAAGAGGTAGAGATTAACTTGTCCAACTAATTCACTTTACAGGTGAAAAAAAGAAAGCCTCGCCCAGAGAGAGTGTTTCAATTATTTCTGGGTATTTCACAAATTACTCCAAAAAATACTGTCTTAAAGAAATGATTTGTTCACAATTCTTCAATTTGTGCAGGGCTTGGCAAGGAGAGCTTGTCACTGCTCCACATGGCAGCAGCTGGGATGGCGCAACTATGACTAGACAATCTACTTCCAAGATGGCCTCATTCATAGCCAGGCCAGTGGGTGCTAGCTGTCCGTTGGAAGATCGGCTGAGGCTGTTGGCCAGGGACTTTGTTCTCCACCACATGGCTTCTCCGTGTGGCTAGGTTGGGCTCGTGGAGAGGCCATGTGGAGGACAACTGCTCACAGCATGGCGGTCTTAGGATGGACATATTACATGGCAGCTGGCTTCCCCGAGAAAGCTGCTAGGTCTTCTTAAGGCTTAAGCCTTCCTCTGTGTTCTGTTGGTTAAAGCAGGCCTCACGGCCAGCCCAGATTCAAGAGAAGACTGCAGAGGGTTATGAATATCAGGAGATGTGGTTCAATCTGCTGCAGAGGGGATATGACTTGTGCAAAGTTAATTATATGCTACTGTCAATTACAGGAAAATTTTATAATAAAAATTATTTTCTTTAAAAAAAGGAGAAAAAGGAAAGTCAGCAGAAATAGTAAAAATAATCCTATTACAAGGAACATGATCAAATCTCAGCTTCACAATGTAAAAGAAACCTGGAAATCTTGGAGATAAGGTAGAAGAGAGAAATGATTATGACTGAAAGATAGGAAAAGAAAACAGAATGAATTATTATTATTATTTTTATTTTTTTGACGACAGAGCAAGACTCTGTTGTCCAGGCTGGAGTGCAGTGGCACAATCCTGGCTCACTGCCAACTTTGTCTCCCTGGTTCTAGTGATCCTCCCACCTCAGCCTCCGCGTAGCTGGAACTACAGGCCTGCACTACCTCGCCCAGCTAATTTTCTGTATTTTAGTAGAGATGGGGTCTCACTATGTTGCGCAGGCTGGTCTCAAACTCCTGAGCTCATGCAATCTGCCCACCTCAGCCTCCCAAAGTGCTAGGATTACAGGCATGAGCCACTGCACCTGGCTGAAAATTTTTTAAAAAGTAAAATTGTATAGCCTGGCATGGTAGTGCATGCCTATAGTCCCAGCTATGTAGGAGGCTGAGGGGGGAGGATCACTTGAGCCTGGGACTTGGAGGATGCAGTGAGCTGAGATCACACCACTACATTCCAGCCTGGCAACAGAGCAAAACCCTGTCCCCATCTTCAAAATAATAATAATAATAATAATAATAATAATAAAATAAAATTGTATAGCCTGTAGAGTGACTTAATAATTAAGTGAATTAAAAATTAAGTCACTGGAAAGTAACTTAATAATGATCCTCAAAGCCTGTAGATGAATATTCACTATCAATTCCTATTCTCTAAGAACAGAAATTGATTATATAAGATTTAGGTTGAAAGAATTTCCTGGAAAAAATGATAGATCAGAAAGAGGAGAATATAAAACTTTCTTTCTAAAAATCTGTAAGAGGCTAGGCACAGTGACTCACACCTGTAATCCCAGCACTTTGGGAGGCCAAGGCGGGAGAATCACTTCAGCCCAGGAGTTTGAGACCAACCTGGCCAACATGGTGAAATTCTGTCTCTACTAAAAATACAAAATTTAGCCTGGTGTGGTGGTGTGTGCCTGTAATTGCAGCTTCTTGGGTGGTTGAGGCGGGAGAATCACTTGAATCTGGGAGGTGCAGGTTGCAGTGAGCCAAGATCACACCGCTGCACTCCAGCATGGGCAGGCAGAGTGAGACCCTGTCTCAAAAAATAAATAAGTAAATAAAAATTAAAAAATAAAAATGCTTAAGAGAAGTTACAGTTAAATATATAGGGAAGAGGCCGGGCGCGGTGGCTCACGCCTGTAATCCCAGCACTTTGGGAGGTCGAGGCGGGTGGATCACGAGGTCAAGAGACTGAGAACATCCTGGCCAACATGGTGAAATCCCACCTCTACTAAAAATACAAAAATTAGCTGGGCATGGTAGCGGGCACCTGTAGTCCCAGCTACTTGGGAGGCTGAGGCAGGAGATCGCCTGAACCCAGGAGGCAGAGGTTGCAGTGAGCCGAGATCGTGCCACTGCACTCCAGCCTGGCAACAGAACAAGACTGTCTCTCAAAAAAAAAAAAAAAAAAAAAAAGTATATATATATATATGAAAGCATTCTCTGCCCTTCAAAGAATGGAAGCCTCCATGATGACTCTTTTATGAAGCTGTGAAGTTCCTAGAAAGTGGTGACACTATCTATAGTCAGGTGTCTACACCTGCCCACCTGCATTATTATTAATCCTTTTATGCCCTTGTCCTTGTCCCTGCCCTAAACCCCACTGAGGATTGGAGGTTCCTTGAAGGCAAAGATCATGTCTTGATCTTCTTATCTCAGAGCCTACAACTTGCTATCGACAGAGTATGTACTCAACAAATAAAGCATTTTGTTACTTTTGCCCATGGTAACTGATTAGATGCTAAGCATAATGATTAAATAATTGTCCAAGTATTTAGCTTAATTGATATTTACTGTGCATTGACTCTGTGCCAGGTACTGTGCTATATGCAATGAGATACTGTGGCCAGCAAAACAAACATAGTGTTCTTATAGTATAGTTTCAAAAAAAAAAAAAAAAGCCCCACCAACAGTGTAAAAGTGTTCCTAAACCTTTGTGGAAGACAGTGTGGCGATTCCTCAAGGATCTAGAACTAGAAATACCATTTAACCCAGCCATCCCATTATTGGGTTTATACCCAAAGGATTATAAATCATGCTGCTATAAAGACACATGCACACCTATGTTTATTGCGGCACTATTCACAGTAGCAAAGACTTGGAACCAACCCAAATGTCCATCAATGATAGACTGGATTAAGAAAATGTGGCACATATACACCATGGGATACTATGCAGCCATAAAAAATGATGAGTTTATGTCCTTTGTAGGGACATGGATGAAGCTAGAAACCATCATTCTCAGCAAACTATCGCAAGGACAAAAAACGAAACACCGCATGTTCTCACTCATAGGTGGGAATTGAACAATGAGAACATTTGGACACAGGAAGGGGAACATCACACACCGGGGCCTGTCATGGGGTTGGGGGAGGGGGAGGGATAGCATTAGGAGATATACCTAATGTAAATGACGAGTTAATGGGTGCAGCACACCAACATGGCGCATGTATACATATGTAACAAACCTGCACGTTGTACACACGTACCCTAGAACTTAAAGTATAATTTAAAAAAAAAAAAAAAAAAGCTTGTAATCCCAGCTACTTGGGCGCAATGGTTCACGCCTATAATCTCAGCACTTTGGGCAGATCACCTGAGGTCAGGAGTTCAAGACCAGCCTGGCCAACATGGTGAAACCCCGTCTCTACTAAAAATATAAAAATTACCCAGGCATGGTAGCAGGAGCCTGTAATCCCAGCTACATATATATATATAAAACATACATGTATGTGTGTGTGTATATATACATGTATATATATATATACACGTGTGTGTGTATATGTGTGTGTGTATATATATATATCTCACTATATAGTTTTTTAAGGAAAACTGTAGGATAACATAAGTGATGAAAATAGGAGGACTGGCCGGGTACGGTGGCTCACACTTGTAATCCCAGCACTTTGGGATGCTGAGGCAGGTGGATCACCTGAGGTCAGGAGCTCAAGACCAACCTGGCTAACATGGTGAAACTCCATCTCTACCAAAAATACAAAAATTAGCCAGGCGTGGTGGTGGGCGCCTGTAATCCCAGCTACTCGGGAGACTGAGGCAGGAGAATTGCTGGAACCCAGGAGGCGGAGGTGTAGTGAGCCAAGATCGTGCCATTGCACTCCAGCCCAGCCAACAACAGGGAGAATCTGTATCAAAAAAAAAAAAAAATAGGAGGACTAATTTATCTGGGGAGATTGAATAGTAAGTAATTATGAGCATGGGCTCTGGGGTTGGACTGGCTGCAAGGGGTTTTTTGTTTGTTTTTTTGCTTTTTTTTTTTTTTTTTTTTTTGAGATGGAGTCTCGCTCTGTCACCCAGGCTGGAGTGCAGTGGCGTGATCCTGGCTCACTGCAATCTCCACCTCCCAAGTTCAAGCATTTCTCCTGCCTCAGCCTCCTGAGTAGCTGGGATTGCAGGTGTGTGCCACCACACCTGGGTAATTTTTGTAGTTTTAGTAGAGATGGGGGGTTTCACCATGTTGGTCAGGCAGGTCTCAAACTCCTGACCTTGTGATCCACCTGCCTTGGCTTCCCAGAGTGCTGGGATTATAGGAGTGAGCCACTGCACCCAGGCAGACTGCAAGTTTCTTAACCCTGAACACCGAGGGTTTTTTTAACTGTAAAATGGGGATAAAAATAATATCTATCTTGTAAAATTGTTACAAAATTAAGCCCTTGGTATATCAGTGTCTTTTAAATTCATTTTGATTTTTGATTTATTTTTTTTCTTTTTTGAGGCTGGGCGTGGTGGCTAACGCCTGTAATCCCAGCACTTTGGGAAGCCGAGGCAGGCAGATCACTTGAGGTCAGAAATTCAAGACCAGCCTGGCCAACATGGTGAAACCCTGTCTCCTCTAAAAATACAAAAATTAGCCGGGCATGGTGGCGTGTGCCTGTAATCCCAGCTATTGGGAGGTTGAGGCAGGAGAATTGCTCAAATCTGGGAGGCGGAGGTTGCCACCACTGCACTCCAGCTTGGGTGACATGGCGATACTCCGTCTCAAAAAATAAAAAATAACATAAAATAAATTTATTTTTTGAGCTGTTCTATTTGTAAGGATTGACTTTTTCATAAGGATCTTCCTCTGGGAAGATTGACTTTGGTTTTATCTTAGAGTTCTTCAAAAAACAAAGACAAATTTTGCTCTTTGTTTTTGAATTTAATTTTCTCTTATTATTTTATTTTTAATATTTGTGGGTACACAGCAGACATAAATACTTATGGGGTATGTGAGCTATTTTGATACAGACATGCAAAGCATAACAATCACATCAGGGTAAATGGGGTATCCATCACCAAGCATTTATCCTTTGTGTTACAAACAATGCAATGATACTCTCTTTGTTATTTTTAAATGTGCAATTAAATTATTTCTTTGTTTTTAATAGGCTAAAACGTATTCTATTTTGCAATTGCCATATGCGTCAACTGGACCCTTATAAAAGCTAAGATAAATTATGAGATGTTAGTGATCTTGTTTTTCTCACATTTTGAAATATTTTGCTGTTTCATTATCCTAGGAATTTGTTCACCATTTCTGATCAGCTTTTCTTAACTATGATTTTTTTTAAAACTAAAATAATAAGAAAATGGAAGAATTGTGGAATTGCTTAGAAGGATGATACAGTAGTGAAGTAAATTACCACTAATACATTAATTTCTAATTGTACTAACCAAAGTATTAAATCGTCTTTCAAGGAGGTATAAAAGATAAATGAAAAACTATCTGCATTTTTTTTCAGCTTTTGTTAAACACAGTTGAGAGATCTGAGTGTACAAGTGAAGTTTAGGAGATGAGAGAATTCAGAAAGGGGGAAGTAACACTTCATGTGGTACACAAATACAACGACGACAGAAAAATGGTGAATAACTAACTAAGGTTTAGGAAACATTCCTCTTGATAATCTTGTGATCCCTCAGCTAGATTAAATGCACAGAAAACGCTTATAATTTTTTTATTCCCCCAACCCTGGCTGTGCTGGGCTCACAGTATGTTTTTAATAAAGACTTGATTGACCATTTGAAAGGAATGTATTCAAATCAGTCCTTAATGTCAATAAAATGGAATGGATAGAGGCATGAATCTTGCAGTCCAATTAACCTGGGTTCTCATTCCTGCTCTGCACTTACTAGATGTTTGACCTTAAGCAACCTCCCCCTCTGAGCCACAGTTTTATCATCTGTAAAAGAAGATCAATAATATTATTAGCCTCAGCCGGGCACAGTGGCTTGCGCCTATAATCCCAGCACTTTGGGAGGCCGAGGAGGGCAGATCACCTGAGGTCAGGAGTTCGAGACCAGCTTGGCCAACATGGTGAAACCCCGTCTCTACTAGAAATACAAAAATTACCCGGGCATGGTGACAGGAGCCTGTAATCCCAGCTACTCAGGAGGCTGAGGCACGAGAATTGCTTGAACTCGGGAGACAGAGGTTGCAGTGAGCCCAGATTGTGCCACTGCACTCCAGCCTGAGTGACAGTGTGAGACTCTTACCTCAAAAAAAAAAAAAAAAAAAAAAAAAAAAAAATTTATCAGCCTCTTAAGACTGAGAAGATACTTAAATGACATAACACAGGTAAAATACTTAGTACAGAGCTCAATAAGTGCTAACCTCTATTATTCATATTAGTATCATTTTCCTAGTTAACAGATATTTTTCAGCAGCATAGCAGTCAAATACAAAACCAAATGTCAACAGCAATAACAACATAGTCTCACATGATTATTCTTCCTAGAGCAGGAACCAAGTTTTTATTTAATATTAGGACTTCTGATGGTGTTACATTTGTCAGGGGGATGAATTAAAAGCCTCAGCCTGGCTTTTCCCTTAATAAGCTGGGAAAGAGAGTTCCTTAGGAATCATTGAATGACACTGAATTCGATCTCATAAAAGAAAAAGGGAAGATTAAAATGTTCATTATCATGTGTAAAGGGATTAGCACTCATACTACAGGAAAACAACCCCAAATTTGAAACTTTTTCAGGGCCAACTCGACATACTGTATGTACAACAGAAATGTAATAATATTCTTTTCAACTAGTATCAGAACTGTTTCCCAAGCTTTGTTTTTATTAAGCATGCTTAATAAAAACAAAGCTTGGGAAACAATACCAGGTCTTTTCAAGACATCTGCTAAATGAGAATAATATTAATAATTATAATAATGATAGCTAACATTTAATAAACCATAAGTATTTCACATTTTCTCATCGAATTATCATACTGATACACACTACATCAATTTTGAAGAGAAATAAAAGACACATAATGGTTTTAAACTCTGAGAAGCTGATCCCAAAAATAAGAACAGTGCGTGAGGTAGGCATTGTGATAACCACTCAGAGGCGTCTTCAATGAAGGACGTGTTACCCAGCTGCTAGTTCTGTTGGCAGATAGCCTTACCCTGTGTTAGCAACTCGATTAGCCTTCAGCTGTCACATATTCACTTCCCAGCTTGCCTCAGAAGCAGAGAGCAACCTTGCCCAAAGTCACACCCTTTCCAGGGTGGCCCATATCCAACGACTGGATGATGAGGGAATAGAAAGACTTGGCCATCTAAGGCCAACTTGGGACAACCCCAAAAGGCTATTCTAGCTTCAGAGCTTCTGGTGGGATTGGCTGAGACTGTGGCGGGTGTGCATCACAGCTGGATTTATCCCTCTGCTTCCCTCCCCCTCATTCCACAAGTCGAGATCCCAAGGGCACTCCTTAATAAATATCCTGCATGCTAAGCTCTGAGTCTGTGGCTGGGGAGCCCAATTTGCAACAATGCAAGTACACTACCAATAAAAGGTCATCTGTAGTCACACAAAATACATCACATTGTTAATAATTTACGTTACTAAATTTAGTCATCATGAAATACTGAATCTCAAACAAGCTACATTATTCTTAGTCTTATTCTCCACACTTCTACAGCCTGCAGATTGGAGGAAAGATGGCCATGGAATATCTGTGCTTTTGATGCATAGAATACAGTGCTAGTTCCAGCATAGAGTTGTAGGTGAATATTGAGAAAGAAAATTTGTCAGGCTAAAGGTGATAACTGATATTCTTAATCCAGATACAATCAAAATATAGAAAAGTAGTATCTTCCCCAGGAATAAAGAACAAATGCAAGAATACACTGCAAGGGGAGAATTTTAATTAGAGAAATTGTAAAAATAAAAAGGGAGGCCAGGTGCAGTGGCTGGCTCATGCCCATAATTCCGGCACTTTGGGAGGCTGAGGCAGGTGGATCACTTGAGGCCAGGAGTTTGAGACCAGCCTGGCCAACATGGTGAAACCCCATCTCTACAAAGAATACAAAAAATTAGCTTGGTGTGGTGGCACGTGCCTGTAGTCCTAGCTACTCAGGAGGCTGAGGTGGGAGGATCACTTGAACCCGGGAGGTTGAGGCTACAGTGAGCCAAGCTGAGATTGCACCACTGCACTCCAGCCTAGATGACAGAGTGAGACCCTGGTTCAATATGAAAAAAAAAAAAAAGGAAAGATACGACCCTTTTCCTTACCTCAACTCCCATTTAATTCCCCAAAGGAAATAATTTGTGTACATTGTTTCCAGACCTTTTTCCTTGAGTATTTGTGTATATGCTTGAACATAAGTGTTTAATAGAAATGAAATTTACTATATGTATTGCTTGACAACCCACATTATGGAAGGCAATCTGCTTTACTCAAAGCCTACTGACTTAAATGTTAATCGCATCTAAAATACACCTTTACAGCAACATCTAGACTGGTGTCCAAACGTCTGGACACACTAGTCAAGTTGACCCATAAAATTAACCATCACAGGTCTACCCCTGGTCAATTTGGCACCCATAGACATCTCTTCAAACCCTACTTAATCTCCAAATAAAGATAGTAACAAGATTTTACTTCTGCCTAATATGATACAACTACCTTGTATACAACTGAAATTGTACTAACCCTCTCCCCAGAAGAGGATGCAAAGCCTTTAGATGATGTGCACTCATCTTGATACAATGTAACTTAAATTCTACAATGCAAAGTCAATAAATCCTATGCTGTATAATAAGTGGATAAGAGAGGGGAAGAAAACAAAGATAGTTGTGTATATATATACGTATATACATATATATATATATATATACACACAAGTGCATAAACATATTCATAACAAAGTAAGGAAGAAATACTCATGACACAGTTCTCATTTCTGTAACTGGTCACATGGTCAGAGCTGTTATTTATAACTACCTTCTTCCAAGACTTGTTCTGTATTTCCTTTGCCTTCAGCAAGCACCTCAGCTGGCTGTGGGTCTTCAGCTAGTGGAGTGACTCAAACGTTCATTCCTGAAGGGTCTAGATCATTAGTAGTCCTGCCTGGATGGAGCTGTTGTAGTTTCCCATTGACCTTAATCACAGGACATAGTGATACTAAGGGACACCCTAAAAGAGCTCCCATATTCCAGACATACTCCTCCTCACCTCTACTGTGATCCATTTTCCCCTTGGTAGTGAGGATCAGTTACCCCAGCCAGCGCAGTTAACTCCTTTGCCTTTTGATTCAGAGGTCTGAGGTGTCTGCAGTGGTCAGGTAGCAGTCTTAACTTCCAGTTCAATGAAATCATTATTGTGTCTCCTAGTGGAAGCATTTATCCCTTTGGAACTAGGATTTCTAGGCCAGCAGAGAAGGTCATGGAAACAGAAATAAAAAATTTGGCCAGTGGATCATTACAGGTAATGGTGAGTGATACCACTCCCATTTTCTCCCCTCAATACCTGGCCTCATGAATTCAGGCTATGGGAGAACAGCATCATATATTGGACACTGATTCAGAGCATGCACAGCCTCCTGGGAACCTTGTCCCAGCCCTGCAAAGTACTGCCACCTGGCTGGTGCTGTAACTGAGTCTTCAAAAAGCCATTCTACTATTCTACCAAGCTGAGTGCTTCAGAATGATAGAGAACATGGTAAGAATTCCTTGAGCATAGGCCCATTGTGACACTTTGCTTGAAATGAAGTGAGTTCTTTGGGCAGAAGCAATGCTGTATAAAGTACTATGATGGTGGTGTGAATAGGCATTCTCTAAGTCCACAGATGGTAGTTTTGGCTGAAGCATTGCATGCAGGGAAGGCAAAGCCATATCCCAAGTAAGTGTCTATTCCAGTAAGAGTAAAATGCTGCCTCTTCCATGATGGAAGCAGTCCAAGGTAATCAACCTACCACCAGGTGGCTGGCTGATCACCCCAGGAAACGGCGCCATATCAGGGACTCATTGTTGGTCTCCACTGCTGGCAGATTGAGCACTCAGCAGTGGCCATAGCTGTCAGCCTTGAAAAGTAGAAGTCTATGCTGCTGAGCCCATGCTTACCTCCAGCCTTGCCATGAAGGCCACTATTTTCATGCACCTACCAGGTGATGACATGGGTGGCTGAGGAAAGAGGCTGACTGGTATCTGCAGACCAGGGCATCTTATCTGCTTGATTATTTAAATACTCCTCTGCTGGCTGGGCATGGTGGCTCACACCCGTAATCCCAGCATTTTGGGAGGCTGTGGCAGGTAGGTTGCTTGGGCCCGGGAGTTCAAGACCAGCCTGGGTAACACAACAAAACCTTATCTCTACAAGAAAACTACAAAAATTAGCCAGGCGTGGTGGCATGCACCTGTAGTTGTGGTTACTCAGGAGGCCGAAGTAAAAGGATTGCCTGAGTCCAACCTTGGTGATCCCACGTTCTTGCTTTACCTAAACCTGCAGTGAGCCCTGATCGTGCCACTATACTCTAGCCTTGGCAACAGAGTGAAACCCTGTCTCAAAAATAAACAAATTAATTAAAAACCTCCTCTGGGCCAGGTACGGTGGCTCACGCCTGTAATCCCAGCACTTTGGGAGGCCGAGGCAGGTGGATCACGAGGTCAGGAGATCGAGACCAGCCTGGCCAACGTGGAGAAACCCTATCTCTACTAAAAATACAAAAATTAGCTGGGTGTGGTGATGCATGCCTGTAATCCCAGCTACTTGGGAGGCTGAGGCAGGAGAATTGCTTGAACCTGGGAGGCAGAGGTTGCAGTGAGCGGAGATCGTGCCATTGCACTCCAGCCTGGGCAACAAGAGTAAAACTCCATCTCAAAATAAATAAATAAATTTAGTTCATTCATTTTAACAACTGAATTACATTCCATTGCATCCTTGTACCATAATACAACTTTCCCATTATAATATATTTTCAGCTTGTCTCCAATTTCTAGTTTTTAAAATGTTCCAGTGAACATCTTTATACACATGTCCTTGTGTATCTGTGAGAATTCCATAAAAACTGGATACTAGAAATAAAAAACAAGATTTCTATTAATGTGATGATGAGATTGGCCACCCTAGAACAAAGATACCTCAGGATACTCAAAGGACTATTTTCAACACCTATTAAAGAAGGTTTCCTGGCTGGGTCCAGTGGCTCATGCCTGTAATCCCACTACTTTCAGAGGCCGAGGTGGGCAGATCACTTGAGGTCAGGAGTTTGAGACCAGCCTGGCCAACAAGATGAAACTCCCATCTCTACTAAAAATACAAAAAAATAGCTGGGCATTGTGGTGCATGCCTGTAATCCCAGCTATGCGGGAGGCTGAGACATGAGAATTGCTTGAACCCAGGAGGCAGATGTTGCAGTGAACCAAGATGCTGCCACTGCATTCCAGCCTGGGCAACAGAGTGAGACTCTATCTCAAAAAAAAAAGTTTCCCTGACTACTCAGAAAATAAACTAATTGAAACTCTCAAGAAAATACGTGTGCATGTGTGTGTGTGTGTGTCTACATACTTTATCACTTATGTATATTGTTGAGCTAAAATCTAAACCAATATAGGAGCAATTGTTTTTACCCACAATTTTGAGGTGGCTTAGTAATTATTGGCACCAAATGACTTTCGGGTATTCAACAGCCAGAATATAGTCCAAATTGTTTAAAATTACTCTGTTAGCTGCAAGTACAGGTCTACAAATTACCTAGCAAATCAGTTAGCTAAAATACTTCTAGTATTCTTTTTTTTTTTTTCCACTAATTTCTATTACAGAAGACTGTTCAATCTTGGGGATAATTGTTTAAAGAATGCATTTCAAATTCAACAGAAGTCTTATTCTTGTACTTTTGCATAAAGATATATCTTTTCTAACTTTGCCAAAGTAATGATCTTAAAATTTACACTTTATAAGTCAAAGAAACTCATTTCATCCCAGCCAACAGTCATTTTTCCAGCTTCTTTCTTGGTCTCTCTCTGTCACTCAGGCTGGAGGGCAATGACACGATCGTAGCTCACTGTAACTCAAACTCCTGAGCTCAAGCGATCCTCCTGCCTCAACCTCCCAAGTAGCTGGGACTACAAGGGCATGCCATCATGCCCAGCTAAGGTTTTCTGTTTTGTTTTAATTTTTCGTAGAGATGGGGTCTCACAGAGGCTGGCCTCAAGCAATCCTCCTGCCTCAGACTCCCAAAGCACTAGGATTACAGACATAAGCCACAGTGCCCAGCCTCTAGTTTCTTTTATGAAGGACTTCTAAGTTTCATATTTTAGTGGTTGGTTATATTTCACTTGACTGAGCTGAGACAAGCTGTTTCATACATGGGCAGCTAAAGTGTCTACCACTATTTACAGTTCATTGAGTTAGTAGAGATTTCATCTCTCACACAGCAAAAACTTCAGGCAAAGTGCCCTAAATCTTTGTCAATTTCAAAAGAAACCAATGCCTAGCCAGAAGGAATCTCTTCTTTGGTTGGTCTTCTACAAGCAGTGGTTGCTTGTTACTTATAATACCTTACAAGTAAGCCATCTTGTGAAAAATGGTCTCACATTTCTCAAAAATAGCTTAAATTCCATCATCTGAGATTTTATTTGGGGTCTATAAAGCCTTTAAGTTTCCTTCAAAAAAATCTCTTAAAATACAAATTCCTGGAAGAATTAACCCCTTAAGCTATCACCTTCGTTAAACAAATTAGAAATGAGATGCAGGATTTTGGCAAGACAATAAAACCAGAAGGGAAGAGGGCATAGAGCCAAAAGCTTTTTTTGTCAATTTTATAATTTTACCTATAATCTACCCTTGTAGGATTTCAGGTAAATATAAACCCCTACTACAAGTTAGTCTTGGATATTAATTTTTCCTCTAAATATTTCAAAATATTGACCTCATAACTCTAGAAAATATCTTTTATTTTTTATCTTTTTTTTTTTTTTTGAGATGGAGTTTCACTCTATCACCCAGGCTGAAGTGCAATGGTGCGATCTCGGCTCACTGCAACCTCTGCCTCCCAAGTTCAAGTGATTCCCCTGTCTCAATATCTTGAGTAGCTGAGACTGCAGGCACCTGCCATCACGCCTGGCTAATTTTTGTATTTTTAGTAAAGACGAGGTTTCACCATGTTGGCCAGGCTGGTCTCGAACCCCTGACCTCAAGCGATCCACCCACTTGGCCTCCCAAAGTGCTGGGATTACAGGCGTGAGTCACTGCACCCAGCACTAACTTTCATCCTTATCATATTCTTCCTTTTCTTCAGTTTTACTCCCCATAAGTATATCCTTAAATAATACAGTTTTGCCCACTTTTGACATTTCTTTAATGGAATCATACTGTATGTATGCTCTTATTTCTTTTGCTTCACATCATTGCTTGCAGCTGTAGTTTGTTTTCATTTCTGTATAATTTTCCATTTCATTTTTATTAATTTTTTTTTTTTTTTGAGAAAGGGTCTCCCCGTCACCCAGGCTGGAGAGTAGTGGTGTGATCATAGGTCACTGCAGCCTCAAACTCCTGGGCTCAAGTGACCCTCCCACCTCAGCCTCCCAAAGTGCTAGGATTACAGGCGTGAGCTACCATGCCCAGCCTCCCCATTTTATAAATACACCCCAATTTATTCCTCCCTTGTACAGTTAATGGATATTTATGTTTCCATTTTGGAGCTACAATGAACAATGCTGTTATGAACATTGTAAAACACAAACTGTAATAAACATAAGCACACAGTATATACTTAGGAGTGGAATTATTGTCATAGGATATGCTTATCTGCAACCTCATTTGTTAATGCAAACTAATTTCCAAAGTGTTGTGTCAGTGTCCACTGCTACTAGAAGTGTATGAGAGCTCCTACTGCTTCCTATCCTGGCCAAACTTTGATATTGTCAGACTTCCCAATTTTTGCAAATCTAGGGGGTATATAAAAGTATCTGAATTTTTGTGATTTGTTTTTTTATTTGTTTGTGGGTTTTTTTTTTTGTTGTTGTTGTTGTTTTATGAGACAGAGTTTTGCTCTTGTCGCCCAGGCTGGAGTGCAGTGGTGGCAACCTCCGCCTCCCAGATTTGAGCAATTCTCCTGCCTCAACCTCCCAATAGCTGGGATTACAGGCACACGCCACCATGCCCGGCTAATTTTTGTATTTTTAGAGGAGACAGGGTTTCACCATGTTGGCCAGGCTGGTCTTGAATTTCTGACCTCAAGTGATCTGCCTGCCTCGGCTTCCCAAAGTGCTGGGATTACAGGCGTTAGCCACCACGCCCAGCCTCAAAAAAGAAAAAAAATAAATCAAAAATCAAAATGAATTTAAAAGACACTGATATACCAAGGGCTTAATTTTGTAACAATTTTACAAGATAGATATTATTTTTATCCCCATTTTACAGTTAAAAAAACCCTCAGTGTTCAGGGTTAAGAAACTTGCAGTCTGCCTGGGTGCAGTGGCTCACTCCTATAATCCCAGCACTCTGGGAAGCCAAGGCAGGTGGATCACAAGGTCGGGAGTTTGAGACCTGCCTGACCAACATGGTGAAACCCCCCATCTCTACTAAAACTACAAAAATTACCCAGGTGTGGTGGCACACACCTGCAATCCCAGCTACTCAGGAGGCTGAGGCAGGAGAAATGCTTGAACTTGGGAGGTGGAGATTGCAGTGAGCCAGGATCACGCCACTGCACTCCAGCCTGGGTGACAGAGTGAGACTCCATCTCAAAAAAAAAAAAAAAAAAAAAAGCAAAAAATAAATAAATAAATTTTAAAACATTTACAGATGGGAAGGCAGGGCAAAAAAACAAATACTGAGGCTGGCCGGGCATGGTGGCTCACACCTGTAATCCCAGCACTTTGGGAGGCCAAGCCTGGCGGATCACGAGGTCAGGAGATCAAGACCATCCTGGCTAACACGGTGAAACCCCGTCTCTACTAAAAATACAAAAAATTAGCCGGGCGTGGTGGTGGGCGCCCGTAGTCCCAGCTACTTGGGAGGCTGAGGCAGGAGAATGATGTGAACCCGGGAGGCGGAGCTTGCAGTGAGCCGAGATCGCTCCACCGCACTCCAGCCTGGGCGACAGAGCAAGATTCCGTCTCAAAAAACAAAACAAAAAAAAACAAATACTGAGGCTAGGCACAGTGGCTCATGCCTGTAATCCCAGCACTTTGGGAGGCCAAGGCGGGCAGATCACCTGAGGTCAGGAGATGGAGACCATCCTGGCCAACATGGTGAAACCCCATCTCTATTAAAAATACAAAAATTAGTTGGGCATGGTGGCGCATGCCTGTAATCCCACCTACTCAGGAGGCTGAGGCAGGAGAATCACTTGAACCCAGGAGGCAGAGGTTGCAGTGAGCCAAGAATGTGCCACTGCACTCCAGCCTGGCGACAGAGCAAGATTGTTTAAAAAAAAAAAATGCAAAAACAAAAAAAAAATACTGAAAACATTTTTTCCTTTCTGTTTTAGTTTTTCACCATTTGATAATCTCCTATGACTTCTAATATTAAACTCTTAAAGAAAGTCTTTTCCTTAGGATGTTCTGTTGTAATCAAGAGTCTAATATGTGAGTTTTTTTTTCATGGGTGGGAAAAACAAAGGAAATACAATTTTAAACCTAAAAATTAAGGGATAGAAAAGCTCATGTACATTTTCCTTTAACAAGACTACTTTTTCCTCTTTTGCTTGTATCACCTCTAGGAAAAATAAAAACACACCCCATAAAGAAAACCAATTCTGGGAAATGAAACTTAACAAATATTTAAGAAAAATGTTTTTAGTTTTTTTTGTTGTTTGTTTTGTTTTTGAGACAGAGTCTG